>NC_000023.11:2137488-2762488 GCF_000001405.40 Homo sapiens
TCCCATCATCATCATCACGATCACCATCTTCATAACCTCTCCCATCATCATCATCACGATCACCATCTTCATAACCTCTCCCATCATCATCATCATGATCACCATCTTCATTACCTCCCCCATCATCATCATGATCACCATCTTCATTACCTCCCCCCATCATCATCATCACCATCCTCACCATCATCATCATCATCATAATCATCATCGTCACCATCCTCACCATCATCATCATTATCATAATCATCACCATCACCATCCTCACCATCATCATCATTATCACCATCATCGTCATTATCATCATCATCACCATCACCATCCTCACCATCATCATATCACCATCATCGTCATTATCATCATCATCACCATCTTCATTACCTCTCCCCTCATCATCACCATCCTCACCATCATCATTATCATCATCATCACCATCTTCATTACCTCCCCCATCATCATCATCACCATCCTCACCATCATCATCTTCATTACCTCTCCCATCATCATCATCACCATCACCATACTCACCATCGTAATCATTATCATCATCACCATCACCATCCTCACCATCATCATCATTATCATCATCATCACCATCTTCATTACCTCTCCCATCATCATCATTGCCATCGTCATCTCCATTATCTCTACCATTATCATCATCATCATCTCGCTATCATCACCATCATCATCACCATCATCATGATCATTGTCATCATCATTATCATCACCATCATCATCACCACCATCATCATACCATGCCATTGTCATTATCACATCGTCATTATCATCATCATTACTACAATGTTGATAATCAGCTATAAGACTCTGAATCCCACATGACGAGTCAGCAGTGCTGCCGCTGGGGCATCTGAGAACAATATGCCCTGGAAGGACTTTCTCCCTTACTTTTTTATCCCAGAATGGCAGTGGTTTGACTGATGTTCTCTTTTGTACTATGAAGCATCTTCTGTGGCCTAGAAACAACTTAGAGTGATGACTGGGCCTCTTTGAGAGACACCACCTAAGTGGCCTTATAACAATTTGGTCTGGTTCAAGAGTCCTAAATAATTTTAAATGCTGCTTCAGTGCCTGTACACTCATTTGTTGTGCTGTCACTCTGGTTTCTTGGGAATAAATTAACGAAAACAGAATTGGAGATTTTCTCTTTCTGTCTTCACTTCCGTTCAAAAAGTATCATTTTCTCCCCCCGCCCCCCCCCCCGCCCCCACTGGAAGAACTTGTTGTCCAGAACAAGTGTAGGCATAGAAATGCTAATTTTTGTTACTTCACCTTTCTGGGAAAATAAGGGGGAGTGGAGCCATCTGTGGCTATGGCCATCACTTGGCCAATAAGTTGATTTTGAAATAAACTGATTTTGAATTAGATGTGCGGTATGCATCTGGGAGATTGAAGTTAGATGTGTGTAGGAGAGGGAAACCAACAAAGCTGTGAAGATACAGTAGGAAGAAGGGCTCTATGAGAAAATGTAAAACAATGGCATTTATTTGGATCAGACACAGCTATGTCTGAGTGGACTAAAGATACAAATCTGCTCATGGCCACAGCAGATGTCACACCTGGGTCCCATGGATAAGCAACAGAAAATCAAAGGTGGCAAGTTTATCAAGCCTTTCTGAGTTTCTATGATGGACGGTTGGGTCCTAGTGCCATCAGTGAGGATTGGCAGTGTCTTCTTAGCAATGTGAGAGTTTGAATCCAAGCCTCAGTGAATTTGGGAGGACAGCCCATCTGGAAGCTGTGACTCAACAAGGCCAGCCTGAGACTCCACAAGCTCAAATAATTTTTCAGGCAGATAAATGCCATTAGTCTGCCAAGGTGACATGGTAAGGTGTTTGTCAAGGTAGATGGGGCCTGGTGAGGGAAAGTTAGGGTGGAAAACTTCAGAAATCCAGGCAGGAAGACTTCAGGCATCTGGATAAGCCATCCATCCATCCATCCACCTGCCATTCACCCATTCATTCACTCATGGACATATCCATCCATCCATTCATCCAACTATCCATCCCTTTATTCATCCACCAACCATCTACCCATCTATCCACCCACCCACCCATCCACCCATCTATCCGGACAGCCAGCCACCCATCCATTTACCTATCCGTCCATCCACTTATCCATCCACTCATGCACATATCCATCGATCCATTCATCCAACTATCCATCCCTTTATTCATCCACCTACCATCCACTCATCTATCCACCCACCCACCCACCCATCCACCCATCTATCCAGACAGCCAGCCAGCAACCCATCCATCTGTCCATGCATCCACTTATCCATCCACTCACGCACATATCCACCATCCATTTATCCAGCTATCCATCCATGTATCCATCTATCCACTCATCCGTCTGTCTATCCATCCTTCCTTCTATTCAACATGCATATATAATGTGTCAGAAACTTCCTTGTCCTTGGGGACACATGGGCATCAAGATACGGTCCAGTTAACAGAACTACAAGCTCCAGGCCAGAGCTGGAGAAAGAAGAAGTTTCTTTCTTCTTGGGAACAGAGAGGAGCGTGAGTTTAGTAATTCAGACACAACAATTCCTCACTTAAGAAGACAAGTAGACCCCAAAAGGCAGAGCTCAACTTAGCATCCATTGATACGTACCAAGTCACCCCCTTCTCAGGTAGACTTATGAGAGCAAGGACATCATTCTACCCTCTCCACAAAAGTACTGGTACAAGAAGGGCTTTCTCCATGGCTAGCTGAAGAGGTCCCTAGCTCAAGTTCAGATTGATCTAGGAACAGTCCTGAAAATGACCCTCTCAGTGGAGATGCTGGGAAGGGGCAGTGAAGGACTCTTCGGGAAAAGGTAAGGACCAAGAGAAAGAACATGAAATCCAAGGACGAAAGTTAAAGACAAAATGCAGAAGCGAGGTTGAACTTGAGTAGAAGCTGGAATGAGGGCAGCATCTGCATTGGTGGAGGGAAGAGAAAACTATCCCAGGCAGAGGGTATACCAGAAACACAAGGCAACTGTTATTCATGAAGATCTTGCTTGAGGAAAAATATGGACTCCAGAGCAGGTGCAAGACATGGTACGTCGTGATGGATGTGTGATCTGTCGAAACGAAGGCTAAAAGGCCATGAACAGATGGCCAAGTGCTTTCGCTTGTAAGCAATGAGAGAGTGGTGAAGGCGTGGAGGAATGGAGGATTGCTCTAGTGCATAGAGCCCAGTGGGGGCCCAGTGGGAGAGGCTGGAAAAAGGAGAGACCTAGAATCCAGTGGGAGAGGCTGAAAGAATGGAAACCAGTTGGGATACCATTGCTCTAATTGAGCTTTGGAAACAACTTCGCATAGGAGGTGGGCGACAATGCAGAAACAAGGGCATAAGAGAGATTTTGAAAGAAGGCATGTGAGATAAGAAATCATTGTGGAAAACAGTGTGACAATTCTTCAAAGAACTAAAAAGTGAACTACCATTCAACCCAGCAACCCCATTACCGGACATACACCCAAAAGAATATCAATCATCTTATCATAAAGACACATGCAATTGTATTTCATTGCAGCACCATTCACACTAGGAAAGACATGAAATCAACCTAAATTCCCACCAGTGGTGGACTGAATGAAGAAAATGTAGTACATATATACCATGGAATACTACGCAGCCATAAAAAGAAAGAGATCATGTCCTTTGCAGCAACATGGATGGAGCTGGACACTATTATCTCAAGATAGATAGAAAGATAGATGATAGATAGAAGATAGATAGATAGATAGATAGATAGATAGATAGATAGATAATAGATAATCACATGAGCCTCTGAGGATATTGAGTTATATATGTAACTCAATTTATTAACATAAACACCCATCATGTTATTAACTTACTAACATCCATCATATGAATTATCTTCTAATTAGCACAGCCTCTCGACACACCCTGAAGGACAGAGCATGTCCTAACTATTGGAGGGAAGAAGATGGGAGGAGGGAGAGGATTAGAAAAAAATAACTAATGGGTACTAGGCTTAATACCTGGATGAAGAAATAATCTGTACAACAAACTCCCATGATCCCAGTTTACCTACATAACAAACTTGCATGTGTACCCCTGAACATAATAGAAAACTTATAGAGAACACACCTAATTTTCACAAGTGTTTTAAACTTGCTCCTCTCTTCATGGGTAGCAATGAGTACGTTCTTATCCTTTGTTTCTTTCGAAGAAATCAGTGTGTTTCTAAGACAGTATAAGCTGATAGCCTATGTGGACAAGAGGAGGAGGTATTGTGTTATAAGGAATTTTTTTTGTATAAACCAGAGAGAGGAGAGAGAGAATTATTGTGTGAGTACACAAGACTTATCCACGAAGGTGTGTTTAAGACAAATTTGAATTTCTACAGGAAACTGACCCCCTACAAGCCAAATGTATGGATTATGACAAAGCCTGTGATTGGCTCCAGAAATCCATCAGCTCATTTTGAAGCTTAGTTTTTAATTTAGTTCTGAAACAAAAAGAATGAGTAAAATGTTTCTCTGATACAATGTCCAAAATGGTGAGGCAAACTACACCAGCAGAGAAAGCTGTTGGCCATCATGCAAGCTGTGCGGAGTTTATGAAATTAGCATGCAGAGGCTTCAGTGCTGTATTAGTCCATTTTCATGCTGCTGATAAAGACACACTCGAGACTGGGTAATTTATAAAGAAAAGGGGGTTTGATAGACTCACAATTCCACATGGCTGAGAAGACCTCAAAATCATGGTGGAAGGCAAAAGGCAGGTCTTACATGGTGGCAGGCAAGAGAGAATAAGAACCAAGTGAAAGGGGAATCCCCTTATAAAATCATAAGATCTCAATGAGACTTATTCACTACCACGAGAACAGTAGGGGGAAACCGCCCCCATGATTCAATTACCTCCCATTGGGTCCCTCCCATCACACATGGAATTATGGGTGCTACAATTCAAGATGAGATTTGGGTGGGGACACAGCCAAACTATATGAAGTGCAAACAAAGTTTCTGACTTCTCTTGAGGGAAAAGATACTTTAAAGATTTGAGTAGTTGGGAGCCAACCACCATGATCTGCTGCCCTCTGAATTAACATTGTAGTCAACAACCACCATCTTTGAACAGTGTTAGAGCTGAAAAGCTAGAGGAAAAATGTCTGACTTTCCTCTAGCTTTTCTCCTCCAACACTATTCAAATTTCTTTGCTTATAAATGGTTAGGTGGACGTGAATGAGGAGGTTGAGCTGGTTCTTACAGAGGAGTGGGGGGTCTGAAATGACTTTCAGTCTGGGAAAGCAAGAGATAAATCACTTCTACAGTCTTTTCAGGATCAAGCTTCAGATAAGTGCATCCGTGCAGCATTCTCCCCTAAAGAGCTTGATAATACGAAAAATAAGCCTGCGCGCGAACTAAACCACACATTGTCTCACCAAATGGATGCAACTGAATGGTGAATGCAGACGAAGAGACTTTCTAGAACTGTCTAACGGAAGAGTTGAGGACTTTCTAGAACTAACGGAAGAGTGGAGGACTTTCTAGAACTGTCTAACAGAAGAGTTGAGGACTTTCTAGAACTGTCTATGGAAGAATTGAGGACTTTCTAGAACTAACGGAAGAGTAGAGGACTTTCCAGAACTAACGGAAGAGTTGAAGACTTTCTAGAACTGTCTAACGGAAGAGTGGAGGACTTTCTAGAACTGTCTAACGGAAGAGTGGAGGACTTTCTAGAACTGTCTAACGGAAGAGTGGAGGACTTTCTAGAACTGTCTAACGGAAGAGTGGAGGACTTTCTAGAACTGTCTAACGGAAGAGTTGAGGACTTTCTAGAACTGTCTAATGGAAGAGTTGAGGACTTTCTAGAACTAACAGAAGAGTTGAGGACTTTCTAGAACTATCTAATGAAAGAGTTGAGGAAAACCCAAAACTCCCATCGAGGGACCTGGCTCTAGTCTCCCGGAGGTAGGCGGGAACATGACTGTTATTTCACGAGTGGGAATCCAGTTAATTACATCTTTCTGAGTGTGTCGAGAGGCTGTGCTAATTAGAAGAGGATTCATATGATGGATGTTAATAAGTTACATATGTTAACTCAATAGCCTCAGAGGCTCATGTGATTATGTATCTATGTATCTATCTATATATCACCAATCTATATACATATATATATGCATGCAATCAATATATACATAATACACAAACTATATCATATTTTATTAGAGTATATTACAAGAATATATAAATCTTATATACATATGTTCATGTGTCATTTATATATATTTGTGTGTGTATATGTGTGTGTGTATATATATATAGATATGTATATGTAAATGTAATCACATGATCCTTTGAGGAGTTTTTTTCTGATATGAAGTCTTGCTCTGTCGCCCAGGCTGGAGTGCAGTGGTGCAATCTCGGCTCACTGCAACCTCCGCCTCCTGGGTTCAAGTGATTCTCCTGCCTCAGCCTCCCTAGTAGCTAGGATTACAGGTGTGTGCCACCATGCCCAGCTAATTTTTGTATTTTTAGTAGACAAAGGGTTTCGCCATGTTGGCCAGGCTGGTCTCGAACCCCTGACCTCAGGTGATCTGCCCGCCTCACCCTCCCAAAGTGCTGGAATTACAGGCGTGAGCCACCACGCCCGGCCCCTTTGAGGATATTGAGTTATTTTTACAATTCAATGATATTCTGCTGAGTGAATATTGTATTGTTTTATCTTTTATACATATATTGATGTGGCATATGTATATGCCATTACTTTCAATGGCAAAAACCACAATTCTTTTTGTACCAACCTGATACCATTTATTTCACCTCAACCTCTATTGACACTAACTTCTTCTCTGGTCATATGTAGCGCCCCAGACAAATCTGTCTCCCAAGAGAGTGTATGACCACCCTGGCTGGATGGCACCAAATTAACGAGTAATGCGTGGGTCAGAAGTTGGTCTCTTGTAAGCTGATACAACAGTTGATGGCTATACTATTCTTATCAATCCTAGCTTGTAAGCCTCCAAAACTGAGGATCATATGCTGGTTTCTGGTGACTTTATGCTGATAAATACCATTTCGTGCAGGTTTCATGGCTCGGGAGCACTGGAGATTTCACGATATTGAATTGTTCCTTCTGACTGAGCTCTGATTGAGCTAACTGATGCTACATTTAATTTCAGGATGGACTGAATCAAACAGGCTTACTAATAAGAACAGGAGGCCGGGCGTGGTGGCTCATGTCTGTAATCCCAGCACTTTGGGAGGCCAAGGCAGGCAGATCACAAGGTCAGGAGATGGAGACTATCCTGGCTAACACAGTGAAACCCCGTCTCTACTAAAAATACAAAAAATTAGCCTGGCGTGGTGGCGGGCGCCTGTGGTCCCAGCTACTCGGGAGGCTGAGGCAGGAGAATCACTTGAACCCGGGAGGCAGAGGTGGCAGCGAGCTGAGATTGCGCCACTGCACTCCAGCCTGGTCGAGAGAGCGAGACTCCATCAAAAATAAAAAATAAAAAAAAGAGCAGGGGTATTCCTGACCAGGTCTGGAAACTGGAGGTCAAAGCAAAATTATAATGATGATGATAAATAAGTGAAAAACTGGTACACATTGACTTTGTGGTGAAAATTTCAAGCCAAATTGGTATTTATAGAGAAGACTGGCTGGGTGCCATAGTTCATGCTTGTAATCCCAGCACTTTGGAAGGCTGAGGAGGGCAGATCGCTTGAGCCCAGGAGTTCGAGGCCAGCCTGGGCAACACAGCGAGACCTCATCTCTACAAAAATTACAAACATTAGCTGGGCATGGTGGTGTGCACCTGTAGTCCCAGCTACTTGGTAGGCTTAGGGAGGAGGATTGCTTAAGCCTGGGAGGTGGAGATGGCAAAGAGCCAAGGTCACGCCACTGCACTCCAGCCTGGGTGACAGAGCAAGACCTTGTTTCAAAAAAATAAAAGGAAAGAAAAAAATAAAAGATCTGTACTCTTAAGGACAGTCCAGGGCTGGGCGCGGTGGCTCACGCCTGTAAACCGAGAACTTTGGGAGGCCAAGGCGGGCGGATCACCAGATCAGGAGATCGAGACCATCCTGGCTAACACGGTGAAACCCCAAAAATTAGCTGGACGTGGTGGTGGGCGCATGCAATCCAAGCTACTTGGGAGGCTGAGGCAGGAGAATTGCTTGAACCCGGGAGGCAGAGGTTGCAGTGAGCTGAGATCACGCCATTGCACTCCAGCGTGGGTGACAGAGCGAGACTCCATCTCAAAAATGAAATAAAATAAATGCAGTTTTCACTGGACACTAAACTGCAACTATCGACATGGTTTTAGTTTAGAGCTTAGCAAGAACTTCTGGCTCATTAGCATTATGAGGTCATAGTATGAATTTCCAAGAGGGGTGTTAGGTTTCATGCTCTGGGTGTTGCATTGCTTGTAAACAGTTAGAAGATTTCTTCCAGTTGTGTCGTGAATGCATCCCTAAAACAAAGCCACAGACTTCAACAAGAAATCCCACACATAAGAATGATGTGTGAGCTTCTTCCAAAAACGAGTGGCAGAAACTGAAGTTGCTCTGAGCTGCCAGAAGTCTGACAAACAGCCCACTGTCAATTACTTCTCATGGGTTTCTCGTTGCTTCGTGAAGGCTTATTTTAGCTTTCGGGAAAATCTGCGGATCCCAAAATAAACGACTGCAATGGTGCAATGGGCTGCGGTAGAGGGAAATAGAGCCGTGTGGTTCGAAGGAGAAAGGGCATGAGTATGAGCTTAGTCACAGTGGGTTGCTGTGGAAGGAAATAGAGCCGTGTGGTTCAAAGGAGAAAGGACATGAGTATGAGCTTAGCTGACTGGGCTTGAGTACCAAGGAAACTAAGCTACCATAGACTTCACAATGAAGAAGAAAACGCAGGCGATGAACTCTTGCTCTTAGAAACTGCGAAAAAAGGATTAGGTCCCTAAATTGTGTAAGGCACAGTCAGGATTGTAGACAACTCACTGGGTCTTAGGAATCGTACCACGTGCCCATGGTTTGTTTAATTTTAACAAGAGAGAGTTGAGTGCAAAGGTATATGAGATATCCATTCCTATTTCTTTTCTAGCTTACTTAAAAAAAAATCAGGTAGAATCCATCCAGTAAAAAATGAAGTCAATGAGGTGAATGTCTGAAACCAGTGAATATTTCAAATTTCTGTCCTAGTTGAAGATGACACAAAACATCAAGGGGACAGACACTCAAATGATACCCTCAGATGTTGAAATTTTATGAGACGGCATCCCAGCTAGTGATTTTATATCTGACATCAGACATGGCCCTAACAATACAGTTTAAAATCATTTTGGAAAAGTATTGAAGATGCCACAGTCTAATTCTCAAACTGGAAAATATTCAAAGAGACCCATAGAGACCAAACTATATGCCAACTTTTCTTCCCCATTTTATGATCAGAATCACATTTTGTCTACCTTGACAGGGTGCCCTATCATTTAATTTTTTTTTCCTTTTTTTGGGGGGGGGGGCGGGGACAGAGTCTTGTTCTGTCACCAGGCTGGAGTGCAGTGGTGCAATCTCGGCTCACGGCAACCTCTGACTCCCTGGTTCAAGCGATTTTCCTGCCTCAGCCTCCTGAGTAGCTGGGATTACAGGCACCCACCACCACGCCTGGCTAATTTTTGTATTTTTAGTAGAGATGGGGTTTCACCATATTGGCCAGGCTGGTCTCGAATGCTTGACCTCAAGTGACCCACCCTCCTCGGCCTCCTAAAGTGCTGGGATGACAGGCGTGAGCCGCCACACCAGGCCCAACATTCTTATTTCTTTTTGAATCCCTTTGTAACTGCTCTTTTCAAATCTTGAGTCCCCAAGTATGTGTCACCTTTACCTTACCAATTTTCATAAACTGTAAATCTCATAGACAGTCCATCGTAACCAATATTTCCCCATCATTGCAGGAAGCAGATGATGATCTATCTACTGAGGTCACCTGGGGAGAGTGTAATCGACATAAACAGATAGTCTCCCCACGCCAGCCTGACCTAACTCTCCATTGAGTCTGGCAGATGGATCTCAATGGCCTTCTCAACATTCACTAAGGCAAGTTAAGTATGAATGAATGAATATCCCAAGAGGAAAAGTCGCTTTGGTGAATTTTATGTTCTATTGTCCAGCATCCAGATAACAGGCAAAATACAGAATATTTCCATGGAGATACGGTGCCTGCTTTTGCCTCCAATATGCAAGATCTTTCTCAAGAAAGAGAATTTAGAGTGCTCTTTGTTCTTCAAAATGGACATTCCAACTGGAGCCATTTGAGACAGTTTCACAGTAAGCTCTTCCTGTAAATATAAATGGGGATGTTTCATGATGCATCTCTCCAATTATTTTCATCTGTGTGTTTAGGTGTCTGTTCTCTTGTCTATCACCAGGTTGCAAAGCAGAGCCTTTTCCGTCTGGGTAAAATGGAGACCACCCATCACAACTACAAAATGTCAGATTGTATTAGCATTATCCAATAACCCCATGAGAAGGTCATTCATATTCATCAGCTATGCAGTTCAGTTTCCGGAAATTGTTAATGTACTCAAGATGCCAGCTTCCACATAGCCAACTGCCATCAGGAACCAGAGAGTCAGAAGCAGAGGAGAAAACTTATCAGATCTGGCAGGAGACTGTTACTGAGGTTAAAATTAGCCTTGGACGACTCACAGAAAACATTAATTGCTTGTGACTGCTAGATTTCTGTCAGTGGCAAAGGTTCATTATTACACAGGACACATCACACTCTGAGCATCTGCCAATTTATTTTCTGCACGGACATTTGTTTATCCCTTCCCATGAGTGAGGCATGGTTAGGAGAGAAGAACTAAAACTGCATTCTCCTCAAGAGGTTGACATTCATGAATGAACAATACTTAAATCACCTATGTATAAGGGACCCATCTCATGTCTGGAATAGAAGTACGACAGCCAGGTGCGGTGGCTCACGCCTGTAATCCCAGCACTTTGGGAGGCCAAAGGCAGGCAGATGACCTGAGGTCAGGAGTTCGAGACCAGCCTGGCTAACATGGTGAAACCCTGTTTCTCCTAAAAATACAAAAAAATTAGCCAGGCATGGTGGCGTGCTCCTGCAATCCCAGCTACTTGGGAGGCTGAGGCAGGAGAATCTCTTGAACTCGGAGGCAGAGGTTGCAGTGAGCCGAGATCGTGCCATTGAACTCCAGCTTGGGCAACATGAGTGAAACTCCATCTCAAAAAAACCAACCAAACAAACAAAAAAACCCAAATAAACCCACAAAAAAAGTTTGGAAAAAAAAAGTACAATAAAGGCGGTATTTCAGATGGGGGAATGATGTATATGGGGTTCAGAGGATCTTCAAAGAGAAAAATTTGGGTTGGAACTTGAGTTCCTTTCCTGAACTTGCTGTAACAAATTTATACAAATTGGGTGGTTTACAACAATATAAATATGTTCTCTCATAGTTCTGGAAGGCAGAAGTCTCAGATCAAGGTGTTGGGAAGCATGGTTCGTTATGAGGGTTGCAAGAGAGGAATCTGTCTCATGGCTATATCCTGGCTTCTAGTGGCCCCAGGTATTCCTTGGTGATATGGTTTGGCTGTGTCCCCATCCAAATCTCATCTTGAATTTCCACGTGTTGTGGGAGGGATTTGGTGAGAGGTAACTGAACCATGGGGGCAGGTCTTTTCTATGCTGTTCTCATGATAGTGAATAAGTCTCATGAGATCTGATAGTTTTATAAGGTGGTGTTTCCCTGCACAAGCTCTCTCTTTGCCTGTTGCCATCCATGTAAGATGTGACTTGCTTCTCCTTGTCTTCTGCCATGATTGTGAGACCTCCCCAGCCACATAGAATTGTAAGTCCATTAAATCTCTCTTTCTTTTGTAAATTGCCCAGTCTCGGGTATGTCTTCAACAGCAGTGTGAAAACAGACTAATACACTTGGCTTGTAGACGTATCACCCTGATTTCTGCTTTTCTCTCCAACATGACCTTCATTTTGTGTCTTTTCATCTATCAGTTATAATGACACTTGTCATTGGAGGTCACACCCACTATATGATCTCATCTTGCGATCTTTACCTTAACTGCATCTTCAAAGACCCTTTTCCATCATGAGGTCCCATTTCCCAGGTTATGAGGGTTTAGGACATAGACATATTTTTAGGGATATGTGTATGTCCCAAAGGTCTGCACCCGAATGCAGACCTTGGGCAGAGTACAGTTGAAAGGGGAGAGAAAAATAAATACAGAAATGTTTAAACCCATCAATCCTTTTAATTCTCCTTGGATTCTGAGAGAAGTATGGCATTTTGAGCATCCAAAAGCTACATAGAGACTTTATCGACAATTCTTAATACTCTCATGCTTTTCATTATGTCCAAGACTTTTGAGTGTGTTCATGATTGGCGTATGACCAAAATGTTAAAAGCTGCACCAACTGGTATTGACAACGTCTCCATGTCAAAATGATTCATTAGAAAGGCCAAGAATATCACTGTTTAGCAGGGAGAGATGGAAAGAAAAGGCTACCTAGAAAATGCTCAGGAAAAATCAATACATGATAAAATTAAGATACCAAATGAAGCGTTGGCATGCTTATTGATGTTCCCTTCAGGTTTGACTTCTGCCTGGTTTACTACTCTCTCCTCCTCACTCACTGGGGAAATTAACTTTATGGGTTCTTCTCCTGTTCTTGCAGGTCTTTTCTTTTTTATTATTATTTTATTTTTTAATTTTTTTTACTACATTTTTTATTTTTTATTATATTATTTTTATTTTATATTTTTATTTTTTATTGAGACAGAGTCTCACACTGTCACCAAGGCTGGAGTGCAGTGGTGCGATCTCAGCTCACTGCAACCTCCATCTCCCAGGTTCAAGCAATTATCCTGCCTCAGCCTCCTGAGTAGCTGGGATTACAGGCACCCACCATCATGCCCAGCTAATTTTTTTGTATTTTTAGAAGAGACGGGGTTTCACCATGTTGGCCAGAGGCTGGTCTTGAACCCCTGACCTCATGATTCACCCACCTCAGCCTCCCAAAGTGCTGGGATTACAGGCATGATCCACTGTGCCCAACCCTTTCTTTTCATTTCTGTCTATGTGGGGCATAACAACTGCCTATTTAGAGATTCTCAACTCACTCTTTCCTGCAGTCCTGAGCCTCTGACTGTCTCCAAAAATGGTCTGAGCCTTGATTATATTCTGCTTCTCAGCTCTAAATAAACAGGTAACAGTGAAAGGATTCCAAGCCTGCAAGGAAAGGCTAACCATTGTCTAGTGGAACCTTCCTTTGCTGCACAGATGGAGAAATGCCTGCCATGAAGTTAGTTCTGTTCTGCAGAAATTTTTTTTGATCTTGAAAATGCAAGTTCTGTTGAGGAGGTTGAGGTGGGGGAGTCAAGCAGGAGGTGTGAATGAGCAGGAGTTGGCAGCAAGTCCGGGTGCTGACAAGCGGAGACTCAGAGATGCCAACCTCACAGGTGATGAATTGCTTCTATTACCCTGCAGAAATTTGTGACTTTCTAAATCCAATTACCCAACCGTGGAAAGTCCCCACCTTTTCTCTCTGACTTTGTCCCTGAGAGAATGAGCTTTGCTGGGTGGAGAAAAAGTTAGCAATGCCATGTGTGCTGGTGTCTTGAGTTTTGCGTATGACTCTGCTTCAACTTGCCTGGTGGTTTCATGCTATTCTGATTCCTCTACAATGTAATGCTTTGTGAGACGATGGCAGACACAAGGCAGATCCTCAGAATACACTCCCGATGATATTAGCTTCTTGTGCAATCAGCCAACACACAGAACATGAAGCTTGCCCCCGATGTTTGCCACAGCACAGGTTCAGAGCTTTAGGAGCTGGTGAAAAGTAATTCTCATGGTGGTCATGGAGCCACTGGGCATGATAGCTACGGGGGTGATATCATCCCAAAGAGATGAGTGTTGTTGAAATTGTCCCTTCATCTCACCTCTCCCTGTTTGTCTAAGCCAGAAAAGATCCACCTGTGTGGGAATCATCCTGTACCTGGGATTTGCACCTATCAGTCATCCACCTGGCAAAGTAAAGCCGCTTAATGATGTTTCGTTGGATGGTCCTACAACTCAACGTCAACGATGAAACAGAGGCTGAAATGATTCCTAGCACTGTTGGTTCAGAACTTTTGGAGGAGACTTGTTCCCAAGGATAATGAAGACTCTCTCATCAAAATTCCTGGACTCTAAGATGTGCTTATGCAAGCCAACAAACCCTCGCCTCCTGAGGCAGCAAATGCATCATTAGGCAAGAGCTCTCTTGAGCACAGTGAGGCTCTCTTCCAAGTCATAAGCTGCAAGTAGAAAGCTGCCTAGACCATGTTCCTCACAAAGTGTTGACATGTCTCCAGTTAGCTGGCTAGAGATGATGAAAAAAAAAAACCCTTCAATATACACAATTACAGTTTGGGTACAATTTCCATACAAGGCTTTGAGTGTTTGTTAAGAAGTATTCTGGGCCGGGCAAGGTGGCTCACGCCTGTAACCCCAGCACTTTGGGAGGCAGAGGTGGGTGGATCACCTGAGGTCAGGAGTTCGAGACCAGCTTGGCCAACATGGCGAAACCCCGTCTCTACTAAAAGTACAAAAATTAGTGGGTGTGGTGGCGCATGCCTGTAATCCCAGCTACTTGGGAGGCTGAGGCAGGAGAATTGCTCGAACCTGGGAGGCGGAGGTTGCGGTGAGCTGAGATCACGCCACTGCACTGCAGCCTGGGTGACAAGAGTGAAACTCCATCTCTAAAATAAAATAAGAATAAAAGAAAGGTGCATAGACGATGTTCCTCACAAAGCATTGACATGTCTCCAGCTAGCTGGCTAGAGATGATTAAAAAAAAACAAACTCTTCAATTTACACAATTCTAGTTTGGGTACAATTTCCATACACTGCTTTGAATGTTTGTTAAGAAGTATTCTGGGCCTCAAATGTGTTTCCAAATGTTCAGAGATGAGACGCATCTTTGTGGCTTGAAGATTCTCAATATCGACCCATTCTAGGTAGATGGGGACTTCTTTCTTGGATGGACACATGCATTGGAGATCATAGTTAGGCATTCAGGGCAGATGAAGCCAACCGGATACAACTTCTTATGCTAGGAACGACCAGAGGTGGCGGTATCACATGTGCAGATGTCTGTGTCTGCATGCCGCCATCTTGCAACTGTGGTCTTGACTCCCTGCACTGGGGGGATGACAGTTATAGCAAAGTCAGCTTATATATATATGGTTTTTTTGTTTTTGTTTTTTTGAGACGGAATCTCACTCTGTCGCTCAGGCTGGAGTGCAGTGGCACAATCTTGGCTTACTGCAACCTCCACCTTCCAGGTTCAAGCGATTTTCCTGCCTCAGCCTCATGAGTAGCTGAGACTACAGGCACGTGCCACCAAGCCAGGCTCATTTTTGTATTTTTAGTAGAGACAGGGTTTCACCATGTTGGTCAGGTTGGTCTCGAACTCCTGACCTCGTGATCTGCCCGCCTCGGCCTCCCAAAGTGCTGAGATTTCAGGCATGCGCTACCACGCCCAGTCATATATGTTTTTGTTTTTATTGATGAGCGTAAGATAGGTTTGAGGCCGTGAGCCCCCAAAAGCCACCCTCATGGAGAGTTTACTGTACTGAATAGTGCTCCTCCTAAGAAAAAAATAACGCATGTTCACCTGGAAGCTCAGAATGTAACCTTATTTGGAAATAGAGCTTTTGCAGGTCATCCTGGATTAGGGTGGGCCCTAAATGCAATGACAGGTGTCCTTCTAAGAGGCAGAAGAGGAGATACAGAAACAGAGGAGAGTCTGGGCATGGTGGCTCACACCTGTAATCTCAGCACTTTGGGAGGCCGAGGTAGGTGGATCACAAGGTCAGGAGTTCAAGACCAGCCTGACCAACATGATGAAACCCCCGTCTCTACTAAAAATACAAAAAATTAGCCAGGCGTGCTGGCGGGCGCCTGTAATCCCAGCTACTTGGGAGGCAGAGGCAGGAGAATCACTTGAACCCAGGAGGCGGAGGTTGCGGTGAACTGAGATCGCGCCACTGCACTCCAGCCTGGGCAAGAGCGAAACTGTCTCAAAAAAAAAAAAAAAAAAAGAAAAAGAAAAAATAAATCCACATCCACCTGGAACCTCAGAATGTAACCTTATTTGGAAATAGAGCTTTTGCAGGTCATCCTGTTAACATGAGGTCATCCTGGATTAGGGTGAGCCCTAAATGCAACGACAGGTGTCCTTCTAAGAGGCAGAAGAGGAGACACAGACACAGAGGAGAAAGATATGTGGAGATGGAGGCAGAGACTGGAGTGATGCAGCCACAAGCCCAGGGATGCCTGGAGCCCCTGGAAACGGAGAGAGGCAAGAAAGATCCTCCCCGAGAGCCTCCTGAGGAAGCACAGCTGTGAGATAACTTGATCTCAGACTCTGGGTCTCCAGAACTGGAAAGGACAAATCTCTGTTGTTTTAAGCACCCCAGTTTGTGGCAGTTTGCTTTGGCAGCATAGAAAACTCATCTATCAGATGATGGTCTTTTCTCTCCAATACTTTCTCTATTTTACTGATTCAGGTCATCACCTTGAAAGGAAAATATTTCCCTCTCTCCCTTCCTCCCTCCCTTCCTTCCTTCCTCCATCCCTCCCTCACACCCTTCCTTCCTTCCTTCTCTCTCTTCTCTCTCTTTCTGTCTCTCTCTCTCTCTTTTTTTTTCCTAAGTCTTGCTCTGTCACCCAGGCCAGAGTGCAATGGTGTAATCTCGGCTCACTGCAACCTCCGTCTCCTGGGTTCAAGTGATTCTCCTGCCTCAACTTCCCAAGTAGCTGGAATTACAGGCACGCACCACCACGCTTGGCTAATTTTTGTATTTTTAGTAGAGACAAGGTTTCACCATATTGGTCAGGCTGGTTTTGAACTCCTGACCTCAGGTGATCCGCTTGCCTCGGCCTCCCAAAGTGCTGGGATTACAGGTGTGAGCCACCACACCCGGCCTGAAAGGAAAATATTTCTTATAAATTATTGTAACATCTTATAAATTATTGTTCTACCTATTCAGCTTAGAAAAAGCAGATTAGAGGCTGGGCGCAGTGACTCACGCCTATAATCCCAGCACTTTGGGAAGCCAAGACAGGCGGATCACCTGAGGTCGGGAGTTCACCAGCCTGACCAAGATGGAGAAAGCCAGTATCCACTAAAAATACAAAATTAGCTGGGTGTGGTGGTATGTGCCTGTAATCCCAGCTACTCGGGAGGCTGAGGCAGGAGAATCGCTTCAACCCAGGAGGCGGAGGTTGCGGTGAGCCGAGATCGTGCCATTGCACTCCAGCCTGGGCGACAAGAGTGAAACTCCGTCTCAAAACTCAAAAGAAAAAAGAAAAGAAAAGCAAAAGCAGATTATTCCCCCGAACAATTCACTCAAGTGATGGGAGTTATTAGTGGGCTAGAGTTGGTAAGAACCCTAAACCTCAGAGAGGGAGGATGTAAGGAGGCCACCTCGGCACGTTGGGCAGAGGCAATGTCTGTGCTGGAACATTCACAGCCTGTCCTCCCTACGCTGACTCACCACCTACACTCCCTTCCCCAAGGCTCTGGTTTGTCTTGACCAGTCTCTCATGCTGCTCAACTTCTGTGCCTGTTGGTGACATCAACCCCAGTGGGAAGCCATTGTAGTTGTTTCTTGAGTCCACTTTAACAAATGATTACAAGTTCTGTGGCTTTAAACAGCAGCAATGTACTCTCTCCAAGTCTTGGCAACCAGAAGCGTGAGATCAAGGCATGGGCAGGGCTGTGTGCTCCCTCCGGAGGCTCTAGGGGAGGGTCCTTCCTGCCTCTCCCAGCTCCTGGAGGCTCCAGGCATCCCTGGGCTTGTGGCCACATCACTCCAGTCTCTGCCTCCGTCTCCACGTGGCCTTCTCCTGTGTGTCTGTCTCTCCTCTTCTGTCTCTTAGGAGGACACCTGCATTGCATTTAGAGCTCACCCAATCCAGGATGATCTCATCTCAACATCCTCAATTTGATCACATCTGCAAAGACGCTATTTCCAAACGAGGTCCTATTCACAGGTTCTAGGGGTTAGGACATGGACAGATCTTTTGGGGATCACCATTCAATCCATTGCAGTTGTGTTTGGTTCCTTCTGGGGGCTCTAGGGGAGGATTCTTCCTGCCTCTCACTGCTCCTGGGGGCTCCAGGCATCCCTTGGCTTGTGGCTACATCACTCCAGTCTCTGCCTCAGTACATGGCCTTCTACTTTGTGTCTATGTCTCCTCTTCTGTCTTTTAGAAAGACACCTGTCATGAGATATAGGACCCACCTTAATCTGGGATGATCTCATCTCAAAATCCTTTACTTAATTACATCTGCAAAGACTGTATTTCCACATTAGGTTGCATTCACAGGTCCTGGGAGTCAGGACATGGACATATATTTTGGGGGCCACTGCTCAATGCATTACTATTATATCCAGTTGCTTCTGGACGCTCTACGGGAGGATCCTCTCTGCCTCTCCCAGCTCCCGGGGGCTCCAGGCATCCCTGGGCTTGTGGCCACATCACTCCCGTCTCTGTCTCCATCTTCACATTGATCTTTTCCTCTTCTGTGTGAAATCTCCTTCTCCTTTCCTCTTATGAAGACCCCTTGAGGCCAGGCATGGTGGCTCATGCCTGTAGTCCCAGCACTTTGGGAGGCTGAGGTGGGCAGATCCCCTGAGGTCAGGAGTTTGAGACCAGCCTGGCCAACATGGTAAAACCTCATCTCTACAAAAACACAAAAATCACCCAGGCATGATGGCAGGTGCCTGTAATCCCAGCTACTAGGGAGGCTGAGGCAGGAGAATTGCTTTAATCCGGGACGTGGAGGTTGCAGTGAGCCGAGATCGTGCCATCGCACTCCAGCCTGGGAGACAGAGCAAGACTCTGTCTCAATAAAAAAAAAAAAAAGGGGACAATTTTGATTCTATGGAGTCCCCCTGGATAATCCAGTATAATCCCTCCATGTCAGGATTCTTAATTTAACCACACCTGCAAAGTGCATGTTTTCCTGTGAGGTCAGAGATTAGTAGGCTCTAAGGATTAAGACTTTGATATCTTTAGGGCTCATTATTCAGCCCACTCTACTTAGCACAGGAAATTACCCTCAGAGCTGACCAACTCATTCCTGCCAGGCAGCCTAGGCAGGAAGCTCAGAAATGTGAACTCTGTTTTCTTCTCCATGGAACAAAGTTGCTATACTAGATCAGAGACATTGTCTTTAACAACCAGAAACATTCACTGAACTGGGATTTGGTATCTCTGAGTGTTCTGCCTGAGGCATTTATGAGTGCCAAAAAGAGCAGCACAAGGCCGGGTGCGGTGGCTCACGCCTGTAATCCCAGCACTTTGGGAGGCCGAGGCGGGCAGATCACAAGGTCAGGAGATCGAGACCATCCTGGCTAACACGGTGAAACCCCATCTCTACCAAAAATACAAAAAATTAGCTGGGCTTGGTGGCGGGCACCTGTAGTCCCAGCTGCTCGGGAGGCTGAGGCAAGAGAATGGCGTGAACCCGGGAGGCGGAGCTTGCAGTGAGCCGAGATGGAGCCAGTGCACTCCAGCCTGGGCGACAGAGTGAGACTCCATCTCAAAAAAAAAAAAAAAAAGAGCAGCACGGCTTACATTTCTTTGTGTGTTTTGTGGCTCTACTTTTCTTTAAAAACAGCTAGGAAACAAGACACGGGGAGTGGTAGTCATGGCAGATTTACAGAAGTGTAACGTTTCCAAGAAACTACTTTAAAAGAGAGAAGCACATTAGGGAAGACACCCTCTCGCTCAGGAAGCACTAAGAAATTTGGAGCCTTCTGGATGGGCACGGTGGCTCATGCCTGTAATCTCAGCACTTTGGGAGACCAAGGTGGCTGGATCACCTGTGGTCAGGAGTTTGAGACCAGCCTGGCCAACATGGCGAAACCCTGTCTCTACTAAAAATACAAAAATTAGCCAGGCGTAATGGTGAGTGCCTGTAATCCCAGCTACTTGGGAGGCTGAGGCAGGAGAATTGCTTGAACCTGGGAGGCAGAGGCTGCAGTGAGCCAAGATCATGCCACTGCACTGTAGCCTGGGAGAGAAGAGCGAAACTCTGGGGAAAATAAAAAAAGAAAAGAAATCTGGAGACATCCAAAGTAATTCCAGATTTTGAGGGTGTTGTAAAAAGATACAAGAATGACGAAAATCTCCCCAGACACAACTAGGAAGGAATCCAGTCAATAGTCAAGGTAGGTCATTCTCCTACTATCCAGTCATTAAAAGCCAGGCATTTCTGCTGCATGAGGAAAGCCATATGTGTATGATGAGCTGTTTCCAAAAATGAGGGATAAAGCAAGTGATATGGTTTGGCTGTGTCCCCACCCAAATCTCATCTTGAATTCCGACGTGTTGTGGGAGGGACCCTGTGGGAGGAGGTAACTGAATCATGGAGGCAGGTCTTTTCAATGCTGTTCTCATGACAGTGAATAAGTCTCACGAGATCTGATGGTTTTATAAGAGGGCATTTCCCTGCACAAGCTCTCTCTTTGCCTGCCGTCATCCATGTAAGATGTGACTTGCTCCTCCTTGCCTTCTGCCACAATTGTGAGGCCTCCCCAGCCACATGGCATGTGTGTCCATTAAACCTCTATTTCTGTATGAATTACCCAGTCTCCCAAGTATGTCTGTATCAGGTACGTCTTCTCCTGAGTGGAAATAGGCATTTATGAAAGTAAAGGAGAACAGCATAGCTTCCATTGCTTTGTGTGTTTTGTGGCTCTGGTTTTCTTTAAAAACAGCTAGGAAACGAGACATGGGGATTTGTAGTCATGGCAGATTTACAGAATTGGAAGACATACCCAGGTATGTCATTATCAGCAGCATCCAAACGGACTAATACAGCAAGACTCACTATGCATTAGAGCTACGCTTTAGAAGCACAAGTCCATGTATTTTGAGAAGACTGCATTCTTCCACAATTTGGTAGGGCTGAGGACCCCCTCCCCCTCCACCAAGCATCTCTTGAAAGCAGCTAAAGACTGTGTAAGGGTCCTTTGGCAGGGGAATGTTCCTATCATTATTGCATTTCCTGATTTCTGTATGTGATGCTTTGACACTAGGGGGTCTTGCTGCCTCTAGAGAAACTGACCATCTCAGGGTTAGGCAATTTCTGGAGAACATGAACAACTCCTCTATGAGCATGTCTTTCATATGCAAAACAATCAATCTAGATTCCACACCCCAACAACATTCTGTGTGGGAGTCTCCCATCCCATGGCCACTCTCCACTTGCCCTAAGGTCCCCAGTGCCAGGTACCAGGCGAATACGGAGAGCCCCGGTATTAGTCTGTTTTCATGCAACTTATAAAGACATACCACAGGCTGGGCAGTTTACAAAAGAAAGACAGACTTAATGGACTTACAGTTCCAAGCCACACAATCATGGTGGAAGGCAAGGAGGAACAAGTCATGTCTTTCATGGATGGCAGCAGGCAGAGAGAGAGCTTGTGCAGGGAAATGCCCGCTTATAAAACCATCAGATTTTATGAAACTTATTCACTATCACAAGAACGACACGGGAAAGACCTGCCCCCATGATTCAATTACCTCCCACTAGGAACCTCCCACAATGAGTAGGAATTCAAGATGAGATTTGGGTGGGGACACAGCCAAACCATTTCAGCTCCTGTACCCCCAGAGCTTGCTGAAATCATTCAAACTAGGCAATCCTAAACCTGCTCATCCTACCTCACCTGTTCCTTCCTACAGAAACCGCAATAAAGCCTCTCACCCATTTTTTTCTTCCTACTCCTTCCGTCTCCTGAGCTCCTCCATGGGGCCCTGCGTGATATGACACCCCCATCTTCTTGGGACCTTCTTGGGAAAGTAACAAAACTTTCTTCTCAAGAGCAGTCGTCTCCTGGTCTGTTGACCTTACTCTACCTAAATCATGATAAAGCCTATATTTTAAAACCATTCCCTGCCCTGGATTTTCTGGTTGCAGCATCAAGAAGTTCTGCCTGTAGCAGATGTTATTCTGCCCATGACAACTCACGTCACTCGACATCAGAATTTATCTCAGGAACCATCTGCTGCCAGCAGCTCCACACACATCAATCACTCTGAACCATATTGGGTAACATGGCTCCTTTTGGATAGCAAAAAAAGTTATGCAACCCCACATGATTGAAGGATATCATGCTATTCTTAGAATGAGAACATGCACAGTGCCTCCAAAAGCTACTATTCCTTTACTCATAATTTATGACATATTTGTGTTTTATTTGCAAAAATGAATGACGATGCATTCAGATGAGACATGTATTCTACATTCATATTATCAATTCTATGGACTACTCTTGGGGTAGATAAAAATCCACAGTCCCTTGTGGCCATTTTTCACACTTTTCCTTGTTCATTTCTCACATTATGGGTCCACAGCCTTCTGACTGAAGACCTTTCCTTGGTATATTATCATCTACACTCACCGCCCAGTCTACACACAGCAGTGGAGATGCTATTTGCCCCACCAGGGACAAGGTTTAAAATCCAGTGTGCTCAGCTCGGAGTGTTACAACTGGAGCACTCAGGAAATCAATGCATGCAACAGTGGTGTGGAAACCCTGCCTGGCATTATTGAAAGAGGCCCAGAAGGGGAGAACTTGCTCGGCAGTAACTGTCAGACATAAGCAGGTTCTCATTTGCTCATTTTCTTTTTGAATAGATGCTCCCATGATTCAATTACCTCCCACCAGGTACCTCCCACAACATGTGGGAATTCTGATGGTCTTATACATAGCAACTGTGATGACCTATTTCGGGAGCCTGACCTGGCCGGAGACTCCCTTCTGTCTTCTGAGAAGTTCAGAGGAACATCAGAGTTCAAGGTGGAGTGAGATCATGGCAGGAAGCCAAGGAGGTGGAGTGTATGGCTGTTTGGAGAAACTTCATCTTTCTTGGGGAGCTATACTCCCTAGGAAGAACTTCCAGTAAGTCGAGGGGATCCTGGTACACACTACAATTTTGTTCAATGGCTCCACGCACCTTTGAATTACAAAATGTTTTGGTTCCGGCCAGGGCAGCCTCCCGTAAGAGGCCATCACAGTTGCTATTTATAAAACCATCAAAAGGCTGGGCACGGTGGCTCACACCTGTAATCCCAGCACTTTGGGAGGCCAAGGCGGGAGGATCACGAGGCCAGGAGTTCGAGACCAGTCTGGCCAATATGGTGAAACCCTGTCTCTACTAAAAATACAAAAATTAGCCAGGCGTGGTGGTGTGCACCTGTAGTCTCAGACACTCAGGAGGCTGAGGCAGAAGAATCGCTTGAACCTGGGAGGCAGAGGTTACAGTGAGCTGAGATCGCACCACTGCATTCCAGCCTGGACGACCCAGCGAGACTCTGTCTCAAAAAAAAAAAAAAAAACACACCATCATAGTGTCAAGGACAAAACTTACCAGTAGGTTAGGGACTAGAGCGAACCGGGGGTTGCTTGTTAATGAGTCCAAAGTTTCCATTTTGCAAACTGAAGAGAGTTCTGCAGATGGATGGTGTTGATGGTTCCACAACTCTATAAATGTATTCAATGCCACTGTACACTTTAAAAAATGGTCAAGATGGTACATTTTATGGTATGCTATTTTACCACCATGAAAAGTAATTTTTCAAAGACAAATTAAGAGGAAAACTCATTAGCAAGTTCTAAGTCAGAATGACATAAAGAAGGCATTGAGGGTGGCACCAGGGAGCAACAGCTTTCATCTCAGACTTGGTATTTCTTCTGGAATCTACAGGAGATTTGCCCAGATTTTGCAACGTTAAGACAGAGCTTTACTACGTGCAGAACGGAGAGAAGAGACAAAGCTTATTATATACGTTCACATGACTGGTTTCCAGTGGGCGCCATATTGGTGTATGATCTTCCAATGACTTTTTACCATGAGATTGCTGGAAGATGGAGAAAATAAAATGTCAGATGTGTATTTTCTGGGCAGAAGGGCAGACACCATGCACACAGAATGTCTTCAAGGCTTTCTTAAGAGTTCATCAAAAATAAATAGGCTTTACAAATGCATCACTGTGCAAGAGTGTTGTATAAGGAATCACACATATTTTGCATTTGATCTTTCAAACAACACAGCAAAGGAGGTCTTATGACTTCCATTTTCCATACAGATGAGTTTAGACGCACGCTTGAGAACATGTCATTCTACTGTGTCTGTGTTTGACAGCTCTGCAGAGCTGTGTGCTGGTCTACAAGCAAAATTAAGTTGGCATCGAGCTCCAACAATGAATGAAGGGTACGTTTCTTGGGCCAATTTAGTCAAAGTGTCTCTGTTACCTGAGGGCTGCTTAATGGCCTTAGGGAACGAGCTTTGGAAGCACCTGTTAAAGACAGGCAGAACGCTGCAGGAGGGATGCCTGTCATTCCACGGTGTCTGCCCACGCTGTGCTGGTCCATCCTAATGAGCACGGGCATTAGAACTCAAGACGGCACAAGCCCCAGGCAGCGGAGTGAGCGGCCTCCAACCTCATGTGTGCTGCTGTGCACAGACAGGATTTCCAGATACATCCTGCTTTTCAGCCACTGCCTCAGATGAAAAGCTGGCAGCTGCATACATTTTGAATAGAGAACAAGGGAAAATGATTTTAAGCGATGCTTTCCGGCTCAGGGAATGATGTTGTTCCTTCCTACTGGGAGTCTTTCTCGAGTTTGTCTTCCAGGAGGCAGGTGAAGGTGAGAATTCTATACTGAACATTTGAGGCAGTCACTGAGAGCTTAAAAGTCTCCAGGGAATACGGCCGGGTGCAGGGGCTCACGCTGTAATCCCAGCACTTTGGGAGGCCGAGGTGGGCGGATCACCTGAGGTCAGGAGTTCGAGACCAGCGTGGCCAAAATGGTGAAACCCCATCTCTACTAAAAATACAAAAAATTAGCCAGGTGTGGTGGTGCATTCCTGTAATCGCAGCAACTCAGGAGGCTGAGGCAGGAGAATCGCTTGAACCTGGGAGGTGGAGGTTGCAGTGAGCTGAGATCACACTACTGCACTCCAGCTTGGGCAACAAGACCAAAACTCTATCTCAAAAAAAAAAAAAAAATGTCTCCAGGGAATGAATCCCAAGGAGCTCTGGGAGGCTCAGTCTTCCCCCAGGTATGTTCCTTCACATCCTCTTCCCCTTTGAGTCTGCATCTTAGCTGGTGGTTTTCTTCCACACAACTGGCTGTCGGGTATCTCTTGGGATTTGCATGTGCTTTTCTATCTGTGTTGCCTGTTCTGCTGGTCCACCTGATGAACACAGCCCCTACCATCTCCAACCTACACTTTCCCCCATAGGCATAACCTTCCCTGCACCTCCTGCACCTGTTGAGCTTAAATTAGTCAGAGACAACTCTCGCTATGGTGTACCTGTCCTATGGTCTAGGTAGTCACTCCTGAAAAAGAGGAACCTTTATTTATTTCACTTTGTATCTCCAATCACATGAGGAATGCCAGAAAGTCCCTTGACTTGACTTAGAAACTGCTGATAACTTTGTTCTTAATTCCTCTGTAAAAAAAATTATTTTTAGGCCACTTGCGGTGGCTCATGCCTGTCATCCCAGCACTTTGGGAGGCTGAGGCAGATCACTTGAGGTCAGGAGTTCGAGACCAGCCTGCCCAGCATGGTGAAACCCCGTCTCTGCTAAAAATACAGAAATTAGCCAGGCCTAGTGGTGTGCACATGTAATCCCAGCTACTCAGGAGGCTGAAGCAGAAGAATCACTTGAACCCGGGAGGTGGAGGTTGCAGTGAGCCAAGATCACACCACTGCACACTCCAGCCTGGGACTGAGTGAGACTCTGTCTCAACAACAACAACAACAAAATTCCATTTTCTTTTTTTTTTTAACTATACTTTAAGTTCTGGGATATATGTGCAGAATGTGCAGGTTTGTTACATAGGTATACATGTGCTGTGGTGGTTTGCTGCACCCATCAACCCATCATCTAGGTTTTAAGCCCTGCATGCATTAGGTATTTGCCCTAATGCTCTCCCTCCCCTTGCCCCCCAAGCCCCGACAGGCCCTGGTGTGTGACATTCACCTCCCTGTGTCCCTGTGTTCTCATTGTTCAACTCCCACTTATGAATGAGAACATGCGGTGTTTGGTTTTCTGTTCTTGTGTGAGTTTGCTGAGAATGATGGCTTCCAGCTTCATCCATGTCCCTGCAAAGGACATGAACTCATCCTTTTTATGGCTGCACAGTATTCCATGGTGTCTATGTGCCACATTTTCTTTATCCAGTCTATCATTGGTGGACATTTGGGCTGGTTCCCTGTCTTTTTAAGTTGCGGTAGGAGAATGTACCAACATTTACATTCTTAACCAGCCTGGGCAACGTGACAAAACCCCATCTGTACAAATACAACAAAATTATCTGGGCATGGTAGCACGCACCTGTAGTCCCAGCTACATGGGAGGCTAAGGTGGGAGAATTCCTTGAGCCCGAGAGGTTGAGGCTGTAGTGAGCCAAAATTATGCCACTGCACTCCAGCCTGGGTGACAGAGCAGGACACTGCCTCAAAAAAAAAAAAAAAAATTCTTTACAATTGCAGTACTTTCTCATTATTTAGGGTAGAGAGAGTCTATAAAGTCATAGCAAATACTAAATTAGCAAATATGACACCAGGGATTCCAGGGGAAATATAGACTTAGGTTCCCGTGAGCAACTGTTCATAAAACTGTTGGCCGCCAGTCCATAGATGAGCTTGTTGTATGTGTGTTTCTGTTCCCAGACACCTTACTGAATCGATATTGTAGACGCATTCCCACTGACGTCACAGTCAACAGCACTATAGCTCATGTCTGGGAAAAGCTTCTCTAACACACGGATTTTGTCTGCAAGACACACATCAGTTTTTTGCACTTCAGAACACTAAATAGTATTTCAACACTATGCATGGATTTTTTTTTCTTTTGAGATGGAGTTTTGCTCTTGTCACCCAGGCTGGAGTGCAATGGCGCGATCTCGGCTCACTGCAACCTCCGCCTCCCGGGTTCAAGTGATTCTCCTGCCTCAGCCTCCCGAGTAGCTGGGATTACAGGTGCCTGCCACCACCTCCAGCTAATTTTTGTATTTTTAGTAGAGGCGGGGTTTCACCACGTTGGCCAGGCTGGTCTGGACCTCCGGATCTCAGATGATCCGCCCGCCTCGGCCTCCCAAAGTGCTGGGATGACAGGCGTGAGCCACCGTGCCCGGCCTGCTTGGGGGTCATTTTAAACAGCAAAGTCACCAAGAAAAAGCGTAAGAAGGCAAGAAGTGTGGCAGTGAAGAGAAAGCAAAAAGAACACTTTTATTTATTTGTTTGTCTTTTAGAGTGGGAGAGCTGAAGTCACAAGACACAGCCTTTCTTTGTTAGATGTCAGCTGGGAGTGTGTGTGTGTGTGTGTGTGTGTGTGTGTGTGTGTGTGTGTTGGGTGATTCAAATCTTTTCATATTCAGTATGTGTCTGTGAGTGACCCAGGAAGCACCCTCACTATTGATTTGGGGTGACAAATCAATTTTAGTGAGCAGGGGAATTCATGAATTCACAATGTGCAGATAATGGCCATTTGTACATCTTCTTTTGAGAACTGTCTATTCAAGACAAGTGGCCAAGAAACGTATGAAAAAATGCTTAGCGTCACAAATGATCAGGGAAACGCAAGTCAAAACCACAATGTGATACCATCTTTCTCCCGAAGAATGGCCATAATCAAAACATCAAAAAATAACAGATGTTGGTGTGGATACAGGGAACAGGAACACTTCTACACTGCCGGTGGGAATGCAAACTCACACAGCCACTAGAGAAACGGTGTGGGGAGTTTTTTAAAGAACTGAAAGAACTACCATGTGATCCAACAGTGCCACTACCGGGTATCCACCCAGAGGAAAAGAAGTCGTTATACGAAAAAGATATGCACGCATTTTTTTTTGTAGACACGGCCTTGCTCTATTGCCAGGCTGGAGTGCAGTGGCGCGATCTCAGCTCACTGCAACCTCCACCTCCTGGGTTCAAGCGATTCTCCTGCCTCAGCCTCCCGGGTAGCTGGGACTACAGGCGCCCGCCACCACGCCCGGCTAGTTTTTGTATTTTTAGTAGAGACGCGGTTTCACCATGTTGGCCGGGATGGTCTCCATCTCCTGACCTCGTGATCCGCCCGCCTCAGCCTCCCAAAGTGCTGGGATGACAGGCGTGAGCCCCCGCACCCAGCCACACACGCATGTTTATAGCAGCACAATTCATAATTGCAAAATCGTGGAACCAACCCAAATGCCCATCAATGAGTGGATAAACTCTGGTATATATATATATATATATATATATATATATATATATATATATGTGTATATATATATATACGTATATATATATATGTATATATATATACACACACACACACATATACACACACATACTATATATATACACACTATATATATACACTATACACATATACACACTATATATCATATATACATGTACACAGTATATATATACACACAATATATACATGTGTCTATATATACAGCACTATATATACATATGTCTATAGTGCTGTATATATATACACACACACGAGATATATATATATATATATCTCGTGTGTGTGTATATAATGGAATACTACTCAGCCATGAAAAGGAATGAATGAATGGCATTCACAGCAACCGGGATGGAATTGGAGACCATCATTCTAAGTGAAGTAACTCAGGAATGGAAAACCAAACATCCTATCATCCTATGTTCTCCCTCATAAATGGGAGCTTAAGAAACTGTGGGGGGGGTGTGTGTGTGTGTATATAGTGTGTGTATATATATTTACACACAATGTGTGTGTATATATATTTACACACAATGTGTGTGAGTATATATATTTACACACAATGTGTGTGAGTATATATATTTACACACAATGTGTGTGAGTATATATATTTACACACACTGTGTGTATATTTACACACAATGTGTGTGTATATATATTTACACAGTGTGTGTAAATATATTTACACAGTGTGTGTGTATATATATTCACAGTGTGTGTGTATATATATTCACACAGTGTGTGTGTATATATATTTACACACTGTGTGTGTATATATACACTATATGTCTATATATAGTGCTGAATATATATACACACAATATATATATATGTCTATGTATATAGTGCTGTGTATGTGTATATATATATATATATATATATACACACACACACACACACGCTATATATATATAAAGTGGAATACTACTCAGCCAGGAAAAGGAATGAATGAATGGCATTCACAGCAACCTGGATGGAATTGGAGACCATCATTCTAAGTGAAGTAACTCAGGAATGGAAAACCAAACATCCTTTGTTCTCCCTCATAAGTGGGAGCCAAGTTAGGAGGATGCAAAGCCCTAAGAATGATATGATGGACTTTGGGGACTCAGCAGGAAAGGGTAGGAAGGAGACTAGAGATAAAAGACTACTAATTGGGTTCACTGTATACTGCTCAGGTGATGGGTGCATCCAAATGTCACAAATCACCACTAAAGAACTGACTCATGTAAGCAAACACCACCTGTTCCCCAATAACACATGGAAATAAAATATATATATATATAAGATAAAATAAAATAAAGAAAATACACAGATAATGAGGTCTGGTTGCATTTTGAACTAGGATGTGATTTGCATTCAGATGGGCTGTGTGCCCTGTTTCTTTTTTTGTTTTTTTCTTTTTTTGAAAGACAGGGTCTCACTCTGTTGCCCAGGCTGGAGTGCAGTGGCACAATCTCGGCTGACTGCATCCTCCGCCTCCTGGGTTCCAGTGATTCTCCTGCCTCAGCCTCCCGAGTAGCTGGGCACCATCACGCCGGGTTAATTTTTGTATTTTTAGTAGAGACAGGGTTACACCACAGTGGCCAGGATGGTCTTGATCTCTTGACCTCGTGATCTGCCCGTCTCAGCCTTCCAAAGTGCTGGGATTGCAGGCGTGAGCCACCACGCCCAGCCTGTGTGCCCTGTTCCTTACTGGCTCACCACTGTGGAAGTCTTGTCTCCTGCCATGAGACCTGGGGCTTTCTCTTTGCCCTTCAAATGGCCCAGTGGGTCCCTGAACTACCAGATGAGGCAGCCCACACAGACGCCACATGGGCATCTTGAGGCTCTTCCTAAGAATTCCTTCATTATTTTGTGATGCTTTAATGGGAAATAGACATGAATATGGTCAAAGAGTCAAAGTGATTTGGAAGTTGTTTAGCAATGAAGACAAGAAACTTCAGTCCGCCTTAGTAGCAAGATCAACTAGTTTTGCTTTTCCTGTTTCCCATGAATTGAGTCAAAGCCCGGAAGGGCAGCTTTTCAGAAGAGTTGAGCATGGAGAACAAATACAAAAGGATATCTAGGCCGGGCCATGAGGTCAGGAGTTCGAGACCAGCCTGGCCAACATGGTGAAACCCCATCTCTACTAAAAATGCAAAATTAGCCAGGCGTGGTGGCGGGCGCCTGTAATCCCAGCTACTCAGAAGGCTGAGGCAGGAGAATCACTTGAGCCAGACAGTCAGAGGTTGCAGTGAGCCGAGATCGCACCACCGCACTCCAACTTTGGTGACAGAGCAAGACTCTGCCTCAGAAAAAAAAAAAAAAAAAAAAAAGATATCTAGTTTAACGTGCTGAACGGGATACTCATTACTTACTTAAATAATCACCTAAATTGGAACCTTTCCATCGTAATGGATTGCTCCAGCATTTAGCCTAGCAGAATCCCAGTAAAACGTTCCAGCTATTTCTGCATCCTGTCTCTGACTCCCCAAGACGGTAGCCCAGCTATTCACAGTCAGGTCCATTTTCTTCATGAGGTTAAAATCCAACAGACTGTTGGTCACACGGCGGTTGGAGGCTTGCTGGGCTGGGTCTAATGGCATCTTGGAAGATAAGAGCTGGAGGAATGGTAATATGTTCCTCCAGGTTCTCACGAGCTGTCTTGCTTTTTATTTTTCCTTTTCCTGGTAAATGTGCATACGAGAAATGGAAACCGTAGACATACGTTATGACTGTGTTCCTGTACCCAACTGAGGTGGGGGCTGCTATTTCTCATGGCCCAATAATGAGATGCAGAGGAACTGGGGAGGAAGAGAGGTTTTTGTTGTTGTGTTGTTGCTGTTGTTGTTTTGAGACGGAGTCTTACTCTGTCGCCCAGGTTGCAGTGCAATGGCACGATCTCGGCTCACTGCAACCTCCGCCTCCCAGGCTTAAGCAACTCTCCTGCCTTGGCCTCCCGAGTAGCTGGGATTACAGGTGTGCACCACCACACCCAGCTAAATTTTGTATTTTAAGTAGAGACAGGGTTTCACCATGTTGGCCAGGCTGATCTCGATCTCTTGACCTCATGATCCACCCGCCTCAGCCTCCCAAAGTGCTGGGATTACAGGCGTGAGCCACCGCGCCCGGCCGGTTCAATGAATTTACACTCCCACCAACAGTGTAAAAGCATTCTTATTTCTCCACATCCTCTCCAGCATCTGTTGTTTCCTGACTTTTTAATGATTGTATTCTAATTCGCGTGAGACCGTATCTCATTGTGGTTTTCATTTGCATTTCTCTAATGACCACTGATTTTGTTCTTTTTTATGTCTGCATAGTATTCCGTGGTACATATGTACCACATTTTCTTTTCTTTTCTTTTTGAGACGGAGTCTTGCTCTGTCGCCCAGGCTGGAGTGCAGTGGCACGACCTCGGCTCACTGCAAGCTCCGCCTCCCGGGTTCATGCCATTCTCCTGCTTCAGCCTCCTGAGTAGCTGGGACTACAGGCGCCTGCCACTGCACCTGGCTAATTTTTTTTTTTTTTTTTTTGTATTTTTAGTAGAGACGGGGTTTCACCGTGGTCTTGATCTCCTGACCTCGTGATCCACCTGCCTTGGCCTCCCAAAGTGCTGGAATTACAGGCGTGAGCCACTGTCTTTTTCTTTTTTTTTTTTTTTTTAAGATGGAGTCTCACTGTCGCCCAGGCTGGAGTGCAGTGGTGCAGTCTTGGCTCACTGCAGCCTCCACCTCCTAGGTTCAAGTGATTCTCCTGCCTCAGCCTTTCAAGTAGCTGGGACTACAGGCGCCTGCCACCACCACGCCCGGCTAATTTTTGTATTTTTAGTAGAGATGGGGTTTTTACCATGTTGGCCAGGCTGGTCTTGATCTCTTGATCTCATGATCTGCCTGCCTCGGCCTCCCAAAGTGCTGGGATTACAGGTGTGAGCCACCGTGCCCGGTCAAAGCACATGATTTTATTCTTTTTTATGGCTGCATAGTATTCCATAGTATATATGTACCACATTTTCTTCCTTTTTTTTTTTTTTTTTTTTGACATGGAGTCTCACTGTCGCCCAGGCTGAAGTGCAGTGGAGTTGATAATTTGCTTCACATCAGGGGACTGAATACACTTTGCTTGGTGCATTTTTCCTTCCATTTTTCAGTGCAAGATGACGAGAATGTTGCAACACTAATGTAACAATGTCAGGTGCATGTTTTCTGCTTTCATTTCATGTTTAAATTACATGCTCCCGATCTTCCTGAAAAGGACTCTTACAAAGTTTACCCATTGAACACACGGTTTCAAATTTCTCTTCTTCCTTTTCCACCCTCCCACCTTTCCTAAGTAAAACTGACTACGGATTACAAGGAAAGAAGAGAAATAGAAAGAAAAAGACATGGCCTCAAAACCTAGATTAAGGCTGGGCACGGTGGTTTACACCTGTAATCCCAGCACTTTGGGAGGCTGAGGCTGGAGGATCACCTGGACTCTGGGAGGCTGAGACGGCAGTGAGCTGTGATCGCACCATTGCAGTCCAGCCTGGACCACAGAGTGAGAACCTGTCTCAACAACAACAAGTGAGGAAGCTGGGTCTCAACCCATGTCAGTGGTAGGGCACAGAGCTTTTATGAGAAATCTGCAAACTGTCAAATGCACCTGCCATGATGTGTGTGTGTGTGTGTGTGTGTGGCACACATTTTCCAAACGTGAAAATTCTGTTGAGATTAATGAAGTGAAAATGTACTGCAGATATATTACCGAATGTAGTAGTTTTAGTCATTAATAATTAGCTTAATGTGGCCAGGGGCGGTCCAGAGTCTGGCTCTGTCACCCAGACTGAGATTGCAGTGGTGCAATCTCAGCTCACTGCAACCTCTGTGTCTGGGTTCAAGCGATTCTCCTGCCTCAGCCTCTCGAGTAGCTGGGATTACAGGCATGCACCCTGACAGCCAGCTAATTTTTGTATTTTTAGTAGAGATGAGGTTTTACCATGTTGGCCAGGCTAGTCTCGAACTCCTGACCTCATGATCCGCCCATCTTAACCTCCCAAAGTGCAGGGATTACAGGTGTGAGCCACTGAATCTGGCCAAAACCTCTTTTCTTTTCCTTTTTCCTTTTTTTTTTTTTTTGAGACAGAGTTTCGCTCTTGTTGCCCAGGCTGGAGTGAAATGGCATGATCTCGCTCACTGTAACCTCTGCTTCCCAGGTTCAAGTGATTCTCCAGCCTCAGCCTCCCGAGTAGCTGAGGTTACCAGCATGTATCACCACACCTGGCTAATTTTGTATTTTTAGTAGAGATGAGGTTTCACCATGTTGATCAGGCTGGTCTTGAACTCCTGACCTGATGATGTGCCTGCCTCAGTCTCCCAAAGTGTTGAGATTATAGGCGTGAGCCACTGCACCTGGCCCAAACCTCTTTTCTTTGTAAATTCCGAGTCTCAGGTAGTTCTTTACAGCAGTGCAAGAATGGACCAATACACTTCCCCATTATCTGCAGGATAAATTCAGTTTCCTGGTTCAGGGTCCAATCTGATATGCTTCAACTTCTATTTCAAATATATCTTCCTGTGATCAGCCAAATGGATCTTGTGATCACTGTGTGCCTCATTGTGACTTCACGTCCAGAAGCTTGAAATATTCTTCCTCCACCTGTCCACCTTCTTGCATTCCGCCTGTCCTTAGAGACACAGTCAAAGGCAATCTTGCATCAAGACCCACTGGTCTATGATGCTCTCTTGCCAGCTCATTGCACGATGAGAAGCAGTCCTGCTATAGGAAGAATCCAGAGACCTCCCATCAAACACCGGTCTTCACTCACTAGCTGGCTGAATGAGTCAGGGTTAAAGCTCACAGCGATACCCAGGAGATCCAGAAATACAGTGAGTGGCCCAGTCAAGATGAAAGTTTACTTTCCATCCATGCTCCATCCAATGAGGTGGGCTCTGTCAAGCCTGAAAAATTTTTTCTCTGGTCCTTTACACAAATATTTTGCGAGTTCCCGACCTCCAGTATCTAAAACGTTCCCAAAGTTACCTTTTCAGTTAAACATAACACCAAAAGGTTCATATTATACCCTGTGTACTGTGTTGAATTTTTAAACACTAACAAGAAAAAACTGGCCAGGCGCAGTGGCTCATGCCTGTAATTCCAGCAATTTGGGAAGCAGAGGTGGGAGAATTGCTTGCGTTCAGCAGTTTGAGACCAGCCTGGGCGACATAGTGAGACTCTGCCTCTAAGAAAAGTAAAAAATTAGCTGGGCATACTGGCCCACACCTGTAATTTTAGCTACGGGGGCTGGAGGATGGCTTGAGCCCAGGAGATGGAGGTTGCAGTGGGCTATGATGGTGCGACTGCACTCCAGCCTGGGCAACAGAGTGTGATCCCATCCCTCAATAAAGAAAGAAAATAATGTTTTTATCAATAGTTAAATCTTTGCCTCCAAAAAGTTAAGCATTTTGGTGATTGTATTGGAAAAAGAAAATGCTGAGAAGTTCAACTTTGTTAATATACTAAGCACTGATTTAATGTTAATTATGGAAATGGCATCAGAAATGATTACTGTTTACAAAAACAAAATCAGGTGATGTATATAACCGTCCAATTAGGTGGGCTCTGTAAAGCCTGAAATATTTTCTATCTTGTTCTTTATACAAATATTTTGTGAGTTCATGACCTCCAGCATCTAAAATGGTCCAAAAGTTACCTTTTAAGTTAAACATAAAACCAAAAGTTTCATATTATACCCTCTGTACTCTGTTGAATGTTTAAAGACTAACAAGAAAACACCGGCCAGGCACAGTGGCTCATGCCTGTAATTCCAGCAATTTGAGAAGCCGAGGGAGCCGAGATTAATATGCTAAGCACTGATTTAATGTTTATAATTACAGAAATGGCACCAGGATTACTGTTTACAAAAAAAAAAAAACAGGTGATACGTGAGGTCTGTCAACCGTGGTTGTGTGTGACCGTGTGCCAATAACTCAGTTATTCCCATTTTCTCATCTGTAAAATGGGTAAAATTAAACTTTCCTCATAAAATGTTCACGGGTATCAAGTAAAATCATATGTGTAAGTATCTAGCAAAATTTAAGGCCAATAACAAGCCATTGATAAATGGCAGCTCTTTTTTAAAAAATTGATCTGAAAACAAATTTTTCTTTTTTTTTTGAGATGGAGTCTCACTCTATCGCCCAGGCTGGAGGGCAGTGGCGCGATCTCAGCTCACTGCAAGCTCTGCCTCCTGGGTTCACGCCATTCTCCTGCCTCAGCCTCCCAAGTAGCTGGGACTGCAGGCACCCGCCACCATGCCCAACTAATCTTTTGTATTTTTAGTAGAGACTGGGTTTCACGGTGTTAGCCAGGATGGTCTCGATCTCCTGACCTCGTGATCCGCCCACCTCAGCCTCCCAAAGTGCTGGGATTACAGGTGTGAGCCATTACGCCCGGCTAATCTTTTGTATTTTTGGTAGAGACTGGGTTTCACCACGTTAGGCAGGATGGTCTCAATCTCCTGACCTTGTCATTCACCCACGTGGGCCTCCCAAAGTGCTGGGATTACAGGCGTGAGCCACCGCGCCCAGCCCTGAAAACATAATTTTGTTTTCAAGTGTTGGGGCTCAGGTTTGTCCATCGTCACAAAAACGTTGTCCATAAAATGTAACAATACCACAACACCGGAAAAATGCTTCCACAAGTGGCTGAGGCAGTAATGAAAGTAATTACACCTGTCACTTCTTTTTCTTGTTGCTGTTATTGTTGTCTAAAGTTTAGCTTGCTTCATTCTTTCCCTTAAACTTTTATCTTAGGTTTGGGGGTACACGTGCAGGTTTGTTGTAGGTCAATTTGTGTCACCGCAGTTTGTTGTACAGATGATTCCATCACCCAGGTATTAAGCCCAGTACCAATAGTTATCTTTTCTGCCCCTCTCCCTCCTCCCACCCTCCACCCTCAAGTAGAGGTGTCTCTTGCTCCCTTCTTTGTGTTCATGAGTTCTCCTCATTTAGCTCCCACTTATTTATTTTTTTATTTTTTTGAGACGGAGTGTCACCCTGTCGCCCAGGCTGGAGTGCAATGGCGTGATCTTGGCTCACTGCAACGTCCGCCTCCCGGGTTCAAATGATTCTTCTGCCTCAGCCTCCCCAGTAGCTGGGATTACAGGTGCCTGCCACCACGCCCGGCTAATTTTTGTATTTTTAGTAGAGATAGGGTTTCACCATGTTGGCCAAGCTGCTCTCAAACTCCTGACCTCGTGATCCACCTGCCTCGGCCTCCCAAAATGCTGGGATTACAGGCCTGAGTGACCGCGCCCGGCCTAGCTCCCACTTATAAGTGACAAAGTGCAGTATTTGATTTTCTGTTACTGCATTAGTTTGCTAAGGGTGATGGCCTCGAGCTCCATCCATATTCCTGTAAAAGACATGATCTCATTCCTTTTTCACAGTTGCATACTATTCCATGCATGCCTGTAATTCCCAAGCATGTAGAAATATTACAACACGATCCAGCGGCATAAAATGTGGTTTGAACCCACCCCCATCCTTTGGTTTTTCTCTTTCCTCCCTTCCCTTAACCTCCTACTTTTAGTTTTTAGCGTGCCTCCTTCTGTTTCTTTTTTATTTTTTTTTTATTGAGACAGAGTCTTGCTCTGTCGCCCAGGCTGCAGTGCAGTGGTGCAATCTCGGCTCACTGCAAGCTCCGCCTCCCGGGTTCACACCATTCTCCTGCCTCAGCCTCTCCGAGTAGCTGGGACCACAGGTGCCCCCAACCGCGCCGGGTTTTTTTTTTTTGTTTTTTTTTTTTTTGTATTTTTAGTAGAGACGGGGTTTCACCGTGGTCTCGATCTCCTGACCTCGTGATCCGCCCGCCTCGGCCTCCCAAAGTGCTGGGATTACAAGCGTGAGCCACCGCGCCCGGCCTGTTTCTTGTATGCTAAGGTTTGCATTACAGCTGGGAAAGTGGAGAAGAGACAATGTTTCTCCTCCAACCGAGTAAACAAAATTACGGGGATTAGAATGTGCCTGCTAAGAGCTCAGTAAACGTCATCTAGTGGTTACTAAGTGACCAAACAGGAAGCTGGGTGTTCATGCAGTCATGCCTGGATTCACTCACACTGCAGCCGCTGGTAGGGACAGACACAGCAGGGTTGGGACAGATTTGGTGGAAGAAATCATAAGCTAAAGAGAAACCCTGGCGTGCAAAACAATCCTTCCTGGCCGGGTGCGGTGGCTCACGCCTGTAATCCCAGCACTTTGGGAGGCCGAGGCGGGCGGATCACAAGGTCAGGAGTTCAAGACCAGCCTGCCCAATATGGTAAAACCCCGTCTCTACTAAAAAAAAAAAAAAAAAAAAAAAATCGCCAGGCGTGGTGGCGGATGCCTGTCGTCCCAGCTACTCGGGAGGCTGAGGCAGGAGAATCGCTTGAACCCGGGAAGCGGAGGTTGTAGTGAGCTGAGATCGGCCCACTGCACTCCAGCCTGGGAGACAGAGCAAGACTCTGTCGGAAAAAAAAAACAAAAACAAAAACAAAAAAACCATTCCTTCCTGGTAGCAGGCCTCATTCATCAGCAGCCCATAAAGGACTCTACTGACTTTTTGTCCTAGGTTAACTACAACCTGTGTCCCAGAAACTGCAGAGAGGCTCCCTTCAGGGTTCCCACGCTCATCCACATACACATACACTCACGCATGCACACGGCTATTCACACTCGTGCATACACATATACATATACATTGCAGGTGTGCACAGGTTTTCACACGCATCTGCACACGCACGCATGCAGCTAAAAGCATATGTGCATTTTACACACGCACACATGCATTCACGCACACATGAGGCATTTGCACACGTGCACGGGTGCACTCTGTGGTCTCTGCCCTTCCTCTCGGCACTGCTTCTCCTTCATGGATCCCTTCCTTTTGTGATTTCAAGAAAGCCTCTTTGGAGAAGGTCTTCCACTCCAACACCAACCTGTCAACCAAAATCCTGCCCCGTGTCGGCAGCACGGCCTTTGTAGATTGCATGCTGGGTCCAAATCACATTCTATGTTGTTTTCAGCAGTGCTCCCCTCGATGTGTGCCACAGCCCTCATCAAGAGGAGTCCAGAGCTGTCGTCATCAGCGCTACGATGCTGATCCTGTCTTTGTCCTCTATTCTCCTCTTTGCATACACAGCCAGCTCATCTACCGAAATGAGAACTCTTGTGTGTCAGGGTCTAAGTGTTTCTCCTCTTTGCAGCCCTGCTTCCACTGAAACCCAGGCATACACATGCATGTACAGATACACTCACACCTGCATGTACACACGTGCGTATACATGCATTGCACACATCGATTCACACATAGGTATGTACACCCATGCACATACACACTGCATATATGTGCAGATTTTCACACATACATGAGGCATCTGCACACGTGCACAGGTGCACTCAGTTTTTCACACTCATGCACACGCAGGCACACATGCATGCACACATATGCACATACATCAATAAATGCATAGCCCACACACATATTTACACATGCACGAAGCATTCTCATACCCATGAATACACGTTCATACATGCACACACAAGCATCCACTCAAGTACACATATTCACACATGCATGTACACACATGCACAGAAACACACATACATGATACACATGCAACCCTTTCACAGTGCATGCACGGTGCACACACACATGCACACATTCACACATGCATGTGTGCATTGAACACGCATTTGCGCATGCACAAGGCATTCACACAATCGTGCATACACATTCACACCTTCATGCACACAAATTCACATATGCATTTGCAGGCATGCAGTGATGTGTGCACACGTGCATTCAGATGCGTGAATTCATGCAAACACACACAAACAACACGCACACATATGGATGCATACACACACATGCATGCATACTGAGACACCCTGAGGCACAGTGAGATGTCTGTAACATAATACAAATTGGGTGGTTACATTTGGCCTCTTGAAATTCAACAAAACCACAATACAATCCAGCATCTTTGGTCCAAAGCAGCTCCTGCCTCCTGACTTCTGCTCCAGTGGTGCGTCTGTTTTCCTAGAGTGTCGTCTGGGGCAACAACGCTTCTTTGAACTTTGCAAAAAGGCTTGGGATGTGTTGACCCAAGTCCAGCTCTGTGATCTCAAATAACTTAGCCAGTCTCTTTTGTTGCTTCTGTCTCACTAAAGAGAATAGGTTCCACTAGAATTTGACCATGGCAACCACAGTCTTTTTTGTTTGTTTGTGTTTGAGACAGAGTCTTGCTCTGTCACCCAGACTGCAATGCAGTGGCAAGATCTCGGCTCACTGCAACCTCCGCCTCCTGGGTTCAAGCGATTCTCCTGTCTCAGCCTCCGGAGTAGCTGGGATTACAGGCACGCACCAACACGCTCAACTAATTTGTGTGTTTTTAGTAGAGACAGGGTTTCACCAACTTGGTCAGGCTGGTCTCGAACTCCTGACCTCACGTGAGCCACCTGCCTCTGCCTCCCAAAGTGCTGGGATGACAGGCGTGAGCCACCGCGCCTGGCTGGCAACCACAATCTTGAGCAGTTGCTCTGATTTTATTCTCATAACTTAGGGGTATTTGTTGTTACCCCAGCACAGAATGGAAAACTGGTGCATGGGGTGGTTTAATAACCTGTGCAGGGTCAGGCAGGTGGAAAATAGCAGGTATGATTCAACCTTGTTTCTCTCTCTAGGTGGTCCTGTCGACCGTCGCTTGACCTGGCTGATTCCGAAGCTGCCTTCTGGCGCAGACATCCTACACTGCTGGATTCCTCCTCCATCTTTTGCTCCTCAGTTATCCGATGTGGAGGGAATCCCTCCCTCTCAAGTCATTGCCACCTTCTGTCCACGTTACCAAATGAGGTCACTGGTCCTCATCTGTGGGTTCCTTCATGCAGCGTTGCACGCCTCCACAAGCACGTTGCCGTTTCGAGAACTCTGGCTAGTGATGTCACATCGTTGATGAGAGGCCACGTGGTCCTTCAGGTGGAAGCTGTGAATGAACATCCTCCCAGCCTGGATGTGGAGAAACAGGAACGCTTTTACACTGTTGGTGGGAGTGTTAACTAGTTCAACCATTGTGGAAGACAGTGTGGCGATTCCTCAAGGACGTTGAACCAGAAAGACCATTTGACCCAGCCATCCCATTACTGGGTATATACCCAAAGGATTATAAATCATGCTGCTATAAAGACACATGCACACGTATGTTTATTGTGGCACTGTTCACAATAGCAAAGACTTTGGAACCAACCCAAATGCCCATCAATGGTAGACTGGATAAAGAAAATGTGGCACATACACAGCATGGAATTCTATGCAGCCATAAAAAAGGATGAGTTCATGTCCTTTGCAGGGACATGGATGAAGGTGGAAACCATCCTTCTCCAGAAACCAACACAGGAAGAGAAAACCAAACACTGCATGTTCTCACTTATAAGTGGGAGTTGAACAATGAGAACACATGGACACAGGGAGGGGAACATCACACACTAGGGCCTGCCGGGGAGGTGGGAGGCTAGGGGAGGGAGAGCATTAGGACAAATACCTAATGTAGATGATGGGTTGATGGGTGCAGCAAACCACCATGGCACGTGCATACCTACGTAACAAACCTGCACGTTCTGCACACGTACCCCAGAACTTAAAGTAGAATTAAAAGAAAAAAAAAAGAAAACAAGAAAAGAAAATCATCCCAACCTGATACGGTATCAGGTTGCGCTGGTCATTTTATCATGTATCTCACTGGGATCTGAACTCATGCCAAGCTGGCTACAAGCCCCTCTGTGTGTAAGACACTCCCTGCAGCTTCAGGGAGGTCAGAAGCTACACACACACACACACACACACACACACACACACACACACACACACATCCTGTATAGCTCCATCATCAAATGCCTGGAGGCTCCAGAAATGCGTGATGCCCCCAGGGTGGTCGAAAGACTCAGCCACGGGGCTCCAATTTCTGTTCCCTCCCCTAAGCAACCAACTTCCCTTTTTTTTTTTTTTGAGATGGAGTCTCTCTCTGTCACCAGGCTGGAGTGCAGCGGCACGATCTCAGCTCACTGCAACCTTCGTCTTCTGGGTTCAAGCGATTCTCCTGCCTCAGCCTCCTGAGTAGCTAGGACTACAGGCACCTGCCACCCCGCCTGGCTAATTTTTGTATTTTTAGTAGAAACAGGGTTTCACCATGTTGGCCAGGATGGTCTCGATCTCCTTGAAGGAAGAGAGAGACCCTCTCATATTGTTTTATATACTCAGCACCTGTTTTAAGAAGAAACAACAAGGAAGTAAAACCAAAGACAGGCAGCCCGGCGCCAGGCCTGAAACCAGGCCTGGGGCTGCCGGCCCTAAACCCAGTAGTTAAAAATCAACTCATAACTTAGAAACCGATGTTATTCATAGATTCCAGACATCGTATAGAAGAACACTGTGAAACTCCCTGCCCGTTCTGTTTCTCTCTGACCACAGGTGCATGCAGCCCCTGTCACGTACCCCTTGCCTGCTCAAATCAATCATGACCCTTTCATGTAAAATCTTTAGTGTTGTGAGCCCTTAAAAGGGACAGAAATTGTGCATTCGGAGAGCTCAGATTTTAAGGCAGTAGCTTGCCAATGCTCCCAGCTGAATAAAGCCCTTCCTTCTGCAACTCGGTGTCTGAGAGGTTTTGTCTGCAGCTCGTCCTGCTACATCCTGACCTTGTGATCCACTCGCCTCGGCCTCCCAAAGTGCTGGGATTACAGGCGTAAGCCACCGCGCCCGGCCCTTCCCTCCTTTTTATCTGGTCTCTCTACTCTCAGCCGCACCCCAACAGTTTGCCTTTCCTTCCTCACTGTTCATGCCTCGTGTTACCCTCAATTCCCAGATGCTTAGATGCCCTGTCCAAACTGGGCAATGTCAGTCCGCTGCTCCAGCACCTCCGCCTCCTCCGGCTCCTGGAATGAAATTCAGCCCAAGGCCCTGACATGCAGGGGTGACTCTTGGATTCGGCCACAGTGCCCTCCCTCGCTCCTGGAATCGCTACGTCAGTTCTTGCCTCGGGGTCTTTGTGTGTGCTGTTCCCTCTGATTGGAATACTCTCCTCTCACTACCCCCATATCCGTGTGGCCCTCACCTTCTCATCAAGAGGGTCTTTGGCTTCAGGGTCAACCCTTCCCTCACCTTCTCTCACCACTCTCTAGAAGCTTCTCTCCGGTACCTTCCTTCAGCTTTCTTCTTGGCTCTCAACATTCTCTGGCTATATTCATGTCTGCGAGTATGCCTACGTCTAATTCCACATCCACACTCACATCTACCTGCATTTACACCTGTATCTATCATCTACCTGTCTATCCATTTATCTATTTACCTACGTATCTGCCTATCTAGCTATGCATTATCTATCTATCCATCTATTTCTCTATCATCTATCTACATAGCTATCTATCCATGATCTCTCTATGCATCATCTATGTATCTATCGATCTATCGTCTATCTGCCTATTATCATCTATATATCTCTCCATCATCTATCTATGCATCATCTATTATCTATCACCTATCATCTATGTAGCCCATCTATCCTTTATCTGTCTGCCTATCTATATCTATCTGCCTATCGTCATCTACGTATCTATCTATCTATGCATCATCTCTCCATTATCTGTCTATCCATCTTATCATCTATGTAGCTCATCTATCATCTGTCTGCCTGCCTATCTACCTATATCTGTCTGCCCATCTACCTATATCTATCATCTGTCTATCTATATCTATCATGTCTGCCTATCTATATCTATCCATCTATCATCTGTCTGCCTATCTATATCTATCTAATCTATCTCTATCTAGCTATCTATCATCTGTCTGCCTATCTATATCTATCATCTATCTTTTATCTGTCTGTCTGCCTCTATCTATCTATCTATCTATCTATCTATCTATCGATCGGTCTGTTTGCCTATCTAAATCTACTTATCTATCATCTGTCTGCCTATCTATATCTATCTATCATCTATCTATCTATCTTTTATCTGTCTGCCTATCTCTATGTATCTATCTATCTATCTATCATCGGTCTGTCTATCTAAATCTACTTATCTATCTATCATCTGCCTATCTATCATGTCTGCCTATCTATATCTATCATCTGTCTATGTATATCTATCCGTCTATCATCTATCTATATATCTATCCATCATCTATTTATCATCTATGTATCTCATCTATTATCTGTCTCTCTGTATCTCTAAATTATCTATCTAATCTATCTAATGTCAGTCAATGGATCTGTATCTATTGTCTAGTTATTAATCATCTAATATGCTTATTATGTCATCAAATCTATTTATCTATTATTTATATCCGTCATCTATTGCCTATCTATCTAATCTATGCACATCTAACTACCTATCTGTTATCTATTATCTGTCAATCATCTAATCTATTTTTTTTTTTTGAGATGGAGTCTTGCTCTGTCACCCAGGCTGGAGTACAATGCTGTGATCTTGGCTCACTGCAACCTCCACCTCCCTGGTTGAAGCGCTTCTCCTGCCTCAGCTTCCCGAGTAGCTGGGATTACAGGTGCACACTACCATGTCCAGCTAATTTTTTGTATCTTTAGTAGAGACAAGATTGCACCATGTTGGCCAGGCTGGTCTTGAACTCCTGAACTCATGATCCGCCTGCCTTGGCCTCCCAAAATGCTGGGATGACAGGCGTGAGCCACTGCACCCAGCTAATCTATCTCTTATCTATGAATACCAATCATTTATTATCTATGTATATCATCTGTTATTTCTCTGTTGTGCATCGGTTATCTAGTTTAGCTATTATGTAACTATATCATCTATCTATCATCAATCATCAAATCTATAAATCTTATGTACCTATGTATCTATGTACATCTGTATCCAGACCCAATTCTGTATCTGTATCCATGTCTGTGTCTCTTTCTATATCTGAATCTATGACCGTATCTATTTTACACCTGTTTCCGTATTCATCTCTATGCCTCTGTCTCTCTATATCTATGTATCTATGCCCATATCTGTGTCTGTACCTAGGTCCATTTCCATTCCTGTTTCATATCTGTATCTAGATTTCCTTTCCCATTGCCTCCCTCCCTTTTAATCCTGGCTCCATTTCAGGTGAAAAACCAGTATCTGGCTCATAGTTGACAATATTTGTGGGAAGAATAAATTCATCATTAAGTACATTCATTGATCTTCTCAATTAATTCTTAGTATTTCTCATGAGAAAACAGGAGACATGAGGTTTGGAGAAGGAGAATTTAATGGGAAGCAGAGGCTGTAAGTAGGGTGATTTGTTGTCCTAGGGGTGACTTTAGGGTTTAACGCATCAGCCCTGAGCCAACACTGTAAGCACCATGAATTACAGTTTTTTTGTGTTTGTTTTTTGAGACGGAGTCTTATTCTGTTGCCCAGGCTAGAATGCAGCGGTGCAATCTCAGCTCACTGCAACCTCTGCCTCCTGGGTTCAAGCAATTCTCCTGCCTCAGCCTCCCAAGTAACTGGGATTACAGGAGTGTGCCACCACGCCTGGCTAATTTTTGTATTTTTAGTAGCGATGGGGTTTCGCCATGTTGGCCAGGCTGGTCTTGAACTTCCGACCTCGTGATCTGGCTGCCTCAGCCTCCCAAAGTGCTGGGATTACAGGCGTGAGTCACTGTGCCCGTGCCCGGCCAAGTACAGTAATTTTTATCCAACTGCATTCCTCTGTCTGAATAAGGAGCCGAGATCCTGCCTTTTTCTTTTCTTTGAGTTCTTACTGTCTTTATGTAGCAGATTGTCTCCAGATCGCCTCCAGCAAAGAAGAGGAGGAAGTTGGAAAATAAAAAAATAAGAGCTTAGTGGTGTCTCTGCATGATTCCCTCACAGTGTTTTGTCCTGAAGCTTCTCAGAACCCGCTGTTCACCACAGGACGTCTTGGTGAAACAGTCTCTGTATTATCTGCCTTATCTGTTAGGCAAATGCCAAATTCTTCCCTCTCTAGGACGACCAAGTTGTGCTCTGCTCTTAAACTGAGGAACGTCTGGAATTCAGGGGTCAGCCCAAGTCACACCCAGGAGTAAAAGAAACTGAACATTCTCTACATGCAAGCCTCCATTCCCAAAATGCCCTCCTTTAAGCTCACGTTGCCTAAAAAATGAAGACGTGTGGGATTAACACAGCCAAGTGAAGCTCTTTCACAGAGGTAGCATGGGCTTGCATTATGTATTATGTACCTATTGCATAGACGTAGCATGGACCTGCTTTATGTATTATGTGTCTCTTGCATAGACGTAGCATAGACCTGCTTTACGTATTATGTGTCTCTTGCATAGACGTAGCATGGACCTGCTTTACGTATTATGTGTCTCTTGCATAGACGTAGCATGCACTTCCATTATGTATTCCATTATGTATTCTGTGTCTATTGCACAGATGTAGCATGGACCTGCATTATGTATTACATATTACATATTATGTACCTATTGCATAGACGTAGCATGGACTTGCATTATGTATTATGTATCTATTGCATAGACGTAGCATGGACCTGCAGCTCTATGCTTCACGGAAGGCATCACGGTGGCAGCCTCCTTCTCAATACTGGGGTGCTGGACGTCCCCAGATCCTCTGGGATCATTTCCTGTATCTATGTGCATGACCGTGCCTCATCCCTGAATGCTGCCCGATGCTGCGGCTTTGCTGTCTCTGCGATGATTCACACTGACAGATTTAAATCCCTAGGAGCGGTACCTCCCGTCCTGGAGGTGGGAAGGACAGACTCAGTGCCTGCTGGAACGTGACCAGAATGCATGCAGATCTCTGCTTTGCACCTGATGCAGAGCTAGGGGTCAGCACCATGGTGTAGACAGGTGTGTGTGTGTGTCTGGTATGTTATGGTCAGGGGAGTCGTTCTGATATTTTTTACATGCAAAGAATACCTCGTTCTATAGCAGTGATTCTCATCTGGGAGTGGTTCTGTTCCCTAACCGCCACCCCCCCTCCCCCAACGCCGCGACATTTGGCAATATCTAGGGACATTTTTGGTGGTCATAACAAGCTAGGGATGCTATGGGCATCTAGTGGGTGGAGACCAGGGATGCTGTACAGCACAGCCTCTTAATTATCCATCCCACATGGCAATGGTGTTGAGGTCAAGAAACTCTGGTTTAGCATGAGAGGCTCTGTCTGTTTATGTCTCATCTGGCCATCACCTAGCATCCATCTGTATCTACCTATCAATTTTCTTTGTCTATCTATTATCTATCTATCGATCTATCACTATCATCTATCTAACCATCATCATCTGTTATCACCATCACGTGTCTAACTATATCATCACCATCATCTATCTATCCATCTATCACCTACCTATGCATCCATCCACCCACCTATCATCTATCCATCCATCCATCCATCTACCCATCCACCTATCATGTATCTATCCATCCATCCACCTATCATGTATCTATCCATCCACCTATCCATCTAATCTATCCATCCATCTACCCATCCACCTATCCATCCACCCACCATGTATCTATCCATCCACCTATCATGTATCTATCCATCCACCTATCCATCTAATCTATCCATCCATCTACCCATCCACCTATCTATCCATCCACCCACCATGTATCTATCTATCCACCTATCCATCCATCCATCCATCTACCCATCCACCTATCTATCCATCCACCCACCTGTCATATGTCTATCCATTCATCTATCCATCCATCCATCCATCCACCCATCCACCTATCTATCAATCCACCCACCTATCATGTATCTATCCATCCATCCACCCATTATCTATCTAATCCATCTACCCGTCCACCTATCATCCATCCACCCACCTATCATGTATCTATCCATCCATCCACCTATTATCTATCCATCCATCTACCCGTCCACCTATCATCCATCCACCCACCTGTTTCTATCTATCCAGCCATCTATCTATCCATCCATCCATCTACCCATCTATCTATCTATCTATCTATCTATCCATCTATCCATCCATCTACCCATCTTTCTATCTATCTATCTATCTATCTATCTATCTATCTATCTATCTATCCATCCATCCATCCATCCATCTGCTCATCTATCTATCTGTGGCAGTTGTTTGCAACCAAGGAAAATTCTGCCCTTGAGGACATACTGCCTAACATCTGAGGGCATCTTTGGTTGTCACCACCTGATGGAGGAGATCCTGGCCTCTGGTGTGTAGATCCCAGGTACGCTGCTCAACACCTTACAGTGCCCAGGATGGCCCCACCACAGACAGTCCTCCAGTCTGAAATGTCAGCGGTGCTGAAGTTGAGAAACCCTGACATCAAGGTAATGGCTGGGCATAAGAGATTCTGTCTATTTAACTATCAATCATCTATCAATCTATCAATCATCTGTCCTTCTTTCAATCTATCATATCCTATGTAGCTATCTATCCTGTTTATTATCTATCTGTGTCTCTATCATCTATCCAGCATCTATTTATCTATCATTTAGCATCTCTGTATCTCTTTATCAATAATCTTTATCTATCTGTGTATCATCTATCTATATCTATCCAGCTATCACTATCATTTATCTGTCGATGACAGTGGTTTTCAATTCGGGGTGATTTTTCTCCCCTGGGGTCACTGTGTTATATCTGAGGACAGCTTTGGTTATCACAACTGTGGGGGTGCTCCTGGTATCTGGTGGGTGGAGCCCAGGGGCGCTGCTCAACACGCTACGGTGAACAGGACAGCCCCGCCCCGCCCCAGGAGAATCCTCCAGCTCACACATGCCAGCAGTGCTGAGGCTGAGAAACGTTTCAGAAAATGAAAGCATCTTAAGAGACTCAGTGTTTGATGCAAAAACAGCAAACTTGGTGATACCCCTCCTGAAAGTGGAAGTTTCAGCACAAAACTGTTATCGAATCAGCCTCTGTGTCTCAAAGGCTCAACTTACAATCCCCATGACCTTGGAGTCACCGCCTTCGGTGGAAGGTACCATTTCCGGGCAAGTGGGTCACCGCCTTCGGTGGAAGGTACCATTCCCAGGCACGTGGGTCACCGCCTTCGGTGGAAGGTACCATTCCCGGCAAGTGGCTCACCGCCTTCAATGGAAGGTACCATTTCCGGGCAAATGGGTCACCGCCTTTGGTGGAAGGTACCATTTCCGGGCAAGTGGGTCACCGCCTTCAATGGAAGGTACCATTTCCGGCAAGTGGGTCACCGCCTTCAGTGGAAGGTACCATTGCTGGGCAAATGGGTCACTGCCTTAGGTGGAAGGTACCATTTCCGGGCAAGTAGGTCACCGCCTTCAATGGAAGGTACCATTTCCGGCAAGTGGGTCACCGCCTTCAATGGAAGGTACCATTTCCGGGCAAGTGGGTCACGGCCTTTGGTGGAAGGTACCATTTCCGGGCAAGTGGGTCACCGCCTTCAATGGAAGGTACCATTCCCCGGGCAAGTGGGTCACCGCCTTCGGTGGAAGGTACCATTCCTGGGCAAGTGGCTCACCGCCTTCAAATGGAAGGTTCCATTTCCGGGCAAGTGGGTCACCGCTTTCAATGGAAGGTACCATTCCCAGGCACGTGGGTCACCACCTTCGGTGGAAGGTACCATTCCCAGGCAAGTGGGTCACCACCTTCAATGGAAGGTACCATTACCAGGCAAGTGGGTCACCGCCTTTGGTGGAAAGTACCATTCCCGGGCAAATGGGTCACTGCCTTCGGTGGAAGGTACCATTTCCGGGCAAGTGGGTCACCGCCTTCAATGGAAGATACCATTCCCGGGCAAGTGGGTCACCGCCTTCAGTGGAAGGTACCATTCCCGGGCAAGTGGGTCACCACCTTTGGTGGAAGGTACCATTTCCGGGCAAGTGGGTCACCGCCTTCAATGGAAGGTACCATTCCCCGGGCAAGTGGGTCACCGCCTTCGGTGGAAGGTACCATTTCCGGGCAAGTGGGTCACCGCCTTCGGTGGAAGGTACCATTCCCGGGCAAGTGGGTCACCGCCTTTGGTGGAAGGTACCATTTCCGGGCAAGTGGGTCACCGCCTTCAATGGAAGGTACCATTCCCCGGGCAAGTGGGTCACCGCCTTCGGTGGAAGGTACCATTTCCGGGCAAGTGGGTCACCGCCTTCGGTGGAAGGTACCATTCCCGGGCAAGTGGGTCACCGCCTTCAATGGAAGGTACCATTTCCGGGCAAATGGGTCACCGCCTTTGGTGGAAGGTACCATTTCCGGGCAAGTGGGTCACCGCCTTCAATGGAAGGTACCATTCCCCGGGCAAGTGGGTCACCGCCTTCAATGGAAGGTACCATTCCCAGGCACGTGGGTCACCGCCTTCAATGGAAGGTACCATTCCCAGGCACGTGGGTCACCGCCTTCAATGGAAGGTACCATTCCCAGGCACGTGGGTCACCGCCTTCGGTGGAAGGTACCATTCCCAGGCAAGTGGGTCACCGCCTTCAATGGAAGGTACCATTTCCGGGCAAATGGGTCACCGCCTTTGGTGGAAGGTACCATTTCCGGGCAAGTGGGTCACCGCCTTCAATGGAAGGTACCATTGCCGGGAAAATGGGTCACTGCCTTGGGTGGAAGGTACCATTTCCGGGCAAGTGGGTCACCGCCTTCAATGGAAGGTACCATTTCCAGACAAGTGGGTCACCGCCTTTGGTGGAATGTACCATTCCTGGGCAAGTGGGTCACCGCCTTGGGTGGAAGGTACCATTTCCGGGCAAGTGGGACCCCACTGTGGGATCTTACCTGTCAGGCCTCTGAGCTGAAGCTCAGCCATTATCACTCCTGTGACCTGCACATATACATCCAGGTGGCCTGCAGGAGCCAAGAATTCTGGAGCAGCCAAAGAAAAAAACTACAAAGAAGTTAAACAGCCAGTTCCTGCCTTAACTGATTAACTAAAATTACAATATTTTACTATTGTGACTTGTCCCTGCCCCAGTTTAGCTGATCAATCAACTCTGTGACATTCTTCTTCTGGACAATCAGTCTTATGATCTCTCCACCATGCACCTTGTAACCCCCTCTTCTGCTGACGATAGATAACCACCTTTTGCTGTAATTTTCCATTACCTACCCAGCTCCTGTAAAGCCACACCTTCCCCATCTCCCTTCGCTGACTCTCTTTTCGGACTCAGCCCACTTGCACCCAAGTGAATACACAGCTTTATTGCTCACACAAAGCCTGTTTGGTGGTCCCTTCACGGACGCGCGTGACACTTATCCAGCGGTACTTCCTGCAGAACCCTGACCTTTTACAAAAATCCACCAATTCAAAATGTATTGTGTGGATGGCTTCAGGATGGAAGCAGTCTCCACTCCTAAGCTTTGGGGGAGGAAGGGCTGAAAGTGATCGCTTAAGCCCCCTCTACCCCATCCAGCTTTCCCTTATAAATGAGATCCTATGCAGAGTTGGATAAGCTGTTACAGATCCACGGGTGCACACGCCTTTACCTGGAGCTATTGCATGTAAATTGTAAGGTTTTATTTAATTTTACAGGAAGGCCCTTCTTTTTCCTTTGCTTTCTTTTCTTTTTGTTTTGTTTTGTTTTTCTCTCTAGCTTATCATTCATACTGACAGATCCTGATATCTACAGTGACTTGGGGAATTTTCAAAGGACAGCGCTAAAACCTCTGCTTGGGAGGCAGGTCGGGGTGTCAGTGACTAATGTGGTTTGCAAGCAAACGCCTGGAGGGGCAGGGCTCTGACTGCAGTCTCCGTGTCTGTGCCCTTGGACAGAGGCTCAACCCCCGCGTCCGGGACTTTGAAGTTAGAAATGATATGTCCGTGTGAAAGTCGCTAAATTAATTTCCGAGGGACCGGCAAACACTGCGGGGCAGCTGATATGAAATTGGAAGGGATTTGAAATGGAAATCCAAGAAGGAGAGCCGCGGGGGGAGTGGGGATGGAGGAGGGGAGAGGAATCATCACAGCAAGGGAGGGAAAGAGAGGAGCAGGAAAATGCAGAGGCGGGGCGCAGCTGATTTTCACCAACAGACTGTTTTGCGAGCTCTCCTTCCATGCAAGGAGATCTTGTGTGTTTGTGTCCTGATAGACTTCAGTGCTGGACCATATTAAGGACAAGGAGAAACTCAGGCCATAGTAAGAAATGTCCGGCGTCTGGGGCAATTTCTTCTAAACTGGATGAGCCCATTTGGAGGACTGCTTGGGCCCAGGAGTTTGAGACCAGCCTGGGCAATACAGCAAGACCCTGTATCTACAAAACGGAGCCTCTTAAACGTGCATTACAGCCACCTGGACAGGGTGGGATTTGGGAGGCAGGTGCACGTCCAGTGACTGCTGTGACAAATGCCCACAGCACTAAACTGCTTTAGGTGACTTCAAGCAACACCAATAGATGATCTTGCAGTCCTAGAGGTCAGAACTCCGAAATGGGTCTCCCGGGGTAAAATCCAGGTGTTGGCATGGCTGGTTCCTTCTGGAGCCTGTAAGGGAGACCCCATTTTCTGACCATTTCTGTCTGCTACGGAACACATTTTTTTTTTTTTTTTTTTTTTTGAGATGGAGTCTCACTCTCTCACCAGGCTGGAGTGCAGTGGTGCAATTTCGGCTGGCTACAACCTCCGCCTTCTGGGTTCAAGTGATTCTCCTGCCTCAGCCTCCCAAGTAGCTGGGACTACAGGCATCCACCACCACACCTGGCTAATTTTTGTATTTTTAGTAGAGATGGGGTTTCACCATCTTGGCCAGGCTGGTCTTGAACTCCTGACCTTGTGATCTACCTGCCTCAGCCTCCCAAAGTTCTGGGATTATAGGCGTAAGGCACCGCACCCGAGGTAATTTTTATTAATAATGGTTTTGAGCATCCAATGTCCCATTTGGTTATAGATAGAGGAATGGCAGAGTATGAATAGGGTGATGTGGTTACTCTGTTGAAAACGCTAAGAACCACCTTTCTGGGAATTGTGGAGGGTAGGTAATTGCAACTGTCTTCTATCTTCTAGGTGCTATGTCTGTGGACACACCCTAGGATATATTTTCTTCTCTGTCTTTCCAATCGAGTCCACATAAACACAAGGCAAGAATCTTAGATGGGAAAATAAGGAAAAAGCAACCAGTGACCTGAGGCAGGGGTAAAGAAAGGAGAGAGACTTCCTTGGAGTTGGCGTTCATTTTGCAGAGTAAAAGCAGTGTGCAATTTTTCTAAGCACTCGTGGGTCCAAACACCATCTCCTTCTTTCCAAAAGGAATATCTTCCCATCCACAGGAAGGCAAGAAAAAGGAGTGGACCATTGTTTCAGGTAAAAACTTGGCTGCATCTTTTGAGAAGTGTCTGTTCCTATCCTTTGCCCATTTTTTGATGGGGTTGTTTATTTTTTGTTGTTGTTGTAAATTTATTTAAGTTCCTTGTAGATTCTGGATATTACACCTTTGTCAGGTGGATAGGTTGCAAAAATTTTCTCCCATTCTGTAGGTTGCCTGTGCGGCCAACAAACATATGAAAAAAAAGCTAATCATCGCTGGTTATTAGAGAAATGCAAATCAAAACCACAATGAGATACCATCTCAGGCCCGTTAGAATGGCAATTATTAAAAAATCAGGAAAAAACACATGCTGGCAAGGCTGTAGAGAAATAGGAACGCTTTTACACTGTTGCTGGACATGTAAATTAGTTCAACCATTGTGGAAGACAGTGTGGCGATTCCTCAAGGATCTAGAACCAGAAATACTATTTGACGCAGCAATCCCATTACTGTGTATATACCCAAAGGATTATAAATCATTTTACTATAAAAACGCATGCACACATATGTTTACTGCAGCACTATTCACAATAGCAAAGACTTGGAACCAACCCAAATGCCCATCAATGATAGACTGAATAAAGAAAATGTGGCACATAGACACCATGGAATACTATGCAGTCATAAAAAAGGATGAGTTCATGTCCTTTGCAGGGACATGGATGAAACTGGAAACCATCATTCTCAGCAAACTAACACAAGAACAGAAAACCAAACACCTCATGTTCTCACTCATAAATGGGAGTTGAACAACGAGAACACATGGACGCAAGGAGGGGAACATCACACACCGGGGCCTGCTGGGGGTTGGGGGGCAAGGGGAGCGAGAGCATTAGAACAAATGCCTAATGCATGCAGGGCTTAAAACCTAGATGACGGATTGATGGGTACAGCAAATCACCATGGCACATGTATAGCTATGCAACAAACCTCCACGTTCTGCACATGTATCCCAGAACTTAAAGTAAAAAAAAAACAAAAAAAACTTAACTGCATCTCGAATGCATATTACGAAGTGAAAGAAGCCACTTTCCAAGGGGTACTTACTGCATGAAGGCACGTATATGACTTTGTGGACCCGGCAAATACAGAGACAAAAAACAGACCAGTGCTTGCCAGAGGTTAGGGCTGAGGATTGGGGTTGCCTGTGGATGGGCAAGGTGAGGGAATTCTCTGCAGTCATGGACTTGTTCTGAATCCTGATGGGGTCTTGGGTACCTGAATGCATACATGTATTAAAACGTATGACTGTGCACCAAACAACAGAGAATGGCATACTGAAAGAGTGCAGGCTTGTGTTGTAGCACAAGACAAGGGCTTGCAATTACCTGCCCTCTGCCAGTCCCAGGAAGGTTGTTCTTGGCGTTTCAACAGAGTAACCACATCAACCTTAAAAGGTTGAAGATGGGATTCCCACAGGATCTAGCAAATGCACTTCTGGGTCTATGCACCCGCTCCCTCAAATTGGGACTTGAACCAATATTCGCACACCTGTGTTCATAGCAGTGTTACTCACCATAGCCCCAACGTGGAAGGCCTCCCCAAGTGGTCACTGGCAGATAAATAGGTAAGCAAAATGTGGTCTGTCTATACGGTGGAATATTATTCAGCCTTCAAAAAGGACAGAAGCTCTGATCAAGCATTGACAAACCATGAGGACATTACGCTGAGTAAAAGAAACCAGTCCTAAAAAGGAAAAATACTCTATGATACCACTTGAATGAGGTCCTCAGAGTCGTCACATTGGGACCAAAAGAAAGAAAGTCGAATGGGTCAGGTGCAGTGGCTCATGCCTGGAATCCCAGCACTTTGGGAGGCCAAGGCAGGTGGATCACCTGAGGTCAGGAGTTCGAGACCAGCCTGGCCAACAGGGTGAAACCTTGTCTCTACTAAAAATGGTGCCTGTAATCCCAGCTACTCGGGAGGCGGAGGCAAGAGATTTGTTTGAACCCGGGAGGCAGAGGTTGTAGTGAGCCGAGATTGTGCCACTGCACTCCAGCCTGGGTGACAGAGCGAGACTCTGTCTCAAAAAAAAAAAAAAAAGTTACAATGGTAAATTTGATGCTATGCATATTTTATCATAATTCATTTTTTAATTAAAAATACACCTGCATTCAAAACGTGCTACTTGAGAGAGAGCATACAAAGTCAGCCTTAGGGTTAGGAACTAAATATTGGAAGTGCTGTCTGCATTTCTTTATATGTCATGGTTTTAAAAGGTTTATCTATGTGTGGTGCAGCATCAGGGGCATCCATAATGGGCACGTATAACATCTGCACACCTGCAGATGTGCACTGGGGTACAGGCTAGAATGCTTTGCTCACAAAGGTGTGCACCAAACCTGGGAGCCTGCAGGTGTGGCCAGCACCCCACACCTAACTCTCACCAACTGGTCCAGAATCTAGCTGAGAATCTAGCTGAATCTAGCAGAATCTAGCTCCAGAATTGAGCTGAAAGTGCTGCCGAAATGTTTTGATTGGAGAAAGGCCAGGCATGTAATTGTCACTGGGTGCTTGACAAAGGCCAGCCCTGATGTCTTCCATCCCCAAGTCACTTTCCCCAGAGTAGGTATGGAATTGGCTCTATGCAGATGTGGGAACTGCTTCTTAGAGAGGGATGGTGGATCCCGGCCAGCATGGATGCTAGCAGGTGGAGGCCGGTGGGATGTTCACACGCACCAGCTTCTCCTCTACGCCTCTGCATCCCAGACCCTGGGAGATACCCAGATTCCTGCCCCTCCGCACTTGGACAGGGAGAAACCTCTCCTTTGAAGATGAAGCAGTGGTGCTCAGGGGCTGCTGTGGATCTCAGGGGTGTTTTCTTTGTTCTTGTTTTGGTCTGGAAGAGAGTGATAACTCACTTGGAATTTTAATGTGTTCTGTAGTTATGCAAGTCTAAAATCTTGCGCATATAGTTTTAAATGTCTGTCACGGTTGGTTCTTCAAAGGGAGTGATTCGGACCTCCCAGGGCTTATCTGGAAATGTCTGCAGACATTTTCAGTTGTCACAAGGGAGGTGGAGGAGATAGGTGCTCCTGGCCCCTGATGGGTGGAGCTCGGGGACGCTGCTCAACACCCAACCGTGCACAGGATGGACGGCCCCACCACAAAGAGTCATGCACCACCAAATATTGGCAGCACTGAGGCTGAAAAAGACTGTTAGCATGACTGACCCTCTCTCTCACATTGCTCCTTCTCTCTTCTCCCTTTTCCCCTCCTTCCTTCCTTCACCCATCTCTCTGTGTATCAATCTATAGCTCTCTTTCCCTTAACCTCTCTCTAATCAATCTATCTACCCATCCATCTATCATCTATCTAGTCCATCCATCCATGCATCCATCATGTATCTGTCTATCCATCCATCCATCCATCATCTATCAATCCATCCGTCTATCATCTATGTATCTAGTCTGTTTATCATCTATCTATCATCTATCTATCTACACATCTATCTATCACGTACCCATCTGTGCCTCTGTATCCGACACCAAGAGAGATGCCCAGCTTCCCGCCTGTTGGCACTCAATGATAGAGAGGACAGGCTGGGAAACCTCTGTCTTCTATCTATTACCTAGGTATCTGTGTATCTATCCATCCATCCACCCACCCACCCACCCACCCACCCATCCATCCATCCATCCACCCACCCACCCACCTATCTATCCACCTATTTATCTACTCTATGTATTTATCTATCTATCTTGCTATCATCTATCTATTTATCTATCCAGGTATCCATCAATCCATCCATCGATCTATCCATCCATCTATATAATCTGTCTATCTATCTACTCTGTATTTATTTATGTAGCTAGCTGTCATCTATTTATCTATCTCCCTATCTATATCTATTTATCCACTTACTTACCCATCCATCCATCCATTTCTCTATCATGTATCTATCTATCCATCCATCATCTGTCTACCTACCTATCTACACATCCATCTGTCTCTAATCCATCTATCATCTATCTACCTGCCTATCTACCCATCCTTCTATTTATCTATTATCTATCTATCTATCTATCATCTATCTCTAATCCATCTATCATCTATGGCAGTGGTTTGCAACCAGGCACAACTGTACTTCCCACAGGACCCTTGCTGATGTCTGGAGATGTATTTGGTCATCTTGACTCCGGGGTGGAGGGTGTGCTTCTGGCATCTCCTGCGTAGAGGCCACCAGGGATGTTGGTAAATGCCCTGTAGTGCACAGGATGGCCCCGCCATAGATAATCATCCAGCCCCAAACACCAGCACTCCCCAGATGGCAGATACTTTGAGTAGCCAATCATGTCATCCCACAAACGTTACACATTTTTACACATTCATGAAAGGAATTTGTGAAAAAGCCGAGGTCTAGGTGCCTGTCCACTTGCTGCTGTTTACTGCTCCGTCCTGGCCTCCGGCGAGTAGTTTATACACTCTCTGAAATGCATCCATTCCTTTGATATATTAATGCTTCATTCACCCCTTTCCAAGCAGAAAGCTGCCGTTAGTCCTGCCTGGTGACTCTTTCTGTCACTTCTGCAGGGGAATTATTCTGCATATATAACTTAACCGTGAGCCGTCTGTCCTAGCACCTAAGGCATATTCTGTAAGCAATCCTTGTACCGTTGGCAGCTGCCTGAGTGCTGTCAATCATCCGGGACACTTCTACGACTTCCTCCAGCCACAGGAAGGGCGCACCACAATTTATGCCGCCTCCTTGGAGGCCCTGAATTCTAAAACATCGAATGCTATATTTTTTACCCTGCTTTGCCACTTATAAAAATTTCCACGGCTAGAATTTCAAAGACTTGCAGAAATTGAAGAAACCGAATTGGATCAATTCATTTCCATTTTTTTGAAGGTTGCTAGGAACACTTCACCAACTCCTTCTCCCTTATCCTTTAGAAAGAGGGTGCTGGAGCTTTCAACGAAGCAGGACTTTTGCTAGAAATGAGCTTTAAAATCTGCTTGCCTGGGTCAGGATACCTGAAGGTCAAAGAAGAAAGTGAAGCCACATGAAAGTCATTTATATTCCAATCTGTGGTCTGGGTTACTTTAAGACCAACCCAGGAGATGGGGGAAGGAGGCTTGGCTCTCAACCAGGAAAAATTGTGAGATTATATTGCCTAGATGTTACATGTTTATACATTGAGAAGGGTAAAAAGCAGCATCGTAGGAAGACAGGCTAAGACCTTGAAGAGGTAGCTATGTTTTTTTCTTTTCTTTTTTTTGAGACAGAGTCTTGCTCTGTCTCCCAGGCTGGAGTGCAGTGGTGCGATCTCGGTTCACGGCAACCTCCGCCTCCTGGGTTCACGCCATTCTCCTGCCTCAGCCTCCCGAGTAGCTGGGATTACAGGAGCCCGCCACCACGCCCGGCTAATTTCTGTATTTTTAGTAGAGACGGGGTTTCACCTTCTTGGCCAGGCTGGTCTTGAACTCCTGACCTCGTGATCCACCCGCCTCAGCCTCCCAAAGTGCTGGGATTACAGGCGTGAGCCACCGCACCTGGCCTATAGCTATCTTTTTCTTTCTGGGGCATTGACTTGACATGGAAATTAACTGTTTGACAGGAGTCTTCCACAACTTAATGTCTAAAGGTCAAGATATGATTCTGTGGAGTATGTCTCAAAAGCCCTGTCCGAGGTACCCAGTATTGGAACATTACGGATGAAAATACAGTCATGTGTCATTTTTTCTTTCTTTCTTTTTTTTTGAGATGGAGTTTCCCTCTCGTCGCCCAGCCTGCAATGCAATGGCGCAATCTCAGCTCACTGCAACCTCCACCTCCCAGGTTCAAGCGATTCTCCTGCCTCAGCCTCCTGAGTACCTGGCATTACAGGCACCCACCAGCACGCCCAGCTAATTTTTTGTATTTTTAGTTTAGACGAGTTGTCGCCATGTTGGCCAGGCTGGTCTCAAACTCCTGACCTCAGGTGACCTGCCCGCTTCGGCCTCCCAAAGTGTTGGGATGACAGGCATGAGCCATGGCGCCCGGCCATGTGTTGCTTAACGATGGGGATACATTCTGGGAAATGTGTGATCGGGGGATTTCATCGCTGTGCAAAAATTGTAGAGCACACTCGCACAAACCTAGGTGGTATAGCCTACCACACACCTAGGCTGTGTGGTACTGCTCATTGCCCTTAGACTGCAAACCAAATTCCAGTGTAAACCAAAAATAAAACTCTAAGCCCCAGCCATCTCAACGGACCCTTCCTCTCAGTTAATGGCATTCCAAAGTTAAGCTGAAAAACTAGTTCAGAGGCCGGGCCCAGGGGCTCACGCCTGTAATCCCAGCACTTCAGGAGGCTGAGGCGGGTGGATCATGAGGTCAGGAGTTCGAGACCAACCTGGCCAACATGGTGAAACCTCGTCTCTACTAAAAATACAAAAATATTAGTCAGGCGTGGTGGTGGATGCCTGTAATCCCAGCTACTTGGGAGGCTGAGGCAGAAAATTGCTGGAACCCGGGAGTGGAGGTTGCAGTGAGCTGAGATTGCTCCATTGCACTCCAGCCTGGGTGACAGAGCGTGACTCTGTCTCAAACAAACAAACAAACAACTAGTTCAGGCCATGATGGAAGTGTGGGTTGGACATGTCTCCTAATACCCTCCTCCTCTGTGGAATTCAGGAAAAGGCGAGCAGTATTCACATCAACATAGACGTTAATTCTGGTGAGAAATGTTGATAATCTATTGAAGCCTGCTACCTAGAGGCTTCATCTGCATGATGAAACCTTGGTTTCCACAACCCCATGTCTTAACCCAGCCATTCTTCTTGATAATAACTCTTTCAACCACCAACTGCCAATCAATCAGAATTTTTTTTTTTTTTTTTTTTTTTTTTGAGATGGAGTCTCGCTCTGTCGCCCAGGCTGGAGTGCAGTGGCGTGATCTCGGCTCACTGCAACCTCCACCTCCTGGGTTCAAGTGATTCTCCTGCCTCAGCCTCCCGAGTAGCTGGGACTACAGGCATCCATCACCATGCCTGGCTATTGTTTTTTTTGTGTGTGTGTGTTTAGTAGAAAATGTTTAAATCTACCTATGACCTGGAAGGAACCAACGTACATCCTACATGTATTGACTGATGTCTCATTAAAAGGTATAAAACCAAGCTGTGCCCAACCACCTTGGACACGTGTCATCAAGACCTGCAGTGTCTGTGTGACAGGTGCATCCTTAACCTTGGCAAAAGCAATGTTCTCAATTTTGATTGAGACCTGACTCAGGTACTTTTTTTAATGTTTTCCCCTACACATACATACCTATGATAAAGTTTAATTTATTAATTAGGCACAGTAAGAAATTAACAGTAACTAATAATTGCCTTTTTTTTTTTTTTCGAGATGGAATCTCCCTCTGTTGCCCAGGCTGGAGTGCACTGGTGCGATCTTGGATCGCTGCGACCTCTGCCTCCCAGGTTCAAGCAATTCTTCTGCCTCAGCTTCCTGAGTAGCTGGGATTACAGGCATGCACCAACATGCCCGGCTAATTTTTGTATTTTTAGTAGAGACAAGGTTTCACCATATTGGCCGGGCTGGTCTCGAACTCCTGACCTCATGATCCGCCCGCCTCGGCCTCCCAAAGTGCTGGGATTACAGGCGTGAGCCACCGCATCCAGCTCAACAGTAATAATAAAATAGAAAAATGATAACTGTATGCCAGCATCACTACTCTTGTGCATTGGATCCATTATGAAGTAATGTGAGGGTTACTTGAACGTAAACACTACAATACGGCCACTGTTGATTTGGGTGGTGTGGGTAGTGCAGACAGCGTGGAGGGGCTGGCAAAGCGATGATTCAAGTTCCAGGCAGGATATAGTGGGACAGGGCTGTTTGACCTCACTATTGGGAATGATGTGCAATTTAAAACTTATACATTATTTACTTCTGGAATTTCCCACTTAATATTTTCAGACCACAGTTGACTTTGGGTAACCGAAACCGGGAAAAGCAAACGTGCAGGTAAGGGGGGGATGACCTTAGGTACTTTTGGGTTCACAACAGCATATGACTGTACTGAATGCTGTAGGTAACTGTAACACAATGGTAAATATTTGTGTATTTAATCGTATCTAAACGTAGAAAAGGCACAGTAAAAATACAATATGATAGTCTTATGTAATCTTATCTTAATCTTATGTCATGTTATCTTATGTCATCTTAACACACTGCATATGCTAATATGCAGTCCAGTAGGCCATTCTTGCATTGCTCTAAAGAAATATCTGAGGCGGGGTAATTGATGGGGTGGACAACCATACTGTCCTGTGGTCTAGTGGGCAGGGACCTGGGGGCCATCAGTGGCTGTAGGACTTTTTTACCCCTCTGTTTCCTGGCCTAAATATGTGATGGGTATGCTTCACCTTAAGTGGTAAGAGGTTTGATTTTTGTTTTTGAGACAGAGTCTTCCTCTGTCCCCAAGGCAATGGCAAGATCTCAGCTCACTGCAACCTCCGCTCCCAGGTTTAAGCCATTCTCCTGCCTCAGCTTCCTGAGTAGCTGGGATTACAAGCACCTGCCACCACGCCTGGCTAACTTTTGTTTTGTTTTGTTTTGTTTTGAGATGGAGTATTGCTCTGTCGCCCAGGCTGGAGTGCAGTGGTGCGATTTCGGCTCACTGCAAGCTCTGCCTCCCGGGTTCACACTATTCTCCTGCCTCAGCCTCCCGAGTAGCTGGGACTAGAGGCGCCACCATGCCCGGCTAATTTTTTGTATTTTTAGTAGAGACGGTGTTTCACCATGTTGGCCATGCTGGTCTTGAACTCCTGACCTTGTGATCTGCCTGCCTCGGCCTCCCAAAGTGCTGGGATTACAGGCATGAGCCACTGTGCCTGGCCTAATTTTTGTGTTTTTAGTAGAGATGGGGGTTTCATCATGTTGGCCAGGCTGGTCTCAAACTCCTGACCTCAAGATCCACCCCTTGGCCTCCCAAAGTGCTGGGATTACAGGCATAAGCCACTGCGCCTGGCCTAATTTTTGTATTTTTAGTAGAGATGGTGTTTCACCATGTTGGCCAGGCTGGTCTTAAACTCCTGACCTCGTGATCTGCCCACCTTGGCCTCCCAAAGTGCTGGGATTACAGGCGTGCACCACGACGCCTGGCTAATTTTTTGTATTTTTAGTAGAGGCGGGGTTTCACCATGTTGGCCAGGCTGGTCTTGAACTCCTGACCTCGTGATCCGCCTGCCTCGGCCTCCCAAAGTGCTGGGATTACAGGCGTGCACCACCACGCCTGGCTAATTTTTTGTATTTTTAGTAGAGACGGGGTTTCACCATGTTGGCCAGGCTGGTCTTGAACTCCTGACCTCGTGATCTGCCTGCCTTGGCCTCCCAAGCTGGGATGACAGGCGTGAGCCACCGCGCCCGGCCAGTGGAGAGGTTTAAATGAAATGGTGCTGGAAATATCCTGGCATAAAATAAGGGCGTCATGGGTAGAAGCAAAGCCTTCTTGAAAACAGAAACCATATCTGCACTGATTATTTTCAAGGAGACTGAACCAAAAAATAACTCAGCTTGAGGACTGGCCCGTCTCTGTGACAGCCTGTGGTCGTAACTCATGCCTCAATCCCTGGCACACACCGGTAAGCCCAGTGCTTTCGGAGGCCAAAGCAAGAGGATGGCTTGAGTTCGGGAGTTTGCAACCAGCCTGGGCAACACAGTGAGATCCCCATCTCTGCTAAAAATAAACATTAAAAAATGTTTTTATGTTTTGAGATAGGGTGTGGTGGTGTGCACCTGTAGATGTAGTGAGATCCCCATCTCTGCTAAAAATAAACATTAAAAAATGTTTTATGTTTGAGATAGGGTGTGGTGGTGTGCACCTGTAGATGTAGTGAGATCCCCGTCTCTGCTAAAAATAAACTTTAAAAAATGTTTTTATGTTTTGAGATAGTGTGTGGTGGTGTGCACCTTCAGAATCAAAGAGTATCTTCCAGGGTCTTCCCTCCCCTGAAGGTTAATTCGTAGGCAGACGAATCAGGTATTGATCCCTGTCCTTGGAATAATCACGATGATGTTCAGGATTCATGAGGATTCATAGAACCAAAGAGCCTCTTCCAGGGTCATCCCTCTCCTGAAGGTTAATCCATAGACAGATGAATCAGGTATTGATCCCTGTTCTTGGAATAATCTAGAGGATCTTTGCAATTCATTAGGATTCATAGAACCAAAGATCCCCTTCCAGGATGGTCCTTCTCCTGAAGGTTAATCCATAGGCAGATGAATCGGATATTGATTCCTGTTCTTGGAATAATCTAGAGGATCTTTAGAATCCATTGGGATTCATAATCACAGCTATGCCGATGCCATCATCACCGGCTTAGCCCTTTCTGAAAACACAGTCATCATCTACCCCCATTGGAATCACGATGCAAAAAACCTGTCCCAAAGCGGTGGTTTCCTATGTGATTCTTGCATCCAGGACAAATGACAGTCAGCAGAGAGGCGCCCTGTTCCATCTTTTGGTTTGATCCAGTTAAAGGCACACACGTGAGCACCCAACGTTTGCCAACTCAGCACTGGGCAGAGCCTGGCCTCTGAGGAAATTGGCATCTTCGTAATCAATATATTATTATGTTTTATTGAAATGTAAGTCATTGCCGATTCAGTGGCTCATGCCTGTAATCCCAACATTTTGGGAGGCCAAAGAGAGGGGATTGCTTGAGTCCAGGAGTTTGAGACAAGCCTGGGCAACACAGTGAGACCTCATGTCTATTAAAAAACAATTAGGTGTGGTGGCATGTACCTGAAGTCCAACCTACTATGGAGGCTGAGGTGGGAGGATCCCTCGAGCCCAGGAGGTAGAGGCTGCGGTAAGCTGGGATTGCACCACTGCATTCCAGCTTGGGCAACAGAGGGAGACCCTATCTCAAAAAAATAAAAAGGAAATATAAGTCACATAACATAAAATGAACCATTTTAGGCCGGGCGCGGTGGCTGACGTCTGTAATCCCAGCACTTTGGGAGGCCGAGGCAGGTGGATCACAAGGCCAGGAGTTCGAGACCATCCTGGCCAACATGGTGAAACCCTGTGTCTACTAAAATACAAAAAAAAAAAATTAGCCGGGAATGGTGGTGCATGCCTGTAATCCCAGCTACTCGGGAGGCTGAGGCAGGGGAATCACTTGAATCCGGGAGGTGGAGGTTGCAGTGAGCCGAGATCGTGCCTCTGCACTCCAGGCCTGGTGACATACCAAGACTCTGTCTCAAAAAAAAAAAAAAAAATTAACCATTTAATGTGTACAATTCTGTGACATTCAGGATGTTCACCATGTTGGGCAACCATCATCACTCTTGAGTTCCAAAACATTTTCATCACCCCAAAAGAAACACCATATACAACAGCAGCCACTACCATTCCCCGGGCCCTATTCCACGGCAACCACTAATCTAGTTTCTGTCTCTTTGAACTGAACTATTCTGCTACTTTACAGACCTGGAATCATACAGGTGACCTATTGCGTCTGGCTTCTTTCACTTACGATAATACTTTTTGAGGTTCATCTGTGTGGTGGCATGTATCCACACTTCATTCCTTTTTTATGGCTAAGTAATATTCCATCGCATGGATGTAAAATGATGCATTGTTTTTTTAGAGACCAGTTCTTGCTCTGTGGACCAGGCTGGAGTGCAATGGCATGATCATAGCTCACTGCAGCCTCCACTTCCTGAGCTCAAACGATCCTCCCACCTCAGCCTCCTGAGTAGCTGGGATTATAGGTGCACATCTTCACATCCAGCCAACTATTTTTATGTTTTGTAGAGATGGGATCTTGCTATGCTGCCCAGGCTGGTCTCAAACTCCTGGCCTCAAGCAATCCTCCCACCTCAGCCTCCTGAAGCACTGGGATTACAGGTGTAAGCTACTGAGTCTGGCATATATATATGTGTATATATATATGGATATATAGGATATAGATAGATAGATAGATAGATAGATAGAGATAGATATATATTTTTTTGAGACAGTGTCACTCTGTCACCCAGGCTGGAGTGCAGTGGTGCAATCTCAGCTCACTGCAACCTCCACCTCCAGGGTTCAAGCGATTCTCCTGCCTCAGCCCCCCAAGTAGCTGGGACTACAGGTGTGCACCACCACACCTGGCTAATTCTTGTATTTTCAGTAGAGACGAGGTTTCACCATGTTGGCCAGAGTGGTCTCGAATTCCTGGACTCAGTGATCCACCCACCACGGCCTCCCAAAGTGCTGGGATTACAGGTGTGAGCCACTGTGCAAGGCCCCAAAATGTATTTTTAATTCCCGCTTTACTCTTCTAAAAAATGAAATCATCCTTACTATCACCCTAAGAAAATTTAATAATATCCTAATATCCACATCATGCAAATTATAATAAAGGAATATGTGGCCGGGCGCGGTGGCTCACGCCTGTAATCCCAGCAGTTTGGGAGGCCGAGGCGGGCGGATCACCTGTGGTCGGGAGTTTGAGACCAGCCTGACCAACATGGTGAAACCCCGTCTCTACTAAAAAAAAATATATATAGATATATATATGTGTGTGTGTGTATATATATATGTATGTATGTGTATATATATGTGTGTGTGTATATATATGTATGTGTGTATACATATGTATGTATGTGTATGTGTGTGTGTGTATATATATATATATGTATGTATGTATGTATGTATATAAAATTAGCCAGGCGTGGTGGTGGGCGCCTGTAATCCCAGCTACTCAGGAGGCTGAGGCAGGAGAATCACTTGAACTCAGGAAGCGTAGGAAGCGTAGGTTGCGGTGAGCCGAGATTGTGCCATTGCACTCCAGCCTGGGCAACAAGAGCAAAACTCCGTCTCAAAAAATAAATAAATAAATAAATAATAAAGCAACATGCATTGGTACATCTCAACTTTTGGGCTTACCTCTACCCTGGAAATAACGAGGCAGTAATATGCGTCGTGCCTCTATGTGTTGAATCCACAAGATGACATGATCATCTACCCCATTAGACGACTGGGTGGCCGACGGCAATCACAGGCCGCCCCGGCCTGGTGTCCTGGTAACTCGAACACCATGAGTCCTCTCCTGTCCTCTGATTTCCCCAAATGGTGATGAAACGCAGCCAGTCCAATCGTCTCTCTGTTAACGCAGTGTTTTTTTTTTTTGACTGGAAAATCAATCCTTTGTATATATGTGTAAGCCGAGTTAAGTGCTACGCTCAGGTGAATCGTAAACAGGTTTTCTGTCTTTGTGGCCATCTGGGTCCCACACTCACGAGTCATGTGGGTCAGGGGTGTGTTCTCTGCTAGGTAGCATTGCCCTGTACTCTGCGACGAGTTGAAATCCCAGGCTTCCCCCAACCAAATGCCAGTGGAGGCACTTGATTCTTTTGCCCACCCAGCAACCCACCCACCCCCAACTTCCCATATGCTCTGCAGAGAACAGCCAGCCCCCCTCACCACATATCGAGAAAAAACATCAGATCATCAGGACAATTTCATGGAACCAAACCTCCCACTGCAGCCAAACTCACATAGAAAACATCCTTTGCAGCCTGAAAACCCTTTCAGGACCTTTCTGTCACTGAGTCTTATAAACCTATAAAGATTCATTGAACAGAACCGGAGACTCAGGCTCCCGGAAAAGCTTGACAAAGTCACGCAGTGCATTAGTTCATTCTTGCATTGCTATAAAGAAATATCCGAGGCTAGGTAATTTATTTTTAATTTTTTGGAGAGAGAATCTTGCTCTGTTGCCTAGGCTGGAGTGCAATGGCACGATCTTGGCTCACTGCAACCTCCGTTTCCCAGATTCAAGCAATTCTCCTGCCTCAGCCTCCTGAGTAGCTGCAATTACAGGTGCCCACCACCACACCCAGCTAATTTTTTGGTATTTTTACTAGAGTTGGGGTTTCACCATGTTGGCCAGGCTGGTCTCCAAATCCTGACCTTGGATGATCCACCCGTCTCAGCCTCCCAAAGTGCTGGGATTATAGGCGTGAGCCACCACACCCGGCCCAAGTCTTATAAACCTATGAATATTCACTGAACAGAACCAGAGACTCAGGCTCCTGGAGAAGCTTGACAAAGTTACGCAGTGTAATATGCCTTTCTTGCATTGCTATAAAGAAATATCTGAGGCTGGGTAATTTGTTTTTTATTTTTTGGAGATGGAGTCTTGCTCTGTCACCCAGGCTGGAGTGCAGTGGTGCGATCTCAGTTCACTGCAACTTCCGCCTCCTGGGTTCAAGCGATTCTCCTGCCTCAGCCTCCCGAGTAGCTGCGATTACAGGTGCCTGCCACCACGCCAGGCTAATTTTTCATATTTTTAGTAGAGACATAGTTTCACCATGTTGTCCAGGCTGGTCTCGAACTCCTGTGCTCAGGCAATCTACCCCGTGAGGCTAATTTATAAAGAAGAGAGGTTTCATTGGCTTGGCTGATAGTTCTGCAGGCTATACACGAAGCATGGTGCCAGCATGTGCTCAGCCTCTGGTGAGGTATGAGGAAGCTTACAGTCATGGCGGAAGGCAACGTGGGAGAAGGCATGTCACGTGGTGAGTGTGGGAGCTGGATATGGGGGAGAGGTGCTACACACTTTATTTTATTTTTATGTATTTATGAGACGGAGTCTCACTCTGTTGCCCAGGCTTGAATGCAGTGGAGCAATCTTGGCTCACTCCCGGATTCAAGCGATTCTCCTGCCTCAGCCTCCCAAGTAGCTGGGATTACAGGCACCAGCCACCACGCCTGGCTAATTTTTGTATTTTTGGTAGAGACGGTGTTTCACCATGTTGGCCAGGCTGGTCTTGAACTTCTGACCTCAGGTGATCCACCTGCCTCGGCCTCCCAAAGTGCTGGGATTACAGGCACCTGCCACCATGCCCAGCTGATTTTTGTATTTTTAGTAGAGACCGGGTTTCAACATGTTGGCCAGGCTGGTCTCGAACTTCTGACCTCAGGTGATCCACCTGCCTCGGCCTCCCAAAGTGCTGGGATTACAGGCACCTGCCACCATGCACAGCTGATTTTTGTATTTTTTAGTAGAGACCGGGTTTCACCATGTTGGCCAGGCTGGTCTCGAACTTCTGACCTCAGGTGATCCGCCTGCCTCAGCCTCCCAAAGTGCTGGGATTACAGGCGTAAGCCACCGTGCTCCCAGCCTTTAAACAACCAGATCCCGAGAGAACTGACTCACTACTGCAAGACCAGCACCAAACCATGAGGGATCTGCCTCTCAGATCCAACATCTCTCACCAGGCTCCCAGCTTTGAGGATGACAAGTGAACACGAGATTGGAGCCGGGACAGATATCAGAACTTTTATCATGCCGTCAGCCACAGACAAGCTTCTGTTGTTGTTTTATTTTCCTAAACAAATCACATGTCCCTCCTACGATGCCACAGACTTTTATTTTATTATTGTTATTATTTATTTATTTATTTATTTATTGAGATGGAGTGTTGCTCTGTCGCCCAGGCTGGAGTGCGGTGGCGCGATCTCGGCTCACTGCAACCTCTGCCTCCCGGGTTCAAGCCATTCTCCTGCCTCAGCCTCCTGAGTAGCTGGGACTACAGGCGCCCGCCACCACGCCCGGCTAATTTTTTGTATTTTTTAGTGGAGATGGGGTTTCACCGTGTTAGCCAGGATGGTCTCAATCTCCTGACCTCGTGATCTGCCTGCCTCAGCCTTCCAAACTGCTGGGATGACAGGCGTGAGCCACCACGCCCAGCTTTTATTATTATTATTATTTTGAGATGGAGTCTTGTTCTGTCCAGGCTGGAGTGCAGTGGTGCGACCTCGGTTTACTACAACCTCCGCCCCCCAGGTTAAAGCAATTCTCCTGCCTCAGCCTCCTGAGTAGCTGGGATTACAGGCGTGTGCCACCACACCTGGCTAATTTTTATATTTTTACTAGAGACGAGGTTTCACCATGTCGCTCAGGCTGGTCTCGAACTCCCGACCTCAGGTGATCCGCCTGCCTCGGCCTCCTAAAGTGCTGGGATGACGGGTGTAAGCCACCGCGCCCGGCCCTCTGCCTGCTTTTATCCTAGCTGTGCTGGCAGCTGATCAAATGATGCCTGTCCAGATGGAGGGTGGGTCTGCCTAGCCCTGTCCACTGACTCAAATGTTAATCTCCTTTATCAACAACCTCCCAGGAACACCTATGATCAATACTTTGCTTCAATTCAGTCAAGTTGACACTCAATAGTAACCATCACAGTAAAGAAACAGCAAAACGGAATGCAGACCCCGTGGGCTGGGCACAGTGGCTCATGCCTGTCATCCCAGCACTTTGGGAGGCCGAGGCAGGTGGATAACCTGAGGTCAGGAGTTCAAGACCAGCCTGGCCAACATGTGGAAACCACCTCTCTACTAAAAATACGAAAATTAGCCAGGAGTGGTGGCAGGTGCCTGTAATCCCAGCTACTTGGGAGGCTGAGGCAGAAGAATCGCTTGAACCGGGGAGGTGGAGCTTGCAGTGAGCTGAGAGTGCACCACTGCACTCCAGCCTGGGAGACAGGGTGAGACTCCTTCAAAAAAACAAAGAAAAGAAAGGAAAGAAAAGAAAGGAAGGAAGGAAGGAAGGAAGGAAGGAAGGAAGGAAGGAAGGAAGGAAGGAAGGAAGGAAGGAAAAGAATACAGACCGTGTAAGGATTGTTGCTGTGCTCTGTCAGCCACCTCCTCCCAAATACTCCAGAGCTGAAATTGCAGAAAACAAAACTATGTGGTGTGGGAGTGGCAGAAGTCAAGGTCCTTTCTTGTGGGGAAGGATGGTGTTGATGTTGGTTATCTTGGTGGGGGGATGTTAGTTTGGGAGTAAATTAAAGGGAACCAGTGGAAAGGGAAATAGATGAAAGAACAATCAGGAAGAGAAACTGAACAAATGGAACAAAAACATCGGCTGGGCGCGGTGGCTCACGCCTGTAATCCCAGCAGTTTGGGAGGCCGAGGCAGGCAGATCACATGAGGTCAGGAGTTCGAGGCCAGCCTGACCAACATGATGAAACCCCGTCTCTACTAAAAATACAAAAATTAGCCAGGCCTGATGGCGGGTCCCTGTAATCCCAGCTACTCAGGAGGCTGAGGCAGGAGAATCGTTTGAACCGGGGAGGCGGAGGTTGCAGTGAGCTGAGATCACGCCTCTGCACTCCAGCCTGGGAAACAGAGCGAGACTCCATCTCAAAAAAAAAAAAAAAAAAAAAAACTTCATCCATTGAAGCAGGAACTGTGTGTGTGTGTGTGTGTGTGTGTGTGTGTGTGTTGGTTGACAATAGTCACCCTATTGTGCTATGTCTTATTTATTCTTTCCAATTTTTGTACCTATTAACCATCCCCACCTCCCCCACTCCAACCCCCTTTGTAACCGCAAGGATAAATGCTTGAGGAGATGGACACCCTATTCTCCATGATGTGCTTTTTACACATTGCATGCCTGTATCAAAACATCTCATGTAAGCTACAAATATATACACACCTACTATGGACCCACAACAATTTTTTAAAATAATTCAATTTTTTTTTTGGTTGAAACTGAGTCTTGCGCTGTCACCCAGGCTGGAGTGCAATGGCGTGACCTTGGCTCACTGTAACCTCCACCTCCTGGGTTCAAGTGATTCTCCTGCCTCAGCCTCCCGCATAGCTGGGATTACAGGCACCTGCCACTATGCCCAGCTAATTTTTGTATTTTTAGTAGAGACAGGGTTTCGCCATGTTGGTCAGGCTGGTCTCGAACTCCAGACCTTGTGATTCGCCTGCCTCGGTCTCCCCAAAGTGCAAAAATTTTTTTTTAATTGCATACGATGAAATACTTGCAAACACACCCACACCCACATACAACTAAAAGAGAAAATCTGAAAAGGCGGCCGGGTGCGGTGGCTCAGGCCTGTATTCCCCAGCACTTTGGGAGGCCAAGGCAGGCGGATCACGATGTCAAGAGATCGAGACCATCCTGGCCAACATGGTGAAACCCCATCTCTACTAAAAATACGAAAATTAGCCTGGCATGGTGGGGCTCACCTGTAGTCCCAGCTACTCAGCAGGCTGAGGTAAGAGAATCGCTTGAACCCGGGAAGCGGAGGTTGCAGGGAGCCGAGATCTCGCCACCACACTCCAGCTTGGTGATGGAGTGAGACTCCATCTGAAGAAAAAAAAAAAGAAAAGAAAATCTGAAGAAGCAGGTCAGATTGTATCAATGTCCGTATCTGGTTGAGCGATTTACTGGAGTTTTGCAAGATGTTCTAATTGCAGGAAGGTTGGTAAAGGTACATGGGATGACTCTGTACTACCTCTTACAACTGCATGTGAATTTACACATCTTTGCATACAATTTATGTGTTAGTTCAGGCTGCTGGGATAAAACACCATAGAGTCGGAAGCTTAAACTGTTAACATTCCTGTATCCCACTTCTGGAGGCTGGAGGTCTGAGACAAGGGTGCCAGTATGGTTGGTTCCTGGTGAGAACTCTCTTCTTGGCCTCCTTTTTCTTTGTTTTTAATTTTTTTTTTTATTATACTTTAAGTTCTGGGGTACATGTGCAGAACGTGCAGGTTTGTTACGTAGGTATACACGTGCCATGGTGGTTTGCTGCACCCATCAACCTGTCATCTACATTAGGTATTTCTCCTAATGCTCTCCCTCCCCTATCCCCCCACCCCCTGACAGGCCCTGGTGTGTGATGTTCCCCTCCTTGTGTCCATGTGTTCTCATTGTTCAACTTCCACTGATGAGTGAGAACATGCAGTGTTTGGTTTTCTGTTCTTGTGTTAGTTTGCTGAGAATGATGGTTTCCAGCTTCATCCCTGTCCCTGCAAAGGACATGAACTCATTCTTTTTTCTGGCTGCATAGTATTCCATAGTGCATATGTGCCACATTTTCTTTATCCAGTCTATCATTGATGGGCATTTCGGTTGGTTCCAAGTCTTTGCTATTGTGAACAGTTGGCTGCCTTTTTCCTGTGTGCTCACAAGGCAGTGGGACAGTGAGCTCACTCTGAGCTCATCATCCTTTTATAAGGGCAGGAATCTCATGCATGAGGCTCCATCCCTCATTAGGCTCCACCCTCATGACACCATCACCTCCCAAAGCCTCCACTTCCTAACGCCACCCCCTTGGGGGGGGGTGACAATTTCTACAAAAGAATTTGGAAGGACACCAATGTTCGGTCGATAGCAGTAGTCAATTAAAAATAGGAGATGATATAAAAAGATGTTAATATCTAATTGTCAGTGGATTTGTGAACTATCTGATGGTAAATATCAGATAAAAGATAGTTAAGGATAGAACATCAAAGAACCAAAGCTAAATCTATTTTTTTTTTTTTTGAGACAGAGTTTCGCTCTTGTTGCCCAGGCTGGAGTGCAGTGGTGTGATCTCAGCCCACCGCAACCTCTACCTCCCAGGTTCATGCGATTCTCCTGCCTCAGCCTCCCAAGGAGCTGGGATGCTAAATCTTTTACAGTAATAATAATAAAATAACAAACTAATAAGAGAAGCATTACACCAAGAAGACAGTATAATCATGAACCTGTAGGTCTCTAGTACTGCAGCCCCAAAATATCTAAAGCAGAGAGTGACAGAGATTTCCAGAACTCTCTCTACAAAAGACAGGATAAATACATTACATTTCATAACATGATTAAAATTTCAATTTATAGAAATTTCAATTTATAGAAACATAAGTCTATAAAACCATAAGTCTGTAAAACCAGGAGATCGTGACCATCCTGGCTAACACGGTGAAACCCCATCTCTACTAAAAATACAAAAAAATTAGCCGGGCATGGTGGCAGGTGCCTGTAGTCCCCACTACTCGGGAGGGTGAGGCAGGAGAATGGCATGAACCCAGAGGCGGAGCTTGCAGTGAGCTGATATCGTGCCACTGCTCTCCAGCTTTAGGGAGAGAGCAAGGCTCTGTCTCAAAAAAAATAAATAAATAAAAAATAAAAAGGCAAAAAAAAATCACTAATTTTAATTCTACACCTTTGGAAATATTAAAATACCCTCTTCATCCATTGGTCAAATCAGGCAAAATGAAAACAACGACTTCATTCTAAGTCTATGAAATGCAGCCCCAGGGGTCAGGAAAAAAATGAGTTCACAATACATTTGTTACGATTAGAAGGAAGAAAACAAACAAACAAAAAAAGATGGCATGTGTCGAGGCAAGAAAATAGACAACATATTCCAGAATGAAGGCAAAGAATTATAAGAGGATAAAACAGCAGTAACTAAAAATGATAAGTAAGCGATAAACACAATGATGAGTAAAATGTCTATTCCTGAATCCGAGACGGTGCTTCACAAAGACAGCTTCAGAGGCCACAATTCCAAAGCTTTTTTCTACGTACAGATATTCTCCCCGATGCCTGGGTTAATGGCGCCCGAACTGCAGAAAACATAACCTCAACCGAGTTTTCTGCTTCAATGACAAATGACACCAGAGCCCCACCACCAAACCATGGCTGGCATCTATTTAGTTCTGAGCACTGCTCTGACAGAATGCATCAGTCTTGCTTTGCTCTCAGCAAAACTGGGTGCAGAGGGGACGGCTGTTAGCCTGGTCGTTGCTAATGAGGAGATGAGGAGTTGGAAAGATAGAGACGCAATGGCTTAACTACGGCACCTGATGCAAGACTTGCTACCTCCCCAGTTCCAGCCCAAATGGAGAAATGGGTATGATGCACCTTCTGTGATCTGGGGATCAGTTCTGATGTCTGCGGTCCAGCCCCCCAACCTGTCCTGCCTTTGAAAATGTGGCGTGTCCCTTCTATGACAGTTTCTCCTAACAGCCAAGATGAGAGATACCACATGTTCATGACAGACACTCTCAAAATCAAGGTGGCGTCCAGACACACATCTAGACTGTGATGTGTTCCCCACACACCAGCCTTTGTTGACTGCACACATTCCCACTAAAAGACACACACCAGCCTTTGCTGACTGCACATGTTCCTGCTAAAAGTCCCACACCAGTCTTTGTTGACGCACACATTCCTGCTAAAAGTCCCTGTGACTACATGAGACAATACTGCCAGTTTCCAGGCTGTTAGGACCTGCTATCTTTGGGGACTTCCTCTGTTGACTACAGCCTCCAGCTCCTTTAGGACACAAGCCCTGTTCTTCCGACTTCGAGTCCCAGTATTTGGGTATAACACTTAACACTTATTTACTGAAAACATGACTACATGGATGAATGGATGGATGGATGGATGGATGGATGGACAGATGCATGGATGGATGAATGAATGAATGAGATGGTCCCATACATTGCTGGACCTGAATAAAACCTATTCATGGCTACTGGAAGGGCATAAAAGAGTAGCTTCACTGGGACATCCATGCACTCTAGGTCCAAGTATTGAATCAAGGTTTGCCAAAGAAAAGAATCTCATTCCTCCTGGTTCGTACAGAGCTCTAATGGCACACATGCTACTCACCCAACAATCCACGCAGTTTCCCCTGCTGGGAAGTGTCTCCAGGAAATTGCACAGTGTCCAGGAAATGGCACAATCAAGTATCAAGGAACACAGGCGAACTTCTCCAGAATTATGCTCTTGGTTTCCCTGGGAGGAACGGTCACATAAGGGTTACCATGAAACACAGAGGAATAGTGTGAGGCTGGAGTCATACAACATTCGGATCGCTCTCACAGCTCATCTGTCAGCCTGGGGAATGCGGTGTCTGTCATTTTCCAGAGTGCTTGTTCAGTCAGCGGTATCAATTGTCAGCTTTAGGAGATAGGAGACATCCTGTCACCCCATCCAGAGCCTGTACTTGGAACTACCTTTATGACGATGATGAAGAGCAGCTGCGGCCGGGCGTGGTGGCTTACGCCTGTAATCCCGGCACTTTGGGAGGCAGAGACGGGGTGATCACTTGAGGCCAGGAGTTCGAGACCAGCCTGGCCAACTTGGCGAAACTCCGTCTCTACTAAAAATACAAAAAAAAAAAAAAATTAGCTGGGCGTGGGGGTGGGCGCCTGTAATCCCAGCTACTCGGGAGGCTGAGGCGACAGAATCACTTGAACCTGCGAGGCGAGGGTTGCAGTGAGCTGAGATTGTGCCACTGCACTCCAGCCTGGGCGAAACAGTCAGAATCCTCTAAAAAATAAATAAAATAAAAAATTAAAAATAAAAGAGCAGCTGGCACTTCTTGCAAGAGCTTCAAGCTGCAAAAGGCTCTTGGATGATGTGCAACTGTACAGAGGTGGAGATATTTTTAGAACTGAAGATTTGGTGCATAGTCCTGGCTGTTTGGAAACACTTTTCAGATGAACGCATGCTGCGATCCTGGTTTAATGGAGGAAGTCACTCCCATTCAGAAACACATCTGTCTGGGCTCCACGGCTTAGCAGAACCTCTGGGAAGTACAAGGTGTTTGAAATGATCCTGTATGAAAGACGCCAGAGGTGTAGATGCTGAGGGCTGGAAACTGCAGTTGACATTTGCCTGGCTCAGGGAATCTCAAACTTGGCTGAACAACAACAAAAAAACATGACCTGGTGCCGGGCGCAGTGGCTCATGCCTGTCATCCCAGCATTTTGGGAGGCCAAGGCAGGTGGATCGCTTTGAGCTCAGGAGTTCAAGACCAGCCTGGGCAACATGGCAAAACCGTGTCTCTATTAAAAAAATACAGATGGTCAGACGTGGTGGTGCACGCCTCTGGTCCCAGCTACTTGAGAGGCTGAGGCAGGAGAGTTGCTTGAGCCTAGACGGTCGAGGCTGCAGTGAGCAGAGATTGCATCACTGCACTACAGCCTGGGTAACATAGTGAGACCCTGTTGAAAGAAAAAAAAAATGGAAGAAAGAAAAAAAGGAAAGAAGAAACAGAGAAAGAAGAGAGAAGGAGAGAGAGAGAGAGAGAGAGAGAAAGAAAGAAAGGAAGGAAGGAAGGAGAGAGAGAGAGAAAGGGAGGGAGGAGGGAAGGAAGGGAGGGAGGGAGGGATAACAGAAGGAAATAAGGAAGGGAAGGAGGGAGAGATGAAGGAAGGAAGGGAGGGAGGGAGATAAAGGAAGGAAAGGAAAGAAGGGAAGGGAAGGAAAGAAGCAAGGAAGGGAAGGAGGAAGTAAGGAAAGGAAAGGAAGAAGGAAGGGAAGGAGGAAGGAAGGGAAGGGAAGGAGGAAGGAAGGGAAGGAGGAAGGAAAGGAAAGGAAGAAGGAAGGGAAGGAGGAAGGAAGGGAAGGGAAGGAGGAAGGAAGGGAAGGAGGAAGGAAGGAAGGAGGAAGGAAGGAAGGAGGGAGGAAGGAAGGAGGGAGGAAGGGAAGGAGGAAGGAAGGGAAGGAGGAAGGAAGGGAGGAAGGAAGGGAAGGAGGAAGGAAGGGAAGGGAAGGAAGAAGGAAGGGAAGGAGGAAGTAAGGAAAGGAAAGGAAGAAGGAAGGGAAGGAGGAAGGAAGGGAAGGAGGAAGGAAGGGAAGGAGGAAGGAAGGGAAGGAGGAAGGAAGGAAGGAGGAAGGAAGGAAGGAGGAAGGAAGGAAGGAGGAAGGAAGGGAAGGAGGAAGGAAGGAAGGAGGAAGGAAGGAAGGAGGAAGGAAGGGAAGGAGGAAGGAAGGGAAGGAGGAAGGAAGGGAAGGAGGAAGGAAGGAAGGAGGAAGGAAGGAAGGAGGAAGGAAGGGAAGGAGGAAGGAAGGGAAGGAGGAAGGAAGGGAGGAAGGAAGGGAAGGAGGAAGGAAGGGAAGGGAAGGAAGAAGGAAGGGAAGGAGGAAGTAAGGAAAGGAAAGGAAGAAGGAAAGGAAGGAGGAAGGAAGGGAAGGGAAGGAGGAAGGAAGGGAAGGAGGAAGGAAGGGAAGGAGGAAGGAAGGGAAGGAGGAAGGAAGGAGGAAGGAAGGGAAGGAGGAAGGAAGGGAAGGAGGAAGGAAGGGAAGGAGGAAGGAAGGAAGGAGGAAGGAAGGGAAGGAGGAAGGAAGGGAGGAAGGAAGGAAGGAAGGAGGAAGGAAGGGAAGGAGGAAGGAAGGAAGGAGGAAGGAAGGGAAGGAGGAAGGAAGGGAAGGAGGAAGGAAGGGAAGGAGGAAGGAAGGGAAGGAGGAAGGAAGGGAAGGAGGAAGGAAGGGAGGAAGGAAGGAAGGGAAGGAGGAAGGAAGGGAAGGAGGAAGGAAGGAGGAAGGAAGGGAAGGAGGAAGGAAGGGAAGGAGGAAGGAAGGGAAGGAGGAAGGAAGGAAGGAGGAAGGAAGGGAAGGAGGAAGGAAGGGAAGGAGGAAGGAAGGGAAGGAGGAAGGAAGGAAGGGAGGAAGGAAGGGAAGGAGGAAGGAAGGAAGGAGGAAGGAAGGGAAGGAGGAAGGAAGGGAAGGAGGAAGGAAGGAAGGGAAGGAGGAAGGAAGGGAAGGAGGAAGGAAGGAGAAAGGGAGAAAGAGAGAAAGAAGAAAAAACGAGGAAGGAAAATAAAGAGAATGAAAGAAGGAAGAAAGGAGAGAAAGAAAGAAAGGAAGAAAGCAAAAGAAAAAGAAAAGAAAGAAAAAGAAAGGAGAAAGAAAGATGGAGAAAGAGAGAAAAAGAAAGTAAGGAAAAGAAAGCAAAACAACTTGGGGAATTCAAAACAAATGCTGATGACCAGAAGAATTGACTGCGGAACTTTCTCGCGGATGGGGCTGACCGTCAGTCATTTTCAGAGGTTGGCCCAGTGAGCATCAAAAGCCCACTAGCTTTCCTGGATATTTGGGGAGACCGTCACAGATAGTGAGAGGCCTGAGCTCACCAGTGGTTTTACACAAGGCTCACTGGGGATTGGGGATGTCCAGTTTCAGACCTGCTGCCTGTCCTTGAAGAGGGAAGACGCATGAACAGAGATGGCTACACCAATTGCAAGCTCAGCGCAAAATGAGAAGAAGGACTCCTTGTTCAAACCTAATTAACAATTTCCAGGCGGGGGCAGCAGACAGTTAAAGCAATATGGCGCCCTTCCGTGCGTGGGGACCCTGTGTGAGTTACGCAAGGTGCGGACTCATGAAACTTGAGGTGTAGATAACAGAAGCTATCCACCTCCGAGGCTTTCCGGGTCTCTAGAAATGGAAAGAATATTTTCCGCACTCACATGGCATCTGGTCCCTGTGGCCAATAGTAGATTGAATACTGTCTCCCAAAAAGATATGACTAAGGCCTAATCCCTGGTATCCGTGAATGGGACCTTATTCACAGAAAGGGTCTTGCCAGGTGTCATTGAGTAAAGGATCTTGAAATGAGATCATCTGGATTATCCAGGTGGGCCATAAATCCAATATCAAGTGTCCTTATTAGAAACAGGAAGAGACACAGATACAGGGAGAAGGCCACGTGGAGATGGAGGCAGAGAGTGCAGTGATGCGGCCACAAGCCTAGGGATGCCTGCAGCCCCCAGGAGCTGGGAGAGGCAGAAAAGATCCTCTCCTAGAGCCTCTGGAGGGAACTGCACCCAATTGTAGTGGACTGAACTGTGGTCTCCCAAAAAGATCTATCTATACCCTAATACCCAGAGCCTGGGAATGAGAAGTTATTTGGAAATAAGGATCTTTGAAGATGCAGTGAATTAAAGATCTTGAGATGAGATCATCCTGGAGTAGGGTAGGCCCTAAATCCAATGACAGGTGTCCTTCTAAGAGACAGAAGACACACAGACACAGAGGAGAAGGCCACGTGGAGACAGAGGCAGAGACTGCAGTGATGCGGCCACAAGCTCAGGGACACCTGGAGACCCCAGGAGCTGGGAGAGGCAGGAAGGATCCTCTCCTAGAGCCTCTGGATGGAACTGGACACAATTGTAGTGGACTGAACTGTGGTCTCCCACAAAGATCTGTCTATATCCTAATATCCAGAGCCTGGGAATGAGACTTCATTTGGGAATAAGGATCTTTGAAGGTGCAATGAGTTAAAGATCTTGAGACGAGATCATCCTGGAGTAGGGTGGGCCCTAAATCCAATGAGAGATGTCTTTTTTTTCTTTTGAGACGGAGTCTCACTCTTTCGCCCAGGCCGGACTGCAGTGGTGCTATCTCGGCTCACTGCAAGCTCTGCCTCCCAGGTTCACGCCATTCTCCTGTCTCAGCTTCCTGGGTAGCTGGGACTACAGGTGCCTGCAACCGTGCCTGGCTAATTTTTTGTATTTTTAGTAGAAATGGGGTTTCACCATGTTAGCCAGGATGGTCTCGATCTCCCGACCTCGTGATCCACCCGCCTCGGCCTCCCAAAGTGCTGGGATTACAGGTGTGAGCCACCGTGCCCGGCTGAGAGGTGTCCTTCTAAGAGACAGAAGACACACAGACACAGAGGAGAAGACCATGTGGAGACAGAGGCAGAGACTGGAGTGATGTGGCCACAAGCCCAAGGAATGTCTGGAGCCCCCAGGAGATGGGAGGGGCAGGAATGTTCTTCTCTTAGAGCCTCTGGAGGGAACTGGACACAATTGTAGTGGACTGAACTGTGGTCTCCCAAAAAGATCTGTCTATACCCTAATACCCAGAGCCTGGGAATGAGAACTTATTTGGAAATAAGGATCTTTGAAGATGCAGTGAATTAAAGATCTTGAGATGAGATCATCCTGGAGTAGGGTAGGCCCTAAATCCAATGACAGGTGTCCTTCTAAGAGACAGAAGAAGACACACAGACACAGAGGAGAAGGCCACGTGGAGACAGAGGCAGAGACTACAGTGATGCGGGCACAAGCTCAGGGACACCTGGAGACCCCAGGAGCTGGGAGAGGCAGGAAGCATCCTCTCCTAGAGCCTCTGGATGGAACTGGACACAATTGTAGTGGACTGAACTGTGGTCTCCCACAAAGATCTGTCTATATCCTAATATCCAGAGCCTGGGAATGAGACTTCATTTGGAAATAAGGATTTTTTTTTGAGACAGAGTTTCACTCTTGTTGCCCAGGCTGGGTTGCGATGGCGAGATCTCGGCTCACCGCAACCTCCACCTCCTGGGTTCAAGCAATTCTCCTGTCTCAGTCTCCCGAGTAGCTGTGATTACAGGCATGTGACACCATGTCTGGCTAATTTTGTATTTTTACAAAATTACAGAATTTTGTAATGATGGGGTTAAAAATTTTTGTAATGATGGGGTAGAGATGGGGTTTCTCCATGTTGGTCAGGCTGGTGTCGAACTCCTGACCTCAGGTGATTTGCCCACCTCACCCTCCCAAAGTGCTGAGATTACAGGTGTGAGCCACTGTGCCTGGCTGGAAATAAGGATCTTTGAAGATGCAATGAGTTAAGATCTTGAGATGAGATCATTCTGGAGTAGGGTGGGCCCTAAATCCAATGACAGGCTTCCTTCTAAGAGACAGAAGAAGACACACACACACAGAGGAGAAGGCCACGTGGAGACAGAGGCAGAGACTGCAGTGATGCGGCCACAAGCCCAGGGATGCCTGGAGCCCCCAGGAGCTGGGAGAGGCAGGAAGGATCCTCTCCTCGAGCCTCTGGATGGAACTGGACGCAACTGTAGTGGACTGAACTGTGGTCTCCCAAAAAGATCTGCCTATATCATAATACCCAGAGCCTGGGAATAAGACTTTATTTGGAAATAAGGATTTTTTTTTTTTTTTTGAGACGGAGTTTCACTCGTTTCCCAGGCTGGATTGCAATGGCGTGATCTCGGCTCACCGCAACCTCCACCTCCTGGGTTCAAGCAATTCTCCTGTCTCAGCCTCCCAAGTAGCTGGGATTACACGCATGTGACACTGGAGTCATGCAACCACAAGTCAAAGGGATGCCTGGAGCCCCTAGGAACTAAGAGAGGCAGGAATTGATCCTTCCTTAGAACCTCCGGATGGAGCAGAGCCCTGAGACATCTTGATCTCAATCTTCTGGTCTCCAGAGCTGGGAGAGGAGAAATAATTCCTTTTGTCATGAGGTCCCTAGTTGTGGTTACTTGTTACAGCAGGCCTGGAAAACTGATCAATGTCATAACCTGCAATGGGCTGTCTGAACACACAGCCATCTCATGGGACCATCTACATCATCTTCACACAGAGACCTAAGCCCCATGGGAAGCTTGGCAGATGTGATGTTGGGGCCTCTACAGATCCAGATGTGGGGGTTTAGTCAGGCTGGTGGGGAAAATTTTAGTTATAGTAGACACAAACCCTCTGGGAAGGCCTGAGCGTTTGTATAACTTCAGTAATAAACCTGGCTGAAGGCAGCCTAGTCCCCTTACCTTTAGTTAAATAAATTAGAGTAGAAGCAAAGGAATGTGGGGAATGTCTCTAACTAACTTGTTTACTCATGTGGTCCTAAGACTAACCTTTTATGTATCGCAGGTGCTTCATTGCTTTCTACTTAGGGAAGTCCGCAATGTCAATTTCCCTCTAGTGGTGTTGACTCACAACCTTTGTCAATTAATCTTTACTGAATAAATGCAAGTCTTGCTGACTGATCGAGGCCACGGCTGCTACTAAGTGGCTTGGATGCTCAGCCAAACTGGCAAAGCAGAATAGCTGTGTGTCAATGTACTTCATTCACCCATCACTTGGTCAGGGTCTGTGGGACAGACCCCTGCACCATAAATCTTGTTGCAAGTTTTCACCGTTGGGCTTCACGTCTCCCTGCAGCACCATGAATCCAGCTACACTAGGGAGGTGAATATCATGCATGTTTCCTGCAAGTTTCATTGTTCCTTGTAACCTCTGGCAACCTCTCCTTCCCGGAGGCTGTTTCCTGGCCTGTTAGTCTGGTTGTATCATTCATGGTTTTCCTATGAAGGGTCTCAGGATATAAGCAGACATTCTGCACAGAGACTGCATCTTTCTGCAGAAGGGGCTTGAGCTCATTCTTTCTGCACTGAGAGTCCTGGGTATTGAGGTCTGAGCTCTGCCCGAAACAGAAGCATACCGATTGTTAGGGTCACCCCAACCAGACCGTTCCCTTCCCCTTCCACAGGCCTTACAATACAGTCCCTTGCACTCTCCACACAGCTCCCCCAGGGCTAAAGACAAACGCCCCCCGCCTTCACTGACCCCTCCAGTAACTGTTTGTCCAGACAGTTACAGGATGTGGTTAGCATGTCTGTGAACCTTGCATAACAAAGCTGGTGAAAAACATCTCCAGGATGCGGTCAAGACACTTGCACCCCCTACTCAGCTCCCCCACCCCAACCCAATCCTCCTGCACCCTCGACTCAGCTCCCCCACCCCGACCTGGTTCTGGCCCTATAAAACCCTGCTATAGTCTGTAAGTGGGGCTGCCTCCACTAACTGTGGTGGAGCAGCCAAGCAGCTCAGTAAAGTTTGCTTGCCTGACTTTAGGTCTCCTCATCCTCTCTCTCGGCTGACCTTACACCGATGATGTAGTAAGCATCTAACGTGAATATCCCAGGGAACAAATCCACATTTCTTATCCTTTTGTACCAAGGAAGGTCCCCTGTCTAGTGGGTCCATGACATAAAATTCCTGGTTTTCTGTAAAGGAACAACAGAAATCCAGGCATCCTGGTTATCTACCAAGGAAAATCACCATCTGTGGTGACAAACCCATTCCCGGAGGATGAATGATTTTTTTTTTAAAGAGGCCAAACAATACATTTATTATTTTCATTTAAGTTGCTTATCAGGGCAACCTTCCCCATCTGGGAACAATCTAGCAGTCATGTAAGAAGCACATGCCCCCACAATTAGTTTGAACTCCATCCTGGAATTGCAGCTGGTTGTGATTCTAAGGTACAGGCATGCCAGGAGCCTGGATTTGAATAGTCAGTGGGATTTTGTCACTTAGTGGAATGGATAATAAGCCAACCAATGGTCATCAGTCTCACACATAAGGAGTGCAGGCTCGTAGGGTATACACAGTACTTTCTCAAAAGCATTGCAAATGACTGATTTCTCTATGTTGAAATTTGAAAACCCAACATCTATCTCTCTAACACCAAAGGATTGAGCCTTCCTTGCCTGGCTGGTGAGTAAGAGTGAGCCTCTATACCAAGGATGTACCCTTTGGCTGTGTGAGGTTTTCAGAAGTATCAGAAGCTGTATACATTTCCTGTGGTTGCTGTAACAAGTGACTACCAATTTGTTGGAGCCTTAAAACAAGAAAGATTTATTCTCTCTCCGTTCTGGGGACCAGAAGTCTAAAGTCAAGACGTCAGAGGGGCCAAGATTGCTCTGAGGGGTATAAGGGAGAATCCTTCCTGCCTGTCCCAGCTCCTGGTGGCTCCAGGCATTGCTTGGCTTGTGGTGGCATCACTCCAGTCTCTGTCTGCATCATCACACGAATATCTTGTCTTCTGTACTCAAATCTCCCTCTACCTGTCTCTGATAAGAACCCTCGTGATGGCATTAGGTTCACTGGGATGATCCATAATGACCCATCTCAAAATTCTTAATTCTATCTGCAAAGATTCTTTTCCAAATAAAGTAATATTTATAGGTTCTGAGGGTTAGGGCATGAACATATCTTTTGAGGGCTACCATTTGATCCATAGCTGTTCAGCGGTTTACATTCTCGGATTTGACAGTGGCATGCTTCACTTGTGACTGTGCCATTCTGGAATGAGGTTGACCAGATGGTGCTGCTGGCCACGTCAAACTCATCCTACAGGCTGTAGCAAGCAAGGCTCACACCTCCCCATGTCTGACACCTGTGAATCACAGCTGGGTCTCTGGAAAAATGAGTGAGTGCAGGAACAAAATCAAACAGGAGACCTCATCCACCACTAGGTCTCAGAGAGGACATTGCAGCCCCTGAAAAGAGAGCATCTCTCTTGGAACTTTTGTACTCAGTTGTATTAACGCGGCAAGGAAAATGGCACATTTATGTTGGAAAATGTAATTATTTATGGCACCTGTGACAACTGGGCACTTTGGAATCACAAAGTTTATGGTTGAAGACCACTTGGGGTGATTATCCTCCAAAATGTTTATTTGGCTTCTTGAAGTTCTGCAGAGGTTGAGGCAGCTGTCTCAAAACTAGAGGACAGAGCCCTGTGGGCAGGTGGGTGTGAGAAACTCAAACACCGCAGTCTTCACAGACCCACAAGCTATTGGCAGGTGCAATGTGTTTCTTGGGGCAGCAGCTATCCTGAGACAGGATATCACAGGGTCACATCAAGGACCCCAGTCATCTCACAACTCTTAGACCACAGCTGCTGCTGCAGTTTCTGGTTGTAGGTGACGTGGAGGGACTTGGTCTCTTTCTCGTTGTATAGGTAATGGCCACCAACTCCTTCCAGCTCTGGGGTGACTGCTGCGTAGATGGAAGTCCACGCTCCTTCATCGGGGGTCTGGTGGAAGAAGAAAAGAAGGCTACGATGAGTCAAATTTCTGAGCAGGAAACAGGAGTCTCAGGACTCACATGGATGCTGCAGGGACAGGTGGAATATACTCATCAGCTGCACTGAGAAATGTATGCAAAAAGCGAGGTTGGGTGATCAATCTGAACCACAGCTTTTCTGCTGTTGGGTTTCTTTACAACAGGCACTGACAATAACGTACCCAAGTGGGTTGCATTTCAGTGGTGGGTTAATCCATCTCACTAGGCAGATGCATATTAAAATCCCTGATGTACGTATTTAATCACGCACTCTTTATGGGACCGAAATGCTTATTAATTGACTAGAAGCAGATGAGTGAGTGCTTGGCTTCTGTATTTAATAAACAATATTTAGCAATTAGATGAAACATCAGGACATCAAAAAGATTCTTGTTTTCAATTCAGCAAGGCATGCTACATCGGAGAATTGAGGCATTTATGAGCTGTGATCGTATGTTTCATGGAAACAGACGTTTCAAAAAGGAACTTGAGATGCAGAAAAAGGTTTTTCAAAGACTGGGGATTTTACCCTAGTGGAAGGCGATAATCTTGAAACACAGCACACCCTGGTTTTCTGCAGTGGGAGTTGGCCCTTGGTCATGGTCAGTGGGATGGAAGAAATGTAGGATTCTCAGAGGAATTAGAAGTTGTGGGACCTGAGAACCTTCAGAGCTAGGATGCAATAATCCAGGAACCAACACAGTGCATCTTAACTTCTGTCACAATGAAGATGTTTCAGAAGTTGTCTCTTGTAATAAGCTTCTGGGAATCTGGTGAACGTATCCACCATGTGGGGACACAGTAATGAGGCACCGTCTGTGAACCAGAAAGCAGGTCCCTTCCAGACACAGAATCTGCCATGCATTGATCTTGAACTTCCAGCCTCCAGAACTGTGAGCAACAAATGTTTACCGGTTGCCCAGCCTATGTTGTTTTGTGATAGCAACACAAACAGACTAAGACATTTGATGTCCAGAGTTTTTACTGGGGTCTCATTGCATAGGTATGATTAAGTCATTGGCCACATAATCAGATTCAACCTCCAGTTCCTCTTTCCTCCCCAGAGGTCAGGCTGGCCTGAAATTCCAACCTCCTAATGACATGGTTGGTGTTTCTGGTGGCCAGCCCCATCTTGAAGCCATTTAGGAAACAGCAAATATCACCTCATTATACAACCAGGGAATTGCTAGCATTTGTGAAATTGCGAGAGTTTTAGAAGCTCCTCCTTGTTACAGAACCAGGAATAAAGACCAGATATTGCCTTTGTTATGTCCCCTCTAGTCTTCTGGGAGTGATGATCCATTTGCCCGAACTGATTTCACCTCTCACCAGTGCCCCTAGCACTGCAGTGGCTCAGGCCTGTAATCCCAGTGCTTTGGGAGAACAAGGCAGGAGGACTGCTTGAGTCCAGGAGTTCAAGATGAGTGTGGGCCACATGGCAAAACCTAGCACTGGTGAGAGTTCAGGCACACACCCTCCAAAAAGGAAAAGGGTGGACTCTGTGGGGTGGCCTGTGACACCCAGTCACTTCAGAAATTCTGCTGCTGTCAGTTCACTGCCTCCTGGTCTTGACTTCAGCAGCCAGTGTGACGTGGAAAGGCATGGTAGACAATCCAGTGTGCCCACCAGCCCATCCTCTGGGTGCCGAGCAAGGGGAACAGGAAGGCTGGACCCCAGTAGAGGAACAGAGCTGCCAGACTCCTGAGATTGTTTCCCACTGACTTGCCTCTGCTCTTCTGCTGCCTAAAAAGAAATGGATGGAGCTAGAGAACTTCCCAAGTCTGGAAATCACCTAGGGGTGCCCAGAGATCTTGCAAACCCAAAGTGTCCTGGGAGATTTGGAGGCTGATACGGTTTGGCTGTGTCCCCACCCAAATTTCATCTTGAACTGTAGCTCCCATAATTCCCATGTGTCAAGGGAGGGAGCCAGTGGGAGGTAATTGAATCATGGGAGATCTTTCTCGTGCTGTTCTCATGATAATGAATAAGTCCCATGACATCTGATGGTTTTATAAAAGGCCGCTCCCCTGCACACACTCTCTTGCCTGCTGCCATGTAAGACATGCCTTTGCTCCTCCTTCACCTTCCGCCATGATTGTCAGGCCTCCCCAGCCACATGGAACTGAGTCCATTAAGCCTCTTTCCTCTATAAATCACCCAGTCTTGGGCATGTCTTTATTAGCAGCATGAGAACAGACTAATAGAGAGACTGTATCTGAAAACATCTCGGGGGCGGATGCAGGCGCCATGGCTTGGCTCTTGCAGGGGAGCCCTGTGTCCCGTGTCTTGCCCTGGGCATCTAAAGACCAAAAGTAAAGGCGAAAGGGATGGAAAGAGGAAGGGAGGAAGGACAGAACAGAGCAGGAGGAAAGGGAGAGGGAAGGCAGGGGCCAAGTGAAGGCACCCATGGTGTTTGAGGGTCTTTCTCTGGGGCAGCCTTCAACGCAGAAAGAGGTTTTATTGATCTGTTTCATGCTTCTCTCTTTTGCGGCTGTGTTCTGCCCAATTTCCAGGCAGGATCTGCTCCCAAAGCCGGCATTCTTCTTCCTTCTCCATCATCTTGTAGCTGGAAAATACGGAGTCTTTCTGGGGCCCAGCCCACTTCCATATAAAAGGCAGGGACACCAAGCACTGCAGCTGTGAATCCAACATGGTGCCCCTTCCCACACTGCTGCTCTGGACAAAGTGATCAGAGAGGCCAGATGGGGGCCACCCTGGGTCCCCAGGAGAGACCATGGTTCCTGCTGCGCAGAAATGAGCATTTACACCTCACGCTGGTGCCTGAGATGTTCACCCACACTGTGTTATATTTAGTGCTGTGCCTTCTTTGCAAACAAATCCTTAAATCAGCTCCTGGAACAAGTTTTGTGTTGTTGTCTGCCATCATTGACACTGAGGATTCAGGGGCTCATGCCCCAAATACCCGACCTGTGTCTTGACCATGTAGTATGATGCCTCCACCCGGAGAGGCCCCTGTGTTCTGCAGCTGCAGCTTAGGCCGCTCCTGGGTTCTCCTGCATCGTCCCTATTGTTGAACAAACTCAGCACTCTCTGGAAGGAGGCTTCCTCTTTGTGGTTCCCCTGTGGGCAGTGTCTGGGGGCTTCTGTTTCTACCATATTTTGAAAAATCCTCTTATCTGAGTAAGAGTTCTTGGGCTATGCATATTCAATTGCGACACAAGTACTACCGTTTTAGGGGGCAAGATACCACCTGTGCTATGTTGAAAATGAGCTTGTGATTTCTAGAAGACAGCAAGCGCATTGTGCTGAAAATGTAGGTATTTCTGGGGACACAGAGATGACGACGTGATGAAGTTCTATTGGATGATTTTTTTTCTGTAAGAAAAACACACGCACACACATATTCATGTGCGCATGGTCACTTACATGCTGACATGCACACATACATTCGTATGTACTCACATGCACACAAATATATATACACATATGGACACACACATACTCATGCATACGCACACACACATGCACACTTACTTGCACATGCATACTCACACTCATTCACATGCACACATGCTCATTTACATGTACACAAACTCACATGAACACATGCTCACATATACTCATTCACATGCACACAAATTCGCATGCACACAGCTCACACGCACACATGCTCACACTCGCACACACACACGTACACACACATTCACATGCACTCATTCACATGTACACAGCTCACACACATGCTCACATTCACATGCACACTAATTCACATGCACACACACATGCTCACACTCATTCACATGCACACAGCTCACATTCACACATGCATTCACATTTACATATTCACATGCACTCACATGCTCACTCATTCACATGCACACAGCTCACACACATGCACACACTCATTCACATGCACTCATTCACATGTACACACATTCACATGCACTCACACACGCACACAGCTCACACATGCACACATTTGCATGCACATTCACATGTACACACATTCACATGCAGTCACACATGCTCACACTCATTCACATGCACACAGCTCACACACATGCACTTTCACATGTACACACATTCACATGCACACATACACATGCACGCACCCTCATTCACAAGTACGCACATACACATGCACACATGCTCACACTCATTCACATGCACACATGCTCATCCACGTGTACATTCACATACTCATTCACATGCATACTTATACACATGCAAACATGCTTATATATTCATTTGCATGCACACACTCATACACATGCACAGATTATTTATCCTAATATTGCAAAATATGAAACCAAGGAGAGAGGCCTCAGGAGGAACCAGCCCTGCCCACACCTTGATCTTAGACCTCCAGCCTCCAGGACTGTGGGAGAATCAATGTATGTCGTTTCTAAGCCACCCAGTCTATGGTATTCTGTGACAGCAGCCAGAACTGGACTAAGACATGTCATAAGAAAAGGAGATGAGGACACAGACACACACAGAGGGACAACCCTGTGAGGACACAGGGAAAAGACGGCGTCTCCAAGCCCAGGAGAGAGACCTCAGGAGGAACCAGCCCTGCCCACACCTTGATGTCAGACTTCCAGCCTCCAGGACTGTGGGAGAGTCAACGTCTGTTGTTTATAAGCCACCCAGTCTATGGTATTCTGTGATAGCAGCCTGAAATGGACTGAGACAGCTCATAAGAAGAGGAGATGAGGAGAAAACAGACATGCACAGAGGGACGACCCTGTGAGGACACAGTGAGAAGACAGCATCTACAACCCAAGGAGAGAGGCCTCGGGAGGAGCCCGCCCAGCCCACACCTTCATCTTGGACTTCCAGCCTCCAGGACGGTGGGAAAATCAGTGTCTGTTGTCTAAGCTGCCCAGTCTATGGGACGTCAGGCTGGCAACCCCGGCAGATGGAGACCAAGCCCAGGTGACTTCTCTCCTGACTGGGATTGGCGCAGGCTGCTGTGTGCATATGTCAAGAAAGCCTCTTTTCCAGGAAACAGGCAATTATACCCACACTTACCTGCTACCTCAAGAGTCAGGGAGGGGAGAGACTTCAGGAGCATGAGCAATTACTCGAGTTCCCCTCCCAAGTCATTTCAATCTCCTGTTGGTTACCTGGCTCATTCAGTCTGCCCCACAGCTCTATTGCAAACAGAGCCCTCTGTGTTCATGGGACTGTTCAAGAACACCAAGGGTTCCTGCCAGCATTTGTCTCTCTAATGCCACGTTCTGCAAAGCAGACCTTGGACTGGCCCAGCCCTTTGTGATCTTTTTCCCCAAAGAAAACACAGGCGCGGTAGCTCACGCCTGTCACCCCAGCACTTTGGGAGGCCGAGGCAGGCGGATCGCGAGGTCAGGAGATCAAGACCATCCTGGCTAACACAGTGAAACCCCGTCTCTACTAAAAAACACAAAAAATTAGCCGGGCATGGTGGCGAGCGCCTGTAGTCCCAGCTACTCGGGAGGCAGGAGAATGGCGTGAACCCGGGAGGCGGGGCTTGCAGTGAGCCGAGATGGCGCCACTGCACTCCAGCCTGGGCGACAGAGCGAGATGCCATCTCAAAAAAAAAAGAAAGAAAAAAAAGAAAACACCCAGACCATGGGCACGGTTTCTCGTGTTAGGGCAGCACAGAGAATGTGACAGGTAGGGAAAACAGCAAAGCAACTCATCGTTCTCAGAGTCGCTTTTGTTAGAGGGGAAGCTCTGGGACCTGTCTCAGAGCTGCTGCAGAATAAGAAGGGTTCGAGTCAGCCTTCCTCCTGCTGACAATGAATACCTCAGTTTTCCCTCCGGAGGCAGCCCCTTTTCCTCCTAACTCCATGAAATGTCTTTCCGGAAGGTGCAGCTGGAGCACCCTGCACCTGCACCCCAGCCAGCCCTGCACCCACATCTGTACATGCCAGGCAGTGCTGAGAACCGGGCAGGAAGGGAGGGGACAGACGTGTCTGCACAGAATCCTGCACCTGCTGGGAACAACTCAGTGTCATCAGCTATGGCCTGGGTCAAAGCACCTTTGTTTTGGGTATTCAAAGGTCAGTGAAGGGTTGAGTGAAAGGGAAGGAGAAAGACAGAGAAACAAAAAAAATCAATGGAAGGAAGAAAGAGAAGGAGAAAGAAAAAGAGGAAGAAGAAAGGAGGAAATAGAGAAAGGAATTAAGGAAGGAAAGAAGGAAGCATAATGGGAGGGAAGGAAGGAGTGACACAGAGAGAGAGGGAGGGAGGCAGTAAGAAAGGAAGGAAGCAGAGAACAAGACAGAAAAGAGGGAAGGAAGGAGAGAGAAAGGAAGCAGAGAAGAAAGGAGGGAGGAAGAAAAAAGGGAGAAAGGAGGGAAGAAGGGAGGAAGGGAAGGATGAAAAAAGAAAAAAAAACAGGAAGGAAGCAAAGAAGGAAGGGAGGCAGGAAGCAAAGAAGGAAAGGAGGAAGGAAGGAAAAGAGACAGAAAGAAAAAAAAAGAAGAGAAACAAAGAACCAAAGAGAAGGAAGGATGGGAGGGAGGGAGGGAGGGAAGGATGGGAAGGAGGAAGGAAGGGAGGGAGGGAGGGGGGAAGGGAGGGGGGAAGGGAGGGAGGGAAGGGAGGGAGGGAGGGAGGGAGAGAGGGAGGGAGAGAGGGAGGGAGAGAGGGAGGGAGGGAGGGAGGGAGAGAGGGAGGGAGGGAGGGAGGGAGGGAGGGAGGGAAGGGAGGGAGGGAGGAAGGGAGGGAGGGAGGAAGGGAGGGAGGGAGGGAAGGGAGGGAGGGAGGGAGGGAAGGGAGGGAGGGAGGGAGGGAAGGGAGGGAGGGAGGGAGGGAGGGAGGGAGGAAGGGGGGAAGGGAGGGAGGGAGGGAGGGAGGAAGGGAGAGGGGAAGGGAGGGAGGGAAGGAGGGAGGAAGGGAGGGAGGGAGGGAAGGGAGGGAGGGAGGGAGGGAAGGGAGGGAGGGAGGGAGGGAGGGGGGAAGGGAGGGAGGGAGGGGGGAAGGGGGGAAGGGAGGGAGGGAGGGAGGGAGAGAGGGAGGGAGAGAGGGAGGGAGAGAGGGAGGGAGGAAGGGAGGGAGGGAGGGAGGGAAGGGAGGGAGGGAGGGAGGAAGGGAGGGAGGGAGGAAGGGAGGGAGGGAGGGAGGGAGGAAGGGAGGGAGGGAGGGAGGAAGGAAGGGAGGGAGGGAGGGAGGAATGAAGGGAGGGAGGGAGGAAGGGAGGGAGGGAGGGAGGGAGGAAGGAAGGGAGGGAGGGAGGGAGGGAAGGGAGGGAGGGAGGGAGGGAGGGAGGAAGGAAGGAAGGAAGGGAGGAAGGAAGGAAAAAAGGGAGGCAAAAGGAAGGACTGGAGGAAAAAAGAGAAGATAAGAGGAAGGAAGGGAGGGAGGAATTTATTCCTCAGAGCCTTTGCTGCATTTACCAATTCTGGTTCTGCCCCTATTTGACCAAATATCTGTGGTGACTCTGAGAATTCTGATTTCTAAGATAAGGCAGATATTGTGAATTTGAAATAGCAAATCCCTTTTGTGTCATTCAAACCACGATTTCCTTTTTGTTAGAGCTCCTGTTCTCCAGATAGCACCCAGGGCACACAGAGATATTTGCCTGTGACTCTTCAAAGAGCTTCAGAAAGCTGTTCCCTCTGAACTCCACACTTAACTTGTATTAGACATGCTGGGCTTTGCAGAAGAGACACACACAGGGCTTCCCTTTGTCCTTGGGACGGATCCCCTGTGCTGTCTGCAAGGAAACTACCTAACGCTCCACTGCCAGGAGCAGAGGGCAGCAGGAATGGCATCACCCGGGATGTCTCCTAGGGAGGAGGCTAGCAGGGCTTGGGCGGCAAACGCTCAGCTCTCTGCAAGGCACGCAGAGGCTCGTTCGCCTTCTGGAAATGTTGCTATTTGAATGCAGACGCTGTTAGTAGATCCTTGAGTTGTGCTGAGAGAGATCTGAGGGCACATGTATTTATTTTAGCACCGTCCACATCTTAGGGCAGAAACTCACACTCAGGGAAGTGGCTGGCAAGTAAAGAGACTCCTAGCTGAGCTTCCCAAGGAGAGTTTCCACGCCCCAAAGTTGTGGAAGAGGGGACGGAGTAATGCTGTGGTCAAAGAGAAATTCAGAGACTTCTGCCCAGGCTCAGCTGCCTTCCTGGAAGAATGTTCTGAACATTCTACAAAGGCAACACTTCCTCTCCATACCTCTGCTCCAGCCACCCAGGGATCCTGCTGCTTCTGCCACGATGTCCCCTGCCTCTTGCCTCTCTGTACCTGCTGCTTGCTCCTTCTGGAATGTTCTGGAAAATAGGTTTCGGGGCTGGATGTTTTCTGGGATGCTGACTCACACGCAAATCATAGGGTGACATAATGTGTGCATGTGTGTGTGTGCACAGATATGCATAGGTACGCATTTATGTGGATGTGTGTGTACTTGTGGGTAGATGTGTATTGTATGATTGTATGTGCATGTCTGTATGTATATGTATATGTATGTGCACGTGCATGAATGCACACGTTAATGGGTACGTGTGTGTATTCATGCATGTGTTTGGATAAATATATGTGCATGCATGTGTGTGGGGGCGCAGATGTGCGGGTATGGGCCTGCGTGTGTTTGCACATGTGTATATGTATGCATGCATGTGAATGTGTACTTGAGGGATGTGTATTGTATGAGTGTATGTGCATGTCTGTATGTATATGGATATGTGTGAGTACATGTACGTACATGCATGTGCATGAATGCACATGTGAATATGTGCATGTGTCGATAGGAATATACATTTGCATAAATGTGTGCATGTGTGTTTGCTCATGCATATGTGCACACATGCATGTGGGCACAGATGTGTGGATATACGCATGTCTGTGTGCATGGGTTTGCACGTGTATATGTGCATGTGTGTCTATGCATGTGAAGGTGTGTGTGCATTTATGCACGTGAGCATGTGTGCACATACTATGCATGTGTGGGAGGGGTGCAGGTGCGCGCATGTGTTTGCATCTATATGTGTGTATTTGTACATGTGTGCATGTATGTGTGCATGAGTGTGCACATGTGTACGTGCACACACGTGCTCTCAACTCCCCAATGAGAGCTGTGGGTTGTGCTAAACTTCTAGGGATGTTTCATGGCCTCAGTGACCACCTGAAGCAGAGAGGATTAAGAAAACCTTCCTTTAACTACAATCTCGTAAGACACACACACAAACCTGCTCTTACCAGGAATAAACACTCACCTGACAGACAACAGAGAGGAGATGGCTTGTGCTGTTTAATGTCAGGTAACACAGGTCTTAAGTGGGCTCTGTGATGATTGAGTTCACGTATCAATTGGCTGGGCTATGGTGCCCAGACATTTGGTCAAGCACCAGACTGGGTAGTTTGTGGATATCATTAACATTTACAAATCAGTTGCATTTAAGCGAAGGAGAGGACGCTTCACAATGTGGGTGGGCCTCACCTCATCAGGAGAAGGCCTTCACAGCAAACACTGACACTTACTAGAAAAGGAATTCCACTCCAGACTGTGACAGGGCAATCCTGCCTGAGTGTCCAGCCTGCCCTGCAGATTTTAGGCTCAAGGCTGCAATGTCAAATCTTGGCCAGGTCTCCAGCCTGCCAGCCAGCCTACCAATTTTGGACTTGCCCGCCCCTACAATCCCAAGAGTCAATTAAACTAAATCTTTCTCTATGCATAGATCCTATTGGTCCTGTTTTTCTTGAGAACTGCGACTAATACAAAATTGAACGGTCTCAATGGCAGAGAGTCTGGGCATTCTGAAACCAGGAAGAAATGCCGGGCTCCAGGAATGATCTTGGCTCATCTCTTAGCTTGAGTCACTGGAAGGTCTCGCACAGAGACCTTCAATCAAAAGCACAGAGACTGCTGGCTGGCTTTTAAGGCTAAACCAAAGGAGGGCATTTATCCACTCAAGGGAAGAAGTTTCCCATCCAAAGAGGACACTTCTTTTTAGGGTGGCAGCCTCAGAGCCTATGATGTCTTTGTTCCTGGGGAGTCTGTTAGAGCCACCAGAGAGTCCATCACAGACATACCCTGTGGAAAGGAGAGATGGCATCTCCTTGGACAAAACGGCCCTTCCCAGTTCTGTAACTTCTGTGGCATTTCCAATGTGTACCTCAAACTGATCTGGGTGGCATCACCTCTGAGCCTGAGAGAACCTCCCTCTTTCCCTCCCTCTCTCTCACACCCTTCTCCTTCCTCCTTTGCTTCCTCTTCCTTTTTCTCTTTTTCTCTCTCTATTCCTCTTTCTCTTCCTCCCCCATCTTATCCTCCTCCTCTTTCATTTCTTCCTTCTCCTTCTCTTTCCCCCTTATCCTCCTCCTATTCTTCTATCCCTTCCTCTTCCTTTTTCTCTCTTCTTCCTCCTCCATCGTATCCTCCTTTTTCTTTTTTCCCTTATTCTCCTTTCCCATCTCTTTCTCCCTTTCTCTTCTCTCTCTGCCTTTTCTTCTTTTTTTCTTTCTCCTCTTTTCTCTTCTTGCCTTTTCACTCTCTATTCCTCTTTTTTTCTCCTCCATCTTCTCTTCTTCCTCCTCCACCTCGTCCTCTTCCTCCTTTCTGCCTTATCCTCCTCCTGTTTTTCTCTCTATCCCTCTCTCTCCCTTCCTCTTCCTTTCTTTCTCCTCTTTCTCATTTTCTCCCTCTTCTTCCTCCTCCATCTTCTCCAACTTCTTCCTCCTCCTCCTCTTTCTCTTATCTTCTTCTTTTCCTCTATCTTTCTCTTCCTCTTCTCTCCTCCTTCTCTTTTCTTTCTGCCCTTCTTTCCTTTTCTCTATTCCTCCCTTTTTCCTCCTCCTTCATCTTCTCCTCCTTCTTCCTTCTCCTCCTTTTTCTCTTTCTATCCCTCTGTCTTCCTCCTTTTATTTTTTCTCCTTTTCCTCATCTTCCTTTTTCTCTCTCTCCCTTCCCTTCCTCCTCTTCCCCTTCCTCTTTCTCCTCCTCTCTCTCTGCCCCCTCTATTATCAATTTACAGTATAATCCAGCTTTTCCTAAAAAAAAACTAGACAACCTTCACACTACACCCTTCTGTTTCTAAAAGTCTTCCTCTGAATCGAAATCACTCTTGTTCACTTGTGTGAGGCTGGGGGATTCCTGAATGAACTTGTATCCACTTGTTTTGAAAACAACAACAACTAAAGCAACAGAACTTCCTTTAGGATTCATATAGAGCATTCATATGGAATTACCGAGAACTATCTTCTTTTGTCCACAGCCCCAAAGCTGGGGCTCAATCCCCTGCAGTCCTGGGGTCTGGGGTCCTCACGCTTAGCACTCAAGAGAATGGGCCAGAGAGCTTGTAAAAACAACTGCACCCCTGGTATTTCTAACTCAGTGGATCTTAGGAGGCCCAAGAATCAGCATTTTTTTTTATTTTTTATTATTTATTTATTTATTTGAGATGCCAGGGCTGGAGTGCAGTGGCATGATCTTGGCTCACTGCAACCTCCGCCTCCCAAGTTCAAGCAATTCTCCTGCCTCAGCCTCCCGAGTAGCTGGGATTACAGGTGCCTGCCACTACATCCAGCTAATTTTTTGTATTTTTAGTAGAGACAGGATTTCACCATGTTGGCCAGGCTGGTCTCGAACTCCTGACCTCATGATTCGCCCATGTCAGCCTCCAAAAGTGCTGAGATTACAGGCATGAGCCATCGTGCCCGACCCAAGAATCTGCATTTCTAACGAGCTCCCAGAGGCTGCTGGTCTCAGAGACCACGCTGGGAACCTCACTCATTCTAGCTTCTTATGCAGCTCTGCAAACTATACACCATGGGCAAAATTCAGCCTGTACCTGTTTCTGTACAGGCTACTAGCTAAGAATGGTTTTATACTCTTAAAGTGTTGTTAAGAAAAAGAAAGAAAGAAAGAAAGAAAGAAATATGCCAAAGAGACTAGAGGTGGCCCACGAAGACTAAGACACTTCCTATCTGGCCGACCTCCTGTGTAGAGCAAGGAACTGTGGCTTCGCGGCAGAATTTCATTATCTGCCGCTGTGCAGCTGTGGCTGACAGACGCTGTCTTCCACACATTCTCGGAATGATGAAGTGGGCTTGCTTGGTGACGCCTTGTGCAGGGAAATGAAAGTTGTCTTCTGAATACACAAGACGGTCCTGTAAATCATGCTCCCTGTGGCTTAAATAACACATCCTGTTTTATCTACAGCTTTTTTTTTTTTTTAAATGACAATCTTTAGAGACTGGCAAGAGGACAGAAGATGTATAAATGTGAACCCAAATCCAAGAACGCAGTGTGTTCCCTTTTAACAGACACAAGAGCATCTTTGAAGTTCCAGACGCCCGGCTGGGGGGCGCTGGGGAGACGGTGCAGCACCATTTATGGTAAAATCTGCATCAAGCCACTCTTGAGTCCTGGAGAGTGTTGGAGCTGCAAGCTACAGAAACCATTTCAACTTCATTCAGTCCAATGAATGTTTATTAAATGCTCACCCGTATTTTGCCAGCTCTTGGGGCAAAGGAAGAGAATTTCAGAAATAACCCCTGCTGCCCAGGAGCTTCCAATAGACATGGGCAGTGGGTGGATGGTGAGGCACAAGTGCAGGAAAAAAAAAAGATGAAACACACACAAAATAGAAGATAGAGTTTCAAGTGTACTAAATAGAGCCACAAGCAATATAGTCAGAGAGAGGAATGAATGGCTCATAATTACATAATTACACAGAGCTTTACAGTGGAGAAAATGGTTTCCCATATATTCTGTCGGCAATGTTCACAACACTCTTATGTGATATTATTATCCAGAATTAACAAATTAGAAAAATGAGAGGCATAGCAGGGAAGGAGAGGAGAAGGGAGCTGTTGCAGGAAATAGCCACTGCCTGATTCTTCCAGGGACCCCTCCCTCGTCATCTCCCTTCTTTCTCTGCTTTGCTATCATGAGCCCTGATCCATGCACACAGCTGGATCCATGCACATGCATTCAATATCTCCCTCCCTGCCTTCACCCATGCACACAGCCCTGATCCATGCACACAGCTGGCTCCATACACATGCATTCTGCAGCTGCCTCCCTGCCTGCATCCATGCACACAGCCCTGATCCACGCACACAGCTGGCTCCATGCATGTGCATTCAATATCTCCCTCCCTGCCTTCACCCATGCACACAGCCCTGATCCATGCACATGCATTCAATATTTCCCTCCCTGCCTTCATCCATGCACACAGCCCTGATCCATGCACACAGCCCAGATCCATGCACACAGCTAGACCCACACACACACATTCAGTACCTCCTTCCCTGCCTTCCAGGCACAGAGCCCTGATCCACGCACACAGCTGTTTTAGGTTTTTTGCAGTAGTATTCAGAACAGCAAAGATATGCAATCAACCTAAGTGTCTGTCAGCAGAGGACTGGCTAATATAAAGAAAGTACAGTATAGTATATACACACCATGGAATATTATGCAGTCATATCAAAGAATGAAATCATGTCTTTTGCAGTGACATGGACAAACACTGCACGTTTCCACTTTTTATTTTATTATTTTACTTTTTATTTTTTGAGACGGAGTCTCACTCTGTTGCCCAGGCTGGAGTGCAGTGGCACGATCCCGGCTTACTGCAGTCTCTACCTCCCATGTTCAAGCGATTCTCCTGCCTCAGCTTCCCGAGTAGCTGGGACTACAGGCGTGTGCCACCATGCTGAGCTAATTTTTGTATTTTTAGTAGAGACGGGGTTTCACCATATTGGTCAGGCTGGTCTTGAACTCATGACCTCAGGTGATCCACCCGCCTCAGCCTCCCAAAGTGCTGGGATTACAGGCATGATCCACCATGCCCAGCCTGTTTCCACTTTCTAAGGTCCCTAGAGTCATCAGATTCATCAAGACAGAAGGCAGAATGGTGTTGCTAGGAGCTAGGAACAGCAGGGAAATTGGAAGTTGTATTTTAATGGAAACAGAGCTTCAGTTTGAAAAGCAGGCCGTTCTCCTAACAAACAACTCAGATACTGAAAGTCAAACACTGATCCTGCCATGTTCTCACTTGCAAGTGGGAGTTCACCAGTGGGTCTACACAGACACAGAGGGTGGATTGACGATGAGGACCCTGAAAGGTGGGAGGTTGGCAGGAGGTGGAGGATGAAAAAAATCACCTACAGGTATAGTATTCACAGCTGGGGTGAGGGGTTCACTAGAAGCCGGGACTTCACCGCTGTGCAATGTCTCCATGCAAGAAATCCGCACCTGTACTCCTTAAATTTATAATAAATAAGTGAATCAATAAATACATAAGCCGGGCTGGGTACGGTGGCTCACACCTGTCATCCCAGCACTCTGGGAGGCCGAGGCCGGCGGATCACAAGGTCAAGAGATCAAGACCATCCCGGCCAACATGGTGAAACCCCACCTCTATTAAAAATATAAAAATTAGCTGGGTGTGGTGAGACATGCCTATAATCCCAGCTACTCGGGAGGCTGAGGCAGGAGAATGGCTTGAACCCGGGAGGCAGGTGTTGCAGTGAGCCAAAATCATGCCACTACACTCCAGCCTGGGCAACAGAGCATCTCAGGGGAAAAAAAAAAAAAAAAGGGAACAAAAAAAGAAATCCGCACCTGTACTCTTTAAATTTATAATAAATAAGCAAATCAATAAATACATAAGCCAGGACGGGTGCGGTGGCTCACACCTGTCATCCCAGCACTTTGGGAGACCGAGGCGGGCGGATCACGAGGTCAAGAGATCAAGACCATCCCGGCCAACATGGTGAAACCCCATCTCTATTAAAAATATAAAAATTAGCTGGGTGTGGTGGGACATGCCTATAATCCCAGCTACTCGGGAGGCTGAGGCAGGAGAATCGCTTGAACCTGGGACGCAGGGGTTGCAGTGAGCTGAGATCGCGCCATTGTACTCCAGCCTGGGTGACAGGGTGAGACTCCGTCTCAAAGAAAAAAAATAAATAAATAAAATAAATAAATCCGCACCTGTACTCCTTAAATTTATAATAAATAAGTGAATCGATAAATACATAAGCCAATTGGTGAGATGACCCATAAAGACAAACAAAGCTTTGTGAGGGGAAAGCAAGCGCCCAGGAGAAGCCCTGTCTTCGGAGGTTTTGGCGCAGGCCTGAATGAAGGGAAGGAGAGGGATTGGATACCTGGGGGAAGGGCGTGCGTGGAGGAGGAAACAGCCAGGGCTGAGGCCTGCACATTGCAGGGAAAGGGTGAAGTCCCTGGTGGCTCTACCTGGAGCAATTTCTTCTTATTTTTTCTTTTTTTGAGATGGAGTTTCACTCTTGTCACCCAGGCTGGAGTGCAGTGGCGCGATCTCGGCTCACTGCAACCTCCTGCTCCCGGGTTCAAGCGATTCTCCTGCCTCAGCCTCCCGAGTAGCTGGGATTACAGGCGTCCGCCACCATGCCTGGCTAATTTCTGTATTTTTAGTAGAGACGGGGTTTCACCACGTTGGCCAGGCTGGTCTCGAACTCCTGGCCTCATGTGATCCACCCGCCTCAGCCTCCCAAAGTGCTGGGATGACAGGTGTGAGCCACTGCGCCCGGCCACCTGGAGCATTTTCAGTGGAGCATGGGGGACTGGAAGTGAATTGTATGAGCAATTCCTGTATGGGGATTTGCTGCAGCGGAGACTGTAGTCAGGGACAGTCCCCAGGGGAAATAGAAGGTCCAGAGAGGGTGGTTAGATTTGTTTATTAATAAAAAAAAAAAAAGAAATGGGGGGGCTGGGTAGGGTGTCTCATGCCTGTAATCCCAGCACTTCGGCAGGCCGAGGCAGGCGGCTCACTCGAGACTGTGAGTTCGAGATCAGCCTGAGTAACATATCGAAACCCCGTCTCTACTGAAAATGTAAAAATTAGCCAGGCGTGCTGGGAGGTAGCTGAGGTCCCAGCTACCCAGGAGGATGAGGCCGAATTGCTTGAACCCAGGAGGCGGAGGTTGCAGTGAGCCGAGATCGCACCACTGCACTCCAGCCTGGGCAACAGAGAGAGGTTCCATCTTAAAAAAAATAAAAATAAAAAAATTCCCAGTACCTGCATCCTTGATTTGATTAATTAACCTGTCACCCTCTCGGCACATCAATCCAAGTTCCAATCAACCCTAAGACAGACTTTCATTAGACTGCATGGCGGATACAAATACATGCTTAAGACAAGCAATGATACGAGTGGTCTACTTCATGGTGAAGTGGGCGCAGTCTACACTGCAAATTTGTTCATTTTGATGGCAGGCCTGATCACATGATTTCAAAGTGGTCAGGACTTGCTGGACATGAGCCCTGAATGGTGGAGCTGATACACTCAGCATTTACAATAGCTTTCTATTTTTTTTTTTTTTTGAGATGGAGTTTCGCTCTTGTCGTCCAGGCTGGAGTGCAGTGGCATGATCTGGGCTCACCACAATTTCCGCCCCCGGGTTCAAGCGATTCTCCTGCCTCAGCCTCCTGAGTAGCTGGGATTACAGGTGACTGCCACCACGCCTGGCTAATTTCTGTATTTTTAGTAGAGACTGGGTTTCTCCATGTTGGTTAGGCTGGTCTTGAACTCCTAACCTCACATGATCCTCCCCCTCAGCCTCCCAAAGTGTTGGGATTACAGGCATGAGCCACCACTCCCAGCCGATAGCTCTTTTTTGTAACACCCATTGATCTTGAGACAACTGGGGTGGGAAGAGAGGTAATAGCCACGTTCATTTGCTCCCTAGGAGGGGTATACATTGTAGGGGGTACTGAGTTTCACTGATGAAGCTGCGAGGAGCTTCCTAGAGGTCTGAAGAGCACACATGCCCTCTGAAATACTAAGCTACTCTCCTACGGAGGCTGAGACCATCTGCATGTCTCAGCATGAAGAATGGCCTGATGCATTTGTATACAGGACAAATCAAACCTCTCATCTTTATAAATGCACAAATCATAATCCCAACACTTTGGGAGGCCACAGCAGGAGGATCGCTTGGGGCTAGGAACTGGAGACCCGGCTGGACAACATAGCAAGACCTCGGCTCTACCAAAAAATTTTAAAAAATTAGCCAGGCATGCTGGTGCATTCGTGTAGTCCCAGCTACTCGGGAGGTGGAGGTGGGGTGATCGTTTCAGTCCAGCAGGTCGAGGCTGCTGTGAGCTGTGATTGTACCACTGCACTCCAGCCTGGGTGACAGGGCGAGACCCCATCTCAAAAACAAACCAATCAACCTCCTAGTTTTTCTTCTGGTACCGACTGGTCGCCCAGGTTACTGGCCGTGAATTTGGAATCGAGTCCATGTGTTCTGATGAGACAGAGGATAGAGGTTTCAGAGTGACATACAACCATGCCCTCAGATGATATGAAACATCACAGAGATATGTATGTCACACAGATTCTCCCCAGGGACCCTGGACAGATCCTGCAAGGTTTTTCTTCTTTCTTTTTTTTTTTTTTGAGACGGAGTTTCACTCTTTTCACCCAGGCTGGAGTGCAATGGCGCCATCTCGGCTTACTGCAACCTCCGCCTCCCAGGTTCAAGCGATTCCCCTGCCTCAGCCTCCCGAGTAGCTGGAATGACACACACGCGCCACCACACTCGGCTAATTTTTTTTTTTTTTAATAGAGATGGTGTTTCACCATGTTTGACAGTCTGGTCTCGAACTCCTGACCTCAAGTAATCCACTCACCTTGGCCTCCCAAAGTGCTGGGATTACAGGCATGAGACACGGCACCCAGCTGATCTTCCAAGTCTTAATATACAATGCATGCATGCATGCATGCATACACACTAGTAAATAATACATACACAGCAATACAGAATTATCATTACAAAGACAGCATCAAGCTACTGCAGCTGTATAGCCTTTTCTTTAAAATTCTTACATTATTTTAATTTCATTTCCAGGCTAATGCATATTCTTCTGCTCTATAATTTTAAAGTTTCCACAATGTTGTCTCTTATATAAAGGCAGTATCACTCGAGCAATGCCCCGTGGTTATTTTTAATCCAAATTTGCAGATGATGATCAAAGGATTAAAGAATGATTCATGTGGCTAAAGTTGCAGTTTGCTTGTTAAATATTTAGAAAGAAATAATGTCAAGGCCAGCCATGGTGGCTCATGCCTGTCATCCCAGCACTTTGGGAGGCAGAGGTGGGAGAATCACTTGAGGCCAGGATTTCAAGGTTGCAGCCAGTGATTGTGTCATAATTCCAGCGCACAAGACCAACCTGGGCGAACAGCAAGATGCCGTTTCTACAAAAAAAAAAAAAAATGCACAGCAGCCAGGGTGACAGAGCAAGACCTGGTCTCTAAAAAATTTAAAAGAGGCCGGGCGTGGTGGCTCACGCCTGTAATCCCAACACTTTGAGAGGCCGAGGCAGGTGGATCACGAGGTCAGGAGATCAAGACCATCCTGGCCAACATGGTGAAACCCCGTCTCTACTAAAAAAAAATAAAAAATAAAAAAAAAATTAGCCAGACGTGGTGGCGGGCACCTGTGGTCCCATTTACTCGGGAGGCTGAGGCAGGAGAACGGCATGAACCTGGGAGGCGGAGCTTGCAGTGAGCTGAGATCGCGCCAACGCACTCCAGCCTGGGCAACAGAGCAAGACTCAGTCTCAAAAAAAATAAATAAATTAAATAAAATAAAAAAACAGCAAATGCTCTCCTTGGATACTGAAGTCACTCTCTGAGGGATTCATGGGGGTTTTATAAGGATGAAATGTATCCTAGTGTTGGTGTATTGCTAGCGAATACTTAGTGCTTAATAAAATAACTAATATTTTGAAATTCCTTTGCTTGAGGAATTAGAGATGTGAAGAACAACAGATCAGAAAGCAAACTGCAAAATAAGGGATGTACAGCTGGGCGCGGTGGCTCACGCCTGTAATCCCATCACTTAGGAAGGCCGAGGTGGGCGGATCACCCGAAGTCAGGAGTTCGAGACCAGCCTGGGCAACATAATGAAACCCCGTCCCTACTAAAAACACAACACTTAGCCAGGCTTGATGGCAGGTGCCTGCAGTCCCAGCTACTCAGGAGGCTGAGGCAGGAGAATCACTTGAACCCAGGAGGCGGAGGTTGCAGTGAGCTGAGATCGCGCCAGTGCACTGCAGCCTGGTGACAGAGCGAGACTCTATCTCAAAAAAAAAAAGAAAAAGAAAAAGAAAAAAAGAAATTCCTTTGCTTGAGGAATGAGAGATTCGAAGAACAACTGATAAGAAAGCAAACTGCAAAATAAGGGAAGTAATTAATCCCCTCAAAAAGTCCACATTGGGGGCGGGCAGCTCATATCATGAGAGACTTTCAGACGAAATCAAGAGCAATGCCAGGAGTCCAACAGGGAGAAAAGAGAATTTGTAACCAAGCTCATTAATTCCAAAGCTTGATGAAACAGACAATTACCTAAAGGGAAAAGCTGTCTAAACTGACTCAGAAAGAGGTGGGAAACTTCAACAAGCAGTAGACGCCCAAGGAATTTTGAAAGCTGAGTTAGAATCGCTCTTCCGAAAATTCCTCAACCCATGCGGTTTTGAAGGTGAATCGTGGCGGTGTTTCAAAAGCAGACACTTTTAAAAATGCTAATTAGACGATTCTGCAATGTAAAGGGAGAAATAGAAAAGCTTCTCAAGGTTCTTTCTTTGTTTTGTAAACAAATTATTAAAACTTTAGTATCCCGACTTGAGATAGATAGGAAAGAAAGTAAATCTATAGCTCCCAGATACATATCACTTCAAAAGACCTCAAGGAGGACAGGCACGGTGGCTCACTACTGTATCCCAGCACTTCGGGAGACCGAGGCGGGCAGATTACTTGAGGTAGGTCAGGAGTTCGAGACCAGCTTGGCCAACATGGTGAAACCCTGTCTTTACTAAAAATACAAAAACTAGCCGGGCATGGTGGCGCACACCTGCAATCCCAGCTACTCAGGAGGCTGAGGCAGGAGAATCACTTGAACCCGGGAGGCAGAGGCTGCAGCGAGCCGAGATCACACCACGGCACTCCAGCCTGGTGATAGAGCTAGACTCCATCTCAAACAAACAAACAAAAAAACCCAAGGGAATGGCTGGGGCATGAAATCTTGCAGTGCTTAAGAAGTTAATGCATCACGACAACGAAGATCATTGCAGAAATGTGGGAGCTTTCAGCTGCTGGGTCTTAAAAACCAACACCCCAAAGTACGGTGCTTTGTCCTGCTGAACTGAAGAAGCCTCAAGATCTCTCTAACTTCCCCCTCCTGCTTCCTCTGTGTCTCCCGATGCACAGGATGAAGTTGTTCTCTGAAGTTTCCTGAAGTCTGGACATGTCAAAGAAGGAAAAATGACCAGTGTCCCCTTCCCTGAGTTTCTGAACCCACATCGCGGAGGAAAGACTGATGTCTGTCAACAGCCCTGCAGAGACTCCTCATAAACCACTGTCTGTTCTGAGGGTTCCACAGCCTCTGTCCCTGCAGAGACTCGTCATAAACCATTATCTGAGGCCAGGCGCAGTGGCTCACACCTATCATCCCAGCACTTTGGGAGCCCGAGGCGGGTGGATCACCTGAGGTCCAGAGTTCGTGACCAGCCTGGTCAGCGTGATGAAACCCCGTCTCTACTAAAAATACAAAATTAGCCAGGCGTGGTGTCACATGCCTGTAATCCCAGCTACTCGGGAAGCTGAGGCAGGAGAATCGCTTGAACCCAGGAGGCAGAGGTTGCACTGGGCAGAGGTCCCGCCACTGCACTCCACTCTGGGCAACACAGAACGAAACTCCGTCTCAAAAAAAACAAGCAAACAAACAACAATAACAAAAAACATTATCTGTTTTCGGGCCACTGTACATTGTTCAAACCCATTGACTTCTCTTTAAAATCATTTACTATTTGGAATCCTATATTCACCCCCAATTCCCCACTCCCCTTCCGCTAAGAAGAAGAGGACACAAGCGTCTGTACCCCTTTGTGTAATGGGGCAATTCCTCTGACATTCTCCTCCATGGATGAGAATACATTTGCCTGTCATTTCCTTTATTCATGTTTCAAAAAGGGCAATTGTATTTTGTGCGTTGATTTTTCAGCAAACCTTCAAATGGCAAAGGGGGATGTTTTTCCCTTGGCCCCTACCACAGCATCCCCAAACGGTCTCCAGCTCCTAAGAAGATTCATTTATGGGCACTACCTAGCTACACAGCGTCACCCACCGAGCTCGCACACAACCAAGGCTTTGGGGTGAGAATGTACAAATACATCACGGAATCCAAGCCCCCAACACCGCACACGCAGCCTGGAAGTGGTTGTGTCAGAGCTGTGTGAACCAGCGTGACTCCATCTTGAATAGGGGCTGGGTAACACGAGGCTGAGACCTGCTGGGCTGCATTCCCAGGCGGTTAAGGTATGCTAAGTCGCAGGATGAGATAAGAGGTTGCTACAAGGTACAGGTCATAAAAACCTTGCTGATACAACAGCTTGCAGTAAAGAAGCGGGCCAAAACCCACAAAAAGCAAAATGGCGACAAGAGTGACCTCCGGCTGTCGTGACGGCTACATTCCCACCAGCGCCAGGACAGTTACAAATGCCACGGCAATGTCAGGAAGTTACCCTCTACGGTCTAAAAAGGGGAGGCATGAATAATCCCCCCCTCGTTTAGCATATCATCAAGAAATCACCGTAAAAATGGCCAACCAGCGGCCGCCGGGGATGCTTTGTCTGCGGAGGAGCCATTCATTTACTCCTCTACCTTCTCAATAACTTGCTTCTCTTTCCACCACTGAGCCGTCCTGAATTCTTTCTTGCACGAGATCCAAGAACCCTCCCTTGGGGTCTGGACTGGGGACCCCCTTTCCTGTAGCATCTTCAGGTGCAGCCGTGAATCAGAGAAGCAGAAGGGGCTTACCTTGAAAAGCAACCAGCCGAGAAGCTTCTTCGCCAGACGGGTGGCCCAGAACACGTGCTTGTAGACGTCCGTGTTGACCACCCCGGGGTCCACCACGTTGGCGGTCACGTGGCTTCCCTCAGCCGCCAGCAGCCGCTGGAGGTGGTAGGTGAACAGGACAAGGGCCAGCTTGCTCTGGGCGTAGGCTGCGTGGGGTGAGTAGCAGGCACTGTGGGGCAAGCAGGAGAAGGTGTAAGAGGCTGACGGCGTTCACGCCTAAGTGCTTCATCCCAGCAGCATCTGTACCTGCGGCCACGGCCACGTCTATACGCAGCCACCTCCCCTAGACCCATGTGTGATCATGCCATCTGTTGGCCAGTTTTCCAACGCGTGTGGATTTTTCTAGTTCACCTTTTTATTATAAACTCATCCCTTAATTGTATTGGGGTCAGATATGTTAAATTATGTTACTAATTTTTTATTTATTTATTTATTTATTTTGGAGACAGAGTCCCCCCTCTGTCGCCCAGGCTGGAGTGCAGTGGTGCAATCTTGGCTCACTGCAACCTCCACCTGCCCGGTTCAAGTGATTCTCCTACCTCAGCCTCCCCAGTAGCTGGGACTACAGGTGCCCGCCACCACACCCTGCTAATTTTTTGTATTTTCAGCAAAGATGGAAGTTTTACCATGTTGGCCAGGCTGCTCTCGAACTCCTGACCTCAAATTATCCACCCGCTTCAGCCTCCCAAAGTGCTGGGATTACAGGCAGGAGCCACTATGCTCCCTGTTTTTTTTTTTTTTTTTTTTTTTTTTTTTTTTTTGAGACAGATTCTCACTCTGTCACCCAGGCTGCAGCCTCCCGGGTTCAAGCGAATCTCGTGCCTCAGCCTCCAGAGTAGCTGGGATTACAGGCTCCTGTCACCACGCCCGGCTAATTTTTTGTATTTTTAGTGGGAACAGGGTTTCACCATGTTGGCCAGGCTGGTCTTGAACTCCTGACCTCGGGTGATCCACCCTCCTTGGCCTCCCAAAGTGCTGGGATGACAGGCATGAGCCACCGCGCCTGGCCACATGTGGTCTTCTTGATGAGTCTCAAATCATAAAAGACAACCACACAAGCAATTTGGCAAACTTCCCAAGCTATCATAAATTTTCCTCACATCTACTGCAAGCTCTGTAGTGTGCTAAGCACATGTTAAACTCTTTGCACCTTGGTTCAAGCAGTTTAGAGAAATGTTTTAGTATCACAGGACATAGTGATAAAAATCGATCCGATAACCGCGGTAAAGTGAGTAACGTGCCTCTCTCTCTCTCTCTGGTAACCTCAATCACCAGAAACACAGAAAACTGGATGTTTCCAGCTTTGCTCCTGTAAATATGTTCTACTTTTTCTATGTATGCCTTAGAAACACTTTTTAAAGAGATGTTATTTGCGGTGTTACATAACGTCCCTTGAAGGCACACAACCACCATAGACTCCTTTTAGAATTTAATGCTAGGCACAGATCATTAGCCTTAGAATTGGCCTCATAGTTCTTTTCAATAAGACAAGGAGAAGTATTTGAGCAATAATGTTTTTCTTTCCTCTGGGGCTCCAAAGATGCCCAGAGGCGATCAATTTGCTACACAATTATCGTAACAACATTTCAAGGTGGCTGAAGGTTCATATCGCTTGCTTCTTTTATATATATATATATTTTTAAATTTTATTTTTATTTATTTATTTTTGAGACAGAGTCTTGCTCTGTCAACCCAGCTGGAGTACAGTGGCGTGATCTCGGCTCACTGCAAGCTCCTCCTCTCGGGTTCAAGTCATTCTCCTGCCTCAGCCTCCCAAGTAGCTGGGACTATAGGCGCCTGCCACCTGCCTGGCTAATTTTTTGTATTTTTAGTAGAGACGAGGTTTCACCATGTTAGCTAGGATGGTCTCGATCTCCTGACCACGTGATCTGCCCACCTCGGCCTCCCAAAGTGCTGGGATTACAGGCATGAGCCACTGTGCCCGGCCTAATTTTCTGAATTAACCACATGGTATATGTATCCTGATGGAAGCTGTGAACAGAAAATATCTGGGCACCCCAAAAGCGGGAAGCTCAAAGGAAAAGTCCAGCTGGAACCTGCTGAAGGCAAACCTGCCTCCCACTCTGTTCAAAGTCACCCCTGTGCTCACTGAGATAGATGCATATCTGATCACCTCCTTTGGGAAGGCTCATCACAAACCCAAAAGAATGTAACCATCTGTGTCTCACCTACCTGTGAGCTGGAAGCCCCCTCCCTGCTTCCAGTTGTCCCTGCTTTTCAAGGACTATACTTCTTATTTTTTTGAGACAGAGTTTTGCTCATATTGCCCAGGCTGGAGTGCAGTGGCACAATCTTGGCTCACTGCAACCTCTACCTCCTGGGTTCAAGCCATTCTCCTGCCTCAGCCTCCCGAGTAGCTGGGATTACCAGCGCCCGCCACCACGCCCGGCTAATTTTTTGTATTTTTAGTAGACATGGGGTTTCACCATGTTGGCCAGGCTGGTCTCGAACTCCTGACCTCAGGTGATCCGCCTGCCTCGGCCTCCCAAAGTGCTGGGATTACAGGCGTGAGCCACCGCACCCACCCCAACGTAGCTCTTACATATATTGATTGATGTCTCCTGTCTCCCTAAAATGTATAAAACCAAGCTATGGCCAGACGCAGTGGCTCATGCCTGTAATCTCAGCACTTTGGGAGGCCAAGGCGGGCGGATCACAAGGTCAGGAGTTTGAGACCAGGCTGGCCAACATGGTGAAACCCTGTCTCTACTAAAAAAAAAAATTAAAAAATTAGCCAGGCATGGTGGCATGTGCCTGTAGTCCCAGCTACTCCGGAGGCTGAGGCAGGATAATTGCTTGAACCTGGGAGGCAAAGGGTGCAGTGAGCTGAGATTGTACCACTGCACTCCAGCCTGGGCAAGAGAGTGAGACTCCATCTCAAAAAAAACAAAAAAACAAAAAAACACACAAACAAAAAAAAAACAAGCTGTGACCTGACCACGTTGCACACGTCATCAGGACTTTCTGAGGCTATGTCACAGGCTCACGTCCTTAAATTTGGCAAAACAAACTCTAAATTAACTGAGACCTGTCTCAAATTTTCAGGGTTCACAAAGCCATCTCAGATATAGTTTGAATATCAGCATGATATTTATGCTAAAAAACTAAAGATAAGATCAAAAAGCCTAAAAGAATGTTTAACACATTCAAAAGATCAAAAGAAAGACATCCGTCATCATATGCGTTTCAGAAAAAGCTTCTGAAAATCCAATGCCTCTTACCAACAAAAGCTGTTCCTAAATAAGAATACAATATTGAGGGCTGGGTGCGTTGGCTCATGCCTGTAATCCCAGCGCTTTGGGAGGCTGAGGTGGGCAGATCACCAGGTCATGAGTTTGAGACCATCCTGGTTAACATGGTGAAACCCCATCTCTACTAAAAATACAAAAAATTAGCTGGACGTGCTGGCGGGTGCCTGTAGACCCAACTACTTGGGAGGCTGAGGCAGGAGAATCACTTGAACCCGGGAGGTGGAGGTTGCAGTGACACGAGATCACGCCATTGTACTCCAGCCTGGGCAACAGAGTGAAAGTCTGTCAAAAAAAGAAAGAAAGAAAGACAGAAAGAGAGAAAGAAAGAAAAGAAAGAAAAGAAAGAAAGAAAAAGAAAAGAAAAGAAAGAAAGAGAAAGAAAGAAAGAAAGAAAGAAAGAAAGAAAGAAAGAAAGAAAAAGAAAGAAAATAAAAGAATAGAAAATTGAAATAAATGAAGTAAACTTTGACCTAAGGATCTGGAGAAGAAAAATGAAAATGCTTTCCTAAGGAAAACACATAAAAGAAAACCAAAAAGATCAAAGCAAATGAGAAATACAGAAAGAAAACAGTATAAACATAAATGATACCACTGGGGAACAGAGACTGATGTTGGTTTTTGTTGTTGTTGTTTGAGAAGGAGTCTTGCTCTGTCACCCAGGCTGGAGTGCAGTGGCGCCATCTCAGCTCACTGCAACCTCTGCCTCCTAGGTTCAAGCAATTCTCCTGCCTCAGCCTCCTGAGTAGCTGGGATTACAGGCATACACCACCATGCCCAGATAATTTTTGCATTTTTAGTAGAGACGGGGTTTCATCAGGTTAGCCAGGCTGGTCTGGAACTTCTGACCCCAAGTGATCCACCCACCTTGGCCTTCCAAAGTGCTGGGATTACAGGTGTGAGCCACTGTACATGGCCCTGGTATTGGTTTCTAAACCTCCTCTCCCTGTTATAAAATGTCCAATATACACTATATTTTGCAGATGAAAAGTAGAATATTACAATTACAGAGCAGACCCTGAAACTATAAAAAAAAAATTAGGGCTGGGTGCAGTGGCTCACACCTCTAATCCCAGCACTTTGGGAGGCCGAGATGGGCAGATCCCGAGGTCAGGAGATCGAGACCATCCTGGCTAACATGGTGAAACCTCGTCTCTACTAAAAAAACAAAAAATTACCCGGGCATGGTGGCGGGCGCCTGTAGTCCCAGCTACTCGGGAAGCTGAGGCAGGAGAATGGCGTGAACCCGGGAGGCGGAGCTTGCAGTGAGCCGAGATTGCGCCACTGCACTCCAGCCTTGGTGATAGAGTGAAACTCCGTCTCACAAAAAAAAAAAAAAAAAAAAAATTAGATACCCTCTATATTCATGTATTCATTTTTTCATAAAATAAATGAACAAAACCAATAATGCATGCCTATGCTGGGGCTCAGAGAACAGTAACCTAAAATGAAGACCTCAGAAGCAGCATCAGAAGCAAACCTTTCTTGCTGACCTTCTCCTACCCTCCTGTCTCTCAGACCCATTTCGCCCCAAGGGCACCACGGAAACTGGAATCCTTCTTCCCCAAGGTGGGTCCCGAAAACCAAAGCACCTTTCCCCCAAGGCCAGCCAGAAACCCTATAAATAGGACTCTAAGTTTCCCTACACCCTGAGTATATAAAAACTCGCCATAAAGAAATTTCCTATCATCGTGCAGTGGCTCACGGCTATAATCCCGGCACTTTGGGAGGCCAAGGCAGGTGGATCACTTGAGATCAGGAGTTCGAGACCAGCCTGCCCAACACAGGGAAACATCACCTCTACTGAAAATACAAACATTAGGCCGGGCACGGTGGCTCACGTCTGTAATCCCAGCACTCTGGGAGGCCAAGGTGGGCAGACCACAAGGTCAGGAGATCGAGACTATCTTGGCTAATACGGTGAAACCCGGTCTCTACTAAAAATACAAAAAATTAACTGGGTGTGGTGGTGGGCGCCCGTAGTCCTAGCTACTTGGGAGGCTGAGGCAGGAGAATGGTGTGAACCCAGGAGGCGGAGCTTGCAGTGAGTGGAGATTGCGCCACTGCATTCCAGCCTGGGCGACAGAGCGAGACTCTGTCTCAAAAAAAAAAAGAAAAAAGAAAATACAAACATTAGCCAAGTGTGGTGGCGGGCACCTGTAGTCCCAGCTACTCGGGAGGCTGAGGCAGGAAAATTGCTTGAACCCAGAAGGTGGAGGCTGCAATGAGCCAAGATTGCGCCATTGCACTCCAGCCAGGGCGACAAGAGCAAGACTCTGTCTCAAAAAAAAAAAAAGAAAAAGAAAAGAAAAGAAAAAGAAAGAAAAGAAAAGGAAAAGGAAATTCCTTGACCTGCCTTGTTTGAATGTAGGTTCTACGACCCCCTTCCCAGAGAGGGTCCCACCCCACCCCCAGAAGGAAGGCGCACTGCTCAGAGGCCAAAAAAATCTAGACAGGCCTGTCTGTTTCCCCACTCAGACCGTCAGCCTTAGATCACACCCTCTTCCTCCAATCCTATTCCTACACGGATTTCGTTCAGACGTCGTTGAACCTAAGCATAAAAATAGACGGTTTCCCCTGCATCTTTGGGTCTTCCCTCTGAAGGCTGCTGTATGTATCCATCGAGTAAACTTTGTATGCCTTTTCTCCTATTCATCTGCTTTTGCAAGTTGATTTTTCAGCTTGCAAAATCAGAGGGAATGACCCTCCATCTGTTCTCCTATCACACTGTCATCATTTCCACTGTGAAGAACATGGGGAAAACTGGCCAGACAACCAAAGGAAGGGCGTGCACATACATTTGCACATCTTTTGGGAGAGCAACTTCACAACATGCAACTCAATCTTTAAAATCATAAATCTTTTTTTTTTTTTTTTTTTGAGACAGAGTCTTGTTCTGTCGCCCAGGCTAGAGTACAGTGGCACAATCCTGGCTCACTGCAACCACCCCCTCCTGGGTTCACACCATTCTCCTGCCTTAACCTCCTGAGTAGCTGGGACTACAGGCACCTGCCACCATGCCCGGCTTTTTTTTTTTTTTTGTATTTTTAGTAGAGACGGGGTTTCACCGTGTTAGCCAGGATGGTCTCGATCTCCTGACCTCGTGATCTGCCCACCTCGGCCTCCCAAAGTGCTGGAATGACAGACGTGATGTGAGCCACCACGCTCAGCCCTTTTTGTGCCTTTTTTTTTTTTTTTTTTTTTTTTTTTTGAGACAGAGTCTCGCTCTGTAGCCCAGGCTGGAGTGCGGTGGCGCAATCTCAGCTCACTGCGACCTCCACCTCCCGGGTTCAAGTGATTCTCCTGCCTCAGCCTCCCAAGTAGCTGGGACTACAGGCGCCTACCATCACGCCCAGCTAATTTTTGTATTTGCAGTAGAGATGGGGTGTCACTGTGTTGGCCAGGCCAGTCTCGAACTCCTGACTTCAAGTGAACCGCCCGCCTTGGCCTCCCAAAGTGCTGGGATTACAAGCGTGAGCCAACGCACCTGGCCTATGAATATCTTTTAGTAACATCACTACTTGAAATTGATCTTAAAAAAATAAACCTTGGGCCAGGCATGGTGGCTCACGTCTGTAATCCCAGGACTTTGGGAGGCCAAGGCTGGCAGATCACGAGGTCAGGAGATCGAGACCATCCTGGCTAACACGGTGAAACCCCGTCTCTATTAAAAATACAAAAAGTTAGCCAGGAGTGGTGGCGCATGCCTGTAATCCCAGCTACTTGGGTGCTGAGGCAGGAGAATCGCTTGAACCCGGGAGGTGAAGATTGCAGTGAGCCGAGATCACGCCACTGCACTCCAGCCTGGGCAACAGAGTGAGACTCCATCTCAAAAAAAAAAAAAAAAAAAATTAAGCATTGATTCAAAAAGTCTTTTCTGGCTGGGTGCAGTGGCTCACATCTGTAATCCCAGCAGAACTTTGGGAGGCAGAGGTGGGCGGATCACCTGATCCTTTCAGGGGTTTGAAAGGGTTCTTGGATCTCGTGAGAAAGAACTCCGAGTGGGTCCATAGAGTAAAGTGAAAGCAAGTTTATTATGAAAGTAGAAGAATAAAGAATGTGTACTCCATAGATGGAGCATCCCGAGAGCTGCTGGTGGCCTATTTTTATGGTTATTTCTCTATCATATGCTAAACAACGGGTGGATTACTCATGAGTTTTCTGGGACAGGGGTGACCAATTCCCGGAGCTGAAGGTTCATCCCCCTTTTAGACCATGTCATGGCATCTGTAAACCGTCTCTTATCAGCTAATGCATTAGAATTAGCGTATCATGACCAGAGAGGATGACCAGAGGTCAGTCGTCACCATCTTGGTTTCGGTGGGATTTGGCTGGCTTTACCACAACCTGGTTTATCAGCAGGGCCTTTGTGACCTGTGTCTTGTGCTGACCTCCTCTGTCATCCTGTGACTTAGAATGCCTCATCCACCTCCAGAGAAGGCAGCCCAAGCAGGTCTCAGCCTCATGTTACGCAGCCCCTATTCAAGATGGCAGAGTTGCTCTGGTTCTAATGCCTCTGAAAAATTTAGGGGATTGTTTTCTGAGCCCCAACACTGTGATCTTAGCAACTGAGCAATTTTCCCACCTTCATGTAACCAAAGACAGAGTGGATCACAGAGCTTGGAAAGCTCGTACCCGGGAAATCGCAGCCTGCAGCTGACATGTTCTGAGATGTGCCTTGCCGTTGTGCAAAAGGCATGTTTGAATGCTTGCATGAGGACAAGTGACTCCCCCATTAACACCTCCAGGGGCTCAGTTCTGCCTCCAGCCACTGTCTCATCACGCAGCCATGGGTAGCAGAAAGCCACATGCCAAAATCTGACATCGGGCCTGTAAAAAATAAAGGTTCCTGTTCAAAGACTTTCCTCCCCATCTAATTAGGAATAAATAGTAACTTCTCTGAGAAGCAAACTTCATTCAAAGACTTGTGCTAACATTCCTAAATATCTGCTAGCCGTGATAAAGAAATCAATGTACTTTATGCTCTTAGCTCCCACAATTTAACCTAAGTATCAGCCCTGGCATGCTTATACTGGTCCAAGCAAGCATTACGTCACAGCCTGTTCCTCTTCTTTATCTAAAAGTGCTTTTTCCTTTCTCAGCATTCCACAAGTTACTTCCTCCTTCCTTTGTTCTCCTCTGCCTTTGCCTCTTTTAAATAGTTCCAAGGTGCTGGCCAATCGGGACAAATACAGAATGTGAGGTCCCATTCCAGCCCTGGAAACTGGACACAGCAGTAGGGCGGACGCATCAAGTGATAAATGACCCTGTCCCCTTTGTTCGCTGTACTCTCCTGGCAAAACTGCTGGAGAGTGTACCCTTTCTGCAGAAAGTAAAAAAAATGGCCTTGCTGAGGAAATTAATGTTCAAGTGCTATTTCTTTATGGCACTGGGGAACAAGCATTTCAAACAGACCTGAGGTTTACCCGATTTCTGCTGGAAAAGAAACCTCAGGTCTGCTGCCTTAGAAATAAATAAGGGCAGGACAGAAAGGGTGACAAGGGGGTCCTTAGCCATGGAGACTTTGCAAAATAATGAACAATCAAAACATAACTTTTTGGGGGTTGGGGTGGGGTAGGAGGGGACTGGAAAGGCTGACTGCATAATAAAGAGATTGGAAGAATTGGCTGGGTATGGTGGCTTATGTCTGTAATCCCAGCACTTTGGGAGGCTGAGGTGGGTGGATCACCTGAGGCCAGGAGTTCGAGACTAGCCTGGCCAACATGGTGAAACCCCGTCTCTACTAAAAATACAAAAATTAGCAGGGCGTGGTGGCAGGTGCCTGTAATCCCAGCTACTCGGGAGGCTGAGGCAGGAGAATCCTTGAACCCGGGAGGTAGAGGTTGCAGTGAGCTGATACCACGCCATTGCACTCCAGCCTGGGTGACAAGAGCAAAACTCTGTCTCAAAAATAAATAAATAAAAAGAAATCTAAGAGACTGGAAGAATTAAGACAGGGAAATTGAGTAGTTCAGAGCTGAAGTCCCATCTCTGATCCAAGATAAACTGTAAACCTCCAATTACTGTCAAGATATCTTTTTAAGGCAAACTTCTCCAATCTCCTCACCCCAGGGGAAGAGAAGAGTCCAGGAAACAGATAGTTACTAAGTGCAGAGAGGCAAAGACTGGCTTTCCTGCTGGCATGATCGTTTTTTAAATATCAGCTACAAGCATTCGGTTCTGAATCTCCAGCATTTGATTGATGGGTAAGAGGAATGGTTACTTGAAAAAGCAGAAAATGCATCATCCAAAGGCAGATTTTTCCAGAGTAAATGGAGGGGTTGGTTCTGTAATTATGGTTTTACACAGTAGCGTGGAGAAGAGAGAACTAAGATTGTTTAAAAATACGGTGTGGGGGCAGGCGAAAAGCCAATACATTTCTCTACAGGAGGTGAAGAAATGAATCCAAGAGGGGCACGTAGTTTCAGGAGAGATTCCCTGGGGTGGGGGTTAGGGATGAAGAAATATCCACCCCAGAAATGGGAAAGAATGAAAGCAAATACGTAGGAGGAAATGCCCATTAAGGTCTGTAAATGAAACCCTAAGGACTCTGACAAAAGTCGTTGGTATTAGGCCGGGAGTGGTGGCTCGCGCATGTAATCTGAGCACTTAGGGGACACTAAGGCAGGCAGGTCGCTTGAGCCCAGGAGTTCAAGACCAGACTGGGGAGTATAGTAAGACCTTATCTCTACAAAAAATACAAAAAGTACCTGGGTGTGGTAAAGCACACCTGTAGTCCCAGCTAATTGTGAGGCTGAGGTGGGAGCAGATCATTTGAGCCTGGGAGGCGCACATGGCAGCAAGCCAAGATAGCGTCACTGCACGGCCTGGGAGGCAGATATGGCAGTGAGCCAAGATGGCGCCACTGCACGGCCTGGGAGGCGGACATGGCCTTGAGCCAAGATGGCGCCACGGCACTCCAGCCTAGGAGGCGGACGTGGTCGTGAGCCAAGATGGCGCCACGGCACTGCAGCCTGGGAGGTGGACATGGCCTTGAGCCAAGATGGCGTGGCCGCACTGCAGCCTGGGAGGCGGACATGGCCGTGAGCCAAGATGGCGCCACGGCACTCCAGCCTAGGAGGCGGACATGGCCGTGAGCCAAGATGTCGCGGCCGCACTGCAGCCTGGGAGGTGGACATGGCAGTGAGCCAAGATGGCGCCACCACACTCCAGCCTGGGAGGCGGACATGGCCGTGAGCCAATCAGCAAAGATGGCGCCACTGCACTCCAGTCTGGGTGAGACAGGGAGACTGCCAAAAAACAAAATGAAACAAAAAATCATTCAATGAGCTTTCCTGTTGAATAAGAAACTGAACAAAAGCCACCTGCTACTAAATCTGGACCTTATAAAAGGGTATTTGAGTTCTCCATTTTTTGCTGATTAAAGCATTACTCTCTTCTTGTTATTAAAAATCGTGAAGACTGAACATACTTTTGAGTGTTTATAAGACCGGGCGCGGTGGCTCACGCCTGTAATCCCAGCACTTTGGGAGGCCGAGGCGGGCGGATCACGAGGTCAGAATATCGAGACCATCCTGGCTAACAGGGTGAAACCCCGTCTCTAATAAAAATACAAAAAAATTAGCCGGGTGTGGTGGCAGACGCCTGTAGTCCCAGCTACTCGGGAGGTTGAGGCAGGAGAATGGCGTGAACCCGGAAGGCGGAGCTTGCAGTGAGCTGAGATCACACCCTGCACTCCAGCCTGGGCAACAAAGCAAGACTCTGTCTCAAAAAAAAACAAAAAGAAAGGAGCCCTTTATAAGTTATTGTGATGGATACTGTAGGATGTAAACGTGTCATATCTCGGTCTCCCAACAGCCAGTCTCCGTAGGCGGTGTCCTTTTATATGGATCAACAGGCAGTTTTTGCATTGATTATTTATCCACTTTGAGAGGTACTTGTGTAGAAGCAAGGACAACTGAGTTTTTATGTTAACTTCCTACGAATCCGTTGCATTGCAACGTATTTCCATTGCAGGACATTGTTGCATAATCAAATTGCCAATGCAATTAGGGAAACTCAATCGACTGCTCATAACCTAGTTGACTGGAGCTATTTTTCCAGTGCTCATTAAACCTGATGACAATCACTGTTTTAATGAGTAAGTATGGGTGGCATTCAATATATTTATAAGTATTATAACAATCCTTCATGTCTAAATTGAATTTTCCCTTTGGCAGTACAAACAACTCCATTACATTCTTTCTAGGATATCTACGCTTAATATTCTTGATAACTATCATCTACATTTAATATTCTTGATAACGATCCGCCTACCAGGAACTCAGAAAATACTGCGAATAAAGAGAGGTTTTTTTTGTTTGTTTGTTTTTTTGAAACAGGGTCTCGCTCTGTTGCTAGGGTGGAGTGCAGTGGTGCGATCTCGGCTCACTGCAATCTCCGCCTCCCGGATTCAAGTGATTCTCCTGTCTTAGCCTTCCGAGTAGCTGGGACTACAGGTGCCCGCCACCACACTCAGCTAATTTTGGTATTTTTAGCACAGTGGGGTTTCACCACATTGGCCAGGATGGTCTTGATCTCCTGACCTTGTGATCCACCCCCTAGGCCTCCCATAGTGGTGGGATTACAGGTGTGAGCCACTGTGCCTGCCCCACGCCCCCCCCCTTTTTTTTCTTTTTTTTTTTTTGAGAGGGAGTCTTGCTCTGTTGCCCAGGCCGGGCTGGAGTGCAGTGCTATGATCTTGGCTTGCTGCAACTTCCACCTCCCGGGTTCAAGTGATTCTCCTGCCTCAGCCTCCTGAGTAGCTGGGACTACAGTCACCCGTCACCACACCCAGCTAATTTTTGTATTTTTAGTAGAGACGGGTTTTTACCACATTGGCCTGGATGGTGTCGATCTCAAAGAGAGGTCTTTGACTTTTTCCGCTAAGAGAAAACAACCAAAACAACACAGGACATTGCAGGTATCTTGTGAATTCCAGCTGCATCCAAACACCCTGATACTTTCGCTCATAGACACATAGTGAGTGTGTCAGCTGTCCGACATATCTCAGAACACAGGGGGAACATGTGAAACCTTGAGTGAAATCCGAATCGAGATGGGATACCACACTCAAAACACGTTACACAACTTAGTCTATACTGGATGATTTCACGGGATGTGAATTCATGGTTAGGAATAAAATAATGAAGAAGTCACCCAAAGTTACATAAGTTGAGAAACTCAAACCAAGACAGCCATGTTCACAGTGAGGCACGCCCATGCCTATAACAACTCCATGACTGAGGGACGTCAGAGTGAAATAAAGAATTTCTTAAATAGGTAGAGAATCTATCATGGCCAGGCACGGTGGGTCACACCTGTAATCCCAGCACATTGGGAAGTCGAAGTGGGCAGATCATTCGAGGTCAGGAGTTCGAGACCAGCCTGACCAACATGGTGAAAACCCAGCTCTACAAAAAAAAAACACAAAAATTAGGTGGGCATGGTGGCGGTGCCTGTAGTCCCAGCTACCCGGGAGGCTGAGACAGGAGAATCACTTGAACCCACGAGGCAGAGGTTGTAGTGAGCTGAGATTGCGCCACTGCACTCCAGCCTCGATGCCTGGGTGACAAAAGCGAAACTCTGTCTCAAATAAAATAAAATAAAACAAAACAAATTTAAGGGTCTCACAGGAAAGAAATCTTAAAGAATAGAAAATGATTTTGGAAGGTATGTGTCCCTCTTTTTTTTTTTTTTTTCTCTCCAGGCTGGAGTGCAGTGGTGCGATCTTGGCTCATTGCAACCTCCACCTCCCCGGTTCAAGCAATTCTCCTGCCTCAGCCTCCCCAGTAGCTGGGACTACAGGGACATGCCACCATGCCTGGCTAATTTTTTATATTTTAGTAGAGACGGGGTTTCACCATGTTGGCCAGGATGGTCTTGATCTCCTGACCTTGCGATCCACCCCTCTCAGCCTCCCAAAGTGCTGGGATGACAGACTTAAGCCACTGTGCCTGCCCTTTTTTTTCTTTTTTTGAGAGGGAGTCTTGCTCTGGAGTGCAAGCTGGGCTGGAGTGCAGTAGCATGATCTTGGCCCACTGCAACCTCCACCTCCCGGGTTCAAACAATTCTCCTGCTTCAGCCTCCAAAGCAGCTGAGATTACAGGCACATGCCACCATGCCTGGCTAACTTTTGCATTTTTAGTAGAGACGGGGTTTCCCCATGTTGACCAGGCTGGTCTCGAACTCCTGACCTCAGGTGATACGCCCGCCTCGGCCTCCCAAAGTGCTTTCTATTGAAATTTATTTCACCATGGGGATGATTCGGTACAGCCAAGTTGAGGAGACATGTTCTCTCATGTGTAAAAACTCTTGGATTTTTGGAATATGTTACAACACTGTGATTTATTCCTTTACAAGAACGCTAATTTTCCAAGCCAGTAAATCAATCTTGGCAATTAACACTAATTACTGGCAATGATTATATCAGGCAAAAGCCAAGAACCACATCTTTCATCCAAAAAAAAAAAGCAGTATATTTTAAATTCAAGTGGTTCTCATATTTTAGCATGCATCAGAATTCCCCCAAAGACCTTCTCCTTGCCAACCCCTGTTCTCCAAACTTCGGGTTTAGGAGATCTGGAGGATGGTCTGAGAATGGGAGCATCTTCATTTCTTTTTTCTTTTTCTTTTTTAAGACAGAATCTTGCTTTGCAGCCCAGGCTGGAGTGCAGTGGTGCGATCTTGGCTCACTGCAACCTCTGCCTTTCGAGTCCCAGTTGAAGCAATTATCCTGCCTCAGCCTTCCGAGTAGCAGGGATTACAGGTGTGCACCCCCACGCCCAGCTAATTTTTGTATTTTTAGTAGAGATGGGGTTTCTCCATGTTGGCCAGGCTGGTCTTGAACTCCTGACCTTGTGATCCACCTGCCTCGGCCTCCCGAAGTGCTGGGATGACAGGCGTGAGCCACCATGCCCGGCCCACTCACCATATATTTACTGAACTTCAGTCATATGTGACGCAGGGATGACACAAGAACAGAAAAATCAGGGAGATGGAGACGGAGCTAACCACGGAAGCTGAAGTTCGTCGGCCAGATGGCCCAATGCACAATAATTCGGGGAACACACATCCAGGCAACTGCACCTGACTGGGAATACCTGGCTGTCCTACCACCATCTGGTCATCTAGGGGCTCCTACAGTAATACAGAAGACGCCGGCTGAGGCGTGTTCTATTCTACCAAGGGGACCTGGGCGTATCTCATGGACTGAATTACGTCTCCCCAGATTCCTATGAAGTTCTAACTCTGAGGAACTCAGAAAGATGACCTTATTTGGAGATAGGGTCCTTTTATTTTATTTATTTTTTGAGACAGAGTTTCGGTCTTGTCACCAAGGCTGGAGTGCAATGGTGCAATCTTGGCTCACTGCAACCTCCGCCTCCCGGGTTCAAGCGATTCTCCTGCCTCAGCCTCCCCAGTAGCTGGGGTTATAGGCACCTGCCATGGCGCTTGGCTAATTTTGTATTTTTTAAGTAGAGACGGGGTTTCACCGTGTTGTCCAGGCTGGTCTTGAACTCCTGACCTCAGGTGATCCACCTGCCTCAGCCTCCCAAAGTGCTGGGATTACAGGCATGAGCCACCATGCCCGGCCGGAGATGGGGTCTTTAAAGATGCGATTCAGGTAAAATGAGGTCACTAGGGTAGGTACTGATCCAATAGGACTGAGGTCCTTATAAGAAGAGGAGATGAGGACACAGACACACACAGAGGGACAACCAAGTGAGGACACAGGGCGATGATGACATCTCCAAGCCCAGGAGAGAGGCCTGAGGAGGAACCAGCCCTGCTCACACCTTGATCTCAGACCTCCAGCCTCCAGGACTGTGGGAGAATCAATGTCTGCTGTTATAAGCTACACAGTCTATGGTATTCTGTGATAGCAGCCTGAGATGGAGTAAGGCATTGCATAAGAAGAGGAGATGAGGACACACACACACACAAAGGGACGACCCTGTGAGGACACAGAGAGAAGATGGCGTCTACAAGTCCAGCAGAGAGGCCTCAGGAGGAACCAGCCCTGCCCATACCTGGATCTCAAACTTCTAGCGTCCAGGACTGTGAGAGAATAATGTCTGTTGTTTATAATCTACCCAGTCTATGGTATTCTGTGATAGCAGCCTGAAATGGGCTAAGACACCTCATAAGAGGAGGAGATGAGGACACAGACACACACAGAGGGATGATCCTGTGAGGACACAGGGAGAAGACGGTGTCTACAACCCAAGGAGAGAGGCCTCAGGAGGAGTCAGCCACACCCACACCTTGATCTGGGACCTCCAGCCTCCAGGACTGTGGGAGGCTCAATGTCTGCTGTTTAAGCCACTAGGTCCGTGGTATTTTATTATGGCAGCCCCAGCAAAGCAATGTTCTCTCCTTTAAGAGATCACTCCTAAGCTATGAACGATGAAAAAGGGGCCTATTTGGAAAGAGTCAGTGCCGTCAACGAAGAACAGTTTCCAGAAAGCTCAGAGGAGGCATCTGTTAACACTCTCTCATTATCCCCTGCAGAGGAATCATGGAGAAATGAAACATGGCTCAGGTGAATGCCTGTCATCAATATTCATTTTACATAATCAAACTGGTGAAGCAAAAGAGGAGAACAGGAAAAGAAAAGCAGTGTAAGTTGAATTGTAAGTCTCGAAAAAATAGGGGGAAGTGGCCGGGCGCAGTGGCTCACGCCTGTAATCCCAGCACTTTGGGAGGCCGAGGCGAGAGGATCACGAGGTCAGGAGATGGAGATCATCCTGGCCAACATGGTGAACCCCCGTCTCTACTAAAAATATAAAAATTATCTGGGCGTGATGGCGCATGCCTGTAATCCCAGCTACTCAGGAGGCTGAGGCAGGAGAATCGCTTGAACCCAGGAGGTAGAGGTTGCAGTGAGCCGAGATCGCACCACTGCATTGCAGCCTGGGCGACAGAGCAAGACTCTGTCTCAAAAAAAAAATATATAGATAGATATATAGATATAGATATAGATATATAGATAGATATAGATATATATAGATATAGATATATAGATAGATATAGATATATATAGATATATATATAGATATATAGATATATATATAGATATAGATATATACAATAAATTAAAATAAAAACAATACAATACAAATAAATAAACAAAAAATGTTAGAGCCGGCTCTGAGCTGGCTCTGGCTCTCAAGCCCTTTGACTTTGAAGTTCCTTGATCTGCTTTGCAATCTGTATTACTTTCCTGGGATTGTCCAAACAAATGAGCACAGACTGGATGCTTCAAAGTCACAGAAATTCATCCAGTGAAGTGATACCTTCTGGAGACCAGAAGTCTGAAATTCAGGAGTGGACAGGGTCGTGCTCTCTCTGGACGGTCTTCTAGGGCAGGAACCCTTCCTGCCTTTCCCAGCTTCTGGGGGCTCGGGGAGTCCCTGACCCCGTGGTCAGATCACTCCAGTCTCTGCCTCCGTCTCCACGTGGACTTCTCCTCTGTGTCTGTGTCTCCTCTTCTGTCTTTTAGAAGGATACCGGTCAGTGGATTTAGGACCTACCCTACTCCAGGATGATCTCATCTCTAGATCTCTAACTAATTACACCGGCAAAGTTCTTTATTTTCAAATAAAGTCTCATTCTAGGTTCTGGGCTTCGGGATGTGGACAGATCTTTCTGTGAACCACCATTCAATCCACTACAATTGTATCCAGTTCCCTCCAGAGGCTCTAGGGGAGGGCCCTTCCTGCCTCTCCCAGCTCCTGGGGGCTCCGGGCATCCCTGACCCTGTGGCTGCATCACTCCAGTCTCTGCCTCCATCTCCACGTGGCCTTCTCCTCTGTGTCTGTGTCTCCTCTTCTGTCTCTTTCCAAGAACACCTGTCATTCCATTTAGGGCCCTTCTTATATGTAGAGTGGGGTCGGAATAGTTAATATTATGTGTTAACCTGACTGGATCATGGGGCACCTAGATGTTTGATTGAATGTTACTCTGGGGTATCTGTGAGGGTGGAGGGGAGGGTCCTTCCTGCCTCTCCCAGCTCCTGGGGGCTCCAGGCATCCCTGGGTGTGTGGCCGCATCACTCCAGTCTCCACCTCCATCTCCATCTCCATGTGGCCTTCTCTGTGTCTCTCTGTCTCCAAATTTTCTACTTCATTTTTTTTTTTTTTTTGAGACAGAGTTTCGCTCTTGTTGCCCAGGCTGGAGTGCAATGGCACGATCTCAGCTCACTGCAACCTCCACCTCCCAGGTTCAAGGAATTCTCCTGCCTCAGCCTCCCGAGTACCTGGGATTACAGACGCGCAGCACCACGCCCGGCTAATTTTTTGTATTTTTAGTAGAGACAGGGTTTCATCATATTGGTCAGGCTGGTCTTGAACTCCTGACCTCAGGTGATCTGCTCACCTTGGCCTCCCAAAGTGCTGGGATGACAGGCATGAGCCAGTGTGCCCAGGTATTTTCTACTTCTTGTAAGGCCACCCATCATATTGGATCAAGGGTCTACCCTAATCATCTCATCTTCACTTAATTCCATCTGCAAAGACCTATTTCTAAATTAGGTCTCAATTATACATATTTGGAGTTAGGATGTGGACATAACTCTTCAGATAAGAGTTAATGGTGGTCGGGTGTGGTGGCTCATGCCTGTAATCCCAGCACTTTGTGAGGTCAAGGCAGGCAGATCACTTGAGGTCAGGAGTTTGATTACAGCCTGGCCAACATGGTGAAGCCCTGTTTCTACTAAAAATACAAAAATTAGCTGGGTGTGGTGGTGCATGCCTGTAATCCCAGCTACTCGGGAGGCTGAGGTGGGAGAATCATTGGAACCCGGGAGGCGGAGGTTGCCGTGAGCCAAGATAGCACCACTGCACTCCAGCCTGGGCAACAGAGTGACATTTGTCTCTTTCAAAAAATAAAATAAAATAATAGTTAATGGCATATAAGCAATACCGTCAAAGCCTTTCTTTAATATGTGTTTTTATAGGAATAAAAACTCTCTTGTTAATTGCACTTGGTAATATATGCTTCCTCAGCTTTCTTAGGTGATAATGAGGCTCAATTCTTATTAAGCGCATGAATCTGCTCTGTAGCACCTAAAGTCTCTAGGAAGTAGCTGTCATTTCTGTTGGGTGGGGTTGTTCTGGATGTGATCTGCTTATCTTCATTATTCAAAACAGAGATCGTGGCTGGGCACGGTGGCTCATGCCTGTAATCCACGCACTTTGGGAGGCCGACATGGGAGGATTACCTGAGGTCAGGAGTTCGAGACCAGCCTGGCCAACGTGGCAAAATCCTGTCTCTACTAAAAATACAAAAATCAACTGGACGTGGTGGCGGGTGCCTGTAGTCCCAGCTGCTTGGGAGTCGAGGCAAGAGAATTGCTTGAACCCGGGAGGCGGAGGTTGCAGTGAGCCGAGATCACACCACTGCACTCCAGCCTGGGAGACAGAGTGAGACTCCATCTGAAAAAAAAAATGAGTAAATACAACAGAGATTGCTTTGATCAACAGTATCAACCCCAAAGTGAGCTCTCAGAATAACAGACAGGCGGCCCTCCACCAGTGCTGTACGAGGAAGGGGTGTTCCTGTGTGTCTTTGGCGAGCGGTAATGCCTGCCAAGCAGCTCACATTCCCCAGGTTCCCCAACCCATGCCTTGCCTTGCTCAGTGAGTCGTGTCTGCAGCAAGTGCTGCTGGCTGTGCCAAGACTCCTCGTTCCCTCCTCCCTTCTCCCAGGCCCTCTCATACAGCAGGCTCCGTGTGTGGAGCCCCGAGTGGGCATCAGGGAAGGCTGGCCCCCACACACCCAGCCCAGCCTCAGGCCTGGAGTTAGGGAAGCCAGTCATGGCAGGGCTGTTCTTGCCAGTGGGTCCAGGCAAACCCTTCAGCATGGAGCCCGAGGCAGGAGGCCTACACAATCCTGCAGTGAGCCCTGAGCTGAGAAGAAGCCTGAGAAACACGCATGTCTTCCTCTGGGTGCTGTCATGCATGGGTGTGAAAACAGGAAATGCCCCAGCCAGCATACACACGTCACCTGCGCACACTGGCACGCACATGACTCACCTGTGCACACGAGCACTCACGCACCTTATCTGTGCACACTGGCACGCACCTCACCTGTGTACACAGGCATGCACATCTCATGTGTGCCCACGGGCACAAAGACCTCATCTGTGCCCACAGGTACACACAACTCACCTGTGCATATGGGCACGCATGCACCTCACCTGTGCATACTGGTACACACCTCACCTGTGCACATTGGCACACACATCTCAGCTGTACACACAGGCACGCACACATGCCCTTGCTTCCTCAGGGCACCATGAAGGAGAAGCAGCCCCTCCCGGCCACAGGCCCTGCTCTCCCTGCATTCCTCTCACCCGCCCTTCCCTGCACAGCCCGGTGCTTCTTCAGCTGCCCGGAGAAGATGAAGTCCTGGCCAGCCTCGCTCCTTCCCTCCCACAACCGGCAGGGTTCACACTTCATGCAGGATCCCATCGAGGCCGACTCCCTCATCCCACACCCTTCAGAGCAGAGAGGCTCACAGACACAGGAGCTCAATTCGACAAAACAGATGGGCCAAGGTATCCTAGGAGGCCCCCACGGCCCTCCCTTCGTTACATCCTGCCCCTCGCTGTGCAGGGAAATGCAAACTGTTAGGAGCTGGCAGGGCCTGTGCCCCTGGGCTCACCCTCCTCGTAGTCCTGAGGGTACTCCAGGGCCTGGGGGTGGGGAGGGCGCCCACCCTGCTGTACATTACAGAGGCTGGCCCCAAAGTCTGATGCTGGCACAGCCAAGCAGCCAGTTCTTTCCGAGTGTGGCATTAACGCTTTGTGATCTTAGGGCTGCAGAGAAATTCAAAGGCGAGTCCGACTGTGTGCTCTGACTGTGTCTGTCTCCAAATTCCTACATGGAAATCCTCATCCCCCGTGAGATGGTGTTAGGAGGTGAGGCCCTTGGGAGGTGATGAGGTCACGATGGGGGAGACTCAAGTATGGAATCAGTGCCTTTATAAAGGGGACCCCAGAGAGCTCCCTTGCCCCTTCCACTGCTTGATGACACAGTGAGAAGGTGCCATGTGTGAACCAGGAAGCGGGTTCTCGCCAGACGCTGGCACACTTTGATCTTGGACTTCCAGCCTCCAGAACCGTGAGACATAAATGTGTGTTATTTATAAGCCACCCAAACTATGGAATTTTTCTTTCTTTTTTTTTTTTTTTTTTGAGACGGAATTTTGCTGTTGTTACTCCGGCTGGAGTGCAGTGGCGTGATCTTGGCTCACCACAACCTCCGCCTCCCGGGTTCAAGCGATTCTCCTGCCTCAGCCTCCCGAGTAGCTGGGATTACAGGCGTCCACCACCACGCCTGGCTAATTTTGTATTTTTAATAGAGATGGGGTTTCACCATGTTGGTCAGGATGGTCTCGATCTCCTGACCTCGTGATCTACCTGCCTCAGCCTCCCAAAGTGCTGGGATGACAGGCGTGAGCCACCACACCCGGACTGCTGGATTTTTTCTTATATCAGCTTAAACAAACTAAGATGATTATTCCCACAGAGGAATCGTTTTTATCCTTAAGGCGGGGTTAGGAGGAATTCACAAGAGAGACCTGCTGATGGACAGACAGTACATTGCGTGTCGACAGGAGTCCACACCAATGCCACCTGCAGATGCAGTGCCTGACATTCCCATGGGGGCACAAGAGAAGGTTTAAATAGATCCGTTTTCCTTTTCTATGTCTCACCTCTGTGTTTCTTGTTCCTTCTAAAAAATAAAGTAACAATACCATCGCACATTGCTAAGTTGCCCAAGGACAGCAAATGGCTGGGGATGTACATATCCCACAACACAGCGCCAGGAGCACCTGTGCCCGGCAGATGCAGGCAGCACCATTTCCAGAGCACATGTGCCCAGCAGATACAGGTAGCAGTGTGCCCAGAGCACCGCTACCCAGCAGAAGCAGGGAGCACCGTGCCCAGAGCACCTCTACCCAGCAGACTCAGGGAGCACCGTGCCCAGAGCACCTGTGTCCAGCAGACTCAGGGAGCACTGTGCCCAGAGCACCTCTACCCAGCAGATGCAGGGAGCACCATGCCCAGAGCACCTGTGTCCAGCAGACTCAGGGAGCACTGTGCCCAGAGCACCTGTGCTCAGCAGACGCAGAGAGCACCGTGCCCAGAGCACCTGTGTCCAGCAGACTCAGGGAGCACTGTGCCCAGAGCACCTGTGCTCAGCAGACGCAGAGAGCACAATGCCCAGAGCACCAGTGCCCACCAGATGCAGGGAGCACTGTTCCCAGAGGACCATGCCCAGCAGATGCAGGGAGCATCGTGCCCAGAACATCTGTGCCCAGCAGATCCAGGGAGCACCATTTCCAGGGCACGTGCGCCCAGTAGACACAGAGAGCAGTGTGCCCAGAACACCTGTGCCCAGCAGACACAGGGAGTACCGTGCCCAGAGCACCTGTGCTCAGCAGACACAGGGAGCACCGTGCCCAGAGCACAATGCTCAGGAGATGCAAGGAGCACCGTTCTCAGAGCACCCATGCCCAGCAGATGCAGGGAGCACTATGCCGGGCACCAATGTGCAGCAAATGCGGGGGCACTGTGCCCAGAGCACCCATGCCCAGCAGACTCCAGGGAGCACCGTAGCCAGAGCACCTGTGCCCAGCAGATGCAGGAAGCACCAGTGCTCAGCAGACGCAGGGAGCACTGTCCCCAGAGCACCAGTGTCCAGCAGACACAGGGAGCACTGTCCCCAGAGCACCAGTATCCAGCAGACGCAGGGAGCACTGTCCCCAGAGCACCAGTGCTCAGCAGACGCAGGGAGCACTGTCCCCAGAGCACCAGTGTCCAGCAGACGCAGGGAGCACTGTCCCCAGAGCACCAGTGCTCAGCAGACGCAGGGAGCACTGTCCCCAGAGCACCAGTGCTCAGCAGACGCAGGGAGCACTGTCCCCAGAGCACCAGTGCTCAGCAGACGCAGGGAGCACTGTCCCCAGAGCACCAGTGCTCAGCAGACGCAGGGAGCACTGTCCCCAGAGCACCAGTGCTCAGCAGACGCAGGGAGCACTGTCCCCAGAGCACCAGTGTACAGCAGACGCAGGGAGCACTGTCCCCAGAGCACCAGTGTCCAGCAGACGCAGGGAGCACTGTCCCCAGAGCACCAGTGTCCAGCAGAAGCAGGGAGCACTGTCCCCAGAGCACCAGTGTCCAGCAGATGCAGGGAGCACTGTCCCCAGAGCACCAGTGCTCAGCAGATGCAGGGAGCACTGTCCCCAGAGCACCAGTGTACAGCAGACGCAGGGAGCACTGTACCCAGAGCACCAGTGTACAGCAGACGCAGGGAGCACTGTACCCAGAGCACCAGTGCTCGGCAGACGCAGGGAGCACTGTCCCCAGAGCACCAGTGTATAGCAGATGCAGGGAGCATTGTCCCCAGAGCACCAGTGCTTGGCAGACGCAGGGAGCACTGTCCCCAGAGCACCGGTGTCCAGCAGACGCAGGGAGCACTGTCCTCAGAGCACCAGTGTACAGCAGACACAGGGAGCACCGTCCCCAGAGCACCAATGCTCGGCGGACACAGGGAGCACTGTCCCCAGAGCACCAGTGCTCGGCAGATGCAGGGAGCACTGTCCCCAGAGCACCAGTGTACAGCAGATGCAGGGAGCACTGTTCCCAGAGCACCAGTGCTCGGCAGACGCAGGAAGCACTGTTCCCAGAGCACCAGTGTACAGCAGACGCAGGGAGCACTGTCCCCAGAGCACCAGTGCTCGGCAGACGCAGGGAGCACTGTACCCAGAGCACCAGTGTACGGCAGACACAGGGAGCACTGTACCCAGAGCACCAGTGTACAGCAGATGCAGGGAGCACTGTCCCCAGAGCACCAGTGCTTGGCAGACGCAGGGAGCACTGTCCCCAGAGCACCGGTGTCCAGCAGACGCAGGGAGCACTGTCCTCAGAGCACCGGTGTACAGCAGACACAGGGAGCACCGTCCCCAGAGCACCAATGCTCGGCAGACACAGGGAGCACTGTCCCCAGAGCACCAGTGCTCGGCAGATGCAGGGAGCACTGTCCCCAGAGCACCAGTGTACAGCAGATGCAGGGAGCACTGTTCCCAGAGCACCAGTGCTCGGCAGACGCAGGAAGCACTGTTCCCAGAGCACCAGTGCTCGGCAGACGCAGGGAGCACTGTCCCCAGAGCACCAGTGCTCGGCAGATGCAGGGAGCACTGTCCCCAGAGCACCAGTGTCCGGCAGATGCAGGGAGCACTGTCCCCAAAGCACCAGTGCTCGGCAGACGCAGGGAGCACTGTTCCCAGAGCACCAGCGTCCAGCAGATGCAGGGAGCGCCACACCGCACAGACAGAGGGAGATGAATAACCTTTAACCCACCTGAGATGCTGTTATGATTATTCACAGGGTGCACCTACCTGCTCTGAAGGTCATCCATGTTCAGCTCAGCGACGTAATGGGTGGCAGAGGAGACGGTGACCACCCTCGCACTGTGGCCAGGGGACCCAGACTCTTTCAGCGTATCCAAGAGAAGGTTGGTCAGCAGGAAGTGCCCTAGGTAGTTCAGGCCGAAATGTTCTTCGAATCCATCTCTGGTTTTCCTCTGAGGGACCATCATCACCCCAGCTGGACAAAAGAGAATATCAGAAGGAGTTAGACTGGGGAAGACAGTGGAGAAATCTCACAGATGGATTCCCCAGATGCGCAAATGGCCCAGGACATCGGAGGGTGGGGTGTAGAGCTGGCGGCCATGTCTTCCTCCTGGGCCTCTGTTTCCTGCTTTAGGTGTGATGGAGAAGATTCTAGAAGATCACTGAAGTCCCTTCCTGCCTTCTGTCTCTGCACCTCTGTGCCTTGAGTTTAAAAATAATAACCACAGGCCGGGCGCGGTGGCTCACGCCTGTCATCCCAGCACTTTGGGAGGCTGAGGCGGGTGGATCACCTGAGGTCAGAAGTTCATGCCTGTCATCCCAGCACTTTGGGAGGCCAAGGCGGGTGGATCATCTGAGGTCAGGACTTCAAGACCAGCCTGCCCAACATGGTGAAACCCTTGTCTCTAGTAAAAATACAAAAATTAGCCAGGTTTGGTGGCAGGGTCCTGTAGTTCCAGCTACTCAGGAGGCTGAGGCAGGAGAATTGCTTGAACCTGGGAGGCGGAGGTTGCAGTGAGCTGAGATCATGCCACTGCACTCCAGCCTGGTGACAGAGCGAGACTCCATCTCAAAAAAAAAAAAAAGGAAAAGAAAAATAATAACCACAATGATAACACAGCAACACACACAAGAGAGTGAGAATCATCCAAGTCACCAAACAGAGTCCCCTGGACAATTAATTATTCTGGGCGGCTAGGTGTGATGGCTCATACATGTAATCCCAGCCTTTGGGTAGGTGAGTAGGGCAGACTGCTTGACGTCAGGAGTTCGAGACCAGGCTGTGCACCACAGTGAAACTCCATCTTTACCAAAAATACAAAAAATTAGTGGGTGTGGTGGTGCGTGCCTGTAGTCCCAGCTACTCGGGGAGGTTGAGGCGGGAGGATTGTTTGAGCCCAAGAGGTGGAGGTTGCAGTGAGCCGAGATTGTGCTACTGCACCCCAGCCTGGGCAACAGAGATCCTGTCTCCCCCCAGAATTCTGGACAAGTATAGCTGCTATGGCACCCCCTCTTCACTGAGTATCCCACAAACAAACTGCTCAGATGTCCTTTGAGAAATGCCGACCTCAGTATAAACATGGCCTGTCCTCACCCCTAGACCACAGGGCAGCCCTGTCGGTCATCATTCTATAGACATCATCATCACCGCAGGTTCTGTGCTTGACATGTTCTATCTACCAGACACAGAACAGCCCACCCCTGTCAGGCCAAGCCCGGCTGAGCGCCTGCCCTGAAGTCCTTGCTGTGGAGGCCTGATCTCAAAGGTGACTTGTCCTAGAAACACGCACGAACCATACTGCCTTGTACTTAGAGCAGACCAGTTTGCTTGGATATTAATGCCAATGTAGATATGTATTTGTATGTACATGGATAATGTAGATGTGTATACATAGGCATGTTATATATGTACCTGGAATTCTGTATCTATCTACACGTAACGCAAATACAGGCACGTCTATTCATATACATATATGCATACGCATTTGTAAATGTGTTTATATAGCTATACACTTGGGTATATAACTGCATGTATGCATAATTCAAAGATATATGCCTATAGAGATATATGTTAGCATGTACATATGTGTTCACGTCTTTACATGCAGATTCATTTTCAAATGCCTATAAATTTGTGCATATTTTCTTTTACATATGTGTTGTATGCACATGTGCATGAGTTTGCATGTGTACACATTTATTCACATGTATATACATGTCCATACACATTTACATCTTTGCATGTGTATCTGCATACAGTGTATGTATATATTATATGTTTCTATTTGGAATTGTACAATCGCAAGTATTTGCATGTGTTCATACACCTACAAACACACAGCATTTGTCATTATTTGTACATTGGAACATCTACGTGTATTGCACGCATGAATATGCATTTTGATTCATCTGTGGAATCCCATAGCTTTTGCATTTGTGCACGTTTGCATTTGCAAATGCATTTGAGGTGTATGATTAATACACACACACACCTATCCATTTGCATATGGACACGTTTGTGTTCAAAGATGTATTTCAATATGGAGCTATATTGATATTTGTAGATCTATTTCTGTATTTGTATATATATGTGTTTGCATCTGCATGTGTACATATCTTTCTATGCATATGCATTTGTATATGTGTTTGTGTGTATTTTATATGGAGCTATCTATACATATATGTAGGTCTAGCATTTGTCTACATATTTGTATATGTATATCTGCATGTGTACATATTTTCCTATGCATATGCATTTGTATATATGCTTGTATTAGTGTGTATGTATTTTATATCTACACACAAATATATAGAGGTCTAGCATTTCTCTGTGTATTTGTACATGTATACATGCATCTGCAAGTGCACACATTTTTTATATGTACATGTATTTGTATATGTGCTTGTATTTGTGTGTATTTTATATGGAGATATCTACACATATATAGGCCTAGCATTTCTCTACTTATTTGTATATGTATACGTGTATCTGTACATGAATACATTTTCCTAGGTACATGCATTTGTTTATGTGCTTGTATGTGTGTGTGTATTTTATATGTATGTATTTATTTATTTTTTGAGGAGGAGTTTCGCTCTTGTCGTCCAGGCTGGAGTGCAATGAGGCAGTCTCGCCTCACTGCAACCTCCGCCTCCCAGGTTCAAGCAATTTTCCTGCCTTAGCCTCCCGAGTAGCTGGGATTACAGGCACCCACCACCACACGTGGCTAAATTTTTCTGTATTTTCAGTAGAGACGGGGTTTTGCCATGTTGGCCAGGCTGCTCTCAAACTCCTGACCTCAGGGGATCCGCCCACCTCGGCCTCCCTAAGTGCTGGGATTACAGGCGTGAGACACTGCACCCGGCCGTGTGTGTATTTTATATGGAGATATGTATATATCTATAGGTCTAGCGTTTCTGTATGTATTTGTGTATGTATATGTACATCTGCATAGCGTACATCTTTTTCTATGCATATGCATTTGTACACGTGCTTGTGTTTGTGTGTATCTTATATGGAGCTATCTATACATATATGTAGGTCTAGCATTTCTCTATGTGTTTGTATATGTAGAGGTGTATCCGTAGGTGTATACATTTTTTGAGGTACATGCATTTGTATATGTGCTTGCTTCTGTGTGTACTGTAATATCTGTATGTTATTTGTGCCTCGGTACATGGACCCATTTCCCTATAAATTTTTGATGCGTGTGCATTTGTGTACCTGCCTGTGTTTGTGTACACAGTCTTTCCAGTTGTACTTTATGAACACTCAAAACCAAAGCTGGCTCCTCGCCGGCTCAGCATTCCCAAAGAACCAAGCAGGAGCCACGTGGCCTTATCGACCCAACTTTGGAACTCCTACAGAGTTGTCACCACTGCCCCATTCTAGGAATTACGAGACAGTTAATGAGGACAGCCGAGATTCAAGAGACGGAGCAGGGACTCCAGCTCCCGAAGAGACAAGTGTGAAAAGAATTTGCAGGCCTGTTTTACAGCCTCTCCAACCCGCCTTTCAAAACTGTGGATGCACAGGCCGCACTGGATGCCCCATTGCGCGGAGGGCCCACAGAAGACTCAGCAGTGGGTCCCGCGGCTCTACACGTCCCTGGCCCCAGTGGAGGCTTGACAATTGTGAGGTCCTTGAGGAAAAACCAACGTCTTATTCTGGCTGTAGCCTCCACAGTGCGGTTGTAGTGCTTTGGGTACAGCAAGGGGGAAATAAAAAATAAACGTGGATGGAGATCTGCTGCTTTTGAGACGTGAAGCCACCTGGACTTCCTGGGTCGAGTGGAGACCCGGAGACCTTTTGTCTAGCTAAAGAATTGTAAAGGCACCAATCAGCACTCTAAAATGGACCATTCAGCAGTCTGTAAAATGGACCAATCAGTGCTCTGTAAAATGGACCAATCAATGCTCTATAAAATGGACCAATCAGCACTCTGTAAAATGGACCAATCAGCACTCTGTAAAATGGACCAATCAGCACTCTGTAAAATGGACCAGTCAGCAGGATGTGGGCGGGGCCAAATAAGGGAATAAAAGCTGGCCACCTGAGCCAGCTTGTGTCCCCTTCCACGTTGTGGAAACTTTGTTGTTTCACTCTTCACCATAAATCTTGCTGCTGCTCACTCTTTGGGTCTACACTACCTGTATGAGCTGTAAGACTCACTGCCAAGGTCCGCAGCTTCACTCCTGAAGTCAGCGAGTCTGCGAACCCACCAGAAGGAAAAAACTCCAGGCACATCTGAACATCTGAAGGAACAAACTCGGGACGCACCATCTTTAAAAGCCCTAACACTCACCGTGAGGGTCTGCGGCTTCATTCTTGAAGTCAGCGAGACCAAGAACCCACAAGAAGGAATAAATTCTGGACACACTCTCACAGAGAATGGTGGCAGGGGAGAGGCACCACCATGCCATTCCAGGCCTGTGGCCTGCTGAAATCCTCAGGGAGAAATGAGCAGACTGTTCAGGTGCAGTCCTTGCTTCTCACCTGCACACACTTTCCAGCCAGACTCAGTGCTTCCCCCTCCTACGTGAATATCTAGCTTTCAAAAAAACTTCCAGGATACAGAGAATTTATTCCCTGAGCTTATGCCTGTAAAACATCAGGAGTATAAACCAACTGGGAGGGATCCAATATCAATCAGGGTCCAGTATCAATCAGTCACAAGACACATGTGTATTAAACATTCAACACTCCTACAGTCCTCAAAGCCCATCTAACAAAACACTTCTGAGAAGTATGTCAGAATTCACCTCAGGAGTTATCCAGAAAAAAAGCCCGGCCCGGTGGGTCATGCCTGTAATCCTCCCAGCACTTTCAGAGGGCGAAGCGGGCAGATCAGTTCAGGTCAGGAGTTCGAGACCAGCTTGGCCAACATGGAGAAACCTTGTCTCTACTAAAAATACAAAATTAGCCGGGCGTGGTGGTGCATGCCTGTAATCCCAGCTACTCGGGAAGCTGAGGCAGGAGAATCGCTTGAACCTGGGAGGCAGAGGTTGCAGTGAGCCGAGATCACACCACTGCACTCCAGCCTGGGCGAAAGAGTGAGACAAAACGAAACAAAAAAACATACCTGCACCTGTCTGTTTCTTGCAGCACAACTCACAACTGCAAACATACGGAATCAACCTAAGTTGATTTTTGTCTCAAAAACAAAAAAAAACCAACAACAAAAAAACAAAAACACCAGAATAGGTTGCTGTGGGTGGACGGGAAGCTTTGCATTTTGATGAACTATAAACATCTTTTTCACGATGCCATTTTCCTCATATTTTATTTGATGTGAAGAATCTGGAGACACACAGCTCAATCCGTGCCTGAAGTGTCATAAATTCCCAGCTTAGGAGAGACGAGCTTATCATGAACACCTGGCTTATGCATGCATGGTTTTGAAAGGCAGCTTCAGGGGGCTCTAAAGCAGGCCTGCAAATTCTTTTGACACTCGTCTCCTTGGGAGCTAGAGTCTACGCCCCTTCCCTTGAATCTCGGCCATGCTCATTAACTTTCTCGTTAATTCTTTTGTAGAATGCCACAGTGGTGTAAACACTGTGTGACTTCCAAAGTTGGGTCAATAAGGTCACGTGGCCCCTGCTTGGTTCTTGGGAATGCTGAGTCTGGGAGGAGCCAGCTTTGGTTTAAAAAGACTGAGCACCTTCAGCCTGACATGCTGGAGAGGCCCCAGGTACCTGTTCTTGTTGGCCCTCCCAGCTAAGCCCAGGTGACAGGCTGTACCAGCTTCTTGACACCAGAGAAAGCTATCCTGGACATCCAACCTGGTCAAGCCTTCAGATAAAGTCAGCCCCAGCTGCAGCCCCACAGGAGACCCCCCAGGCAGAACTGCCTACATTCCTGTGCCCCGAAAGAAAGTGAATTCATACAAGCTGTATAGAAAACAGCACGGATGTTCCTCTCAAAGAACTAAAAGCAGATCATTTGTTCGATCCAGCAATCCCACTCCTGGGTATCTACCCAAAGGAAAAGAAGTCCTTATATCAAAAAGACACCTGCAGGCCAGGCATGGTGGCTCACGCCTGTCATCCCAGCACTTTGGGAGACCAAGGCGGGCAGATCACCTGAGGTCAGGAGTTCGAGAGCAGCCTGGGCAACATGGAGAAACCCCAGAATTGCTTGAACCCAGGAGGTGGAGGTTGCAGTGAGCCGAGATCGCACCACTGCACTCCAGCCTGGGTGACAGAGCAAGACTCCATCTCAAAAATAAATAAATCAATAAAATAAAATAATCAAACAAAACAATACAAAACAAAATACCTGCACCTGTCTGTTTCTTGCAGCACAACTCACAATTGCAAACATACGGAATCAACCTAAGTACCCCTCCGTGGAGTACTGGATAAAGAAAATGGAATGGAATACTACTAAGCCATTAAAAAGAGTGGAATCGTGTCATTGGCAGTAACTTGGATAGAACTGGAGGTTATTATTCTACGTGGAGTCACTCAAGAACAGAAAAGCAAATACACGTTCTCACTTGTAAGTGGGCACTAAGCTCTGGGTATGCTTCTGGCATTGAAGGGGCATACGGAATAGAGGAATACACATTAGAGACTGAGGGTGGGGCTGTGAGTGAACCTGTCACCCAGGAAATGGCCACTGTACCCAACAGGTGGTTTTTCATCCCCTGCCTCCCTCCCCCTACCTTCTAGCAGTCAAGAGTTTCTGCTCTTCCCATCTTTGTGTCCATGAGTACCCGCTGTGTACCTTCCAGGTGTAAGTCAGAACATGCAGTATTTGGTTTTCTGTTTCTGTGCTGGTTCTCTTAGGATAATGGCTTGCAGCTCTGAGCAAATTCTTGGTGACAACAGCATCGTTGGGGAAGGTATCTTTTGCAAGAGCAGAGGGGACAGTGCTTCTGTGCAGGCAGGTGGTGACCTGTGCTCCAGATGAATCCGAGCCGTGCTAGGGACTCGCCTGGCGGGGAAGCTGCGTGAGAATTCCTGCGCCGTGGTGAATGCAGCAGCCACGCGCAGGGGCCCTGGATGCTGATAATTCATCGTTAGTGAGCTACTGCGAGTAATTACGTTTATTCCTATTTTATTATTATTATTATTACTTTGAGGTAAACTCTTGCTGTGTCACCCAGACTGGAGTGCAGTGTTGTGATGTCGGCTCACTGCAACCTCTGCCTCCTGGGTTCAAGCGATTCTCCTGCCTCAGCCTCCCGAGTACATGGGATTACAGGCACCTGCCCCGATGGCCAGCTATTTTTTGTATTTTTAGTAGAGACGGGGTTTCACCATGTTGGCCAGGCTGCTCTTGAACTCCTAATCTCAACTGATCCTCCCGCCTTGGCCTCCCAAAGTGCTGGGACTACAGGTGTGAGCCACTGCACCCAGCCCTACTAATATTATTATTTTTTTGGAGACAGAGTCTCGCTCTGTCAACCAAGCTGGAGTGCAGTGTGTCCGTATTTTATTTTTTATTTCATTTTTTTTGAGATGGAGTCTCACTCTGTTGCCCAGGCTGGATTGCAGTGGGTTGAACTCGGCTCACTGCAACCTCCGCCTCCCGGGTTGAAGTGATTCTTCTGCCTCAGCCTCCCAAGTAGCTGGGATTACAGGTGTGCACCACAACACCCGGCTAAACTTTTTTTTTTTTTTTTTGTATTTTTAGTAGAGATGGGGTTTTGTCATGTTGACCAGTCTGGTCTCGAACTCCTGACCCCAAGTGATCTGCCCGCCTCAGCCTCCCAAAGTGCTGGGATCCCAGGTGTGAGCCACCGCGCCCGGCCACGCACCCGTATTTTAAACCACAGTGTCACGGAGACGTTTCTAGGCAGCAAACCCACCTGAAACGCTGATATTTACGGAACGAAAGCCTGACATATTCTGAAGGAGAAATTGTTTTGTTGTTGAGTTCTTTGCCAGTGGCTTTAGGTATTAATTTTCCTCTTCCTATGTAAGCAGAGCATTGAAAGACCAGATTGGTGCCAGGTAGAGAGATTGGATGGGTGCCTGAGATGCCTGTTAGGAGGCCATTATCATGGCCTAGGAAGAGATGATGGTACCCCAGAGGAGGGATTGACGGAAGTCCGAAATGCAGAATTGAGTACTAGTTAGACAATCGACGGCAAATTCAAATGCCTGTAGGCTTTTGTATGTGTTTTAAATTTTCCATAATCATGTTTTTTTCGGCATCAGTAAAATTCTATTTATTTATTTTTGTCAAGTTATTATTTTCTTTTAAATCAAAGGAAAGTATAAAAAAGGTGCACAGGGCTGGGCACGGTGACTCACACCTGTAATCCCAGCACTCTGGGAGGCCGAGGCAGGCGGATGACCTGAGGTCAGGAGTTTGAGACCAGCCTGGCCAACTTGGTGAAACCCCGTCTCTACTAAAAATACAAAAAAAAAAAAAAAATTAGCTGAGTGTGGTGGCGGGCACCTGTAATTTCAGCTGCTTGGGAGGCTGAGGCAGGAGAATTTCTGGAACTCAGGAGGCAGAGGTTGCAGTGAGCTGATATCGTGCACTGCACTCCAGCCCCGGCCGACAACAGCGAGACTATGTTTCAAAACAAAAAAAAAAAAGGTGCAGAGATCATGAGGGAAATCTCAATGGAATCATCCAAAGCGAGCACTCTCCCCTCTCAGGTAACCGCCTCCCACATCTGCACCCCTAAGCCCTTTTTTGATCCAAAATTAATTATCACATTCTTCTAAGGTAACTACAATTCCAATTTCCATTACCATAGATTTAATTTGCCTGTTTTTTTCTGGGAGGCGGAGATTGCAGTGAGAAGAGGTTGTGCCACTGCACTCCAGCCTGGGCGACAGAGCAAGGCTCTGTCTCAAAAAAGGAAATAAATAAATAAAATAAAATAATAATTTGCCTTTTTTTAAAAATTTTAATTTAATTTTATTTTTGAGATGGAGTCTCACTCTGTCGCTAGGCTGGAGTGCAGTGGCACAATCTCGGCCCACTGCAGCCTCTGCCTCCCGGGTTCCAGAAATTCTCCTGCCTCAGGCTCCTGAGTAGCTGGGATTACAGGTGTATGCTACTATGCCCAGCTAATTTCTGTATTTTTAGTAGAGACGGGATTTCACCGTGTTGGCCAGGATGGTCTCGAACTCCTGACCTCGTGATCCATCCACGTCGGCCTCCCAAAGTGCTGGGATTACAGGCGTGGGCCATCGCGCCCGGCCTGTTTCTTAAAATTTCAATAATTTTTGGGAAACCAGTGGTTTTGGGCTACATGGATACATTCTTTTGTGGTGACTTCTGAGATTTTGTTGCACAAGTTTTAATCATCAGCAAATATACTGATGTTTCATTGCGAATTTTGTAAGGAATAAGAAAACCCTGTGGCCACGTCAGTGTATCGGGTGCCGTCCACGTTAGGAGCATTCACGGAATCTGTCTCTTCGCCAATTCAAAGGTGGAGAATACACAATAGAACTATCGTTCATTGATCTGCGAATCGAAAGGTGGAAAATACAGAATAAAACTATCGTCCATCGATCTGCCAATTCAAAGGTGGAAAATAAACAGTAAAATTATCGTCCATTGATCTGCCAATTCAAAGGTGGAAAATACGCAATACAATTATCGTTCATTGGTCTGTGCACCTAATGGCATTTTACTGGGGAGTGAACGCTCAGGGTCACAATCACATATTGTGCCTGAAGCAGTGAACACAGGTGAGGTGTATCCTGAACGGGAGGAGAAGGGAGAGTTCTCCGCTCTCCAAGCGGAGAACTCCAGAGAAAGGAGAGTGATGGGGATGAAAGGGCAATCAGAGAGAGAGAGAGGAGAGAGAGAGGGAGGGCAAAGAAGGAAGAGAGAAGGAGAGGGAGGAAATAGGGAGAAAGAGAGACAAAGAGAGATGGAGAGGGAACAGGGAGAGAGAGGGAGGGCAAACGAGAGGGAGAGAGAAGGAGGGGAGGAAATAGGGGAAAGAGAGAAAGAGAGATGGAGAGGGAACAGGGAGAGAGAGGGAGGGCAAACGAGAGAGGGAGAGAGAAGGAAGAGGAGGAAATGGGGGAAGAGAGAGAAAGAGAGATGGAGAGGGAACAGGGAGAGAGAGGGAGGGCAAACGAGAGGGAGAGAGGAGGAGAGGGAGGAAATAGGGGGAAAGAGAGAAAGAGAGATGGAGAGGGAACAGGGAGAGAGAGGGAGGGCAAACGAGAGAGGGAGAGAGAAGGAAGAGGAGGAAATAGGGGAAAGAGAGAAAGAGAGATGGAGAGGGAACAGGGAGAGAGAGGGAGGGCAAACGAGAGAGGGAGAGAGAAGGAAGAGGAGGAAATGGGGGAAAGAGAGAAAGAGAGATGGAGAGGGAACAGGGAGAGAGAGGGAGGGCAAACGAGAGAGGGAGAGAGAAGGAAGAGGAGGAAATGGGGGAAAGAAAGAGAAAGAGAGATGGAGAGGGAACAGGGAGAGAGAGGGAGGGCAAACGAGAGGGAGAGAGAAGGAGGGGAGGAAATAGGGGAAAGAGAGAGAAAGAGAGATGGAGAGGGAACAGGGAGAGAGAGGGAGGGCAAACGAGAGAGGGAGAGAGAAGGAAGAGGAGGAAATGGGGGAAAGAGAGAGAAAGAGAGATGGAGAGGGAACAGGGAGAGAGAGGGAGGGCAAACGAGAGGGAGAGAGAAGGAGGAGGAGGAAATGGGGGAAAGAGAGAGAAAGAGAGATGGAGAGGGAACAGGGAGAGAGAGGGAGGGCAAACGAGAGGGAGAGAGAAGGAGGAGGAGGAAATGGGGGAAAGAGAGAGAAAGAGAGATGGAGAGGGAACAGGGAGAGAGAGGGAGGGCAAACGAGAGGGAGAGAGAAGGAGGAGGAGGAAATGGGGGAAAGAGAGAGAAAGAGAGATGGAGAGGGAACGGGGAGAGAGAGGGAGGGCAAACGAGAGGGAGAGAGAAGGAGGAGGAGGAAATGGGGGAAAGAGAGAGAAAGAGAGATGGAGAGGGAACAGGGAGAGAGAGGGAGGGCAAACGAGAGGGAGAGAGAAGGAGGAGGAGGAAATGGGGGAAAGAGAGAGAAAGAGAGATGGAGAGGGAACGGGGAGAGAGAGGGAGGGCAAACGAGAGGGAGAGAGAAGGAAGAGGAGGAAATGGGGGAAAGAGAGAGAGAGATGGAGAGGGAACGGGGAGAGAGAGGGAGGGCAAACGAGAGAGGGAGAGAGAAGGAGGAGGAGGAAATGGGGGAAAGAGAGAGAAAGAGAGATGGAGAGGGAACGGGGAGAGAGAGGGAGGGCAAACGAGAGGGAGAGAGAAGGAGGAGGAGGAAATGGGGGAAAGAGAGAGAAAGAGAGATGGAGAGGGAACGGGGAGAGAGAGGGAGGGCAAACGAGAGGGAGAGAGAAGGAAGAGGAGGAAATGGGGGAAAGAGAGAGAGAGATGGAGAGGGAACGGGGAGAGAGAGGGAGGGCAAACGAGAGAGGGAGAGAGAAGGAGGAGGAGGAAATGGGGGAAAGAGAGAGAAAGAGAGATGGAGAGGGAACGGGGAGAGAGAGGGAGGGCAAACGAGAGGGAGAGAGAAGGAGGAGGAGGAAATGGGGGAAAGAGAGAGAAAGAGAGATGGAGAGGGAACGGGGAGAGAGAGGGAGGGCAAACGAGAGGGAGAGAGAAGGAGGAGGAGGAAATGGGGGAAAGAGAGAGAAAGAGAGATGGAGAGGGAACGGGGAGAGAGAGGGAGGGCAAACGAGAGGGAGAGAGAAGGAGGAGGAGGAAATGGGGGAAAGAGAGAGAAAGAGAGATGGAGAGGGAACGGGGAGAGAGAGGGAGGGCAAACGAGAGAGGGAGAGAGAAGGAAGAGGAGGAAATGGGGGAAAGAGAGAGAAAGAGAGATGGAGAGGGAACAGGGAGAGAGAGGGAGGGCAAACGAGAGGGAGAGAGAAGGAGGAGGAGGAAATGGGGGAAAGAGAGAGAAAGAGAGATGGAGAGGGAACAGGGAGAGAGAGGGAGGGCAAACGAGAGGGAGAGAGAAGGAGGAGGAGGAAATGGGGGAAAGAGAGAGAAAGAGAGATGGAGAGGGAACAGGGAGAGAGAGGGAGGGCAAACGAGAGGGAGAGAGAAGGAGGAGGAGGAAATGGGGGAAAGAGAGAGAAAGAGAGATGGAGAGGGAACGGGGAGAGAGAGGGAGGGCAAACGAGAGGGAGAGAGAAGGAGGAGGAGGAAATGGGGGAAAGAGAGAGAAAGAGAGATGGAGAGGGAACAGGGAGAGAGAGGGAGGGCAAACGAGAGGGAGAGAGAAGGAGGAGGAGGAAATGGGGGAAAGAGAGAGAAAGAGAGATGGAGAGGGAACAGGGAGAGAGAGGGAGGGCAAACGAGAGGGAGAGAGAAGGAGGAGGAGGAAATGGGGGAAAGAGAGAGAAAGAGAGATGGAGAGGGAACGGGGAGAGAGAGGGAGGGCAAACGAGAGGGAGAGAGAAGGAAGAGGAGGAAATGGGGGAAAGAGAGAGAGAGATGGAGAGGGAACGGGGAGAGAGAGGGAGGGCAAACGAGAGGGAGAGAGAAGGAAGAGGAGGAAATGGGGGAAAGAGAGAGAGAGATGGAGAGGGAACGGGGAGAGAGAGGGAGGGCAAACGAGAGAGGGAGAGAGAAGGAAGAGGAGGAAATGGGGGAAAGAGAGAGAAAGAGAGATGGAGAGGGAACAGGGAGAGAGAGGGAGGGCAAACGAGAGGGAGAGAGAAGGAAGAGGAGGAAATGGGGGAAAGAGAGAGAGAGATGGAGAGGGAACGGGGAGAGAGAGGGAGGGCAAACGAGAGGGAGAGAGAAGGAAGAGGAGGAAATGGGGGAGAGAGAAAGAGAGATGGAGAGGGAACGGGGAGAGAGAGGGAGGGCAAACGAGAGGGAGAGAGAAGGAAGAGGAGGAAATGGGGGAAAGAGAGAGAGAGATGGAGAGGGAACGGGGAGAGAGAGGGAGGGCAAACGAGAGAGGGAGAGAGAAGGAGGAGGAGGAAATGGGGGAAAGAGAGAGAAAGAGAGATGGAGAGGGAACGGGGAGAGAGAGGGAGGGCAAACGAGAGGGAGAGAGAAGGAGGAGGAGGAAATGGGGGAAAGAGAGAGAAAGAGAGATGGAGAGGGAACGGGGAGAGAGAGGGAGGGCAAACGAGAGGGAGAGAGAAGGAGGAGGAGGAAATGGGGGAAAGAGAGAGAAAGAGAGATGGAGAGGGAACGGGGAGAGAGAGGGAGGGCAAACGAGAGGGAGAGAGAAGGAGGAGGAGGAAATGGGGGAAAGAGAGAGAAAGAGAGATGGAGAGGGAACGGGGAGAGAGAGGGAGGGCAAACGAGAGAGGGAGAGAGAAGGAAGAGGAGGAAATGGGGGAAAGAGAGAGAAAGAGAGATGGAGAGGGAACAGGGAGAGAGAGGGAGGGCAAACGAGAGGGAGAGAGAAGGAGGAGGAGGAAATGGGGGAAAGAGAGAGAAAGAGAGATGGAGAGGGAACAGGGAGAGAGAGGGAGGGCAAACGAGAGGGAGAGAGAAGGAGGAGGAGGAAATGGGGGAAAGAGAGAGAAAGAGAGATGGAGAGGGAACAGGGAGAGAGAGGGAGGGCAAACGAGAGGGAGAGAGAAGGAGGAGGAGGAAATGGGGGAAAGAGAGAGAAAGAGAGATGGAGAGGGAACGGGGAGAGAGAGGGAGGGCAAACGAGAGGGAGAGAGAAGGAGGAGGAGGAAATGGGGGAAAGAGAGAGAAAGAGAGATGGAGAGGGAACAGGGAGAGAGAGGGAGGGCAAACGAGAGGGAGAGAGAAGGAGGAGGAGGAAATGGGGGAAAGAGAGAGAAAGAGAGATGGAGAGGGAACAGGGAGAGAGAGGGAGGGCAAACGAGAGGGAGAGAGAAGGAGGAGGAGGAAATGGGGGAAAGAGAGAGAAAGAGAGATGGAGAGGGAACGGGGAGAGAGAGGGAGGGCAAACGAGAGGGAGAGAGAAGGAAGAGGAGGAAATGGGGGAAAGAGAGAGAGAGATGGAGAGGGAACGGGGAGAGAGAGGGAGGGCAAACGAGAGGGAGAGAGAAGGAAGAGGAGGAAATGGGGGAAAGAGAGAGAGAGATGGAGAGGGAACGGGGAGAGAGAGGGAGGGCAAACGAGAGAGGGAGAGAGAAGGAAGAGGAGGAAATGGGGGAAAGAGAGAGAAAGAGAGATGGAGAGGGAACAGGGAGAGAGAGGGAGGGCAAACGAGAGGGAGAGAGAAGGAAGAGGAGGAAATGGGGGAAAGAGAGAGAGAGATGGAGAGGGAACGGGGAGAGAGAGGGAGGGCAAACGAGAGGGAGAGAGAAGGAAGAGGAGGAAATGGGGGAAAGAGAGAGAGAGATGGAGAGGGAACGGGGAGAGAGAGGGAGGGCAAACGAGAGAGGGAGAGAGAAGGAAGAGGAGGAAATGGGGGAAAGAGAGAGAAAGAGAGATGGAGAGGGAACAGGGAGAGAGAGGGAGGGCAAACGAGAGGGAGAGAGAAGGAAGAGGAGGAAATGGGGGAAAGAGAGAGAGAGATGGAGAGGGAACGGGGAGAGAGAGGGAGGGCAAACGAGAGGGAGAGAGAAGGAAGAGGAGGAAATGGGGGAAAGAGAGAGAGAGATGGAGAGGGAACGGGGAGAGAGAGGGAGGGCAAACGAGAGGGAGAGAGAAGGAGGAGGAGGAAATGGGGGAAAGAGAGAGAAAGAGAGATGGAGAGGGAACGGGGAGAGAGAGGGAGGGCAAACGAGAGGGAGAGAGAAGGAGGAGGAGGAAATGGGGGAAAGAGAGAGAAAGAGAGATGGAGAGGGAACGGGGAGAGAGAGGGAGGGCAAACGAGAGGGAGAGAGAAGGAGGAGGAGGAAATGGGGGAAAGAGAGAGAAAGAGAGATGGAGAGGGAACGGGGAGAGAGAGGGAGGGCAAACGAGAGAGGGAGAGAGAAGGAGGAGAGGGAGGAAATAGGGGAAAGAGAGAGAAAGAGAGATGGAGAGGGAACGGGGAGAGAGAGGGAGGGCAAACGAGAGGGAGAGAGAAGGAAGAGGAGGAAATGGGGGAAAGAGAGAGAGAGATGGAGAGGGAACGGGGAGAGAGAGGGAGGGCAAACGAGAGAGGGAGAGAGAAGGAGGAGGAGGAAATGGGGGAAAGAGAGAGAAAGAGAGATGGAGAGGGAACGGGGAGAGAGAGGGAGGGCAAACGAGAGGGAGAGAGAAGGAGGAGGAGGAAATGGGGGAAAGAGAGAGAAAGAGAGATGGAGAGGGAACGGGGAGAGAGAGGGAGGGCAAACGAGAGGGAGAGAGAAGGAAGAGGAGGAAATGGGGGAAAGAGAGAGAAAGAGAGATGGAGAGGGAACGGGGAGAGAGAGGGAGGGCAAACGAGAGGGAGAGAGAAGGAAGAGGAGGAAATGGGGGAAAGAGAGAGAGAGATGGAGAGGGAACAGGGAGAGAGAGGGAGGGCAAACGAGAAAGGAAGAGAGAAGGAGAGGGAGGAAATAAGGGGAGAGACAGAGAAAGAGACAGAGAGAAAGAGAGAAAGGGGGAGAGAAGGAAGGCAAAGGAGAGAGGAGGAGAGATGGGGGAAGGAGGAAAGAGAGAGAAGTGGGACACAGAGGAAGACAAAGGAGATAGAGAGACAAGGGGAGAGACAGGAAGAGAAAGGAGATAGGGAGAAGAGGGAGGGTGTGCGAGAGGGAAACAGAAAGGGAGAGAGAGAAGAAAGAGGGGAGAGAGAAGAAAGAGGGGAGGGAGAGAAGAAGGGAAAGGGAGGGAGAGAGGGAGAGAGAGAATGGGAGAAAAGGAGAGAGAGAAGAGGGGAGAAAGAGGGAGAGAGGGAAGGAAGGAGAGAGGGAGGGAGGGAGAGGGAGAATGGGAGAGAGAGAAGAGGGGAGAAAGCGAGGGAGGGAGGGGGAGAGAGAGAAGAAAGAGAGAAGAGAGAAAGAGAGAGAGGGAGAGAGAGGGAGAAAGGGAGAGAGAGAAGGGAGAAGGGGAGAGAGAGGGGGAGAGAGGGAGGGAGGAGGGAGAAGGGAGGTCGAGAGCAAAATAGTAGAAGCGGGGATGGGGTAGACTGAGGAGAGAGAGAGACAGAGAGAAAAAGCAAAAGAGAGGAAAAGTGAGACAGTGAAGAGGTGGAAAGAGAGAATGACAGAGAGACGGGGAGAAGGAGGAGAGAGAGACAGAGAGTTACAGAAAGAGAGAGAGAGAGGAGAAAAGCATTTGAGTAACTGAAAAACCACTGCTTCTCAACCCACTTCCTAGAATCTCGGGAGGGCGGTGGGAAGGATGGAGCCAGTCCAGGGAGGCTATGGGACGGACGCCCTGAACATCTAGCCTTCTCTGGCAGGGAACAGCCTGCCGCAGAGTCACAACAGACCACATCCCATGCTGCTGCCAACACCAACACTAAAAGAACATCCAAATGCCTCCTGTTCAGAGAAGGCGCCATCGGGAGAGGCAGAGGAAACCACTACGGAACAGAAAGCTACTCTATCCACAGGAGAGCAGCTCTGGAAGAGAAGCAAACAGAAGGCACGCAGAATAAATGGTCTACACCTGTGCAGACTCAAGGATCCGCTGACGAATGCATGCGCCGCGATGCAACACTTTCCGTCTTCCCGGGAGGGAGACCAGATGACTGTGGAGCCCGAGTCACATAGAAAATGCCAGGCGCCCACAAAGACAGGAGATGGCTGCTCAGGTGTCCGTCCACCAAAAAGTGGGTCCTCAGTAAGGACCGGCTCCACTGCACCTCAGTCTTCTGTTGATGCAGAACTGCACACCTGGGCTTCCCCGAATGAATCTTCCTTAACTCTCATGGGTCTTGTAGGTGCCCTGTGCCCATTTGCTCATTTGAATGAACTCATTAGAATTCATTCATTCATTTGATTCCATTCATTCATTTGCATCATTTGAATTCATTCCTTCTTTTGAATTCACTTGTTCCTTTGAATTCATTCATTCACTTGAATTTATTCATTTAAATTCACTCATTTGAATTCATTCATTCATTCCTTTGAATTCGTTCATTCCTTTGAATTCACTCATTCCTTTGAATTCACTCATTCCTTTGAATTCACTCATTCCTTTGAATTCACTCATTCCTTTGAATTCACTCATTCCTTTGAATTCATTCATTCATTCCTCTGAATTTATTCATTCCTTTGAATTCATTCGTTCCTTTGACTTCATTTGTTCATTCATTTGAATTCATTCCTTCATTTGAATTTATTCATTCCCTTGAATTCATTCAGATTCACTCATTTGAATTCATTCATTCATTCCTTTGAATTCATTCCTTTGAATTCATACATTCCTTTCAATTCATTTAGTCCTTTGAATTCATTCGTTCCTTTGAATTCATTTGTTCATTCATTAGAATTCATTCATTCCTTAGAATTAATTCATTTGAATTCATTTGTTCATTCCTTTGAATTCATTTGCATTCATTCATTCCTCTGAATTCATTCATTCATTTGAATTCTTTCATTCATTCATTCACTCATTTGAATTCATTCAAGTGAATGAATGAATTTGAATGAATGAATGAATGAATGAATGAATGGGTGAATGAAGAACTGTACCAAAAAACAGAGTCTTTAGGTCTCTGGCCAGGGAAGAATCATTGTTATTTTTCAGGGTCACCCTGTATCGTGGACGTATTTCTTTGGTGGTAGGAAAAATAATGCTTAGTAATTCATTATCTCAGAAAGAAATTCATCCATTAGAGTTATGGGAAGATGGCTGACAAGGATAAATCTATAAATCCTCTGCATTATTAAAAATCTATCAATTTTCAGACATGGGGATGGGAAGCTAGATAAATACAATTTTGAAGTGAATAAACCATAAATACCGGCTCTGCAGGAGGTCTATTATTGATTTATTCTTGTGCTTGATAAATCATCGCGTTGCCTCTGAGCTTCCCACAGCAGCCAGACAGAGGCAGTCAGGTTCTATTTTCAACCCACTAGCAAATGAAAAAGATATTCTATGTCTGAAGTATTTAATGTTTGCAAAACCTTGATTGCTCTAAGAATAAAAAAAGAAAAGCACGAAGTGTAGCTCCTTCTTGCCTTGGAAGTCACCCTGGCTGAGCTCAGCTGGGGCTGTTTTCCATGAGACTTGAGGCACGTGGTTGACTAGCAGGAGTTTTGGAGGGAAGGTTCTGGGGAAATAGTTTAGGGCAGCAGTCTCCAACCTTTTTGGCACCAGGGACCACTTTTGTGAAAGACAATTTTCTGAAGACAGAAGGTGGAGGTGGAATGTGGGGATGGTTTTGGGATGATTCCGGGGCATGACATTTATTGTACACTTTATTTGTATTATTATTACATTGTACTATATAATGAAATAATTCTACAAGTCGCCATCATATAGAATCAGTGGGAGCCCTGAGCTTGTTTTCCTGTGACTAGACAGTCCCATCTGGGGGTGATGGGAGACAGTGACAGATCATCAGGAATTAGATTCCATAAGGAGCACACAACCTAGATCCTTCCCATGCACAGATCATCAGGCTTTAGCTTTTCATAAGGAGTGCACAACCTAAGTCCCTCACATGCACAGTTCACAGTAGGGTTTGTGCTCCTATAAGAATCTAATGCTGCTGCTGATCTGACAGGAGGCAGAGCTCAGGCAGTCATGTGAACAATGGGGAGTGGCTGTAAATACAGATGAAGCTTTGCTTGTTCACTTGCCACTCACCTTCTGCTGTGCGGCCGGTGTCCTAACAGGCCATGGACTGGTACTATGACCTGGGGGTTGGACAGCCCTGGTTTAGGGGTCTGCAGACCCCCTACTAGCCTCTTAGACACTAAAAGTACCACCACTGGAGTCCTTCCCTGAGGCTGCCTATAAATAGAAACTCTATTTACATAAGTTGACACCAGCAATATCCCAAACATACAATCCAGCAATCTCATTTGCACACAACGAAGAAGAATTCTGATGCACAAACCAACGAGAAAAATCCTTGATTTCTTCTCTAAGTCAAGGTACATCTGGCCCAAGCTTCAGCACACCAGCTGGTGATGAACCCATTCTCAGCGTTGACTGTATAGAATCCAGCCTTCTCATTTGCACACAACGAAGATGAATTCTGATGCATAAACCAAGGCATGCAACAAATGAGAAAAATCCTTTACTTCTTCTCTAAATCAACGTACATCTGGCTCAAGCCTCCAGCACAAGAGCTGGTGATGAATCCATTCTCAACGCTGACTGTGTAGAATCCAGCCTTCTCATTTGCACACCACGAAGATGAATTCTGATGCACAAACTAAGGCATGCAATAAATGAGAAAAATACTTTGCTTCTTCCCTAAATCCAGGTACATCAGACCCAGGCCTCCAGCACACGGGCTTGTGCTGAATCCATTCTCAGTGCTGACTGTATAGAATCCAGCCTCGTCATTTGCACACCATGAAGATGAATTCTGATGCACAAACCAAGGCAAAAAATGCTTTACTTCCTCTCTAAATCAAGGTTCATCTGGCCCAAGCCTCCAGCACACAGGCTGGTGATGAATCCATTCTCAGCATAGACTGTGCCATCTGGGCTACTTCTGGCTTGAGGAGCACTTATCCCTGCAGCTTTCCATCCACCCTGGGTACCTCGGGAGGCCCCTTTCCAAGCCCATGGGCTTCACGAAGCTCCATGGTTCTGTTGCATTTCCAAGAGAACCAAGAGGATTTGTCAACAAGAGACTGCCTCTCTGCATTTCTGTCTTCTTGTGAAGAGTGGGCAATGGGTATTCAACACAGCCTCCAAAAGCGAAGTCTCCAGCTCTTTTCTAGAAGCTTCTGTCTGTACCCACAGAGGAAAAAAAAAAAAATCCAGATCCTCTGCAACTGAGCTCTTCTCAACAGTGACCCCAGGGACAAGATGAACCTTAGTCAGCCACAAAAACCTATAGGGAGTCCAGGAAAGCCACAGCCTGAGCAACCTCTTGAAAGATGTAGAACAAAAAGATAAAAGGAAGAAAGTGCAAAGTGTTATTTCAAGCCATCATCTTGTAACAAATGGATTCTCATTATCACCTCCTGGAAATGGTGTTCTGAGCAGCACAGGCTGGGGAATTCCAGGGAGGCGTGTGACTTGGGGTGCAATCTTCTCTGTACTTTACAAGACTGTGTTGTCACATTGCAAGAGGTGTGTTTTCTAAGGCAGAACATTTCACAGAATGATTATTGGTCCAATGTTTGTTTCCGTTGCTAAAGTATGATTTCTATGAGGTCAAGAATCTTGCTTATTATTTTATTTTTCCTGCAAGCGAAGTATGTGAAGGGCAGAGTAGGTAGGTATGGCAGGTTAAATAATGCACAACTCAAGATGTCCAGGTCCACATTATTCATGTGGGAGACAGAATCATGACCCCAAAAATGCCCACACTGTAATCCCCATGTGGGAGACACAATAATGGCCCCAAAGATGTCCACATCCTAATCCTCAGGTGGAAGACAGAATAATGGCCCCAAAAATGTCCACATCCTAATCCTCATGTGGAAGACAGAATAATGACCCAAAGATGTCCACATCCCAATCCTCATGTGGAAGACAAAATAATGGCCCTGAAGATGTCCACATCCTAATCCCCATGTGGTAGACAGAATAATGGCCCCAAAGATGTCCACATCCCAATCCCCATGTGGTACACAGAATAATGGCCCCGAAGATGTCCATATCCGAATCCCCATGTGGGAGACAGAATAATGGCCCCGAAGATGTCCATATCCAAATCCCCATGTGGAAGACAGAATAATGGCCCCAAAGATGTCCACATCCTAATCCCCATGTGGAAGCCGAACAATGGCCCCAAAGATGTCCATATGTTAATTCCCATGTGGTAGATAGAATAATAGCCCCAAAGATGTTCACATTCTAATCCTCATGTGGGAAACAGAATAATGGCCCCAAAGATGTCCACATCCTAATCCTCATGTGGAAGACTGAATAATGGCTCTAAAGATGTCCACAGACTAATTCTCATGTGGTCGACACAATAATGACCCCAGAGATGCCCACAACCTATTCCCAATTTGGAAGAGTAATAACTCAAAAGATGAAAAAATGTCCATGTCCTCATCTCTGGAACACATGAAAATGTGACTTTCACGGCAAAAGGGCCTTTGTAGATGTGAATTAGTGGAAGATCTTGAGATGAGGTGATTATCTGAGATGATCCTGGTGGGCCCCAAATAATCACAATGGTTCTTCTACAAGGCAGGCAGAAGAACAAAAGTAAGTGAAGGAGATAAAAAAAAAGAGAAGGCAAGATGAGAGAGAGAAAGAGAGAGAAGGGAAGAGAGGGAGAGAGAGAGAACAAGAAAGAGAGATTCAAAGGTGTCTCATTGCTGGCTTTGTTGTTGTTTTTGTTGTTTTGAGATGGAGTTTTGCTCTTGTTGCCCAGACTGGAGTGCAGTGGTGTGATCTCAGCTTACTGCAACCTCTGCCTCCCGGGTTCAAGCAATTCTCCTGCCTCAGCCTCCCGAGTAGCTGGGATTACAGGCATGCGCCACCATGCCCAGCTAATTTTGTATTTTTAGTAGAGACAGGGTTTCACAATGTTGTCCACGTTGGTCTCGAACTCCTGACCTCACGTAATCCACCTGCCTCGGCCTCCCAAAGTGCTGAGGTTACAGGCGTGAGCCACTATCATTGCTGGCTTTAAGGCCGGGTTGGAGGCCATGGGTGAAGAAACGCTGACAGTCTTCTAAAAACTGGGGAAGGAAATACTCTCCTCTAGAACCAGTGTCAGCCATAGACTCAGGAATTTCACACTGGACTTACTGGCTTGAGGTGCCTCTGAGGCATTGAGCGAAGGTAAAAGGTCTTAGCATGGAAGAAAGGTCTAGATAAGTCTAGGAAGAAGTAAACCCAATATGTGCATGAGATTTTCTACAGAAGAGATAGGGTACAGAGACAATCCAACAACAAGACCCTTTTGATTCAAATTCAACCCTGTCCCAGTTTCCAGAATATTTTTGTTTGTTTCTGAGAGCCCTGTGTGCCTTGTTTAAAATCTGTTGAGAAAAGGAACAGAGGAGAATCCTAGGAATGCAATAGCCATTTCAAAAGGTAAACGTGGTGGTTGAGTGATGGAGTATACGCTGGTTAGCCTGTGTCAACTGGTGTTAGCCTGTATCCACTGTCACAGATGTGGTTCATATACACATTGCTCAGTAAAATTCTGCTCCCCCCAGAACACAGTAAGATTCTGCTGGAGAAACATATCATATCTGACATTCCTAATTTTTTTTTTTTTTTGAAACAGTCTTGCTCTGTTGCTCAGGCTGGAGTGCAATGGTGTGGTCTCGGCTCACTGCAGCCTCCACCTCCCAGGTTCAAGCGATTCTCCTGCCTCAGCCTCCTGAGTAGCTGGGACTACAGATGCCCGCCACCACGCCTGGCTAATATTTGTATTTTTAGTAGAGACAGGGTTTCACCATATTGGTCAGGCTGGTCTGGAACCCCTGACCTCAGGTGATCCACTCACCTCAGCCTCCCAAAGTGTTGGGATTACAGGGGTGAGCCACCGCGCCCGGCCTGAGATTCCTAATTTTTTCTGCTTACTGGTGGATGCAAGCCCATACCAAATGGATGGAAGTAGTCGCACAAAAGTCCTAAGAGGATGGACAGTTCTGTTTTGTGTGTCTCTGTGCAAGGGCACCATGTCATGTATGTATTTCCATCTCCAACTGCTCTGTGATAAAGTGCTCCCATTACTAATGAGTAAGGGTGTTACACAGAACGAGGAAATGAGACGTCGGGTCGTGTAGGATCTCCACAGTGCCTCTAAGTGGTCTCCACATTTGGTGACTTATAATGCTATAATTCTAATCACTTCTAATACTGATAGGTCTTCAGCAAAGGAAGTCCACACCCAGTGCTGAGACAGAAGATTCCAAATGGCTGCTGACTGGGAAATCATTTATGCCTGCGTAGAAACTTCAGATCCCACCAGGATGGCAAATCTGAAAAGTGTTATTGATCTCCAAAGAAGACACACAAAGTTAAAATCATTCCGGACCTTCCAACAGGAGCCACTAGCACTGATAATACGATGTTTCTTACCAGGCTAAGTACATGGAAATGGTGTTGTCTGTAGCTATTTGAGTGGCACTCACACATCATAGCTATGTCTGCACGTATTTTTATGCATAAATACATATACATCATACATCAAATACATATACAAATACATATGCACTCACACATAGCTATGTCTGTACAAATTTTTATGCATAAATTGGCATCACACTCTATGTATAGTTTTATATCCCATGCTTCTCCTTTAAACTCTAGCATAATAATTTCCAATTAAACAAGTGGGTTGAGGGGGAACCGTGGGTATCTCATCCACTTTCCTATCCTCCAATCCCATTAATGTTATACAAAAACACGAAACACATCAAGACAAAAAGAAAAAAAAATTAGATAGAAGCTACCACATCTTGGCAGCTGGAAACAGACAGGTATTACAACTTTAGTACAAAGAATAATGCTTTCTCCCTCCTTACAGACATGTCCATATCCTAATCTCCAGAATTTATGAAAATGGTACGTTAGGTAGCACAAGGGGTTTTGCAGAATTAAGAATCTTTAATGGTCTAGGTGGGTAATGGAGTAATTACATTGGGTAATCACAAGATCCTTTTGCTGATTTTTTTGTCTGCAATCTGAAGTGTCAATAACTTGATAAATATTTCATGTATTTGAAAGGAATGTGCTGTCTTTATGGGCTCACTGTTTGACGTACGTCTGTTCTATCCACTGTATTAATGTCACTATTTATTTCCTCTCTGAATTTGCATTTGGTCTCCATCTGTGAAAGTGATGCGTTAAATTCTACTAGCACACATGTTTGTTGGTGTATTTCTGAGACCTTTAGTTCTATGTATTTACTTAGTTTGGAGATGTCAATAACTGTACCTCCTCAGTGTGGAGGGTTCAGGTTAACTTTTATAAAAAATAAAATGGACTGCAGCAGGGGATGAGAGTAATGGGCATCAGTGTTACGAGGAGAAACATTAAGTGTTGCAATGATCTTAAGCGCTCAGCGTGGCCCAAAGAAGGGCTCAAGGTCAACAGTAAGCGTTGCAATGACCTTAAGCACTCAGCGAGGCTCAAAGAAGGGCTCAAGGTCAAGGGTAGTTTGTGTTGAAGATTGGCAGATGGGCAGATTGAAGGTGGGGAAGGGGAGATATTGACTCCACCTATCTGGGTGAGAATGTTGAACAGGGGGTAAAATCAAGAGATAAATGGTAATGAGCTTCTAGTGCCCAAATAATGACTCTCAGGGGAATGTGGTGATGGTTTTGTAAGATAACATTTGGGAAAACACCAACCCTTAGCATGTGCCTCATACCCTTTAGTCCAAGTGGACAAGTCAACGTGTCAACTCCATACAACATGTTATCGCGTTTACCATTATTTCAAAGTAACATGCTAACAAGAATGATGCTCTTCCAAAGCTATCCGTGAAATGAAGCACTGACTAGAAATAGCAGGTATGTTCAATAATTCCCATGGATATCCTGTTTTGCTGAGACACTTCTCCCGCATGAAAGCTAGAGTTCCTGTTTGCATTCAAATTAACCCCTGGCTTGCTGCAATTTCACCAGGACTCACCATTGTTGATCAGGACATGGAGAGGAATCTTCTTCATCTTGAACTTCTGCACAAACTGCCGGATGGAAGTCATGGAAGCCAAGTCACAGTATAAAAATTCCACTGGAAAAGGACAACAACAAAAAATACCTGGTTATCTCCCAACCTATTTCAGAGATTAAGAAAATTTCTAAACAGGTCAAACTCAATTTCATCTAGGAAGTAACACTTTTTTTTTTTCTGCTCTTTTTGAGATGGAGTCTCGCTCTGTTGACCGGGCTGGAGTGCTGTGGCAGGATCTCAGCTCACTGCAGCCTCTGCTTCCTGGGTTCCAGTGATTCTCCTGCCTCAGCCTCCCAGGTAGCTGGGATTACAGGCACATGCCACCAGGCCCAGCTAATTTTTGTATTTTTGTATTTTTTTTTTTTTTTTTTTTTTTAGTAGAGACAATGTTTCACCATGTTGGCCAGGCTGGTCTCAAACTCTTGACCTCAGGTGATCCGCCCGCCTCAGCCTCCCAAAGTGCTGGGATTACAGGCGTGAGCCACCACGCCTGTCCAGGAAGTAACACTGAATTGGACATGTCAGTAGGGTACAATGAGGAGCTCATACTCTAGGGAGATCAATGAGTCCCATCCTTGTATAGTCCCCTTTCCTTGAGTCTGTGTGGGACCTGTCATTCTCCTCCTGACCTTGATGTGAGCTGATGTTTTGTGAGAGCGCCTTGGGGCCAGAACCTGGGCATGGCCTCTCTAGGAGCTGACAGCAGCCCCTGGCCAAAAGCCAGCAAGATACTCAGATCCCCAGATCTGCAGCTTCCAGGAATTGGATTCTGCGTATAACCATGTGAATTTCGAAGATCCTGAGCTCCAGAGAGGACCTCAGGCCAGATGACACTTTGGTTATAGCCCAGTGAGACCCCGAAGAGAGAATGCAGTTACACCTGCCCAGATTCCTGACCCGCAGCAGCTGTGGGATAGTAAGTATGAGCCCTTCCACGCTGCTGAGTCTGTGGGTTATTTTGTTACACAGCATATGTAACTGATACACAAAATGACTCAGAAGCAAGGACTTCCTTCTTCTGCAGTAGAGGAATATAGAATATAGAATTTTATATAATAATCAAACAGGAAGCAATTTATGCATCCCCTGCTACAGATAGTAAGAAGTACGAGCCCTTCCACGTTGCTGAATCTGTGTTATTTTGTTACAGGGCATATGTAACTAATACACAAAATGGCTCAGAAGCAAGGACTTCCTTCTTCCACAGGAGAATATAGAATTTTATATAATAATAAAAAAGGACGCCATTTATGGATCCCTTGCTACAGATAGTAAGTATGAGCTCTTCCACGCTGCTCAGTCTGTTATTTTGTTACACAGTATATGTAACTAATACACAAAATGACTCAGAAGCAAGGACTTCCTTCTTCTGCAGAAGAATAATAAAAGAAAGCATTTTATTTTTTATTACATTTATGTTTTTGGAGACAGGGTCTCACTATGTCCCCATGGCTGGTCTCGAACTCCTAAGCTCAAGTGAGCCTCCCACATCAGCCTCCCAAAGTGTTGGATTACAGGCGTGAGCAGCTGTGTCCAGCCAAAGATGACATTTTTAGAGAGTGAATGACTCAGGGACAGCTTTATAACATCACATAGGTAGAGAGGTAGACTTATGTCTATTGTATTCAGTATATCAACTTCACTCTTTCTCTCTAAATTCCCAGTGGGTCTCCATCGCTAAAAGTGATGTGTTTGATTGTGTTAAAGCTGTTTTTTTTTTTTTTTTCCCAGAAGGACTGAGGTTTTGGAGGGAGAGGAACTAGAAAGAAAAGCAAATTCACAGGTATATAATTCTGCCTCCAGGTCCATGGGTTCAAGGAGGTTGGGAGAACAATGCAACAACCTAAAGTCAGACAGAACAAAATGCATGAAAACTAGCTATTACTTGCAGCAGAGACAGCAGATCTCTGAGGGAAGAAGCAAGTTCCCTTACATTGAGATGGGAAGGTAATTTCTGGAGAGAGGTGGAAGGTATTGGGGGACACTGCCAGTGAGTTCTGAAAGGTGAGGATGGGGAATGGTGTGAGGTGGAAGAGCAAATCACAGCATGTGTGCAGAGGTCAGAGACAGGAGTCCTCAGGGAGGGAGCGAGCAGAGGCTGGTTCTGGGCTGGCCGAGAAGAGAACAGCCTTGATCTGCAGGGCTGCTGGTGGTCAGTGTCATTTACAGCCTCCTCACTGGGGAGCCTCATAGGGGAAAATCATTACTGTAAAAGAACTGTTAATATTTTTATGAAGGCCACATAGCTTTCAGAGGATAAGCAGTGTGTGTGTGTGGTGGGGGGAGGGGTCTGCCTGTGCCCCCCATGTCTGCACTGATGTGTAAAATGCCAGCAATCAATTTTATGACAGACACACCTTGCTTAATAAGCTCTATGAGCCTTACTCTCCAAAACTATTACTGGAATGCTCATCATCATTCCAAAACGAAATGACTCTCCACTCACCATCAGAGAGAGAGAAGAGACAGAGATGGAGTGTAAGAATGAGAAAGAGAGAGATAGAAAGATAGAAGCAGAGAGAGAGAGAAAGAGAGAAAGAAAGAAAGGCTAAGAGAGAAAGAGAAAAAAGGAGGGGGAGGAAAAGGGGAAGAGAGAAAAAACACACAGAGATAAAGACAAAGAGACACAGTGAGAGAGAGAAACAGAAAGAGAGAGAGGGACGGGAGACAGTAAAAGGGACAAAGAGAGAAAGGCAGACAGAGAGATACAAAGAAAGAGGCCGGGCACGATGGCTCATGCCTGTAATCCCAGCACTTTAGGAGGCGAAGGCAGGCAGATCACGTGAGGTCAGGACTTTGAGACCAGCTTGGCTAACATGTTGAAACCTCGTCTCTACTAAAAATACAAAAATTAGCCAGCTGTGGTGGTGCACACCTGTAATCTCAGCACTTTGGAAGGTGGGCAGAGGTCAGGAGTTCGAGACCAGCCTGGCCATTGTGGTCAAACTCCATCTCTACTAAAAATACAAAAATTAGGCGACTGTGGTGGTGCACGCCTGTAATCCCAGCTACTTGGGAGGCTAAGGCAGGAGAATCGCATGAACCTGGGAGGTGGAGGTTGCAGTAAGCCGAGGTCGCGCCACTGCACTCCAGCCTGGGTGACAGAGCAAGACTCTGTCTCAAAAAAAAAAAAAGAGACAGAAAGAGGCAAAGAGAGAGAGCGTGACAAACACTGAGAGACAGAGAGAAATAGAGAAAAGAAGACAAAGAGAGAGACAGAGAAAGAGAGAGAGAGAGAGGAAAAAGAGAGGGAGAGAGAGAGAGGAAAAAGAGAGGGAGAGAGAGAGGGAGAAAGACAAAGAGAGCAGACAGAAAAAGAAAGAGAATGAAATGAGAGAAAGTGTGTGTTAGTTTCATATTCCTTACTGTATAAGGAGAAGAAAAGGAAATGGAGAGGATTTGGAGAAATAGGAACATTTTTACACCGTTGGTAGGAGTGTAAATTAGTTCAACCATTGTGGAAGACAGTGTGGCGATTCCTCAAGGATCTAGAACCAGAAATACCATTTGACCCATCAATCCCGTTACTGGGTATATACCAAAGGTTTATAAATCATTCTACTATAAAGACACATGCACACATACGTTTATTGCGGAACTATTAACAATAGCAAAAACTTGAAACCAACCCAAATGCCCATCAATGATAGACTGGATAAAGAAAATGTGGCACATAGACACCATGGAATACTATGCAGCCATAAAAAAAGGATGAGTTCATGTCCTTTGCAGGGACATGGATGAAGCTGGAAACCATCATTCTCAGCAAACTATCACAGGAACAGAAAACCAAACACTGCATGTTCTCACTCATCAGTGGAAGTTGAACAATGAGAACACATGGACACAGGGAGGGGAACATCACACACCAGGGCTTGCTGGGGGGTGGAGGGTTAGGGAAGGGATAGCTTTAGGACAAATACCTAATGTAGATGACGGGTCGATGGGTGCAGCAAACCACCATGGCACGTGTATACCTATGTAACAAACTTGCACGTTCTGTACATGTATCCAGAACTTAAAGTATAATAATACCAAAAAAACAAGAAGAAAAGGAAATGGTATCTGGATTACTTTGACAGGACATAACTTTCTAAAACACGTCATTCTGGATAAAATATTACCAGGCTGTTAGGACACGCTGCTGAGTCTGTGTTATTTTGTTACACGGCATGTGTAACTAATACACAAAATGACTCAGAAGCAAGGACTTCCTTCTTCTGCAGTAGAATAATAAAAGAGGGCTAGCACTTGCTTGTATTGACGGCTTGTATTTTCACGCGGTTCCGGCATGTGGCAATACCGAAGCACAAAGCTGGGGCGCATACGCACATTTATTTTCTCATCGAAGACCATAAATAGTTCCCTTCCTCCCATACGTAGCCCATTCTCTTGACTTTCCTTTTCTGGGATGGACTGTGGGGTTCTCGCCGAGAGATGCTTGTGTGCCTCACTTGGGGATCGTAAACGCAAATGTGTCACCTCCTTCAGGAAGTTTTCCTGAACCCCAAGCCACGCCGGGCATCTCTAGATCTGGCTTCCGCAATCGCAACGACAGTACCCATCATTGCACCTCCTCACTTGCATGACCAGTATGTTTTTAAGCATGTCTCATATGCCTTGGATGCTACGTAACTTTGGAACATACATTGAAATGATGCATCTTTGAGTGTCCAGAGCTAGGCTCTCTGGGCACACCCAGAAAAAAGTCAGCGGAAGAGGTAAAGGGAAGATGTATGGGAGCTTGGGCCACGTCCTCTGCTGGCGCTCTGCCGCATGCCAGCTTCTGCCCCAGAGGGAGGGGAGGGAAGGAGAGGGAAAAAGAGAAAAGAAGAAAAGGGGAGAAAGGTGAAGTGAAAAATATCAGCATGAAGCAAAAATGTGTCCTCAGACAAAAAGGAAATGCATAGACCCGAGGCAGACAGGAATAGGACCCAGGCAGATAGGAATAGGACCCAGGCAGATAGACCCAGGCAGACAGGAATAGGACCCAGGCAGATAGACCCCAGGCAGATAGGAATAGGACCCAGGCAGATAGGAATAGGACCCAGGCAGATAGACCCCAGGCAGATAGGAATAGGACCCAGGCAGATAGGAATAGGACCCAGGCAGATAGACCCCAGGCAGATAGGAATAGGACCCAGGCAGATAGGAATAGGACCCAGGCAGATAGACCCCAGGCAGACAGGAATAGGACCCAGGCAGATAGGAATAGGACCCAGGCAGATAGACCCCAGGCAGATAGGAATAGGACCCAGGCAGATAGGAATAGGACCCAGGCAGATAGGAATAGGACCCAGGCAGATAGACCCCAGGCAGACAGGAATAGGACCCAGGCAGATAGGAATAGGACCCAGGCAGATAGACCCCAGGCAGATAGGAATAGGACCCAGGCAGATAGGAATAGGACCCAGGCAGATAGACCCCAGGCAGACAGGAATAGGACCCAGGCAGATAGGAATAGGACCCAGGCAGATAGACCCAGGCAGATAGGAATAGGACCCAGGCAGGCACTGCAAGCTGTGAGCATCATCTTGGGAATATGCAAATGTTTGTGCTGAATTACTTTCCTTTTTAAAATTATTTATGCATTTATTGAGACAGGGTCTCGTTCTGTCACCCAGGCTGGAGTGCAAAGGTGTGATCTGGGCTCACTGCAGCCTCCACCTCCCGAATTCAAGCGATTCTCCCTCCTTAGCCTCCTGAGTAGCTGGGACCACAGGTGCGCAGCACCACGCCTGGCTACTTTTTGTAGTTGTTGTAGAGATCGGATTTTGCAATATTGCCCAAGCTGGACTCGAACTCCTGGGCTCAAGCGATCCGCCCGCCTTGGCCTCTCAAAGTGCTGGGATTACCGTCGTGAGCCACCTTGCCTGGCCATCCTTTCCTAAGGTAGTAAGAATGTGGTAGGCTAAATGACGGTATCCTCCACTCCGTCCCTAAAAATCTCCTGGTCCTAATCTCTAGAACCTGTGAAAAGATTACCTTGTATGAAAATAGGGTGTTTAGACATTAAAGGTTTTCAAATGAGGAAATTATCCTGTATTAGCCTAAATATAATGACAAAGATTTTTGTTTTTTGTTTGTTAGCTTTTATAGAGACAGGGGTCTCTCTATGTTGCCAAGGTAGGTCTCAAACTCCTGGCCTTGTTATCATACTGCTGCCCAAAATGCTAGGATGACAGGAGTGCGGAGTTTTTTTTGTTTTGTCTTTTTGAGTTTTTTTTTTTTGACAAAGTCTTGCTCTGTCACCCAGGCTGGAATACAGCGGACAGATCTTGGCTGACTGCAACCTCCACTTCCCGAGTTCAAGTGATCCTCCCTTCCTCAGTCTCCCAAGTAGCTGGGATTACAGGCACCCGCCACCACGCCCGGCTTATTTTTGTATTTTTAGTAAAGATGGGGTTTCACCATGTTGGCCGGGCTGGTCTCAAACTCCTGACCTCAGGTGATCTGCCCGCCTCGGCCTCCCAAAGTGCTGGGATGACAGGCATGAGCTACCACGCCTAGCCTGGGGTTTTTATAAGGAGGAGGAACAGGCATGCTTGAGACAGATGAGAGAAAATGATGATGTGAAGACAGAGGCAGAGACTGGAGTGATACAGCCACAAGCCGTGGGATGCCTGGAGCCCCCAGGAGCTGGGGGAGGCCAAAAGGATCCTCCCCTAGAGCGTCTGGATGGAGCTCAGCCCTGAGACACCTTGGATTTAAAGTCTTGTCCTCCAGACCTGGGAGAGGATATATTTCTATTGTGCAAGTTCCCCAGTTTTGGTGTTTTTTTTTTTTTTGTTAGTTCAATATGATTTTATTCAAAAATGTATACAGCTGAAGGAGGGATCTGGTCTTTTGTTAAAAAAAAAAAAAACAATTTTCACAGTATATATTTGGCCATTTTAGCTCTGTAGTGAACAACACCAGAAAAGGAAGTTTCTGTTCAAGATCCTGACTCCAGCACACTCAGCCAGGTTGCTTGGCAAGATGACACATTTCCTGGTCTGAAGCACACAGCCCATCCTCTCACCTAAGTGGAACAGCAGTTCTCCTGCAGGCGCGTGTGTACACACACACACACACACACACACACACACACACACGAGGTCTTATTTTCACTGCTCTACACAGGGTCCTGAGAACCCTTACTTTTAAAGTTGGGAAAAACGGGCCGGGCGCGGCAGCTCACGCCTGTATTCCCAGCACTTTGGGAGGCCGAGGCGGGCGGATCACCTGAGGTCGGGAGTTCAAGACCAGCCTGGCCAACATGGAGAAACCCCGTCTCTACTAAAAATACAAAATTAGCCGGGTGTGGTGGCACATGCCTGTAATCCCAGCTACCAGGGAGGCTAAGGCAGGAGAATCACTTGAACCTGGGAGGCAGAGGTTGCGGTGAGCCGAGCTCGTGCCATTGCACTCCAGCCTGGGCAACAAGAGTGAAACTCTGTCTCAAAAAAAAAAAAAAAAAAAAAAAAAAAAATGGGAAAAATGTGGAAGGATTCCTTAACTCATTGTCTGCGACAAATCCAGCTGCCTTTTAACTCTTAGCAACTGCCAGTATCAAATACTTGAAAGTGACGAGATGCTCCATTTAATGCAACAACTCAAATGCTAAGCAATTCGGTCAAGTCACATGCTTGAATATTTTTAAATGTCACTTAAAAATTATCGAGAGAAGATAAGATGTGCTTTTCACAGTAACCCTAAGGAACTCACACAGAATAAAAATCTTAACCCTAACGGAGTGTGAATCCACAGTAACAAATGCCTTCTGTCACTGTGATTCTGACAGTGAGACAGTATCATATGAAGACAGGAGATTCACGCACCTGCTGTGTCTGATGCCCCTCTCGGCACCTAGCATGGTGAATGATGTCCACGCTTCCCGTAGCCCACACACCACACCCTCCAATGCAGAAAGTGAGTCTACAATTCTCACTGTTGCTCTTGAGGCTGCCAATAACTCATCCAACTTTTCTTTTATTTGCAACTCAGTGACAGACAGTAAACCCTGAGACTCAAGAAGATAACCTCATCTGGCCGGGTGTGGTGGCTCATGCCTATAACCCCAGCACTTTGGGAGGCTGAGATGGGTGGATCACCTGAGGTCAGGAGTTCGAGACCAGCCTGGCCAACATGGTGAAATCCGGTCTCTACTAAAAATACAAAAATTAGCCAGGTGTGGTGGTGCACGCCTGTAATCCCAGATACTCGGGAGGCTGAGGCAGGACAATCGTTTGAACCTGGGAGGTGGAGGTTGCAGTAAGCCGAGATCACACCACTGCACTCCAGCCTGGGCGACAGAGCAAGACTATGTCTCAAAAAAAAAAAAAGATAACTTCATCCACAGAAGAATTTCTAACATCTAAAGGGGTTTCCTGAGGGCAAGTCAGAAATACAGATTTCTGAAATTAATGCTGCCCAAGAGATGAAGTCAACTGGAAAGACACAGAGGCATGTGTTGATAAATAGGGATCAAGAAGAAAAAAAAATTCCTTTTGTTTGGAGTTCTGGCAAATCGCCTGGTTTGGAGGAACTGAATTACCCCTTCTTCTTTGCGATAGAGAACATCATTATGGAATGAACTGTACCTCCCTAAAAAATCCTTTTGTCTGAGGCTCTGGCAAACCTCCTAATTTGGAGGAATTGAATAGTGCCTTCATTTTTTCTTTGCAATAGATATAGGACATCGTTATAGACTGAGCCGTGCCCTCCCTCACTCATCATCAGAACCCTTAAACTCCAATGTGACTTTATTTGCAGACAGGGCCTGTAGGAGCTCAAAAGGGTGAGGCCCTCGTCCAGTAGGACTGGTGTCCTTATAATCAGAGAAACACACACCAGGTGTGATGGTTAATGCCGAGTGTCAACCTGATTGGATTGAAGGATGCAAAGTATTGATCCTGGGTGTGTCTGTGAGGGTGTGGCCAAACAAGTTTAACATTTGAGTTAGTGGGGTGGGAAAGGCAGACCCACCCTTAATCGGGGTGGGCACCATCTAATCAGCTGCCAGCACAGCACATTCAAAAAGCAGGCAAAAGAATGTGAAAAGGTTAGACTGGCCTAGCCTCCCATGCTACAGCTTTCTCCCGTGCTGGATGCTTCCTGCCCTCAAAAATTGGACTCCAAGTTCTTCAGCTTTAGCACTCGGGCTGGCTTCCTTGCTCCTCAGCTCGCAGACAGCTTATTGTAGGACCTTGTGATCCTGTGAGTTAATACTGAATAAACCCCCCTTTATATATAGCTATTTATCCTGTTAGTTATATCCCTCTAGAGAACCCTGGCCAACACAGGGTGCATCCCTCACCCCCTATATCTATCACCCTGCTGCCTGAGTTGATAGGAAAGCAGAAAGAGCCCCTTTTTAATGTTTAATTTTATTAAGTATGCAATTTCCCAGTGCCCAAACTCATGTTGATTTCAAAAACTGCCCTTTTAAAGCATGTGGACAGGGTAACAATTCATAGCAGGTGACAAAAATGTTTTATAAATAATATCCACGGAAACAGAAGGTGTCACCGTCTGCAGAATGCAGCCAAAATATTCAGAAGATTTGTATCACTCTAAGTTCTCGTGCTAGTAAGAAATAAAAAAGCAGGCCGGGCGCAGTGGCTTACGCCTGTAATCCCAGGACTTTGGGAGGCTGAGGCGGGCGATCACCTGAGTTCAGGAATTCGAGACCAGCCTGGCCAACATGGCAAAACCCTGTCTCTACTAAAAATATAAAACTTAGCTGGGCATGGTGGTGCATTGCCTGTAATCCCAGCTACTTGGGAGACTGAGGCAGGGGAATCGCTTGAACCTGGGAGGCGGAGGTTGCAGTGAGCCGAGACCATGCCACTGCACTCCAGCCTGGTGACAGTGCCAGACTCCATCTCAAAAAAAAAGCTGTGTAAATACATGAATCATTAGATATTAGCCTTTCTTTGCTGAGCCTTGCACATTTCCACGAGGTGTCTCTGGAAGCAGGTTAGCTTTGGTCTTATTGCTGCGTGGAGCAGAGATGAGAGGGATGGGCCATGACATGCCATCCTGCAGCATTCTGGTCTTTGTATGATCACGGCTGGTTGCGCTGCAGGAGCACGCCAGGTCTTTTCACCTAGTTCTTTGTTGTTGTTGTTTGAGATGGAGTTTCACCCTGTAGCTCAGGCTGAAGTGCGGTGGTGCGATCTCGGCTCACTGCAACCTCCACCTCCTGGATTCAACCAATTCTCCTGCCTCAGCCTCCTGAGTAGCTGGGACTACAGGCACCCGCCACCACGCCTGGCTAATTTTTGTGTTTTAGTAGAGACAGGGTTTCACCATGTTGCCCAGGCTGTTCTTGAACTCCGGACCTTGTGATCTGCCCGCCTCGGCCTCCCAAAGTGCTGGGATTACAGGTGTGAAGCACCTCACCCGGCCTCATCTAGCTCTTGATGACATACTCAGACCAACCCGTGGGGTCCCGGGTCCCCAGAACAGAGGTGGACATGGCTCCGATATCACAAGAACTGGCGCTTCCTGCAGCACACACCTGAGGTTGAGACACAGTGATTAGGTTTTGTTTTATTGTGGCTGATCTAGGACACTTTAAATAACACAACATCCAAGAGTCAGCCAAACGTGGCAGCCAAAAGTGCTCCTGACCTTGTGATCTGAAATATATACTTTAACCTTCTCTTGGAAGGCATGTTTTAAGATAATATAACAGCTTCCTCATCATGGAGAATGAAGCCCATCTGTACCAAGTCACCAGGCCATCAAGGAAAAGGAAATAAGTACTTTCAATATTTTCCTTAGAGAAATACAGTTGGGTGGGCAGGTGCAGTGGCTCACACCTGTTATCCCAGCACTTTGGGAGGCCAAAGCGGGCGGATCGCTTGAGGTCAGGAGCTCAAGACCAGCCTGGCCAACACGGTGAAACTGCATCTCTACTAAAAATACAAAAACTAGCCGGGCATGGGGTCAGGCACCTGAAATCCCAGCTACTTGGATGGCTGAGGCAGGAGAATTGCTTAAACCCGGGAGGTGGAGGTTGCAGTGAGCTGAGATCGCACCACTGCACTCCAGCCTGGGTGACAGAGCCAGACTGTCTCAAAAAATAAATAAATAAATAAATAAAGTAATATATTGGATGGTATGATGGTACACACACTCCTGAATCAGACGGCTGCCACTCTGTGAACTGTTACTGCAAGCTGTCTGTGGTGAGACATGTTCAGAAATTGAAAGTAAATGTTTAGAAACTTAAAAAATAATGACAGTCATTTAAGCTTTGTTCAATCCAATGACTTAAAAAAAACACACTGAGAGCTTCTAGTTTCCATGTTTCTTAAATGCATTTTTTTTAGTAATTCATTTTTATTGTATCTACGGCAGTTATCAATCTGCTGCAGATTAGGGGAGAGGCAGTTTTGCCATGGAGAGTTTAAAAGCGCTGATTCTGAGCACAGTGTCATCTGGATAGAAACTCCTGAGGTACTGCTGTAATTTTCCACAAAAACACTTGTGGGGATGTAAGAAAGAGGAAAACCCATACTACTGCTAATAATTGGAACCAGTGATCAAAGGATGGGTAAAAGCACAAGCTGAGCTTCCAAAAACAGCAGTGTGAATGGATTTTTTTTAAAAAAACTAGAAGATGCATTTTTCTTGCTCCTTGAGAAAAAAGGCTTATAGCCACTAGCAACATGAACATCAGCATTCTATTGAGATCACTGGCTTGCGAGGTGGTGATATAGTTTAGATCTGTGTCCCCACCCAAATCTCATGTTGAATTGTAATCCGCAGTGTTGGAGGAGTGGCCTGGGGAGAGGTGATGGGATCATGGAGGTGGATTTCTCACGAATGGGTTAGCGCCATCCCCTTGGTGATGTTCTTGTGACCATGAATGAGTTCCCACAAGATCTGGTTGTTTAAAAGTGCACAGCACCTCCCCTCCACTCTTGCTCCTGCTCTAGCCATTAAGACGTGCTGGCTTCCACTTCACCTTCCATCATGATTGTAAGTTGCCTGAGGCCTCCCCAGAAGCAGAAGCTGCTCTGCTTCCTGTACAGCTTGCAGAACCATGAGCCAATTAAACCTCTTTTCTTTATAAATCATCCAATCTCAGGTACTTCTTTATAGCAATGCAAGAACAGACTAATACAGATGGATGCATGCATGGACGGATGGACGGATGAATTGATGGATGGGTGGAAGGATGGGTAGATGGATGGATAGGTGGATGGATGGATGGATTGGATAGATGGATGGATAAATGGATGGATGGATGGATGGGTGGGTGGGTGGGTGGATGGGTGGGTGGATGGGTGGGTGGATGGATGGATGGATGGATGGGTGGATGGGTGGATGGGTGGATGGGTGGATGGATGGATGGATGGATAAATGGATGGATGGATGGATGGATGGATGGGTGGGTGGGTGGATCGATGGATTGATGGATGGATACATGAGAGGATGGGTGAGTGGATGGATGGATGAATTGATGGATGGACGGATGGATGAACTGATGGATGGATGGATGGATGGATGGATGGATGGATGGATGGGTGGATGGATGGATGGGTGGGTGGGTGGATTGATGGATGGATAGATGGATGGATGGATAAATGGATGGATGGATGAATGGATGGATGGATGGATGGATGGATGAACTGATGGATGGATGGATGGATGGATGGATGGATAAATGGATGGATGGATGGATGGATGGATGGATGGATGGATAAATGGATGGATGGATGGGTGGGTGGGTGGATGGATGGGTGGGTGGGTGGGTGGATGGATGGATGGATGAATGGATGGATGGATGGATGGATGAACTGATGGATGGATGGATGGATGGATAGATGGATGGATGAATTGATAGATGGGTAGTGATATGGTTTGGATCTGTGTCCTCATTCAAATCTCAAGTTGAATTGGAATCCCCAGTGCTGGAGGTGGACCCTTGTAGGGGGAGATTGGGTCACGGGGGTGGATGTCTCAGGAATAGTTTAGTGCCATCCCCTGGGTGCTGTGCTTGCAATAGTGAATGAGTTCTCGTGGCATCTGGTTGTTGAAAAGTGTGTAGCATCTCCCCAGCCCACCCCAACTGCACCTCTGTCTCTCCTTCTCTTGCTAGGGCCATGTAAGACACCTGCTTTCCTTCACTTTCCACTATGATTATGCATTTCCTCATGCCTCCCTAGAAGCAGAAGCTGCTCTGCTTCCCGTACAGCCTGCAGATCCATGAGCCAATTAAACTTCTTTTCTTTATAAATTACCCAGTCTCAGTGTAGCAATTCCTCAAAGACCTAGAACCAGAAACACCATTTGACCCAGCAATCCCATTACTAGGTATATATCCAAATAAATAGAAATCATTCTATTATAAAGATACAGGCACACATATGTTCATTGCAGCACTATTCACAATAGCAAGGATGTGGAATCAACTCAAATGCCCAAGAATGATAGACTGGATTAAAAAAAATGGTACATATACACCGTGGAATACTATGCAGCCATAAAAAGGAACGAGATCATGTCCTTTGCAGGGACATGGATGGAGCTAGAAGCCATTATTCTTGGCAAACTAATGCAGGAACAGAAAACCAAACACTGTACACTCTCACTCATAAGTGGGTGCTTAACAATGAGAACACATGGATACAGGGAGGGGAACAACACACACTGGGGCGTGTTGTGGGTGGGGGTCAGGGAGGGGGAGAGCATCAGGAAAAATAGCTAATGCCTGCTCAGTAGTGAAGTACAAATCAAAACCACAATGAGATACCACCTCACATCAGTTAGAAGGGCGATCATTAAAAAATCAGGAAACAACAGATGCTGGAGAGGATGTGGAGAAACAGGAATGCTTTTACACTGTTGGTGAGAGTGGAAGTTAGTTCAACCATTGTGGAAGACACTGTGGCGATTCCTCAAGGATCTAGAACCAGAAATACCATTTGACCCAGCAATCCCATGACTGGGTATATACCCAAAGGATTATAAATCATCCTACTATAAAGACACATGCACATGTGTGTTTACTGCAGCACTGTTCACAATATTAAAGACTTGGAACCAACGCAAATGCCCGTCATTGATAGACTGAATAAAGAAAATGTGGCACATAGACACCATGGACTACTATGCAGACATTAAAAAGGATGAGTTCATGTGCTTTGCAGGGACACGGATGAATCTGGAAACCATCATTCTCAGCAAACTAACACAAGAACAGAAAACTAAACACCACATGTTCTCACTCTTAAGTGGGAGTTGAGCAATGAGAACACAGGGACACAGGGAGGGGAACATCACACACTGGGGCCTGTTGGGGGGTGGGGGGCAAGGGGAGAGATAGCTTTAAAAGAAATACCTAATGTAGATAACGAGTTGATGGGTGCAGCAAACCACCATGGCACGTCTATACCTATATAACAAACCTGCATGTTCTGCACATGTACCCCAGAACTTAAAGTACAATAATAAAAAGAATAGCTAACTCATGCTGGGCTTTAATACTTAAGTGATGGGTTGATAGGTGCAGCAAACCACCACGGCACATGTTTATCTATGTACAATCCTGCATATGTACCCGGAACTTAAAATTTTTAAAAATTACCCAGTCTCAGGTATTTCTTCAGAGCAGTGTGAGAACGGAGTAATACAGGCAACCAACGGGCTTTGCTCATTCTTGCAATCAGCATCTTTTTTTTTTTGCATCCATTCAGGAGCTACCTCGCACCAAGAGAAACACTGGTAGGAAGGGTAAGGGGAACAGGGTATGGCTGGCATCACTAGGGGAAGATGAGCCGATACATCAAGCCCTGCAGCAGGGGAAGGCAGAATGCTCACTGGGTGCTAGAACTTGAACTTCACCCCTGACATTCAGAAAAATCTCTTTGGACAAAGAGCAGAGCAGGAATGAAGCCCACAATTAAGATTGCGATCAATTATCTTTTTTTTTTTTTTTTGAGGCAGAGTCTTGCTCTGTTGCCCAGGCTGGAGCGCAGTGGTGCGATCTTGGCTCACTGCAACCTCCACCCGCCAGGTTCAAGCGATTCAGCCTCCCAAGTAGCTGGGATTACAGACGCGCACCACCACGCCTGGCTAATTTTTGTATTTGTAGTAGAGACAAGGTTTCGATGATCAGTCATCTTTTTGACGCACTGCTGGATTCTGTTTGCTAGTATGTGGTTGAGCATTTGTGCGTCTATCTTCATCTGGGATATTGGCCTGTAGTTTTCTATTTTTGTCGTGTCCTTGTCAGATTTTGGTATCAAGATGATACAGGTTTTGTAGAATAAGTTAGGGAGGAATCCCTCCGCCTCAATTTTTTAGAATCGTTTCAGTCAGATTGGAACCAGCTCTTCTTTGTACATCTGGTCGAATTCAGCTGTGAATTTGTCTGGTCTTGGGGCTTTTTTTTTTTTTTTTGATTGATAGGTTTTTGTAAATTACTGATTCAATTTCATAACTTGTCATGAAATGAGTCTGTTCTGGATCTGATTTCTTCCTGATTCAATCTTGGGAGGCATGAGGGAATCAGCCCAGGTGTCCATCAATTATGTGTTGGATGAAGAAAATGTAGTTGCTGCATATATACCGTAGAATAGTATAGAGCCATAAAAAAGAATGAAATCATGTTTTTAGCAGCAACACAGATGCAGCTGGAGGCCATTATCCTAAGTGAATTAACACAGAAACGGAAAATTAAATACCACTTGTTCTCAATTATACATAGGAGCTAAACATTGAATAATCAGGCATAAAAATGGGAAGCTGGCACACCTGCGCATTCCAAGAGCAGGGGAGGGAGAGGGGTGTAAAGGCTAAAACTCTACCTATGAGGTATTTTGTTCACCGTTTGAGTGACAGGTTCAACTGAAGCGTGAACCGCAGCACTACACAATGTATCTTACAACAAAGCTGCACGTGTACCTCATGAAATTTTTTTTAAAAGAAAACAAACAAGGCCGGGGGGTGGGTGGCTCACGCCTGTAATCCCAGCACTTTGGGAGGCCGAGGCGGGTGGATCACGAGGGGTCAGGAGATCGAGACCATCCTGGCTAACATGGTGAAACCCTGTCTCTACTAAAACTACAAAAAATTAGCCAGGCGTGGTGGCGGGCGCCTGTAGTCCCAGCTACTCAGGAGGCTGAGGCAGGAGAATGGCATGAACCTGGGAGGCGGAGCTTGCAGTGAGCCGAGATTGTGCCACTGCACTCCAGCCTGGGCGACAGAGCAAGACTCCCTCTCAAAAAAAAAAAAAAGTAATAAAAATAAAAAAAATAAAATAAAAAACAAGGAAAAACAAAAGAGTATGAGGCTTCAAGCCCACTGGACCAAGACACCAGGGTGATCTGCGCATAGGACACAGGAAATCGTACTTGCTAGGAGCTCAGTGGCTGCGTTCACCTGGAACCTAACCCATGTAGGAGCTGCGTCCCTTTCCCAGGGCACCATGAGAGGGACCAGGGAACCGAACACAGGAGGATCTCCGGAAGACTTGAGATAGGTTTTTTCATTCCACCTGGAGTACCTTCAACGATACCTTCATTCTATTTAGATAATTTAGAGAAATGAAAGTTAGAGTGTTTGGGAGTATTTAACGCACTCCTAGGAGCTACAAAATGAGTGTCTGCCACGTAGCTCATGGAATAAGATGGAGTATACCAGTTATCCATGTGGCAAGAACAGAAAAGAAGCAGGAAGTACAGCTTCAGCCAACGAGGGCGCTCCCAGTTACTGGTCATGATATAAAGCCAAAATGGTGGCCTCCTACACTCAGAGCCTGTGAAAAAGGTGATGTCTGTATCTTGATGGTAAAGATACAGAGTATTAAAAAGGAGGAATTACAATTGTTAAAACAACTGTTCGACAATTGTTCGACAATTGTTTTAACAATTGTTCAACAATTGTTAAAACGTTCACATTTATCAGCCAAACAAGCAAAAACCAAGTAGAAATGGCCCTAGTCACACAAGACAGCAATGATTGAAGTCTAAAACGTTAATGGAACAAGGAGGATCATCGCCTATGAAGGCATGGTTTGGATCTGTGTAACCAACCTTGTAACCCAACAGGGCTAACTTGAAAATCATAAACCAAATGCTGAATTGAGATGAAGCTATAATGTGCCATTTTCACAGCATTTTCTTCAGAATAACACAATATCCAAGTATATTTTTCAAGAATTCCTAGGTAGGCAGGGAGAAATGAACAAAATCAACATTGTGGGGGAAGGAGGAAAGGATGGGTGGAAAGAGGGAAGGGGAGGGGAGGGGAGGGAAGCAAGAATGAATGGAAGGAGGGAAGAAAGAAAGGGAGGGAGGGAGAAAGGAGGGAAGAAAGGGAAGGAGGAAAGGATGGGTGGAAACGGGGAAGGAAGGAAGAAGGAGAAACAAGGTCCCAGAAAATACTGTCAATAATATATTTAATGAGGCAGGAAATGCAAACTTACAAATAGGAAACACTGTACTGTATGAAAAAAGCTTTAAAATGATAGGTTTCTGTTTCTTAGTATCCTGATAATATGTTACATTTGTAAGTAAAATGTGAAAATCTCGAGGAAATAATTTTCTCAGAGATACTAATTATCCCAATTCAATCAAGGAAATTAGGTCTAATCAGACCAATAGCTATAAGAAAAATAGAGAAGAATAATGAAAGAATGGCATGAAGAAAGGGTAGATGAGTGCAGAGGGTATTTTAGAAAATTCTTCTAGACTTTCAAAGAACAGATAAGTGCCCTGATACTGACTGGTTGGACAAAAAGAGTCTGAGGTGGTTTGTTTTGTGAAATTTATGCTGTTCTGATAGAAATTCTGAAAAAAGCATAGCAGAAGAAATTTGCTAGGAGGGCAGGAATTGCTTGATGAGTAACATTTATATATACAGAAGAAAAAAATCATAAAAATGTAAACTTAAAGAAGTCTTCCACTGAGACATACAAAAGCAAATGTATTTAATACTAAGAAAAAAATTTCCAGAAATGCTGTCCATTCTGAAATATTATTAAAGAGCTCCTAGAATAAATGTGATAAGTGTGTCCATAACCACTACCTGAAAATCAGATCTTAGTCAACCTTGTAACCCAACTGGGCTAATTTGAAAATCATCATGGCCAGGTGTGGTGGCTCACCCTGTCACTGTAGCATTTTGAGAGGCCGAGGTGGGAGGATTGCTTGAGGCCAGTTCAAGAGCAGCCTGGGCAACATAGCAAGACCCTACCTCTACAAAAGGAAGTCATAAAAAATTATCTGAGTGTGGTGGTGCATGTCTGCAATCCCAGCTACGTGGGAGGCTGAGGTGGCAGGACTGCTTGAGCATAGGAGGTTGAGGCTGCAGTGAGCTATGATTATGCCTCTGCACCTCTGCACTCCAGCTTAGAAAACAGAGCAAGACCCTGTCTCAAAATAATATAAAATAAAAACCCATCATTTAGACCAGGAGGCAGCGCTTGTGGAGAAGGCGTTCAGCTCAGAGCAGCAACAGCTTTCAAGCATCTACCAACAGCCAACACAGCCCCTGAATCCGTCTGCACCTGCCCCGTCCCTACGCATCCTAATAAATTCACGAGTGTCTTGGTAAGCCAGAACCTCCGGGATCCAGGCAGCCAGAGGACAGTTCTTCCCGCACTTGTGGGTAGCAACAGCCGTCCTGCTACCCAAAAAGCCCAGTTCTTGGAGCCAAGAGCTGATGCGACCACAGCCTGCAAAGTCTTGAGCAGGGACGAAGCTCATGATGGCTTCTGGCCTCTCTTCATTCAGGAGGGAAGGAACCCAGGTGCCCGAACTGCCGGAATTTGCCAAGAAGGAGGGCAGATTGGTTGTCACCCCCTGCGTCTCTCATTTCTATATATTTATCAATTTAAAAATAAAGGTGAAATACCAGTATCTCTTAGTCGTTATGCAGGTATGGAGCGCCTCTCTGGAGACCTGAAATCCTATTTTCTTTGTATGAGGCAGCTATCCATCTGCCCCTAAGACCTACTGTGAAAGACGCTGCAGCGAGATTATTCTGTGTGTGTGTGTATATGTGTGTGTGTGTGTGTGAGAGAGAGAGAGAGAGGGAGAGAGAGAGAAAATAAGCAAGAGAGAGGAAGAAAAAAGAACAAAACACAGAGAAAGTTATGGAGAAAGAGAGGGTGAGAATGGGAGAGAAAGAGAGAGACAGAGGGAGGAAAGAGACAGAGAGAAAGATTGTGACACAGAAATAGAAGCACAGAAAGAGAGCTTGAAAGAGACAGAGAGTGTGCCAGAGAGACACAGAGAGACAGATACAGGCTCACACCTGTAATCCCAATAGTTTGGGAGGCCGAGGCGGGTGGATCGCCTGATGTCAGGAGTTCGAGACCAGCCTGGCCAACATGGTGAAACCCCGTCTCTACTAAAAATATAAAAACTAGCTGAGCGTGGTGGCGGGCACCTGTAATCCCAGCTACTCGGGAGGCTGAGGCAGGAGAATCGCTTGAATCCGGGAGGCGGAGGTTGTAGTGAGCCGAGATCACTCCATTGCACCCCAGACTGAATGAGAAGAACAACACTCTGTGTCAAAAAAAAAAAAAAAGAGAGACAGAAGGAGAGAGACACAGAAACTGAGAGACAGAGAGAATAAGCGAGAGACAGAGAGAGAGAAAGAGGAGAGACACAGAGAAAGTGACAGAGAGGGACAGAGAGGAATAGAATGAGAGAGACAGAGGTTGTGACACAGAGAGGGAGAGAAAGAGAGAGAGACATACAGAGAGAGAAAGAGAGAGATGGGGAGAGAGCTGCCTGGCATGGTGGGATAAATAAGTGGGTGACGCCTTTGTTTTCATTGTGTTTACTACGATGGCCCTCCTCTCCCTCTTGAGCACTTGAGATACATCACTACGAGAGAACTCAAGTTAAAACAATGCTCCTCGGATACACAGCTGTCCTCAGAAACCACCTTCAGGATAAACTCTGTAAATATTGTTGTCAGAATGGTAAAGTGTTCAGATAATTAAAGTTGTCCTCTGACTCCCAGGTCTAGTCTAGAAAAGAAGATTAAAATGAAAGCACCATTGACCCACCCGCGAGGCAAAGAGCAGATGCCCCAAAGAGCTTGTGTAAGTAAAGAGGAAAGAAAGGCTTTCGAAGACAAGGCACTACCCAAGGGCGAGAAGTCAATCTTGATGTTGCCGTGGAAACGCGGACTTGTGAAGAGCTTTCAAGAACAATTCTGTCTCCAAGGAGGTAAATCGTCCTCCTGGGAATGCGTTGAAACCATTATCCACCCACAGGACTGGGCTAAAAGTAAACTTCAGGGTAGCTTGGATGAGCAGCATAGGTTGCTAATGAGCGTCGATTTAATGGTCTGAGTTGTTTATACATCAAAAAGAAGTTACCAAGGGTCTACCTGTCTGCTGTTTAGATACACTGGAAACCAGTTAAAACTTAATTCCTAAGAAGCTGTTTCCCACTGTGTTCAAATTTAAATGCTTCAAGAGTAATGCTTCTGGGCACAAAATGGAAAAAGTGGGGAAAATCCAACGGCATCAAAATCCCCACGCCACCACCCATGCTGCAAGCACTGTAAGCTGTGATAGTATCTGTCTGCTAAAGGTGCTAAAGAGAAAGCTTGAGGAACTGAGACCTGGCAGGGACCCCTCTTAGGGGCAAACCAGGAAACTCTCTCCACCCCCGACCAAGCATGGAAATCAAGAGAAATCTTGAGTTCCTTCCAGGAAGGAAACTCCAGGCACTTCGCTGGCTGGGAGAAGTTAATGAGCAACTTGATGAAGAAGAAAGTCACAGTAGCTTAAAATAACAACCAAGGAAATTAGAGTCAGGGATGTTCGCTTCCCTAGAGCAACTAATAAAGAAAATGTGGCACGTAGACACCATGGAATACTATGCAGCCATAAAAAAGGATGAGTTCATGTCCTTTGCAGGGACATGGATGAAGCTGGAAACCATCATTCTCAGGAAACTATCACAGGAACAGAAAACCAAACACTGCATGTTTTCACTCATAAGGGGGAGTTGAACAATGAGAACACATGGACACAGGGAGGGGAACATCACACACAGGGGTCTTTCGGGGACTGGGGGACTAGGGGAGGGAGAGCATTAGGACAAATACCTAATGTAGATGATGGATGGCAGCAAACTACCATGGCACGTGTATACCTAGTAACAAACCTGCATATTCTGCACATGTACCCCAGAAGTTAAAGTATAATTAAAAAAAATAAAAGAAACTCACACCTCTACCCTATGGAATCCTCTGGCATGAAGACCTCAGACGTGGGAGAGCTAGGGACTGAACTCTGATCCCTGTTCCTTGTTTTAAATTTCTTCCTGAGGGTCCTGGAGGAGGTCCTGCCCATGGGCCAGATCCAATGTGCTTTTACTGCTGACCGCAAGTCTTAGACAAAGCTCCACTTCCTTAACCAATTGCAAGTCCAAAAGTCTTTGAATCCACCTTGTTCCTGTAAGCAACCCCACCCTCGGGCCCAGCTTCAAGATATATATTTTTTTTTTTTTGAGATGGAGTTTCGCTCTTGTTGCCCAGGCTGGAGTGCAGTGGCATGATCTTGGCTCGCTGCAACCTCTGCCTCCCAGGTTCAAGCGATTCTCTTGCCTCAGCCTCCCAAGTAGCTGGAATTACAGGCACTTGCCACCACACCTGGGTAATTTTTTGTATTTTTAGTCAAGACGGGGTTTCACCATGTTGGCCAGGCTGGTCTTGAACTACTAGTAGACCTCAGGTGATCTGCCTGCCTCAGCCTACAAATGTGCTGGGATTACAGGCATGAGCCACCGTACCTGGCCCAAGATATCCCTTTTTAGGCCAAACCAACGTATAGCTTCCATGTATTGATTTATGATTTTTTTTTTACTTATTATTTTTGAGATGTAGTCTCGCTCTGTCGCCCAGGCTGGAGTGCAGTGGTGCCATCTCGGCTCACTGCAACCTCCGCCTCCCAGGTTCAAGCGATTCTCCTGCCTCAGCCTCCCAAATAGCTGGGACTACAGGCAAGCGCCACCATGCCCAGCTAATTTTTGTATTTTTAGTAGAGACAGGGTTTCACCATGTTGGCCAGGATGGTCTCGATCTCATGACCTCGTGATCTGCCCACCTCGGCCTCCCAAAGTGCTAGAATTACAGGCATGAGCCACGACGCCCAGCCGTGATTTATAATTGTTGATGAAAAGAGTCAAACTCTGTAAAATATTTGAAGAGATTTATTCTGAGCGAAATATGAGTGACCACGGCCCGTGACACAGCCCTCAGGAGATCCCGAGAACATGTACCCCAGGTGGTCGGGGTGCAGCTTGATTTTATATATTTTAGGAAGGCATGAGACATCAATCAAATACATTTCAGAAATACATTGGTTTGGTTCAGAAAGGTGGGACAACTCAACCTGGGGGCTGCCAGGCTATAGGTAAGTTTAAATATTTTCTGGTTGACAACTGGTTGAGTTTATCTGAAGACCTGGAATCAACAGAAAGGAAATGTCCAGGTGGAGATAAAGGATTGTGGGAACCAAGTTTTATTTTGCACAGGAAGCTCTCAGATAGCAGACTTCAGAGAGAACAGGTTGTAAAATGTTTCTTATCAGACCTAAAAGGGGGCCTGGCTCTCAGTTGATTATGTCCCAGATCTGGGAAGGAACAAAGGAACAAAGGGAGGGACGGAAGGAAGGAGGGAAGGAGGGAAGGAAGAGAGGGAGGGAAGGAGGGAAGGAAGGGAGGGAGGGAAGGAAGGGAGGGAAGGAGGGAATGAAGGAGGGAATGAGGGAGGGAAGGAGGGAATGAGGGAGGGAAGGAGGGAGGCAGGGAGGGAAGGAGGGAGGGAGGGAAAGGAGGGAGGGAGGGAAAGAAGGGAGAGAGGGAAAGGAATGGAGGGAAGGAAGGAAGGGAAAGAAGGGAGGGAAGGAAGGAAGGGGAGAAGGGAGGAAGGAAGGGGAGAAGGGAGGAAGGAAGGGGAGAAGGAAGGAAGGAAGGAAGGGAGGTAAAGGAGGTAAGGGAGGGAGGGAGGAAAGGCTATTCTCTATAGAATGTGGATTTTTCCCACAAGAGACTTCTCAGGGCAATTTCAAGGTATGGCAAGGAAATATATTTTGGGGTTAAATACATTGTTTTTCCTTGTCTCATTATGTTATGCCAGAGTCACATTGGAAAGTAAGTTACGATATATAGGGTTAAATAAAACCCATCTAATGAGAACTCATGGTTTGTAAAGAATGACTCCCTAGACCCTTTAGATAGGAATTTGGGCAAGATAAAAAAATCAGAACTTCGTCCTCATGATTTTGCCTGGAGCAGCTTCTGTCCTGAAATTTACCCGACTTGAAACACTATGGCTCGGAAGTCATTGAAAAGATTGGGTCTTAGGCCAGGTGCGGTGGCTCACGCCTGCAATCTCAGCACCTTGGGATGCCAAAGCGAGGGAATCACCTGAGGTCGGGAGTTAAGAGACCAGCCTGACCAACATGGAGAAATGCTGTCTCTACTAAAAGTACAAAACTAGCCAGGCGTGGTGGCGCATGCCTGTAATCCCAGCCACTCAGCAGGCTGAGGCAGGAGAATTGCCTGAACCCGGGAGGTGGAGGTTGCGGTGAGCTGAGATCACGCCATAGCACTCCAGCCTGGGCAGCAAGAGTGAAACTCCGTTTCAATAAAAAAAAAAAAAACGTTAGGTCTTAAGCGTGAGCTGCCTGAGTCTCCTGGCTTGGTGCTGTCCAAATAAACACTATCCTTTCTCTTGCTGCAAAGCCTCATTGTGGAGGTTTGACCTAAGTGCACCAGGCAAGTGGACACCAGTCCAGTTTGGCAACAAAACAGGCATCAGTAACGTGGGGTACAGGGTGAGAAAGGCCTACATCAGCAGCTTTTTATGAGATGAAAAGATTTCCTATCAGGAGAACATAAACAGACTTAGACTAAGGTGTTGGACTTCTGTTCGTCTGAGGATCCTGTTTCTTGCTGCCTGGTGAGAAGGTAGTGAGGTCATTTGGGTATACATAGCAGCATTAACAGCTTGAACCTAGCGAATATAGATGCCCATCTGTCTGCAGAAGTTGCCTCCCTCTGCCCTCAAATGAGCTGCTTAAGGAGCCATCCATCTTAGCTAGCTCTGCTGCGTAACAAAACGCCCCAAACGTAGTAGTTTAAAAAACAACACCCCTTTATGATCTCACAGTTCTGTAAGTCAGAAGATTGGGTTTAGATTAACAGGATGTCTCCATTTAGAGTCTCACAAGGCTGGAATTAAGGTGTCAGACAAAGCTGAGATGACATCTGTAGCTTAGGATGCTCTTCCAGGCATGCTGAATTGGGAGGCAAAATTCAGCTTCTTGTGGTTGTGAGATTGAGTCACATTTTCTCTCTTTTCTTTGAGACAGAGTCTCACTCTGTTGCCTAGGCTGGAGTGCAGTTTCGCGATCTCAGCTCACTGCAACCTCCGCCTCCCAAGATCAAGTGATTCTCTTGCCTCAGCCTCCCCAGTAGCTGGGATTACAGGTGCCTGCCACCACACCCAGCTAATTTTTGTCTTTTTAGTAGAGACGGGTTTTCTCCTTGTTGGAAAGAGTGGTCTCAAACTCCTGATCTCAGGTGATCCACCGGCCTTGGCCTCCAAAAGTGCTGGGATAACAGGCGTGAGCCACCGCGCCCGGCCAAGTCTCATTTTCATTTTGGCTGTCAGACAATGGTGGCTCTCTGCTTGCTGTGACACCCTCAGCAACTTGTCATATGGGAGTCTGCTTCTTCAAAACCAGCAAAAAGGGCCGGCTGCGGTGGCTCACGCCTGTAATTCCAGCACTGTGATAGGCTGAGGTGGGGAAGATCACCTGAGCTCAGGAGTTCGAGACCAGCCTGGCCAAAAGGGTGAAACCCTGTCTCTACGAAAAATACAAAAATTAGCCAGGCATGGTAGTGGGCGCCTGTAATCCCAGCTACTTGGGAGGCTGGGGCAGGAGAATCGCTTGAACCTGGGAGGTGGAGGTTGCAGTGAGCCGAGATTGCACCACTGCACTCCAGCCTGGGTGATAGAGCAAGACTCTGCCTCAAAAACAACAACAATAATAACAACAAAAACCAGGAAAAGGATCTCTGAGACCATCTCAAGTTTATTTGAAGAAGAAGAATTACTCATTCATCTCACCCTCTTTGAGGCAGGTCCAGCACAGATGATCTCTCCTTTGATTAAACCCACGTATGCCTAGTGTTCCATTATTGGAATGCTAAGCATGTGGAGTTATTTATATCCTACTGCTCAAGGTCATCGCCAAGATCTGATGGCAAAAATTCAAAAACTTGCAACTTCAGGCATAAATGGATTAACTCAAAGTTTTGAATCAAAGAAGATGAGTGAGGCAAGCCTCCATTAGTTTAGAGGTTAATTTTGCCACGGTTGAGAATGTGCCCCAGTCCAGGAAAAACAGACGCCAGTCACCATAGGACCTGTGCTCCGTGCTTTTTCTTTTCTTTTTGAGACGGAGTCTCCCTCTGTCGCCCAGGCTGGAGTGCAATGGCGCCATCTCGGCTCACTGCACCCTTCGCCTCCCGGGTTCAAGTGATTCTCCTGCCTCAGCTTCCTGAGTAGCTGGGATTACAAGTGCACGTCACCACGCCCGGCTAATTTTTGTATTTTTACTAGAGATGGGCTTTCACCACGTTTGTCAGGCTGGTCTCAAACTCCTGACCTCAGGTGATCCACCCGCCTCGGCTTCCCAAAGTGCTGGGATTACAGGCGTGAGCCACCGCGCCTGGCTTTTTTTTTTTTTGAGACAGAGTCTTGCTGTGTGGCCCAGGCTAGAGTGCAGTGGCGCAGTCTCAGCTCACTGCAGCCTCCACCTCCCGGGCTCAGATGATTCTTCTGCCTCACTGTCCCAAGTAGCTGGGATTACAGGCATGCAACGCCACGCCCTGCTATTTTTTTTATTTTTCAGTACAGACGGGGTTTTGCCATGTTGGCAGGCTGGTCTTGAACTCCTGACCTCAGGTGATCCACCTGCCTCGGCCTCCCAAAGTGCTGGGATTACAGGCGTGAGCCACTGCGTGCGGCCCTGTGCTTTTTCCAAGGATGGTTTTGAGGGCTTTGGTATAGAAAGGGAAAAAAGCAGGCAGGAGGGAAAGAGGAAAGAAAAAAAAAAGAAGGAGAGTAGATAAAAGAGGCAAATGATTACATTCTTGTGAGTCTTTGATTGGCACTCTCTGAATACACATTTTACATGGCAAAGTGCGGGTAGAGGAACAGTCAATCACGCGTTCATTTCATGCACAGTAAATCCACTTTTGCATAAGACAAAGTCAACATACAGAAGAGGAAGATGTCAAACATGCATTTGTCTCAGGGTGGGCGGAGAGATCATTTCTAGTCTTATCTTTGTCCCACACTTGTGAAGACAAGTTGTTAATTTACATTGTCAGGGAGAAATTCAACAGAACTCTGTTTTAGGGGAAAGATTTTGGAGCCCACAAGAAATTTCCTTATGAGCAATTTGTGAGAGCATCTCCGCTGGGGAGGGATGTGCAGAAATGAAGAGGCTACAACAAGTGTCTGAAGATAGTCCTGAAGGCCAGGTGCAGTGGCTCATGCCTGTAATACCAGAGCTTTGGGAGGCTGAGGCAGGAGGATTGCTTGAGCCTAGCAGTTCGAGACCAGCCTGGGCAACATGGTGAAACCTCGTGTCTACCAAAAATACAGAAAAAAAAAAAAAAAAAAGCAGCTGGGTGTGGTGATGGTGGTGCATGCCTGTAGTCCCAGCTACTTGGGAGGCTGAGGTGGGAGGATCACTTGAGCTGAGAAGGTCAAGGCTGTGCCACTGCACTCCAGCCTGGGCAACACAGTGACAACCCAATCTCAAAAAAAAAAAAAGATACCCTTCCAGCCAGATGAATGCACATGACCACTGGCATGAGAGGAGGTCGGCATTAAGATACAGGTCCTAAGGACCTTGTTGATAAAACAGGTTGTGGTAAAGAAGCTGGCCAAACCCCATGCAAACCAAGATGGCGACGAGACTGACCTCTGGTCTTCCTCACTGTTCATTATACGCTAACTCTAATGCATTCGCTGCTAAAAGACACTTCCATCAGCCTCATGGCAGTTTACAGATGTCATGGCAATGTCAGGAAGTTACCCTATAGGGTCTAAAAAGGGGAGGAACCCTCAGTTCCCAGAACCGCCCACCGGCTTCCCAGAAAACTCACGAATAATCTTTCCCTTGTTTCGCACAGAATCAAGAAATAACCATAAAAATCACCAACTGGCAGCCCTCGGTGCTGCTCTGCCAATGGAGTGGCCACTCTTTATTCCTTTACTTTCTTAATCAACTTGCTTTCACTTTACTCTATGGACTCACCCCAAATTCTTTCTTGCACAAGATCCAAGAACCCTCTCTTGGGGTCAGGATCAAGACCCCTTTCCAGTAAACAACGCCTCATGTTTTCTATAATAATTTCATTACTTTGTGTGCCCACTGACAATGGTAATGGTCTAACCCGGGGTTGGTCAACTGCAGCCCTCTAGCAAAATCCAGCCCCTTGCCTATTTTTGTGCACCTTGTAAACCAAAAAACTATTTCCACATCTTTTAAACAGTGGGTTAAAAAAAATCAAAAGAAGGATAACACAGTTGACTGTTGGACAACATACATCTGAACTGAGCAGATTCACCCATTTGGACTTTCACCCGAGATGACTCCTCCTCCCTCTTCGTCCCCCCTCCTCCCCCCCTCCCTTCTCCTCCTCCCCTCCCCCTCCTCTCCCTACTCCTGCAGAGTGCAGTGACTCACGCCTATAATCCCAGCAGTTTGGGAGGCCGAGGCGGGTAGATCACGAGGTCAGGAGTTGAAGACCAGCCTGGCCAATATGGTGAAACCCCGTCTCTACTAAAAATACAAAAATTAGCCAGGTGTGGTGGCGTGTGCCTGTAATCCCAGTTACTTGGGAGGCTGAGGCAGAAGAAGTGCTTGAACCCAGGAGACGGAGGTTGCAGTGAGCCGAGATCGTGCCACTGCACTCCAGCCTCGGTGACAGAGTGAGACTCCATCTCAAAAAAAAAAAAAAAAAAGAGAACGAAGACCTTTATGATGATCTACTTCCATTTAGTAAGTAGTAAAATATTTTCTCTTCTCTTCCTTAGCATTTTTTTTCTAGCTGACTTTATAATATACATAACATACAAACTATGTACTAATCGACTCTATGTTATGAATAAAGCTTCCGGTCAAGAGTACACTACCAGTATTTAACTTTTGGGGGAGTCAGAACCTATACATAGATTTTCAACTGCATAGAGGTCAGTACCCCTAACCCCCGTGTTGTTCAAGGGTCAGCTGTATATACATATTTTTTCGAGGTGGAGTTTCCCTCTTGTTGCCCAGGCTGGAGTGCGATGGCGTGATCTCAGCTCACTGCAATCTCCACCTCCCGAATTCAAGCGATTCTCCTGCCTCAGCGTCATGAGTAGCTGGGATTACAGGCACGCACCACCATTCCCAGCTAATTTTTTGTATTTTTAGTAGAGACGGGTTTCACCATGTTGGTCAGGCTGGTCTTGAACTCCCGACCTCAGGTGATCCACCCGCCTCGGCCTCCCAAAGTGCTGGGATGACAGTTGTGAGCCACTGTGCCCGGCCGGGTCAACTGTATTTTGTGCCACGTGATAAATATATACATTTACATCTCAGTGTCCCTCAAGATTCTTAGAACACAGAACTTGCCCATTCATTTACATATTGCGCTGTTGTGGTAGCGATCATATGACCCAAAGAGCTTCACATATTTCCCTATGTGGACTTTTCTTTTCTTTTTTTTTTTTTTGAGATGGGATCTTGCTCTGTCACCCAGGCTGGACTGCAGTGGGGTGATCTCAGCTCACTGCAACCTCCACCTCCCAGGTTCAAGAGATTCTCCTCCCTAATCCTCCTGAGTAGCTGGGATTACAGACACGCACCACTACACCTGGCTAACTTTTTGTATTTTTAGTGGAGGCGGGGTTTCGCCATGTTGGCCAGGTTGGTCTCCAACTCCTGACCTCAAGTGATCTGCCCACCTTGGCTTCCCAAAGTGCTGGGATTGCAGGCATGAGCCACCGTGCCTGGCCCTGCAAGTCTGTTTTGATTGGATTTGTTTGACTTTAAACCCATTCGGAAGAGTTTTCCTAGAATTGCTACACTCGGAGACATGAGGCAATGCTTACTCTGACTTTTGACGTTTTCAAGTGTACAGTTGAAAGTCAACAACATGGGTGAATGTGGCAACCCCTCCTTACACAATCAGAGACAGTCACTGCCAAGCCGCTTCGTGGATTGTCATTAGCTTCCAATGAGAAACAGGTGCACAATCAAGGTCTAAAGATAAAGAGGGTTAAGTGCAAGACAGCAGCCATGACGTGTCGGTCCACGTACAGCCTGTCTGCCTGAGGGCTCAGTGATCCAAAAAGACACTGCAGGTCAGCACTTCAGAGTGTTCGCAACATCCGGGGTTACTTAACCCTGTGGCTTGACAAGCAGCAGAGATTTGCAAACAATGATAGCTTCTGTGCCACTTCAGCCGAACACTGGCTCTGAAAACAGCCTCAGTATCTGACAAGCTCTCATTCCTGGGCTTGTGGCGTGGCTGTCCATTGAGAGAGCCTAAGTATATCTTCATGCCGAGGGGATGGGAGCATTTATATAAATAAATGTTTGCACTGATTACAGCACTGCTGCCAAAGAGCTTGATGGGCGATGATGATCCGATTTCGCCATGGCAGCTTATGTTTACAGAACCCGGCTCCATTGCAGACAGGACATCGAATGTGTAACGCAGTATTTAAATGTCCACTGACATTTACAGCTCGTGTCAGCCCAAGAGGGAAGAGGCGTTGGTGTCCCAGTCTGCCAAGGAGGGCTCCTGCTATGGAATGAATGGTGTCACCCCGAATCTCATGTGTGGAAACCCTAATGCCAAAGGGGATGGTATTTGGAGACGGAGCCTTTGGGAGATGATGATGTTTACATCAGGTCGTGAAGGTGGGATCCTTATGTTGGGATTCGTGCCCTTGTAAGAAGAGACACCAGGGCACACATGCTCCCTCGTGCTCCACCCCCCTCTCTCTCTGCCCTGCGAGACCATCTGTAAACCAAGAAGAGGAACCTCTCAAGTACCCAACCATGGTGCCACCTGGATGTAAACATTTCTGCCTCCAGTACTATAGAGAAATAAATTTCTGTTATTTATGCCACCCCATCTATGGTCCAGTTAACCCTTAAACAACACAGGTTTGAATTGCACGGGTCCACTTCTACGGGCATTTTCTTCTACCTCTGCCACCCCGGAGCCAGCAAGACCAATCCCTCCTGTCCGCTCTCATCTTAGGCTACTCAAGGTGAAGACGATAAGGATGAAGACCTTCATGACGATCCACTCCCACTTCAGAAATAGTAAATATATTTTCTCTTCTCTATGATTTTTAAAAATTTAGTTTGGTGTCCTTTTTTGTTTTTAATTATCTTTCCATAAGTGATTGGGGTACTGGTGGTATTTGGTTACCTAAGTTCTTTAGTGGTGATCTGTGAGATTTTGGTACACCCATCACCCGAACAGTATATACTGCACCCTATTTGTAGTGTTTATCCCTCACCCCCCTCCCACTCTTCCCCCCCAAGACCCCAAATTCCATTTTATCATTCTTATGCCTTTGTGTCCTCATAGCTTAGCTCCCACGTAACACTGAGAACATACGATGTTGGTTTTTCATCCCTGAGTTACTTCACTTAGAATAAAAGTTCCTTATCAGGCGTGGTGGCTCAAGCCTGTAATCTCCACACTTTGGGACGCCAAGGCGGGTAGGTCACCTAAGGTCAGGAGTTCAAGACCAGCCTGACCAACGTGGTGAAACCCTGTCTCTACTAAAAATACAAAAATTAGCTGGGCGTGGTGGCGTGCACCTTTAGTGCCAGCTACTCGGGAGGCTGAGGCAGGAGAATCACTTGAACGTGGGAGGCGTAGGCTGTACTGAGCAGAGATCACACCACTGAACTCCAGCCTGACTCCAGGGCAACAGAGTGAAACTCCATCTCAAAAAAAAAAAAAAAAGAATGAAAGTTCCTTATGATTTTTGATTCTCAAAGTTCCTTATAAGGCGATTCTCCTGCCTCAGCCTCCTGAGTAGCTGGGATTACAGGCGTGCGCCACCACGCCCGGCTAAAAAAAAACAAACAGCATTTTCTTTTCTCTAGCATACTTTAATAATACAGTATACAATACATAAAACATACAAAATATATGTTAATCGACTTTATGGTATTGATAAGGCTTCTGCTCAACAATAGGATATTCATAAGTTTTGGGTGAGTCAAAAGTTATCTTTGGATTTTCAACTGTGCCAGGGACGTGTGTGACGCCCCTAACTCCCACATTGTTCAAGGGTCAACTCTAGTTTTTTGTTGTTGTTGTTGTTGTTTTTGAGATGGAATCTTGCTCTGTCGCCCAGGCTGGAGTGCAATGGTGTGATCTTGGCTCCCTGCAATCTCCGCCTCCCAGGTTCAAGCGATTCTCCTGCCTCAGCCTCCTGAGTATCTGGGATTACAGGCGCCACACCCAGCTAATTTTTGTATCAAGGTCAACTGTATTTTCTTGCAACAGCCAGAGCTGACTAAGACAGTCTTGAAGCTCAAAGAGGTACAAGAACCTACCCAAAGTTATCCAACCAACAAGCACCTGGAAGGCAGAATAAAGACTCAGGTAGCCAAGCGCCATAGCCACACCATGGTAGAGCTATTCTGCCTTGTAGAGATGCATTGAATCTGTCACAGGGTGAATACATCTCCAAATGCATTTGAAAACTCCTACGGGATGCTACAGAAACACGTGAGGGAAGAGTGGGTGTGGACATACTCTCCATCTGTTACACTCAGAGTACTCCAACTACAGGAGTGAGATGCCTCAAGACAGGCCAAGGCAGAAACAAGCATCACTATGAACCCCAGAATAGATATGTTTTTTGGCCAGACACGGTGGTACACGCCTGTAATCCCAGCACTTTAAGAGGCCCAGGTGAGAAGACTGCTGGAGGCCAGGAGTTTAAGACCAGCCTGAGCAACAGAGGAAGATCCCATCTCTACAAAATATTTAAAATATATACATAGCTGGGAATGATGATGCGTACCTACAGCCCCAGCTACTTTAGACACTGTGGTGGGAAGATCACTCGAGCCCGGGAGGCTGAAGCTGTCGTGAGCCACAGTCACACCACTGCACTCCAGCCTGGGTGACAGAGTGAGATCCGGTCTCGAAAAAATCATCATTATCGTCACAGTAATGAGAGGAATTTTAGGTGATAGGTGGTTACTAATTTCAAAAATAGGGGCTTCCGGTTTCTCCTCTAATGATACAGGGGTTAAGAAGAAATGACTTAAGCAGATAGTAAAAATTAGCTGGGTGTGGTGGTGCACACCTGTCATCCCAGCTACTTGGGAGGCTGAGATGTGAGGATCACCTGAGCCTCGGAAGTTGAAGTTGCAGTGAGCCATGATCACACCACTGCACTCCAGCCTGGGTAACAGATGGAGACCCTGTCTGGAAAAAAAAAAAAAAAAAGATTTTGCACAAAGTTTTACGATGACTCTGCTTTGTAATTAAAAGTAATTTCTGCTTTGTTGGTGATTTCTCACACATTTATCTGGTAGACCAGATACCTGCATGTGATAGGGTAAGAAGGACCCATTTCCCTCCAAGGAGAACAGCATTGCAAGGGGGTTGAGGACGCATGCATGTGGAATCCAAACATTGAATGCACTGAGACGGCGCTGCATGAAGCCTGTCTGTGAGTTTATGATGAAGCTGCACAGAGCTCCGTAGGCGGCTCTCACTCCTCTCTCTCAGCCTTTGGCTTCAGTTTAATTGCATACACACCCTTCAGAGCTGCTCGGGGCCCCCACTTCTTCAGCCTTCTGGCATTTTTCTAAGAAACACTAAACCTCTTTCCAACGTTGCCCTTGGATTTTGTGTGCACGTCTTCCAGCCCTTGAGCTGCTTGACCTGTGCTTGCAAGGGTTCCATAACACTGGATAGGACAGAAGCTCCGCCCAGCCCCAGGTGAAAGCTCTGTGCTCTTCAGGGACCATGTCCTATTCACACTGTCTCCCTCACATCTAATACAGTCATGATACTCGGCAATATAGTACTCCACCCAACAGGCAACTCAGAGTCTGCCAGTGATACAGGAGTTAAGAAGAAATCACTTAGGCAGACAGTAAGGGTATGGGAGTCCTCGGCAAGGCTTTTTTCTTTTCTTTTTTTTTTTTTTTTTGAGATGGAGTCCCGCTCTGTCGCCCAGGCTGGAGTGTAGTGGCGTGATGTTCGCTCATTGCAACCTCCGCCTCCCGGGTTCAAGCAATTCGCCTGCCTCAGCCTCCTAAGTAGCTGGCATTATAGGTACGCACCACCAAGCCCGGCTAATTTTTGTTTTGTTTTTTTTTTTTTTAGTAGAGACGCGGTTTCACTGGTCAGGCTCGTCTCGAACCCCTGACCTAATGATCCACCCGCCTCAGCCTCCAAAAGTGCTGGGATGACAGGTGTGAGCCACTGCGCCCGGCAGCTTTTCTCTTTAACGAAAAGCAGCCCCAAGTCATTTTCTAACAATGAACAGCCTGTCAAGTCGAGCTGCAGACATACACAAGCCAGCTGGGAGCTTGTACGGGTGAATGTCGGGAGGACCTAGGGACTAGACACGTTCAAGATGGCGGCTCCATCTTCCCGGGAGGAACTAACGACTAGACACGTTCAAGATGGCGGCTCCATCTTCCGGGCAGGAACTAGGGACTAGACACGTTCAAGATGGCGGCTCCATCTTCCCGGCAGGAACTAGGGACTAGACACGTTCAAGATGGCGGTTCCATCTTCCCGGCAGGAACTAGGGACTAGACACATTCAAAACGGCGGCTCCATCTTCCCAGCAGGAACTAGAGACTAGACACGTTCAAGACAGTGGCTCCATCTTCCCTCCTCTTTGTCAGCCACATGTAAAGTAAGAAAAACAGGACCGAGAGCCCCGACCAACTACAAAGCCCATTTGCATAACCGATTAGGGTGGGCAACCAGCCTTTCCTGTGGGCTATGTAAATGTCATGCTTGATGGAACCAATCTCTCGGAGAGCCCCGACCAACTACAAAGCCCATTTGCATAAACGATTAGGGTGGGCAACCAGCCTTTCCTGTGGGCTATGTAAATGCCATGCTTGATGGAACCAATCTCTGAGCTCTATGTAAATGAGACACCGCCTCCTCAAACTGGACTATAAAATCCATCACATTTGGTGCCAGCTGGTCCTTTCCGCTCGGAGACCCCTTTCTCTATAGAGAAAACCATTTCTCTTTCTCTTCTCCTGATTAAACTTCCACTCCTAAACTCCTCGTGTGTGTCTTTGTCCTAAATTTTCCTGATGCCCAATGACGAACCCCAGGGTATATACCCCAGACAACGTAGCCACTTCACTAACATGTAGAGAGCTTGCGCATTTTAATTCCTATCCTCACAATAGGCAAAGAGCAGAACATACTGAAAATCAGCAACTCTGCGATCCATCAGAAAATAGAGATCACAAGACGAAATGCTGCCTGAAGACTGGACAGACAGGTGGCAAGTGGAATTGTGCTTGTCTAGGAGTTCCTGCTGGAGCCAGCACCTGATGGACACATTTGCAGGGTAATTATTAAACAGCTGCAGGCTGACAGTGGACAAGCCTAAGTAAGTTAAAAACTCCTGGCCAGGCATGGTGGCTCGCACCTGTAATCCCAGCACTTTGGGAGGCCAAGGCGGGCAGATCACCTGAGGTCAGGAGTTCGAGACCAGCCTGGCCAACATAGTGAAACCCCGTCTCTACTAAAAATACAAAAATTAGCCGGGCGTGGTGGCAGGCACCTGTAATCCCAGCTACTCGGGAGGCTGAGGCAGGAGAATTGCTTGACCCTGGGAGGTGGAGGTTGTAGTGAGCCCAGATCGCACCACTGCACTCCAGCCTGAGTGACAGAGCGAGACTCTGTCTCAAAAAACAACAACAACAGAAAAACTTCTGGGGGCCCATCTTAGAGGGGACCTTGTACTTTCACAAATTTTACCTCCGGGAGCTCCACCAGGTTCCCAGGGTGAAGATCAAAGAAATATCCAGTTGTGTGTTATTGGGGGAAAGTAACCACTTTGCAATATTCCTAGGGAGACAGTAGCATTTTGAAGTATGCCCAAAGCAATCCGTGTCCTCTCTGCCCTCAAAGGAAATTACTTTAGCGCAGTCAAAGTGAACTGGGGGAAGGGAAATCTTCTATTTCAGTTTTTCTTTTTTTTTTTTTTCTTTCCAGGCAGATTTTCACTCTTGTTGCCCAAGCTGGAGTATAATGGCGCAATCTCGGCTCACTGAAACCTCCACCTCCAGGGTTCAAGCGATTCTCCTGCCTCAGCCTCCTGAGTAGCTGGGATGACAGGTGCCTGCCACCATGCCCGGCTAATTTTTCGTATTTTTAGTAGAGATGGGGTTTCGCCATGTTGGCCAGGCTGGTCTCGCACTCCTGACCTCAGGTGATCCACCCGCCTCAGCCTCCCAAGGTGCTGGGATTACAGGCGTGAGCCACCGTGCCCGACCAGATTTCAGTTTCTATTAGCTTTCAACAACACTTTTCGTGCATGAGTGACGCTGGCGGCCATGTACTCAGCCATTCCATCAAGGTTCCAAGCAGCAAAGCTGCAAAATGGATCTGACTCCTTCAGTGAAGAAGAGTCTCCCTGAATGCATTGGAAACACTCATGAGATGCTACTGAAGCAAGTAAGGGAAGCCTGACTGTGGACATGCTCTCTGTCTCTTAGGCTCACAGTACTCCAACCACAGAAACGAGATGCCTCAAGGGAGGCAGAGGCAGAAAGAAGCCATCACTATAAACCCAAGAATAAAGCCAGCAGAGCTACAGTGATGGCCTGTGTGCTGCAGGTGAGCATCACCTTGTTGTAAGGCCACAGGCTTTCCTGGCCACCCTGCTCAGTTGGCCTCGTGGTGGGAGTCACTAGACTCAAGATAGACCCAGCCAGACCATCTGGTTAGAGCTACCCAAGGAAAAGCCATTGTCAGCACAAAGTCACTGGAGTCTTAGAATGCACAGCTGTGATGGGCTGATTCCTTCTCCCAAATCCCTATGTTAAAGCCCTAACGCCCAGGACCTCAGAATGTCACCATATTTGGAGATAGTCTTTAAAGAGGTGATTAAGGTAAAACAAAGTCACCAGGGAGGCCCCTAATCCGAGAAGACTGGGATGCTTATAAGAAGAGGAGATGAGGCCGGGTGTGGTGGCTCACGCCTGTAATCCCAGTACTTTGGGAGGCTGAGGTGGGTGGATCACGAGGTCAGGTGATCGAGACCATCCTGGCTAACACGGTGAAACTCCATCTCTACTAAAAATAGAAAAAATTAGCTAGGCATGGTGGCACGCACCTGTAGTTCCAGCTACTTGGGAGGCTGAGGCAGGAAAATCGCTTGAACCTGGGAGGTGGAGCTTGCAGTGAGCCGAGATCCCGCCACTGCACTCCAGCCTGGGCGACAGAGCGAGACTCCGTCTCAAAAAAAAAAAGAGGAGGAGATGAGGACACAGACACACAGAGTGACGACCCTGCGAGGACACAGTGAGAAGATGGCATCTACAAGCCTACAAGAGAGGCCTCAGGAGGAACCAGCCCTGCCTACACCTTGATCTTGGACTTACAGCCTCCAGGATTGTGGGAGAATAAACGTCTGTTGTTTACAAGCCACCCAGTCTATGGTATTCTGTGATAGCAGCCTGAAATGGACTAAGACACCTCATAAGAAAAGGAGATGAGGACACAGACACACACATTGGGACAACCCTGTGAGGACACAGGGAGAAGATGGCGTCTCCAAGCCCAGGAGAGAGGCCTCAGGAGGAACCAGCCCTGCCCATACCTGGATCTCAGACTTCCAGCCTCCAGGACTGTGAGAGAATCAATGTCTGTTGTTTATAAGTCACCCAGTCTATGGTATTCTGTGATAGCAGCCTGAGATGGACTAAGACACCTCATAAGAGGAGATGAGGACACAGACACACACAGAGGGGCGACCCTATGAGGACACAGGGAGAAGACGGTGTCTACAAGCCCAGCAGAGAGGCCTCAGGAAGAACCAGCCCTGCCCACACTTTGATCTCACAGACTTCCAGCCTTCAGAACTGTGGGAAAATAAAAGTCTGCTGTTTAAGCGGCCCAGCCTGTAGTATTTTGTCATGGCAGCCCTAGGTGACTAATACAACAGGTGTTTCATCCTGTTCCTTTCCTCAGGTGGTGTTGCAGAGTACCCCAGCATCTTTAGGTGGTGGTAGAAGAGACTCCAGCATCTGCCATAACCCCCGGAAGAGTGTTCTGTATGTTACACTGTGGGGAGGTTTTCCTCAAAGCATTAGAGTGATCTGAACAATGGGAATCTTTGCACAGAGGAGGATGAGTTCTACTCGGGGATGGTACCTACTAAGAGAGACATGTTGTCTTCTCTTCAATTGCCCTTTAATGAAGAAATAAAAATTATTTAATTATTCGGTGAAGAAATAAAAAGAGTATTGCATTCTTTCAACAGAGATTCTGCACTTGTACTCCCAGGTATTTATGAAACCTCATGTTGATGCCTGGTGCATAGGCCAGGCAGTGGGGCTCTACCTAAGTAATGCCTGGTGGTTGGCCATGGGTAGCTGGAGCACCAATAGCATACTCTAATAGTCCATGACATCGGTCTACTCAAGGGCCATGGCTCAAATAGAAGGCTTTGTTTGGAGGAATTCAAAAGAGGTTCTACTGAGAAGGAACCTATGAATCAGTGCTGCTACAATACTTTTGGATTGTGCGGTTCAAACGCCATATTGGTTTTCTTCCAGCTCTCCAGCTCCAGCAGCACTGAGGCAGATCTGAGTTTCTCGAAGCTGGGCCCATCACCAACAAGACAGTGATGGTGAAAGCAATGATAGAAGAGGTCGAATTTAGAGTAAGGATCAGGATGGACAGGTGGGTACATCTATGCAACCCTAACCTTTCTGAAACTACTAGGCATAGATATTTTCCTGAAGACTAGTCTCAGCCTGCATGGATGGTCCCTCATGGCTACTGTCTCATTTGAAAAGTGAACCTATGAAAAGAGGAAAACACTATGACATCCACCACTGTTTGGTCACACCAATTCTTGACATTAACTCTCTCGAAGGACATTAGTATGACCTTCAAATCCTAGCCCGCAGGAAAGCTTCACTTTAGTTGTTTGTTTCCTGGGTGTCCCTTCCTACAACCCACGAAGCAAATGCCACACACCCTCCTTACATGCATAAAACAGTGCTGATAATGGATGAAACACACAAGTATCAGCTCATGCCTGCACTTTCAGAGAAAACACTCTTGCTTAGACCATGGGTATGTCAAGCTGCCAAGGATACAAAAGGTAAAACAATCCAAGGGCAACAGATGGTTCATGACAAAGAACTAAGAGGGCAGCACTGCGATTCCAAAAATTTGGATATGGACGTCAATGAGAGTGAATGAGAGAGAAGCAGAGAGACGGCGGGGGGGGGGGGGGGGGGGGGAGGGAGGGAGAGAGAGAGAGAGAGAGAGACAGAGAGAAAGGAAGGAGGAGGAGGAGAAAGGAAGGAGGAGGAGGTGAAAGAGGAGGAGGAGAAGCAGGAGGAGGGGGAAGAGGAGGTGAAGGAGAAGGGAAAAAAAAAGTAGAAGGGGCCAGGTGCGGTGTCTCATGCCTGTAATCCTAGCACTTTGGGAGGCTGAGGCAGGTGGATCACGAGGTCAGGAGACTGAGATCATCCTGGCCAACATGGTGAAACCCCATCTCTACTAAAAATACAAAAATTAGCTGGGCAGGGTGGTGCATGCCTGTAATCCCAGCTACTCAGGAGGCTGAGGCAGAAGAATCGCTTGAACCGGGGAGGCAGAGGTTGCAGTGAGCTGAGATCGCGCCACGGCACTCCAGCCTGGCAACAGAGTGAGACTCCGTGAAAGAAAAAAAAAAAGAAAAGAAAAGGGAAGGGAAGGGAGGGGAGGGGAGGGAAGGGGAGGGGAAGAGAGGGGAAGGGAAGGAAAGGGAGAAGGAGAAGGAGGAGGAGAGAAAGGGAAGGAGAAGAAACGAAAGAAGATGAAGGAGAAGAAGGAGAAGGAGGAGGAGAAGTAGGAGGAGATGAGGGGCAGGAGAAGGAGGGGAAGGAAGAAGTAGGAGGGGAAGAGGAGGGAAGAGAAGAGGAAAGAAGACAGGGAGAGAGAATAAGAGAATGAGAAAGAGAGAATGAAGGAGAGAATAAATGAAAGAAGAGAGAGATGAGAAAACCTACTTGTGAAAGAGGCCTCAGTAGAAGAAAAGAGAATGAGCAAAGAGCCTGGTCCAGGCCACTCTAAATGTCTCTCAAATGTTAAAGACTGATGAAGGAGGAGCAGGAAGACTTATCACACGTCCAAGGAGACAATGTTGAGCGACCCGCAAACTTAGCAGAAGGGAGAACAGGCTCTGGAGATGTCCAGTAATGGGGTAGAGCCCAGACTCCCACACTTGGTAGTTGTACCCTTCAACCTGGAGAGGCCTCAGTTTTCTCATCAGTGAAATGGGCCCAAGAATAGTATCTATCTCAAGAAACCATTTTCTCTGCTCCTTCATGAGAAGAAACTCCTCTTCCATTCCAGTTTTATCATGAGATTACAGGAGTTCAGCCCCATCTTCAACCTGCACCTTTACTTCTGCTATTTTCACCATAGCAGAAGTGACTTCCTCCACTGAAGTCTTGAACCCCCTCAATGTCATTCATGAATATTGGAATTCACTTTTTCCCGATTTCTGTTAATGTGGATATCTTAACTTCCTGCCATGAATCACCAAGGTTCTAAATGGCATTCAGAATGAGGAATCCTTTCAGGAAGGTTTTTTGGTTTTTTTTTTTTTTTTTTTTTTTTTTTTGAGACGGAGTTTTGCTCTTGTTGCCCAGGCTGGAGTGCCATAGCGCGATCTTGGCTCACTGCAACCTCCACCTCCCAGGTTCAAGCGATTCTCCTGCCTCAGCCTGCCGAGTAGCTGGGATTACAGGTGCCCGCCACCATGCCCAGCTAATTTTTTTGTAGTTTTAGTAGAGATGGGGTTTCACCATGTTGGTCAGACTGGTCTCAAACTCCTGACCTCAGGTGATCCACCTGCCTTGGCCTCTCAAAGTGCTGGGATTACAGGCGTGAGCCACCACGCCCGGCCCTGACTCGAATTTTGAAAAAAGTTCTACTCTGGGTAAAACCCTATCAAACAGCATCGCTTGATACAGAAAAATCTTTCATGACAGAAAGGGTCAACTGATGTGACAAACATCACTGTTGTCTATTTTAAGAAATTGCCAAAGCACCCTCTACCCTCAGCAACCACCACCCTGATCAGTCCACAGCCAGCAACATTGAGGCAAGACTCTCCACCAGCAATAAGGTTTTGACTCGCGAAATGTTCAGATAATTGTTAGTATTGTTTACCAATAAAGTATGCTTAAATTAAAAAATATATATCGTTGGAATGGTGTATGGATACACCACAAAACAGTCTTAGCATAATGCTCACCATTCACTAAGTGCTCAATAACGACATTATTAACTTTGCCAATTCCTCTGTTTATTGCTCAGAAGGATGATGCATTTGTCAGGAGAAGCAAAGAAAAAGATTCTTGAAAAGATCATGGTGACATTGCTGAAAGGTCGGGGAGAAAACACAAACAGACTGAATGGGTCCTGTGAAGCTCAAGGGTGTGGGTAGCTCGTAAGAAAGGCTATGAGCAGAGATTACGCTGGAGAAATATGCCAGGAAGGGAAGGGAAGGGATGGTCAGAAGCTAGTTAGTGTGTGCAGTGATATTTTCACAATGCTTTTGAAATCAGCGTGTTAATTGGCTAAATGAGCCACTGGCTGGATGACAGTATGTGAGCATTAGCTGCTCTATGTCAGCTGGGATTCTAGGAAAACAGATTGTGCCAAACATTTGGATATCCAGAGGAGGCACAACAACTGTGCATTAGAAATAGGACTTATGTTTCCCACCCAACTACCTCTCTCTGGGGCCTGACCTGCCGTCTAAAAACAGTCCACCCCAATGCAGCCTCCAGTCACTCTGCCAGGTATTGACCCAGAGTCTTGATTCTATGCAACAAATAAGATCTTTGCATTTTAACCCATTGAGTTTTAGTAAGAATCTTCGACAAGAAGATTTCTTCCAGAGAACCAAAGCAGGAGTTGCAAGATTGCAAAGGGCACACTGAGGTCTTAAATATCCATCTGATTTGGCCAGGAATGTGATCGATCAAAAACTCAGGAATTTTCCTGGTCATCGTTGTCTAACGTGTATTCAGAATGTACTCTGCGGTGAGTACCATTTTACGAAAAGACTCACTGGCCAAGACTATGGGCGTGAGGTAACTAACAATCAGGGGGCTTGGTTTCATTTTGTTGAAAAAAAGTTCAACAAAGACATCCACAAAGAAATAGGTGATGGGCCTTTGCCTACTCATTTCTTTGCTCGTTTTGCTATTTACCCATTCCCCTGTTTTCTTGCCCTGTAAAATGGACACAATACTCAAGCTTCCCATTGGTGTCAATGTTTACATTCACGATGGGTAAAAAAAGGTATTTCATGATTTGAAAAGTGTGATGCATTTTATTCTTTTTTATAACTTTAACACCTTTTAATTTTTTGAACGTTTTTGAGTCATCATAACACATAGCTTAAAACACATACACACGTGGTGCAGCTGTACAAACATGTATTTTTTTAAACTTGTATGTTAGATTCGGGAGGAGTCCATGTGCAGGTTTGTTGCACAGGCAAATTACGTGACATGGGAGTTTGGTGTACAGATTATTTTGTCACCCACATAATCAGCACAATATCTGATATGCAGTAGAGACAGAGTGCCACTCTGCCGCCCAGGCTTGAGTGCAATGGTGCGATCCCGGCTCACTGCAACCTCCGCCTCATGGGTTCAAGTGATTCTTGTGCCTCAGCCTCCCGAGTAGCTGGGATTACAGATGCCTGCTACTCTGCCTGGCTAATTTTTGTATTTTTAGTAGAGACAGGGTTTCACCATCTTGGCCAGGCTGGTCTCGAACTCCTGACCTCGTGATCTGCCCACCTCGGCCTCCCAAAGTGCTGGGATTACAGGTGTGAGCCACTGCGCCCGGCCAATAGGCAGCTTTTTAATCCTCCCTCTCCTCCCACCCTTCACCCTCAAGCAGACCCCAATGTCTGTTGTTCCTTTCTTTGAGGCCACCTTTACTCAATGTTGAACTTCCAATTATAAGTGAGAACATGCGATATTTGCTTTTATGTTCTTGTATTAGTTTGCTAAGGACAATGATCTCCAGCTCCATCCATGTTCCTGCAAAAAATAATAAGATCTTGTTCTTTTTTACAGCTGCACAGTATTCCACGACGTACATGTACCACATTTTCTTTACCCAGTCTACCACTGATGGGTATCTAGCTTAATTCCCATGTCTTTGCTATTGCAAATAATGCTGCAATGAACATTCATGTGCAAAAGTGTCTTTACGGTAGAATAATTGGTATTTCTTTAGGTATGTACCCAGGAATGGTTGCTGGGTTGAATGGTAATTCTGTTGTTTTAACTCAAAAGTATGCTTTTTTTTTTTGAGACACAGTCTTACTCTGTCACCCAGGCTGGAGTGCAATGGCATGATCTTGGCTCACTGCAACCTCCACCTCCTAGGTTCAAGTGATTCTCCCTGCCTTAGCCTCCCAAGTAGCTGGAATTCTAGGCACCTGCCACCATGCCTGGCTAATATTGGTATTTTTAGTAGAGACGGAGTTTCACCATGTTCGCTAGACTGGTCTCGAACTCCTGACCTCAGGTGATTCGCGTGCCCTGGCTGGGATTACAGGCGTGAGTCACCGGACCCAGCCGCCTATTTTCTTTCTTTAAGAGATAAGGTCTTGGTCTCTCAGCCAGGCTGGAGTGCAGTGATTTGAGCACATCTCACTGCAGCCTCAAACTCCTGGGCTCAAGTGATCCTCCCGCCTCAACCTCCCCAGTAGCTGGGACCACATGTACACACCACCATGCCCAGCTATTTTTGAAAAATTTTTGTAGAAATGGCATCTTGCTGTGTTGCCCAAGCTGCTCTCAAAGTCCTGAGCTCAAAATAATCCTCCATCTTCTGAAAGCATTGCGATTATGGGTGTGAAGTTTCTTTGACTTTAATATTTTAACTTAATTTATAACAGTATTTTTGAATAAGGGACTCTATCCATCACTATTTAATTCTATAATTGTATATATTTGCAGGCCCCTCCAAGCCTTTGTGAACCCTGAATATCTGAGATGGTGTCAGTTAATTTAGAAAGTTAAGTCCGGGCGTGGTGGCTCACGCCTGTAATCCCAGCACTTTGGGAGGTCGAGGCGGGCGGATTGTCTGAGGTCAGGAGCTCAAGACAAGTCTGGCCAACATGGTGAAACTCCGTCTCTACTAAAAATGCAAAAAAAACTTTAGCTGGACATGGTGGCGGGCACCTGTAATCCCAGCTATTGAGGAGGCTGAGGCAGGGGAATCGCTGGAACCAGGGAGGTGGAGGTTGCAGTGAGCCGAGATCGTACCACTGCACTCCAGCCTGGACAACAGAGTAGGACTCCATCTCAAAAAAAAAAAAAAAGAAAAATTTATTTTGCCACAGTTGAGGACGCACCCATGACACAGCCTCAGGTGGTCCTGACGACATGTTCCCAAGGTGGTCAGGGCACACGCTGGTTTTATACATTTTAGGCAGACATGAGACATCAATCAATATATGTTGAGAGGTACACTGGTTCCATCCAGAAACACGGGGACGACTCGAAGTGGGGAGGGGGCTTCCAGGTCATAGGTGGATAAGAGACAAATGGTTGCATTCATTATTTTTTTGGGGTGTGTGTGTGTGTGTGTTTAGACAGAGTATTGCTCTGGCACCAGGCTGGAGTGCAGTGGCGCGACCTCGGCTCACTGCAACCTCAGCCTCCCAGGTTCAAGCCATTCTCCTGCCTCAGCCTCCCGAGTAGCCGGGACTACAGGTGCCCGCCACCATGCCCAGCTAGTTTTTAAAATATTTTTAGTAGAGATGGGGCTTCATCATATAGGCCAGGATGGTCTTGATCTCTTTACCTCGTGTTCTGCCTGCCCTGGCCTCCCAAAGTGCTGGGATTACAGGCGTGAGCCACCGCACCTGGCCAGGAGTAACTTTGAATAAAACGGGAGGCAAGTTTGCTCTGAGAAGTTCCCAGCTTGACTTTTCCCTTGAGCTTAGTGATTTGGGGACCCCAAGATTTTCCTTTCAAACCTTCTTAAATTATTGTTACTGTCACTATGCTTCCATCTTTCATGAACTTAGGCGACATCCATGGAGGTATCATTTGCAGATTCAAAGTAGCTCTTTCAACTTCTGAGTCATGGAGCACAGTGTCTTTAATATCATGCTTTTGTTTTTGTTTTTGTTTTTTTGTTGTCGTTGAGACAGAGTCTTGCTCTGGTACCAGGGAGTGCAGTGGCGTGATCTCGGCTCACTGCAACCTCCGCCTCTCAATTTCAAGCCATTCTCCTGCCTCAGCCTCCCAAGTAGCTGGGACTACAGGCGCCCGCCACCATGCCCAGCTAGTTTTTTTGTACTTTTAGTAGAGACGGGGTTTCACCCTGTTGCCCAGGATGGTCTCGATCTACTGACCTCATGATCCGCCTGCCTCACCCTCCCAGAATGCTGGGATTACAGGCGTGAGCCACCACGCCAGACTGCAGTAGTGAGTCTTAGTCACTCACTGTGAAGTTCCCTGCAGTTTCTTTTTCAAAAGCATTTTGCTGTGGATAACGCATTCTCATTACGTCAGACATCTGCAGTAACATTTATCTAGCAACAAGGTTAACTGCCTTCACATCAACAAAAACAGGTTGTGTTGCCAGCAAAGAAGAATGCCAGTTCTCTTTTCCATCCCATAATACTTGTCATCAGTACTGGGGTATCCTGTTCACCTTCTCCCATGCTGTGAGATTAATTTAGAGAACATATTCACGGTATTTTGTTTTTTGTTTTGTTTTTTTTTTTTGAGACGGAGTTTTGCTGTTGTTGCCCAGGCTGGAGTGCAAAGGCATGATCTTGGCTCACTGCAACCTCTGCCTCCCAGGTTCAAGTGAGCCTCCAGAGGAAGCACAGTACTGCCCACATCGTTATTTCAGACTTCTGGTCTCCAGGACTGGAAAAGAATAAACTTGTTGTGGCTTTAAGACTTCCAAGTGTGTGGTCGTTTATTACAGCAGCCCTAAGATAGATAGATAGATATAGATAGATAGATTTATTTTACTTTAAGTTGCAAGATACATATGCAGAACATGCAGGTTTGTTACATAGGTATACATGTGCCATGCTGGTTTCCTGCACCCATCAACCCGTCATCTAGGTTTTAAGCCCTGCTTGCATTAGAAATGGGGTTTCGCCATGTTGGCCAGGCTGGTCTTGAACTCCTGACATCATGATCCACCCACCTCGGCCTCCCAAAGTGCTGGGATTACAGGCGTGAGCCACCGCGGCTGACCTTTATTGCTCTTTCTATGTAAAACCAGAAAAGCCAACAAAGCTATTTCCCGTAATGACATGCCCAAGTCCTAACCCCCAAACACCGTGAATGTGAACTGATTTGCGAATAGGGTCTTGGTAGATGCATTCTCGTTAAGGATATCAGGACAGGATCATCCCAGGTTCAGGACTGATGGACACTTCAAACTTTCATTCTATATTCTTTCACACGAGTAGTGTTGTTTGGCTCTGAGAAGCACTTTCATTTTTATTTCCAGGCAATTTCATATCGTTCTCTTCAATTCAGTGAGTGCAAAAGAAGCAAGACAGGGAGTGATATAAAATTACTGCTAATAGAAAATTCACTTTTAATCTTGCTTAAAACAAGTTTTTTTGTTTTTTGTTTTTTTGTAAAATGAAGGAGAGAGCTGAACTTCAAGGATGCGAATTTATTTCCACACAGGGGAGAAACACTGATTGGAGAAAATTTACAGTTGCTGTTTAGACACTTGAGCCTCAGGATCGAGAAAAGGTGCACCTCTTAGATGGGCCTTAAATTGGAGATGATGATATCTAACCACCTGGAGACGGGAAAGTAGGTGTCACTCAATGCTGAACGGTGCTACTCATCTGTGAGATTGTATAATGAAGTTTTGGAGACTGAGCCTGTACCTTCATCTGTTCTTTAACCAATGCACACTTAACAAGCACGTCATGTTTAGCTGCTCAGCAGAGCTTCCTTCTTCAGAAACAGAGACGGGGTGCGGAGGCATTTTACAACCCAGGGGGCTCCAGCTTCATAGACTGTCTTGTGAGGATCTATGCTGTTACTCTGAGGATCAGCGTTGGTTTTCCAAGTCCTTCATGAACATAACAAGTCAATGATAAGACGACAAGTTCCACCGCTGTGCCTCAGCTGAGACAAAAAAAAAAAAAAAGCTGGAATCATTTAGAAATAACAATCCCAGGCCAGGCATGGTGGCTCATGCCTGTAATCCCAACATTTTGGGAGGCCGAGGCCAGCAGATCACCCGAGGTCAGGAGTTCAAGACCAGCCTGGTCAACATGGTGAAACCCCGTCTCTACTAAAAATGCAAAAATTAGCCAGGCATGGTGGTGCGCGCCTGTAATCCCAGCTACTTGGGAGGCTGAGGCAGGAGAATCGCTTGAACCTGGGAGATGAAGGTTGCGGCGAGCCGAGACAGTGCCATTGCACTCCAGCCTGTGCAACAGAGCGAGACTCTGTTTCAAAAAAATAAAATAAAAATAGAAAAAGGAAGTCACACTCACAACCATTCTACAAGCAGGAGACCCAGAATATTTTGCTTTAGAATCTACAGGCTCTGCTTTAAAATTCCTCCTCTCCCAAACTCAGGTTAAAATGTAAGCCTCAGTGCTGGATGGGAGGTCGAATGGGAGGGGTTTGAGCAACGGACGATGGATTCTTCCTGAAGAGATCAATGTCCTTTCTTGAAGCATGAGTGAGTTTTTACTCTATGAGTTCTCCACAGGCTGGTTGTTAAATAGAGCCTGGCGTCTCCCGTCTGTCTTCCCTCCTGTCTCTTCGTGTGGTCTCTGTACACATACCAGCTCCCCTTCCCGTTCCACCATGAGTGGAAGCCTCCTGAGGTCCTCAGCAGAGACAGATGCTGGCCCTGTGCTTCTTGTACAGCCTGCAGAATCATAACCCAAATAAACCTCTTTCCTCTATAAATTATCCAGCCTCCAGTGTTCCTTTCTAGTGACACAAAACCGACGAAGACACCCCAGCTCTCTCTACCATGGGGTATTTATGTCACTAGTGATGACCGTCCTGACAAGGGGCCAGCCCTGCAGTTCCCACGAGACCACCTACTTCCCACTCCCCATATGAGCTCAGAAACTTCCGGAAGCTGGTACACTCATGGAATGATAATCCATATAATTTCCGCAACGAGATGTGATGTAGTATCATGCTTACTTAAGTGATCCTGAATATACTCTTTTTGTGTGTTTTTCTTTAATTTTCCATAACTTATTGGGTTACAGGCAGTATCTGGTTATATAAGTAAGTTCTTTTTATTTTTTTCTGAGACAGAGTCTCGCTCTGTCAGCCAGGCTGGAGCGCAGTGGCATGATCTCGGCTCACTGCAACCTCCACCTCCCACGCTCAAGCAATTCTCCTACCTCAGCCTCCCAAGCAGCTGGGATTACAGGTGTGTGCCACCAGGCCTGGCTAATTCCTTTTGTATTTTTAGTATAGACAGGGTTTCACCATGTTGGCCAGGCTGGTCTTGAACTCCTGACTTAAGGTAATCCGCTCGCCTCAGCCTCCCAAACTGTTGGGATTACAGGTGTGAGCCACCACATCCGATCACGAGTAAGTTCTTTAGTGGTGATTTGTGAGATTTTGGTGCACCCATTACCCAAGCAGTACACATTCCACACTATTTGTAGTCTTTTATCCCTCGCTGCCCCCTCCCAAGCTCTCCCCAAGTCCCCAAAGTCCATTGTATCATTCTCATGCCTTTGTGTCCTCATAGCTTAGCTTCCACGTATCAGTGACAACAGACGATGTTTGGTTTTCCATTCCTGAGTTACTTCACTTAGAGTAATAGTCTCCAAAGGACATGAACTTGTCCTTTTTTATGGCTGCATAGTATTCCATGGTGTCTATGTGCCACATTTTCTTTATACATTCTATCATTGATGGGCATTTGGGTTGGTTCCAAGTCTTTGCTATGTGAATAGTGCCACAATAAACATACGTGTGCATGTGTCTTTATAGTAGAATGATTTATAATCCTTTGGGTATATACTCAGTCATGTGATTACTGGGTCAAATGGTATTTCTGGTTCTAGATCCTTGAGGAATCCCCACACTGTCTTCCACAATGGTTGAACTAATTTACACTCCCACCAACAGTGTAAAACCATTCCTATTTCTCCACATCCTCTCTAGCATCTGTTGTTTCCTGACTTTTAATAAAGCTGGAAACCATTCTTCTCAGCAAACTAACACAAGAACAGAAAACCAAACACCACATGTTCTCACTCATAAGTGGGAGCTGAACAATAAGAACACATGGACACGGGGAGGGGAACATCACACACTGGGGCCTGTCGAGGGGTGGGGGGCTAGGGGAGTGATAGTATTAGGACAAGTATCTAATGTAGATGACGGGTTGAGGGGTGCAGCAAACCACCATGGCACATGTATACCTATGTAACAAAAACTGCACGTCCTGCACATGTACCCCAGAACTTAAAGTATAATAATAAAAAAAGTAATAGTCTCCAGTCTCATCCAGGTCACTGCAAATGCTGTTAATTCATTCTTTTTTGTGGCTGTGTAGTATTCCATGGTGTGTGTGTGCGTCTGTCTGTGTGTGTGTGTGTATATATATATATGATGTCCATCAATATATACAATGTCCAATGTTCTGGAGTCCACAGTCAGTAATGTCCATCAAGGTACATACACACGTTCACGGACATTATTGCCTGTGGACATCAGAATCTTGACCCACACCTAGGAAATGACTGCATTCAACGTCAGGCGACTGGACTCCCCGCCAGACACCCGCCATTGAGAACAAATAATAAAAGCCACAGTCTTCACCTTGCAAATTGATATTTGGACTTTTGTCATTCAAGGATGCTTTCAATGGTTCGTGTCTACTAGGCTTGGGAGAAAGATAGGCTCGTGAGAGGAGACATCAGACAACTGGCAAATCAGAGGTAGATGAAGCAACAAAAGGAAGGAAAAAGAGTGTGGAAATACCAGCCAACGAGCTGGTGTTCCCAATGGGACCTATGAAAAGATGTTTTGCAGGTGGAGAGAAGAAAGAGGAGACGCAAGCATTTGAGCTGAGCAACGAATATTGCCTGCATTGCGGAGGACCAAGAATGGACAATATCACCAGGTTAGCCTCCTGGGAAATGCTGCACGGGTGGCAGGTTCAGCAAATCAAGGCAGGGGGAGAAAATGGCTGCCGCTCTCTCTCCAGTTTGCGATCCTGGGAAGTTAGGGTGCACGGGTTTACTGGGCTTTGATTTCCTCAGAGGACTGGTTTTACTTACACACAGCAGGAAGCCATAATACAAGGGGCTCTTTTCCCACCACAGGCATCAAGCTGAATCACCGCACACGCTTGCATTCCAGACTCATGTTCTCCAGAGCTTACAGGTTGGGATGGGACCACTGTAACCCATGACCCCAAACTAGGGAGCTTACAAAAGCAGCCATTTAACCTCTCCCAGTCCTGGAGACTACATCTGTGAAATCGAGGTGCCTACAGGGACATGCTCCCTGCTCTAGGGAAGAATTCTTCCTGCCTCTCCCAGCTCCTGGGGGCTCCAGGCATCCCTGGGCTTATGGCCGCATCACTCCAGTCTCTGCCTCCGTCTCCACGTGGCCTTCTCCTCTGTGTCTGTGTCTCCTCTTCCGTCTCTTACAAGGACACCTGTCATTAGATTTAGGATCCACTGCAATCCAGGATGATCTCATCTCCAGATCCTTTTTTACATCTGCAAAGACCTTATTTCCAAATAAAAAATCACATGTACAGATTCAAGGTGAACTTGTCTTTTTTTTTTTTTTGGTGGGGGTGGGGGTAAAATAGAGGCACCATTCAATCCACTACAGGGGTTGAGAAGAAATAAAATATTACAAAATGCTCCCTGATAAGAAATAAAATATTACAAAATGCTTCCTGAATGTGATTTAGAAGTTTTTTTGTTTGTTTTGTTTTGTTTTTAAATGGAGTTTCACTCTTACTGCCCAGGCTGGAGCGCAATGGCGTGATGTCAGCTCACCGCAACCTCTACCTCCTGGGTTCAAGTAACTCTCCTGCCTTAGCCTCCCAAGTATCTGGGACTACAGATGCCCGCTACCACTCCCGGCTAATTTTTTGTATTTTTAGTAGACATGGGGTTTCACCATGTTGGCCAGGCTGGTTTCAAACCCCTGACCTCAGGTGATCTGTCCGCCTCGGCCTCCCAATGTGCTGGGATTACAGGCGTGAGCCACCTCGCCCGGCCGATTTAGAAGCTTTTGTTTGTGGGCGTGAAGGTTCAGTAAGAGCTTCCTCTAGTCCTTGTCAAGATCAAAATTAAAGGCATTATAAACAGAGATGCCTATCTGTCGGCCACATATCCAGAAAATAAATGCTGAGATGAGAATTCTGGTTTCTGAATAGGAGTCTGATATCTGCATTTGGTGTTGCCAAAGCAAGCCCTGACTTCTCTCTTCTCTCATTGAGACAGAGCACACACCCTCACTCCTTGTGTCTCTGAGTCACATGTATCGGGCCATACTCACCTGATACCTCACGGATTGTCCCGGGGCTAGTTCTATTTCTAGCTCCTGGGCAGGACGGTGACCATGAGTTCGACGGTGCCCAGCAAGCCCATCTGGCCAGCACTTATCTGCCTTTGGGTACAGCCTGCCCTTTCTCCCAAGTGTCTGAGCATAAAAATAGCCCACCATGTCAACCCCGCAGATGACAAGCATGTGAGTGGCTAGTTTCTGCCTGAGAACTCTCCCGAGGTCTCCCTGAACACTCACGGATGCCTGGGCTGGCCCAAGATGCAGCAGTAGGTCACTGACAGACTCTCTTCCATTTATTCACAGTTTCCATGATTCCCACGCTCATAGCATCGACATAACAAAAGCAAAGTTAAGCTACAGACTCTGCTCCCGCCCCAACCTCTCTAATAGCTGCTAACAGAGCCAATGGATTGTTTTTTTCAACTTGCAACTTAAACACAACTTTGCCTTCTCCCTGAGTCTTTTAATTCAAACATTCAGTCATTCTCCATCAGGTACGCACAGGAGATACAAAATCAATATGATAACGGTCTTCAGGTTGTGGGTGACAGAGCGGGAGCATGGCCATCTTGAACAAACACCACCATTCTAGGCTCCCCTTGATTAAAAACCGCCTAAATCCAGCCCGAAAACATCAGCCTCATGACTCATGTCAGCATAACCAGAAACATTCCAACCCTAAGATAAACCCGTCTCCGACCAAAAACATACCAACCCTGAGACAGCCTCCCCTCTGACCAGAGATATTCAACCCTGCAATAAACTCTCCCTCACATACAAACATTCTGAACCTATGATAAGCACCCCCTTCCAAAACCCTTAAATGTGCTTAGTCTATAAGAGAGAAGAGCTCTGACCTAACTCAGCCAGAAGCCCCTCTCAGGTTTCTCTAAAATAAACCTGTGTTTAACTGTCAAGTGACATTTCATGCTTCTTTCCTCTTTAATTCTTACAGTGAGTGTGTAGAGCACGCTTGACATAAGTGACTCCACCTTAGAAAAAGATTCCATGTTACATTTCATTCAAAAGGCATCATGCCTACAGGAGCCAGATGTTCACCTGATCAATAAAGACCACATCCAAACAGTTAAGGACACAACCAAACACCCTCTTCCATTGTCAATCCTCACCAGAGGACTCTGTGGTCATGAAAGAACAGGGCTTCAGCAGCTCCAAATGGCTACCTTAACAGATGCCATCTTGCTGTCACTTGTAATCATTACGCAGCATCCACCGCAAAAGGCTCTGCCCCACTGATATCAAAGGCTCTTCCTTGCAAGATGGCGACCACTGATGGCCCTCCAGGGCCAGGCCAGGAGACTTTTTTTTGTCCACATCAATATCCCTGTGCTCCTTTGTTAAGCTTTTTCCTACCCCTTTTCTCTTGATGATAAATGTTACGTTGTTTGATGTAGAATGTTTAATCTATAACATGCATATATTGGTGAAGTGTATTAGTATGTATAGGTTGCAATACTGACTGACTTGGGTCACAGCAGGAGCCTGTGCGCCTGTAGCTCTGACTAAATGCTGCCGGCACACAGGCTCCAGTACTCCAAGGGCTCAAGCCATTTCAGTACTAAATGGGAAGTCCTAAGGAGAATTGCCTCCTTGAAAACTCCGTGCATCTTGGGGCTTCTGTAAACTGAAATAGCATCAATAAAAGGCTGAACTTGTGAAAAGACACAACCATACATGGGCCTGGTTTTCTATCTCTGACCTTGCACCACTCATGAGAGCGGGCTCCAGCAAGCCAGCCAGCAGGAAAGACAGAAAAGGTGAAAACTGATTCAACAAAGGAAGGATACTTGAGCTAGATTAAACATTTTATTACATTTTCTCTGAATTTTTAGCCCATCATCACGGGTCATTAGAGAAATGCAAATCAAAACCACAATGAAATACCAACTTATGCCAGTTAGAATGGCGATCACTAAAAAAGTCAGGAAACGAGAGATGCTGGAGAGGATGTGGAGAAATAGGAACGCTTTTACACTGTTATTGAGAGTGTAAATTAGTTCAACCATTGTGGAAGACAGTGTGGCGATTCCTCAAGAATCCAGAACCAGAAATACTATACGACCACAGACTGGATAAAGAAAATGTGGTACACAGACACACCATGGAATACTATGCAGCCATAAAAAGGATGGGTTCATGTCCTTTGCAGGGACATGGATGAAGCTGGAAACCATCATTCTCAGCAAACTAACACAAGAACAGAAAAGCAAACACCACATGTTCTCACTCATAAGTGAGAGTTGAACAATGAGAACACATGGACACAGGGTGGGGAACATCACACACCAGGGTCTGTCAGGGGGTCAGGGGCTAGTGGAGGTATAGCATTAGGAGAAATACCTAATGTAGATGATGGGTTGATGGGTGCAGCAACCCACCATGGCACATGTATACCTATGTAACAAACCTGCACGTTCTGCACATGTACCCCAGAACTTAAAGTATATAAAAAGAAGCATATATATATATATATATATATATATATATATATATATATATACTGTATTTATTTAATAAAATTTCAAATTAATGATGTAAAAATTTTGAATTTTATAAATTTGAATATGACTTGGCCTGTGACAGAGACAGAGGCCACAAGACCCCTGCAGTCTACCCTATACCCTGCTGCCACAGTGACCTCCCTAACATACACACCTGATCACAAGTCCCCTCAGAGCAGCTTCCATGGCTTCCCCTGCCTCTTGAAATACTGCCCAACTTGTGTTCTGTCTGGGTACTCTTGTTCTGAGGCACCCTTGATCCTTGATTTTATAAGTCCACTTGGCTGAGCCATGGTGCCCACATATGTGATTAAATGTTCTTCTGGGTGTTTCTTTGAGGTTGCTTTAAATGAGATAAATATCGAAATCAGGAGACTTTGAGTAAAGGAATTGGTGGGTAGGCCTGGTCTAATCAGTTGAAGGTCATAATAGAACAAAAGACTGGGCTGGGTGCAGTGGCTCACACCTATAATCCCAGCACTTTGGGCAGCTGAGGCAGGTGGATCATCTGAGGTCAGGAGTTTGAGATCAGCCTGGCCAACATGGTGAAACCTTGTCTCTACCAAAAAAATAAAAATAAATTAGCTGGGCGTGGTGGTGTGTGCCTATAATCACAACTACTCGGGAGGATGAGGCAGAAGAATTGCTCAAACCTGGGAGATAGAAGTTGCATTGAGCCAAGATCGCACCGAGATCGCATCGTACCCCAGCCTGGGCAACAAGAGTGAAACTCTGTCTCAAAAAAAAAAAAAAAAAAATCTAAATCAGTACACTTTGAGTAAAGCAATTTGTCCTTCCTATGGTGGGTGGGCCTGGTCCAATCAGTTGAAGGTCTGACTAGAACAGAAGACTAATGTTACCTGAGCCAGAAGGGATTCTGCCAACAGATGGACTTTGGACTCCAACTACATCATCAGCTCCTCCCTGGGTCTCCAGCTGGCTGGTCTACCCCATACATCTTGAGACTTGCCAGCCTCCATCACCATATGAGCAAAATTCCTTAAAATAAATGTGCTTTCTATCAGTACACACATCATATTGGTTCTATTTCTCTGCAGTATCTTGACTCAGACACACAGTTCCCTGGTTCTGCGGCACCCACCTCCCGTGGTATCCTTGTTCTGTAAGAAATTAGTAAGTTTTAGGTGAACGCCAAGGAGGAATTTCATCCAGGAAAGCTCTTTGCCTCCTTGTAGACCCGATGAATTTCTACTCACTCTCTAAAATTTAACTCAAATACATGTATTTTCTGATAATGTTTCTAACTCTATGAGCAAAACCAGGCATCTCACTCCATGGCATCTGGACACGCAGCTACAGAGGTGCATCTGACATGCCCGAGTTGTTATGTACCATCTTCCCCTGACTGTGAATCTCTTAGGAATGACATCCATAAAAATGCAATGTGCCATCCAGGATTTAATACGTGCTCAAATATTGCCGAGTGTGGTTTTTCTCGTCTCTGTTTTCACAGTCCAGGCTGGCACCATTTCTCTGCAAATCAGTGTATTTTTCACCCACCTGATTTTCCTGCCCCCAGCCTCCCCTCCCACAAGGCGCCTTGAAGCTGCTGTCAAGCTCAATCTCCTGAAGATAGCCCAAATCCTTCCCGCAGCCTTTGGAAAGCCTCCCATAGCTTCTTCTCACAGCAAATCTAAGTAAACTACAAGGTGACTCCCATGTTCCCCTCCCCATTTTTCCTGTTTGTAGGGATGTTGTATGAGTCTGGTTTTTTTTTTGTTGTTGTTGTTTAATACTTTAAGTCCTGGGGTACATGTGCAGAACATGCAGGTTACATAGGTATCCATGTGCCATGGTGGTTTGCTGCACCTATCAACCCGTCATCTACATTAGGTATTTCTCCTAATGCTATCCCTCCCCCAGTCCCCTACTCCCCGACAGGCCCCAGTGTGTGATGTTCCCCTCCCTGTGTCCATGTGTTCTCATTGTTCAACTCCCACTTATGAGTGAGAACATGAGGTGTTTGGTTTTCTGTCCTTGTGATAGTTTGCTGAGAATGATGGTTTCCAGCTTCATCCATGTCCCTGCAAAGGACATGAACTCATTCTTTTTTATGGCTGCATAGTATTCCATGGTGTCTCTGTGCCATATTGTCTTTACACAATCTATGGTCAAATAGTATTTGATATAGATAAGGATGGATAAATAAAGTATAAGTATGTTTTCATGCTGTAGATAAAGACATATCTGAGAATGGGCAATTTAGAAAAGAAAGGTTTAACTGGACTTACAGTTCCACGTGGCTGGGGAAGCCTCACAATCATGGTGGAAAGCAAAAGGTGAAAGGCACGTCTCACATTGTGACAGACAAGAGAAGAGAGCATGTGCAGGAAACTCCCCTTTATAATAACCATCAGATCTCATAAAACTTACTCACTATCATGAGAACAGCAGGGCAAAGACCTGCCCCCATGATTCGGTTACCTCCCACTGGGTCCCTCCCACAACAGGTGGGAATACAAGATGAGATTTGGGGCCGGGCGCGGTGGCTCACGCCTGTAATCCCAGCACTTTGGGAGGCCAACACAGGTGGATCACCTGAGCTCAGGAGTTCAAGACCAGCTTGGCCAATTTGGCAAAAGCCCGTCTCTAGTAAAAACACAAAAATTAGCCGTGCATGGTGGCGGGCACCTGTAATCCCAGCTAATTAAAAGGCTGAGGCAGGAGAATCGCTGGAACCCAGGAGGTGGAGGCTGTAGTGAGCCGAGATCATGCCACGGCACTCCAGCCTGAGTGAGCGAGACTCTGTCTCTAAATAAATAAATAAGATTTGAGTGGGGACAGAGCCAAACCATATGAGATGTAATGAGCTGTACATTTTCCCAGGCATTTAATGCCTTTTTGTTTTTCAGTTGCCATAATGCGGTGTCCAGCAACATACGGTACATGGATGTCATACATGGGACATGTAAAATGGTAGCATCCATCTGCAGTTAGACTGTAGGCTCCCTGTTGGAACCACCCTGCTCGTGGACAATCACTGCTGTCTTGGTAATGAACACCCCCTACATATCTGCTTCACTATAGAGCTGCTGCCTCCAGAAACCCCATACACCCATGCGTTCTGGCAGTGCCAACGGCTGGAAATTGCTGCCCACTCCTCAGCCAAACCCACAGTCAGGCAGGGAACCCAAGCCAGGCCAATTGGGTCCCTGCCTTGGGATAGTCCAACGTAACATAAGAAAAAGACAGTGTGTTAGTATTATAGGCAAAGCAAGGCAAAAGAGAATAGAGAAGCAGCTCGGGTAAGAGACTAAAGCTTCTCTGCAGGAAGAGGAGACCCCAGAGATAGGAAGCTGGCATCCTGGAAAGGTTGGACTCTGTGTTCTGGCCTCTGAGAAGAAAGTGATCACTAAGCTTGGTGCAGATTAAACATAGAAGCAAAGGCTCTTCTGGCTTAAGTGGATCAAGCTGGGGTCAGTCGCTTGCAGCCAGGGTTTTGATGCATTTGTTCGTTCTCTCTGGATGGGGTCAGTCCCTCGCAGCCAGAATTCTGAGGCGTGCGCTCCTATTGTCTGGATGTGTGGGGTTTTATTTACTTTCTTTCAAAAGAAAAGTAGATAGAAAGGCTCAAAAGGATGGGGGCAGGGGAAAGACCTCCCAGCAATAAGAAAGAGGTCCAGGCAGCAACCATACAGGAAGAAGCAAAAATGAAACTGGAAAGTCAGAATGAAAAACTGCCCAATGTCTGCTATATTATTTTCTTGTTTTGCAAAGAAAGGAGGTCCAAAGCCCTTGTGGGTCTCTTATTTTTATTTTTTTTTTTTTTATTTTGTTTTGTTGAGAGAGCCTGTTGCCCAGGCTGGAGTGCAGTGGCACGATCTCGGCTCACGGCAACCTCCGCCTCCCAGGTTCAAGGTATTCTCCCTCCTCAGCCTCCCACGTAACTGGGATTTCAGGCACCCACGACCACACTCAGCTAATTTTTGTATTTTTAGTAGAGACGACATTTCACCACGTTGGCCAAGCTGGTCTCAAACTCCTGACCTCAGGTGCTCCGCTTGCCTCAGCCTCCCAAAGTGCTGGGATTACAAGCATGAGCCACCGCGCCCGGCTGTGGGTCTCTTTTTGCACAGCTGGGACAGGGAAGAAGAAAACTTGTGTTCCTCTGCCACTGTTTCCTGCAGAAATGGGTGAATACAGTAAATGGTACGGACGTTCCTCAAAAAAATTAAAAATAGAACTACTCGATGATCCAGCAAGCATGCTTCTAGGTATTTATCCAAAAGATAAATCGGTCTATGAGAGACATTTGCACCCCCATGTTTATGGCAGCAGTATTCACAATCACCAAGATATGGAATGAACCCAAGCGTTCAATAGATGAATGGATGAAGAAAATGCGGTACAGCTGGGTGCGGTGGCTCAGGCCTGGCGACAGACTGACACTCCGTCTCAAACAAAAAAAAAAGAAAATGCGGTACACGCACACAATGGGATACTATGCAGCCTTCAAAAGAAGGTAGTTGGGCCAGGCGCGGTGCCTGGAATCCCAGCACCTTGGGAGACTGAGGCGGGTGGATCACTTGCAGTTAGTTAGGAGTTTGAGACCAGCCCAGCCAACATGGTGAAACCCCGTGTCCACTAAGAAGTACAAAAATTAGCCGGGCATGGTGGCAGGCACCTGTAATCTCAGCTACTTGGGAGGCTGAGGCAAGAGAATCACTTGAACTTGGGAGGCGGAGGTTGCAGTGAGCTGAGATCACGCCACTGCACTCCAGACTGGGCGACAGAGTGACACTCAGTCTCAAAGAAAGAAATAAAGAAAATGCTGTAAATACACACAATGGGATACTTTACAGCCTTAAACGGAAGGTAATTGGGCTGAGCAAGGTGGCTCACGCCTGTAATTCCAGCACTTTGGGAGGCCGAGGCGGGCGGATCACGAGGTCAGATCGAGACCATCCTGGCTAACAGGGTGAAACCCCGTTTCCACTAAAAATACAAAAAAATTAGCCAGGCGTGGTGGCAGGCGCCTGCAGTCCCAGCTACTCAGGAGGCTGAAGCAGGAGAATGGCGTGAACCTGGGAGGTGGAGCTTGCAGTAAGCCGAGATCGCGCCACTGCACTCCAGCCTGGGCGACAGAGACTCTGTCTCAAGAAAAAAAATAAAAAAAGAACGTAATTGGCCAGGTGCAGTGGCCCACGCCTGGTATCCCAGCACTTTGGGAGGCTGAGGCAGGCAGATCACTTGCAGTTAGTTAGGAGTTTGAGACCAGCCTGGCCAACATGGGGAAACACCGTCTCTACTAAGAAGTACAAAAATTAGCCGGGCATGGTGGCGGGTGCCTGTAGTCTCAGCTACTCCAGAGGCTGAGGCAGGAGAATCATTTGAACTTGGGAGGCGGAGGTTGCAGTGAGCCGAGATCACGCCACTGCACTGCAGCCTGGGTGACAGAGCAAGACTCCATCTCAAAAAAAGAAAGAAAATGCAGTACATACAGACAATGGAATACCACGCAGCCTTAAAAAGAAGGGAATTCTGTCATTTGCCACAACATGGATGAACCTGGGGGATGTTAACGTGAAATACACCAGACACAGAGAGACAAATACCGCATGATGTCACTGACATGTAGAATCTAAAATAGTCAAATTCACAGAAGCAGACAGTAGAATGATGGTTTTCAGAAGATGAGGAGAGAGGGACGTAGGGAGATGCTGTTCCACAAGTATAAGGTTTTGGTATATAACATGAATCAGTTCTGCAGTCTGGGTACAACTGTGCACACCACAGCAGTTGTGCCTAGAGTTAACAAGACCGTATTATACATGTAACACTTTGTCAAGAGGGTGGCTCTCATGGTAAGCGTTTGACCGTGATAAAATAAAAATTTCAACACGTATGTTTATTGCAATACTATTTATAACAGCAAAGACTTGGAACCAACCCAAATGTCCATCAATGATAAGACTGGATAAAGAAAATGTGGTATGTAGACACTATGGAATACTATGCAGCCATAAAAAAGGATGAGTTCATCTCCTCTGCAGGGACATGGATGAAGCTGGAAACTGTTATTCTCAGCAAACTAACAGAGGAACAGAAAACCAAACACTGCCTGTTTTCACTCATAAGTGGGAGTTGAACAATGAGAACACATGGACACAGGGAAGGGAACATCACACACCGGGGCCTGTCAGGGAGCTGGGGGCAAGGGGAGGGAGGGCATCAGGGCAAATACTTAATGCATGCAGGGCTTAAAACGTAGAAGATTGGTTGATAGGCGCAGCAAACCACCATGGCACACGCACACCTATGTAACGAACCTGCACGTTCTGCACATGTATCCCAGAACTTAGAGTAAAATTAAAAAGAAAGAAAGTCAAAGACAGTTTTGTAAATGTTCGGCTACATCGTAACATTCAAAATGAGACTGGCCAACTTTCCCTATCTGCTTTGATGAGTCCATCAGAATACTTGTAATATGTGGACTAAGTCTTTAAATAAAAACACCTGCTTATAAATATGCCTGAATAACATGAGCTCTGGCACTTGTCAGCCTCAGACAGGTCATGACTCAGTAAAGGATGGAACACTTCCTTGCTGACACAGACTTGGAGATTGAGAAAGCAACACAGGCCACCCAATGGGAGAAAGAGGACATGGTACAGTGAAAGGCCAGTGTGCTGGACATGGGGAGGGCCATGCTATGCACTCTGGTGTCTGGATTAACCACTGGGACCAGCCCTGACTTCCTGCATGGCTGAAGAGGAGGCTGATGATGCATTGGGAGTTGGCATCCTGGCTCTCAGTGCTGGAACCCTGGACCACCTGGGTGAGACTACCAGACTGAGAGCCCTCCCTGCCCTTACTCTGTCGCCCAGGCTGGAGTGCAGTGGCGCAATCCCAACTCACTGCAACCTCCACCTCCTCGATTCAAGCGATTCTCCAGCCTCAGCCTCCTGAGTAGCTGGAATTACAGATGCCCAACACTACACCCGGCTAATTTTTGTATTTTTAGTAGAGACAGGGTTCCACCATAACAGCCAGGCTGGTCTCAAACTCCTGACCTCAGGTGATCCACCCGCCTCGGCCTCCCAAAGTGCTGGGGTTACAGGCGTGAGTCACCGTGCCCAGCCTGGAACATTTGTTGTTTCAATAAACAGCTGTGCATTTTTGCCCCCTAAAAGCACCATTGGACAACCACAATCCCAGGCCTGATGCTGGCAGTCATAGGGGATCAGATGTCCTCCCGTATTCTCTATCCACAAAACAGGAAGCTTAGCTGATGACTCCTGGAGGCACACTCAACCCTAAACTATGATATAATCCTGCAGGAAAATAAATGGTATCCCAAGATGTTCAGTATGAAAATGCATGTGGCTTTGTGGGTATTTTGCAAAGAAGCGAATGGGATAGTATCTGTTTTCTTCACTACAATCTCAGGGAATGACTCATGGAAACATCAGTGATCCGCAAGCAGATTATGGTTAAACTAAAACTCCTACGAGGCTGTCTCCAAAAACTTGAGCTATCTGAGGTGCTTCATCAACAGAGGTGTGAAAATACCGTCCTACTTGCCGGGCTGAGGGCCTGGGAGCTTACGGGTGACTCAGCTTTGCTTAGTATCACTGCTCACCATGCGACAATTCTGTGAAGTTCTTCAGACATGCAGGATCAACGCACAGTGTTACAGATCATCTGACACTTCTTCCTACCAACAAGTGTCTGCAGGCGTAGCTGCTGGGCTGCCTTGCTGGAACTTATCAGGGTGGAAACTCTTTGGGGTGAGAATACCACGTTTCGGCGTCTTCAGGGGATACAGCAGAGGTGTGTTGAATGCTACGGTGATAGCTACAAGCACAGGCAAAGGCTCCTACAGCAAATAAAACAGACCTACAAGACCAGCCACAGTAGATGAAGGGCTATAGGGACCAGCATGGGCATTCGGACCAGCACGGGCATTGAGAACAGCAGTTCAGCTTAAGCCACAAAACTTCAATTCTCCTTAAAATCTACAAGAGTCCATCTGAACCACCAAAGTTTTGGCCAAACCCAAGACCAAGAGTCCAAAACCAGGCTGGACGCAGTGGCTCCTGCCTGTAGTCCCAGAACTTTGGGAAGCCATGGCAGGCAAGATGGCTTGAGCTCGGGAGTTTGAGACCAGCCTGGGACAAATGGCAAAACCTCATCTTTACAAAAAAAAATACAAATATTAGCAGGGCATGGTAGCACGTGCCTACAGTCGTAGCTACTCGAGAGACTGAGGTGGGAAGATTGCTTGAGCCCGGAGGCAGAAATTGCAGTGAGCCAAGACTGCACTATTACACTTCAGCCTGGGCGACAGAGCCAGACCCTGTCTCAAAAAAAGAAAAAGCGTCCAACACCATCTTCCTGAAGCCATGTGTATGTCAGTAGAAGAAACCTTCAACCCCCTAGAGAATCCAAAGGGGAGTGGGGAACTCAGGTGCTGTCCTCATTTACCCCGAAATGAAGTTGTGCAGGAAAAAAAGAAAAAAGCGTCCAGGAATTCAGAACATGCTTATTATCCTAGTGAGACCCAAGGTTCCATTTGCTACAGAAGCCTATGAAATAATTCCTAGGACAAAGGGTCACTAAGAAGTCATTCATCTTTTGGGTAATAGTTGAAGGAGTCAGAAGACAGTCACACCAGTAGTTTAGGGAAGGATTATAGCTGATTGCATTTTTTTTTTTTTTTTGAGATGGAGTTTCACTCTTGTTGCCCAGGCTGGAGTGCAATGGCGCGATCTCGGCTCACCTCAATCTCCGCCTCCCGGGTTCAAGCGATTCTCCTGCCTCAGCCCCCTGAGTAGGTGGGACTACAGGCATGCACCACCACACCCAGCTAATTTTGTTTTTTTTTAGTAGAGATGGGGTCTCTCCACGTTGGTCAGGCTGGTCTCGAACTCCTGACCTCAGGTGATCCTCCTGCCTTGGCCTCCCAAATTGCTGGGATTACAGGAGCCAGGCCTACACGTGGTTTTTAAGGGCCAGCAAATTATATGTATGCACACACCTCAGTTTGGAAGGAGAATGACTGAGTACCAGTGGGATACCAGGAGAGCCCAGGAAGAAGGCAGCGTATCCCTTCACAAGCCCCTTTCCATGACTTTTCTACATGACTCCAGCAAGACTATGCTGGGGAGGAGGAGGAGACACAGGGCCTCGCCTGAGTATGGGTGCTGACTTGGTGCAAGAAGAGAAGGGTAGGCATCGTCTCCTGGTGGCCATTCCCACCCTGGAATGGCTCCAACCCAATGGAGCGGAGCTCTAGTGGTTCCAGCCACTGGAAACACCAGACGTAGCACAACAATAATGAACTGTTGTTGGACGGCCATCTACTCCAGATGTCCCATCACTGGGCAGCTGTCCACTGGGGCCAAGTCATCACTGGATGGCCGTCCACTTCGGCTGCACCATGTTCCTGGCCTACAGCAGCATGGAACACGCCACTGCTGGGATGACACCAGGGATTCCCTCAGCTTAGAGAGCAGGTGCTCACAGACAGGGGTCATGGACAGCAATCACTACCCACAGCCTCCACTCCCTGCCCATCCATCTTTTTTGTTTTTGTTTTTGAGATGGAATCTCGCTCTGTCAGCCAGGCTGGAGTGCAGTGGCGCAATCTCGGCTCACTGGAACCTCTGTCTCCCGGGTTCACACCATTCTCCTGCCTCAGCCTCCCGAATAGCTGGGACCACAGGCACCCACCACCACGCCTGGCTAACTTTTGTATTTTTAGTAGAGATGGGGTTTCCCCATATTGGCCAGGCTGGTCTCGAACTCCTGACCTTGTGGTCTGCCCGCCTCAGCCTCCCAAAGTGCTGGGACTACAGGTGTAAGCCACTGCGCTCGGCCTCTGTCCGTCCATCTTAAGCAGCTGAAGAACTGAACGGATAAAACAAAGCCCTCAAAACCACAGACACGTGTGTCCATGTCTGAGGTCCACGGGGCAAGGAGGAAAAAAGAACCAACTCACGCATCCTCCAGGGGTGAAGACTGGGCATTAAAATAAATGCCCGTATGGAGGGAAAATATCCATCTTGGGACTCATGGGAAAAACAGGCAAACACAAAAAACAGGAAAGTAATATTCCATAAAAAAGAAATGAAGAGCATCAGTTGAAATGAAGATTTATGTGGGGCGAGGCAGAAGGACCTGAGACCACTAATCCTTCACTATCTCAATTATAGCAAGAAATAGGTTGGAAGGAAAACACAAATATACAGCCTATAAAAGATACCCACAGAGGAGTAATTCAGGTGGAACATAAAAGAGATTTAAAGGTAAATAGAAACGAAAAGAAAGTCAGAGTCAAAATATTATCAGGCCGGGCACAATGGCTCGCACCTGGAATCCCTGCATTTTGCGAAGCCGAGGACGACGGATTGCTTGAGCTCAGGAGTTTGAGACTAGCCTGAGCAACATAGTGAGAGCCTGTTTCTACAAAAAATACAAAAATTAGCTATGCGTTGTGGCGCATGCCTGTAGTCCCAGCTACTCGGGAGGCTGAGGTGGGACGATGTCTTCAGCCTGGGACGCAAAGGTTGCAGTGAACCAAGATGGTGCCACTGCACTCCTGCCTGGGTGACAAGAGCGAGACCCCATCTAAAAAAAAAAAAAAAAAAAAAAAAAAAAAAAAAAGACTATCATTACTTTTAATGGCAAAAACAGCAATTACTTTTGCACCAACCTAATATATTCATATCAGATAAAAAATAATAAATTCAGAGCACAAAAATATTAAACGTTTAACAAAAGGGTTAATGCGGTAACATAATAAGAAGGGTGCCGGAAACGAGTAGGAGATATAACATCACATCCTAGAGAAGCCCGGACAATAGTAGACAGAGGGAAGATCAAAATCAAGAATGAGGAGACTCAGCTGGGTATGGTGGCTCACCCTGTAATCCCAGTACTTTGGGAGGTTGAGGTGGGCAGATCATCTAAAGTCGGGAGTTTGAGACCACCCAGGCCAACATGGTAAAACCCCATCTCTACTAAAAATACAAAATGTAGCCAGGTGTGGTGGCAGGTATATGTAGTTCCAGCTACTCGGGAGGCTAAGGCAGGAGAATCACTTGAACCCAGGAGGTGGAGTTTGCAGTGAGCCGAGATTGCGCCATTGCACTCCACCCTGGGCAACAAGTGCGAGACTCCGTCTCAAAAAAAAAAAAAAAAATACAATAATTAGCCGGGTCTGGTGGTGTGCACCTGTAATCCCAGCACTTTGGGAGGCCGAGGCAGGCAGATCAACTGAAGTCGGGAGTTCGAGACCAGGCAGGCCAACATGGTGAAACACTGTCATACTAAAAATACAAAATACAGCTGGGTGTGGTGGTGGGCACCTGTAATCCCAGCTACTCACGAGGCTGAGGCAGGAGAATTGCTTCAACCCAGGAGGCAGAGGTTGCAGTGAGCCGTGATCGTGCCACTGCACTCCAGCCTGGGTGACAAAGCAAGACTCTGTCTCAAAAAAAGAAAAAAAATGAATGTGGAGAATCATGTCAGGGGTGCAGAGGGCAGGCTTGTGGAAGCGTGTAGAATGTAGAAGAAAAAGATGATGACATGAAGTGATTGGAGAAAAGAACATGAAAGAGAAGGAAACCAGTTGAGAGGCAACATCCAATGTTGGTATCTCTGAAGACAAGAACTGGGAGAAAGAGACACAGAAACATAGTTGATCCTTCACAGGTTTGGACTGTACAGGTCAGTTATATGTGGATTTTCTTCTGCCTCTGCCACCCCTGAGAAAGCCAGACCAACCTCCCTCTTCCTCCTTCTCCTCCTCAGCCTCCTCCATGTGAAGATGATGAGGATGAAGACCTCGGGGATGATCCCTTTCCATTTGATGAATAGTAAATGTAGTTTCTCTTTCTCATGATTCTCTTGGTAACGTTTTCTTTTCTCTAGCTTACTTTAGTCTAAGCATAAAGTATGCAATACATAGAACATAGAAAATATGAATGAGTGAATCACCTGTTTATGTTATTGGCAAGGGTTCCTGTAAACAGTAGGCTATTAATAATTAAGTTTTTGGAGAATCAAAAGGTGCACATGGGCCAGGCGTAGGGGCTCACATCTGTAATCCCAGCACTTTGGGAGGCCAAAGTGGGTGGATCACCTGAGGTCACAAGTTCAAGACCAGCCTGACCAAGATGGTAAAACCCCGTCTCTACTGAAAATACAAAAATTAGCCAGGCATGGTGGCGTGCGCCTGTAATGCCAGCTACTCAGGAGGCTGAGGCAGGAGAATCGCTTGAACCCAGGAGGCGGAGATTGCAGTGAGCTAAGATCACACCATTGCACTCTGGCCTGGGCAGTAACAGTGAAACTCTGTCTCGAAAAAGAAAAAAAAAGTTACACATGGATTTTTGACTGTGTGAGGGGTTGGTGTCCCTAACCCCCATGTTTTTCAAGGGTCAATTGTAAATGGAAAGGTTTCGTGCAAAGAAAAAAAAAATCCCTGAGATAAAAACCCAGATCTGCCATTATAAGATGTATAGTAAGCCATACGATTTATTTTTAAATGCCCATATGTCCATCAACCTCATCCTGATGAAACCGTGGAGCTTTAAAGATCAAGAGAAAATCCTAAAAGCATCAAGGGAGGAACAAAAAGGACATCTGCCAATGGAAAAGCAAATCAGGTGGAAAGAGCTCTTCGTCAATGTGAGATTTCAGTAAGGAATAAAGAAAGAGCTACAGAGTCCTGAATGACAAAGGATCTGAACAAATAACCCTAGACCCGATATGGGAAAACGAGATTTGTCTCAAACACTTTGGGACTCAGGAAATTAAAAAAAAAAAAAAAAAAAAGAATCATTGCTTGTTTCTCTAAAACTGTGCCCAGACACACACACACACTACAGCAAGCTAAGATTTCCAGGCAAATCACTAAGCCATTCATAGGGAAAGACAGGCACTGTGTGTCAGATCAAGGATTCACCTACATAACGGTGGTTATGAAATGGAAAATAGAGAAACACATGTACATCACTGGGGTGTGGCTACCATAGTCAAAACAGGGTAACTCTTGAGAAAAACATCCTCTCTACAAAACGCTTATTTTAAAAAACTAATTAGAGATTGGGACAAAAAGAATCCTCAAAACAGCAATCAGAATCAAGTGATAGCATGTGGTGGATGGCTAGGGTTATGCTACTTTGTCTTCAAAAGGCAGAACCTGTTGTTCTAATTTAATTTCTGAAGTTACTCAGTTGAGAAACGGAGTTAGCTAACACTTGGTTTAAAGTTACGAAAGTTTCAAAGAGCTTCTGCACAGCCCAGGAAACTATCAACAGCGTGAACAGACAACCTACAGAATGAGAGAAAGTATCTGCCAACTATGCATCTGATAAAGGTTTAATATCCAGAATTTATAAGGAACTTAAACAAATTTACAAAACAAAACAAAAATAAAAACAAAAAAAATCCCATTGAAAGCACACCCTTTGCCACGTCAGGCAAAGGACATGAACAGACACTTTTCAAAAGAAGATACACATGCAGCTGGCCGGGCGCGGTGGCTCACACCTGTCATCCCAGCACTTTGGGAGGCCGAGGCGGGTGGATCACAAGGTCAGGAGATCAAGACCATCCTGGCTAACACGGTGAAACCCTGCCTCTACTAAGAATACAAAAAAAATTAGCCAGGCATGGTGGCGGGGTTGAGGGCTTGATATGTGGGAGGCATATTACTAAACAATTTGATTACCTTGTTTAACCTTTACAACATTCTTTTGAGGTAGATCTTACTATTCTTCCCATTTCATAGACGAGGAAAATGAGGCTTAGAGAAGTTAACTAAATTGCACAATATTCCTTAGTTAGTAAATGGCGAATTTAAATCCAGTTTGGAAAGACAGATGTGCTTTGCTTATGCATACCTTGATTTCTGAAAAAGTGCATGTAACTAAAGTCAAAAACCAAAGCTACTTGCGAGGCTGAGGCAGGAGAATGGCGTGAACCCGGGGAGCAGAGGTTGCAGTGAGCCGAGATCGCGCCACCGCACTCCAGCCTGGGCGACAGAGTGAGACTCTGTCTCGGAAAAAAAAAAAAAAAAGACATACATCCAGCCGACAAGCCTATGCAAAAACATTCAACATCACTGCTCATTAGAGACACGCAAATCAAAACCAGAATGAGATACCATCTCACACCAGTCATAAAGGCTATTACTAAAACATCAAAAAACAACAGATGCTGGCAAGGTGGCAGACAAAAAGGAACACCTAAACACTGTTGGCGGGAGTGTAAATTAGTTCCAACATTGTGTAAGACAGTGTGGCCATTCCTCAAAGACCTAAAAACAGAAATATCATTCCACTCAGCAATCCCATGCCTGGGTATATACCCAAAGGAACATCAATCATTCTGTCATAAAGACACATGCACGTGTATGTTCGTGGCAGCACCTTTCACAATAGCAAAGACATGGGATCAATCTGAATGCCCATCAGTGGTAGACAGAATAAAGAAAATATGGTACATAGGCCAGGTGCGGTGGCTCACGCCTGTAATTCCAGCACTTTGGGAGGCCAAGGCGGGTGGATCGCGAGGTCAGGAGTTCGAGACCAGTCTGGCCAACACATGGTGAAACCCCGTCTCTACTAAAAATACAAAAAAATTAGCTGGGCGTGGGGGCGTGCACCTGTAATCCCAGCTACTTGGGAGGCTGAGGCAGAGGAATTTTCAAGGGTGCAGTGAGCTGAGGCAGAGGAATTTTCAAGGGTACTGCACTCCAGCAGCCTGGGTGACACAGCGAGACTCCATATCAAAAAAAAAGAAAGAAAGAAAAAGAAAATATGGTACATAGACACCATGGAATACTATGCAGCCATAAATAAGAACAAGATCATGTCCTTTGCAGAAACATGGATGGAGCTGGAGGCGATTATCCTCAGCAAACTATGTAGGAACAGCAAAACCAAATTACTACATGTTCTCACTTATAAGTGAGAGCTAAATGATGAGAACATATGGACACAGAGAGGGGAATAGCATTCATTGAGGCCTATCAGAAGGTGGGAGGAGGGACAGGATCAGGAAAATAACTAATGGGTACTGGGCTTAATACCTGGGTGATGAAATAATCATACAACAAACCCCCATGACACGAGTTTACCTATGTAACAAACCTGCACCTGTATCCCTGAACTTAAAAATGGTTTTTAAAAATTATGGAAGTTTGAACTATAAGAATCAAAATTTCCAGAAGGTTGGGGTGATGAGGCATGAAGCTTCCCTGAGTGCAAAAGAACTCACCATTGCCACCCACGGCAAAAAGAAAAGTGACATAGAAGCAAAAAAAAAGATACAAAGCATAGTAACATTTATTCAACATCTCATTAAACATTTCGCAAGAGTGAAGGATAGACTATGCAAGAGGGTTATAATGGGGCCAGGCGTGGTGGCTCACGCCTGTAATCCCAGCACTTTGGGAGGCCAAGGTGGGCGGATCACGAGGGCAGGAGTTCAAGACCAGCCTGACCAACATGGTGAAACCCTGTCTCTACTAAAAATACAAAAATGAGCCAGGTGTGGTGGTGCGTGCCTGTAATCCCAGCTACTTGGGAGGCTGAGGCAGGAGAATCGCTTGAACCCGGGAGGCGGAGATTGCAGTGAGCCAAGATCGCGCCACTGCACTCCAGCCTGGGCAACAGAGTGAGACTCTGTTTCAACAACAACAACAAAAAAATACACATCACCCACCATTTCTTGGGTATCAACATCCACCTCTGGAATGACTGAAGGGTTATTAATCTAGGATGGTAATGGAGCCAGGTTATCGCCAAGTTTGGTAAGAACATCCTTGCCTTTGTCACTCACTGCTCTCTTGGTGGAGTTGGTACCGAGACACGGCCCGATGTGGGCAGATGCTTAGACAGGGAACATGGCTTCCTCTTCCTGGAATGGCAAGAACTTCGAATTCTGCCCCCTCTCTGCCAACGTTAGATATGTCACGGTTGAATGACTAAACACCAAATACATATCCGGAGCGAGAAATGGCATGATGCTTTCAGAGGAAGGATGGAGCTGGAATTTGGGGAATGAGGAAATGGCTTTTCCCTCTTTGTGTGTTTAGTGATGATAAGAGCAATCAGTTCTGACAGCTCCTACTGGCTGCTACCTACTGGCTGGCTGGAGCGTTGGCTTTGGTTAGAGAAAATGGAACATTTCAAGAGGAGACACTTTCCATACACATTATCATAAAAGTTTGTTTGTGAGATGGAGTTTTCACTCTGTCGCCAGGCTGGAGTGCAGTGGTGCGATCTCGGCTCACTGCAACCTCCACCTCCCGGGTTCAAGCGATTCTCCTGCCTCAGCCTCCTGAGTAGCTGGGACTACAGGCGCCCACCACCACACCCAATTTTTGTATTTTTAGTAGAGATGGGATTTCACCATGTTGGTCAGGCTAGTCTCAAACTCCTGACTTCGTGATACACCTGCCTCAGCCTCCCAAAGTGCCAGGATTACAGGTGTGAGCTACCGCACCCAGCTCAATAAAAGTTTTTAAAATGTTATCAGTAATGCTATAATGATCATCATAACTTATGGTAGGTACAAACTATAGAATCCACAACTGCTTACCAAGGTCTTATAAAGACCTAAATCTGTGGTTTATTGAGGTTCTTTGAAACCCCTCAATTTTCTTCTTGGTATTAATGATTGAATTTTTAATGGTGGGGCAGAATCTGCCCAAGTATTAGAGGGACAAAGAAGGATACAGAGAGCTGGAGTTCCATCAGTTCAGCCTGGTTAATGTGTCGTTTCTGAGCACACAGCAAGCCCTACCCTGTTTATGTGGTAAGGTCTCACTCCTATACAGAACATGGCATGATTCAAATTCTAAAAAGAAGATGTCTGGATAAGCACTTTTGATTGACTGTCTGATTAGAGGTACTTTTAATGGAATAGGCAGAAAATGCAAATATCTAATGAACATGCTGGAGAGGTTCACCATCGGCAAGCATTTCATTTTCTTTTCTTCAAAAATTAATTACAGAGTGTGGCTGCGTTTCTGTGGATTCAGTGTTTCTAATTCTTTCTTCAATTAGTCCTTTAATTTTCTTCCCAAGGAGACACATGGATATACAACACGTAACACAGTGACATTTTCTTGTCACTGAAAGAAATTTCAAAGTTCATTTTCAAATTCAAAGAAAAGGAAGGCTGGAGTGGATTGGAAAAGAGGCTACAGGCTAAGAACTTTTAAGAGCCCTAGAGAGAGTGGGGTGCTGGTGTCACTGTTATTTCATTGATTTTCCTTGTCCACAGCCATTTTCAAGACTCATATTTCAGGGCCTTAGATGGTTTGTCTCATATCACTGCTGTCTGTAGCAACAACCACTCTGTAGAAGGCTCCCAGGGAAAGACCCATAAGGTCTACCTTGTTTTTGTTTGTTTGTTTTTGAAACACAGAGTCTCACTCTGTTGACCAGGTTGGAATGCAGTGGTGTGATCTTGGCTCACTGCAACCTCCGCCTCCCGGGTTCAAGCAATTCTTCTGCCTCAGCCTCCCAAGTAGCTGGGATTACAGGCGCCCACCACCATATGCCACTAATTTTTGTATTTTTAGTAGAGATGGGGTTTCACCATGTTGGCCAGACTGGCCTCGAAATCCTGACCTCGTGATCCGCCCACCACAGCCTCCCAAAGTGCTAGGATTGCCGGCATAAGCCACCATGCCTGGCCAGGTCTGCCTTATAAGTGATATGAGCATAGGTGGAGGAGTTGAACACTGGAGAAGGATGGATCAATAACTCCACCCAACCACAGGTGCTCCCATTTCTGGGTGTCTAATCCCAACCCTTGAGATCATGCCGCCATTTTATCACCGTTCTATGGTATCATGCCGCCATTTTATCACCGTTCTATGGTATCATGCCGCCATTTTATCACCGTTCTATGGTATCATGCCTCCATTTTATCACCGTTCTATGGTATCATGCCGCCATTTTATCACCGTTCTATGATATCATGCCGCCATTTTATCACCGTTCTATGGTATCATGCCACCATTTTATCACCGTTCTATGGTATCATGCCATTTTATCACCGTTCTATGGTATCATGCCGCCATTTTATCACCGTTCTATGATATCATGCCGCCATTTTATCACCGTTCTATGGTATCATGCCGCCATTTTATCACCGTTCTATGGTATCATGCCATTTTATCACCGTTCTATGGTATCATGCCGCCATTTTATCACCGTTCTATGGTATCATGCCGCCATTTTATCACCGTTCTATGGTATCATGCCGCCATTTTATCACCGTTCTATGGTATCATGCCGCCATTTTATCACCGTTCTATGGTATCATGCCATTTTATCACCTTTCTATGGTATCATGCTGCCATTTTATCACCGTTCTATGGTATCATGCCATTTTATCACCGTTCTATGGTATCATGCCTCCATTTTATCACTGTTCTATATCATGCCTCCATTTTATCACTGTTCTATGGTGTCATGCCGCCATTTTATCACTGTTCTATGGTATCATGCCGCCATTTTATCACTGTTCTATGGTAACATGCCTCCATTTTATCACTGTTCTATGGTATCATGCCGCCATTTTATCACCGTTCTATGGTATCATGCCTCCATTTTATCACCGTTCTATGATATCATGCCGCCATTTTATCACTGTTCTATGGTATCATGCTGCCATTTCATCACTGTTCTATGGTATCATGCCTCCATTTTATCACTGTTCTATGGTATCATGCCGCCATTTTATCACCGTTCTATGGTATCATGCTGCCATTTTATCACCGTTCTATGGTATCATGCCTCCATTTTATCACCGTTCTATGGTATCATGCTTCCATTTTATCACCGTTCTATGATATCATGCTGCCATTTTATCACCGTTCTATGGTATCATGCTGCCATTTCATCACTGTTCTACGAATAATAACACATCAGCATCGAAGGAGATGAGGGAACATGCATGATGGAGCTGTGGGAGAAGAATCCCCGCCACAAAACCGGCCCAGGATCCTGGGCACAGAGATATTTCCACACTCAACACACAGGGACTGAGGTGAAAGGAGACGGCTGGGTGGGATGGAGGAGATAAGGGAGGAGACCCCTGATCCACACAGCACAGCCATGTTTGGAGGGGAATCATAATGCTACGTAGGATGTCTAAGCTCTCCTCAAGATGCGAGGCTGGGAGTCCCTTTCCAGAGCCTCAGAGAGCATACTGGTCTTAGGTCCAGGTTACTGCCATTGAATGGTAGTAGGCACATCCCCACAGAACTGGGCTGGCATCTGTAGGGATCTACATCAGTGGTTTTCCATTGGAGGCCTTTTTGTTTCCCCCTCCCCCAGGAACATATAGAAATGTCTGGAGGTATTTTTGGTTGTTATAACTGCGGTGGGGGGTATAGTGGGTACATCCATGTCAAGTGGGTGGAGCCCAGGGATCCTGCTCAACACGCTACAGTCCACAGCATGGCCTCACCACAGAGAATCATCCAGCTCCAGATGGACATACTGCCAAGGTTGACAAAGCCTGCCTTAGCATGACAGATTGTATGCATATGTGATCCATTTGTCTGTGTGCCTATCATCCAACTCACTTCCTATCATCTATCACCTACCATTTATCTATCAACTATTTATAGAATATCTATCGACCTATTTACCACCTATCACCTACTTATCTACCGTCTATCATTTATCTATTTACCATTTACAATCAAGCATCTACTTATCTATCTACCATCATTTATCTATTTACCATTTATCATCTATCATCTACTTATCTACCATCATTTATCTATTTACCATTTATTATCTATCAAGTACATATTTATCTATCATTTATCTATCTTTGATCATTATATAGCATCTGTTTACTCTCTATCTACTGTCTATCATCTACCTATCATCTATTGACCATCGATCATTTATCTACCTGTCATCTATTACCTATCATTGATCACAATCTATCATTGACCATTACTATCTATCTAGCTATTATCTATCTAGCTATTTTCTGTCTAACTAATATCTATCTATGTATCCATCATCTATCTATATCACAGTGGTTTTCAACTGAGCAAAATTTCGCCTCCTCAGGGACAACTGGCATATCTATCTATCTATCTATCTGTCTGTCATTTCCTCATTTATGAAATTGGGGTAATAACAATGCCTGCCTCAAAAATTGACAAATGAGATCTCATTAAACTAAAGAGCTTCTGCACAGCAAAAGAAACTATCATCAGAGCAAACAGGTAACCTACAGAATGGGAGAAAATTTTTGCAATCTATTCATCTGACAAAGGTCTAATGTCCAGAATCTACAAGGAACTTAAATAAATTCTCCTGCCTCAGCCTCCCTGGTAGCTGTGACTACAGGCAGCCACCACCACGCCTGGCTGATTTTTGTATTTTTAGTAGAGGCAGGGTTTCACCATGTTGGCCAGGCTGGTCTCGAACTCCTGACCACAAATGATCCACCCATCTCGGCCTCCCAAAGTGCTGGGATTACAGGTGTGAGCCACCGTGCCTGGCCAGGTTTTGGCCTTTTTGATGCCACTTTGCTTTGACCTTTACTTCTTTCTCCTGTATGCCTAGAGAGTTCATCCTAAGAGCTTGTCCTCATATCACCTCCCAGAATATGCAAACTTACAATCTCTTTACTTCTTAAAATTTTACCTTGGGGCTACCAAGCTCTGAAGATGGAAGTGAGATTTCCTCAAAATACACAGAAATGGGTAAATCCTCACATGCTTTCACAGGTATGCAGTCTTTAACCTGAGGTAGCTCAGGGATACCTATGGCTCCCAGGATACTCCACCATAGCAAAGGGTGACTGCCTTTGGTGAGCCTTGGGTGGATACTAGAGCTCTGTGAACACCGGGGCCTGTCGGGAGGTGGGGGGCAAGGGGAGGGAGAGCATTAGGACAAATACCTAATGCATGCTGGGCTTAAAACCTAGATGACGGGTTGATAGGTGTAGCAAACCACCATGGCACATGTATACATATGAACTAGTTCTAGGAACAGTTCACTGAACACTAGCGTTCTATGAACCCCCTCTCCCTGCCTGAAATGAATGCTGTCTTCACATGACATCCTACCCTCTGCCCAATGTCTTTCCCGAATGGGAATCTCTTCACCACACGGCCAATTTATCACAAACCCTTCTCTAAACCCTTACAATAGGCAGGAAACTGCTCATACCCCTACGACGGCTGATGGCAGAGGATAAAATATTAATTCTAAGAAAATAGGCCGGGTGTGGTGGCACACACCTTTAATCCCAGCACTTTGGGAGGCCGAGGCAGGTGGATCATCTGAGGTCAGGAATTTGAGACCAGCCTGGCCAACCTAGTAAAACCCCATCTCTACTAAAAATACAAAACTAGCCAGGAGTGGTTGGGCATGGCTGTAATCCCAGCTACTCGGGAGGCTGACACAGAAGAATTACTTGAACCCAGAGGTGGAGGCTACGGTGAGCCGAGACCACGCCACTGCACTCCAGCCTGGGCAACAAGAGCGAAACTCAGTCTCAAAAAAAAAAAGAAAAGAAAAGAAAAAGAAAATAGTTCAGGTAATTCTTGGAAATTGTATTTTTATACCCTCTAATATTTAAATGACCATCAATATACAACCAGGGTAGGGGGTTAATAAATAAAGGATAGCATTCTTTGCTGCATCCTGGGCTTATTTTTCTCATTCTTTTTCTGTGACACTGTCTCATTCCATCAGCCAGGCTGAAGAGCAGTGGAGCAGTCACAGCTCACTGCAGCCTCCACCTCCTGGGCTCAAGCAATCCTCCTGCCTCAGCATCTTGAGAGGGAGACCAGAAGCATATGCCATCATACCCGGATAATTTTTTTTTTTTTTCCTGTAGAGACGAGATCTTGCTATGTTGCCCAGGCTAGTCTCAAATTCCTGGGCTCAAGTGATGCTCCCGCCTTGGCCTCCCAAAAGTGCTGGGATTACAGGCAGGAGCCACCATGGATCATTCGTGTGTACAATATTCTCACTCCTTTGCACCGGAATAAAACCCAGCCCCCTGGAAAGCTGACTCTGAGACTTTGTGAGGATGTGTATGTGCGGTTTCTCATCTGAATGCAGCCATTTCACGAACACCAGCCATTCCCCAGGCTTCAGTTAAGCCATTCCCCATCAGGAAGATATAGGGCCCCCTTTCAAGAGGAACCACAATGGCTAAAACTACAATCTTCACAGCACACATGGCTTCAGCAAATACAGAGAGATGCTAGCCGGGCGCAGTGGCTCACACCTATAATCCCAGCACTTTGGGAGGCTGAGGTGGGCGGATCACAAAGTCAGGAGTTCAAGACCAGCCTGACCAACATGGTGAAATCCCGTCTCTACTAAAAATACAAAAATTAGCCACGCGTGGTGGTAGGTGCCTGTAATCCCAGCAACTCAGGAGGCTGAGGCAAGAGAATCGCTTGAACCTGGGAGGCAGAGGATGCAGTGAGCCAAGCTTGTGCCACTGCACTCCAGCCTGGGAGATAGAGCAAGACTGTCTCAAAAAAAAAAAGAAAAAAGAAAAAAAAAAAAGAACGATGCTACATTCTCAGAAAATTAGTTTTACATTGAAGCTTCATTTGGGAATTGAAAATAAGAACAGGGAAATACATTTTTCTTTTCTAGAGAAAATAAACAAGGACAAAGATGCATGGAAAATAATATTTTAAATGTCTCCTATTGACCTAAGTTATAAAGTCATTTTTTATGTAATAACAAAATAATTGGAGAGGCGTACCCAAGAGCACAATAGTCTCTGAAATGTCTTATTTCATGTACACTCAGGCACACAAAGACACATACATAATTTATAACTAATTTAGCAAAACATTATGATTTGATACAACTGGATGGTGGGTACACAAATGCTGTTCAAATTATTCTCTGCGTCTTTCAAATGTGTGAAATGTTTTATAATGAAACATTTTTAGAAGGCACATTGAAGTTCAAACAACTGCTAAACAATGAAAAAGATAAATGGTTGTATTCAAATGCTTACGGGTATTTACTCATTAAGAATATTTTGAGGCCAGGCACGGAGGCTCACACCTGTAATCCCAGCACTTTGGGAGGCCGAGGAGGGTGGATCACTTGAGGTCAGGAGTTCAAGACCAGCCTGGCCAACATGTCAAAACCCCATCTCTACTAAAAATACAAAAATTAGCCGGGCGTGGTGCCGTGTGCCTGTAATCCCAGCTACTCAGGAGGCTGAGGCAGGAGAATCACTTGAACCTGGGAGGCAGAGGTTGCAGTGAGCCAAGATTGTGGCACTGAACTCCAGCCTGGGCAACAGAATAAGACTCTGTCTCAAAAAAAAAAAAAAGAAAAAAGGTCTCCTATTGACCCATGTTATAAAGTCATTTTTTATGTAATAACAAAATAATTGGAGAGGGGTACCCAAGTCACATACGTAATTTATAACTAATTTGGCAAAACATTACGATTTGATACAACTGGATGGTGGGTACACAAATGCTGTTCAAATTATTCTCTGCGTCTTTCAAATGTGTGAAATGTTTTATAATGAAACATTTTTATGAGGCACATTGAAGTTCAAACAATTGCTAAACAACAAAAAACATAAATGGTTGTATTCAAATGCTTACGGGTATTTACTCATTAAGAATATTTTGAGGCCAGGCGCGGAAGCTCACGCCTGTAATCCCAGCAGTTTGGGAGGCCAAGGAGGGCGGATCACTTGAGGTCAGGAGTTCAAGACCAGCCTGGCCAACATGTCAAAACCCCGTCTCTACTAAAAATACAAAAATTAGCCAGGCATGGTGACAGGTGCCTGTAATCCCAGCTACTCAGGAGGCTGAGGCAGGAGAATCACTTGAACCTGGGAGGCGGAGGTTGCAGTGAGCCAAGATTGTGCCACTGAACTCCAGCCTGGGCAACAGAACAAGACTCTGTCTCAAAAAAATAAATAACCCGGGAGGTGGAGCTTGCAGTGAGCCGAGATCGCACCACTGCACTCCAGCCTGGGCGAAAGAGCAAGACTCCATCTCAAATAAATAAATAAAAGTAAATAAGTAAATAAAAAAGAATATTTTGAAACTACACATTGCCTTCTGTGTAAATTAAAAGCCAATGAAAGCCTCCTGATTTTCAGGGTGTCTCATTTCTACCCTATAGAAGCAAACCTACCACACCCTTCACTGAGGAGCCTTCGTGACCCTACCAAGGGGGAAAGAGCTTGTCTTTTCAATGAGTTTAAGAGCTTTGCTTCTGCGGTTGAAACTTCCCCCCAGCCAGCATTTCATGTTGAGAGACAGTGGCTAAGCTGATGTGGAAATAACACAAGAAATCTTGTCTGAAGATGGGTGATACCAACATCAGAACTGGAGACAGCAGGTACTGTGATTCAGGCGAAACTCTCACCACTAATTGGTGGAGAGAAGAAAAGAAAATGAGCAAATGAACTCTGATTTTGAAGAACTTCATTGAATCAGGCTTATCTTGATGTCTTGTGAGTCAACAAGATGCAGCTGGACTAGATGTGTGTGTGGAGTATTCGTGAGGGGCTAAGGGACTCTCCTATGTGTTTAGTTTTTGTTTTTTTTTGTTTGTTTTTCTTTTTGGAGACAGAGTCTCGCCCTGTCACCCAGGCTGGAGTGCAGTGGCACGATCTCAGCTCACTGCAACCTCCATCTCCCAGGTTCAAACGATTCCCCTGCCTCAGCCTCCTAAGTAGCTGGGACTACAGGCTCACACCACCAAAATTAGCCGGGGCTAATTTTTTCTATTTTTAGTAGAGACGGGGTTTCACCATGTTGGCCAGGCTGGTCTCGAACACCTGACCTCAAGTAATCCACCCACTTCGGCCTCCCCAAGTGCTGGGATTACAGGCCTAAGCCACAGCACCCAGCCCCAGCTATTTTTTGTATTTTAGTAGAGACGGGTTTCACCATGTTGGTCAGGCTGGTCTCAAACTCCTGACATCAAGTGATCTGCCCGCCTTAGCCTTCCAAAGTGCTGGGATTACAGGCATGAGCCCCTGTGCCCGGCCCGGACTCCCCTACTGAAATGTGCATGACAGAGACCCCAAGGCTGTCTTTTCCAGCAGGAGCTCCGGGTTCATGACTGAGGATAGATGCTTCCCAACCTGCTCCTCACTCTCCAAAGAGCTTGCAAGTGGGCACAGATGAACCAAGCTCACCTTCCTGACAATGACACCTGCAGATGGCACACCATGAGTTTTGTCTACAAATGCACCATTCCCCCAGTTTGAGGAGTCCCAGTTCGTCTTTTTTTTTGAAACAGAGTCTCACTCTGTCTCCCAGGCTGGAGTGCAGTGGCGCAATCTCGGCTCACTGCAACCTCCGCCTCCTGGGTTCAAGCGATTCTCCTGCCTCAGCCTCCCCAGTAGCTGGGATTACAGGCACCCGCCACCATGCCCGGCTAATTTTTGTAGTTTTAGTAGAGATGGGGTTTCACCATGTTGGTCAGGCTGGTCTCAAAGTCCTGACCTCAGGTGATCCACCCGCCTCGGCATCCCAAAGTGCTGGGATGACAGTCTGAGCCACCGCGCCCAGCTGAGGGCTTTGTATTTTACGGAGACACAATCAGTCCATCATTCCACACAACTGTGCTGTTGGGAATCTGTGAAGGTTAAGAATTCCCCACTGCCTTTGTCTTCCAGAAAATGGTTTTACTGAAAAAAAAAAAAAAAAAATTCCCTTCCTCATTACTCACAGATGCTTCCAAGTCAGCCTAGGACAAGGCTGGCCACATCCTCCAAATTCACATTCTTTATTTGCCCCTTCAGGGATGGACTGAATTCCTCGTCTTCCTTGACCTGAACAAAATTCCCATCTAACGTGATCACATTTTGGTTGGGTTTCTCTCCTCCTATCAGGCCCCGGGATGTTGGGCCAGCCTCACCTGGAGCAAACGTCAGAGGATCAAGCAACGCTTCCTTAGGACCTGCTCAAAATTAGCTATGCAGCCACAGGGTTTGGCAGCTTTTATCCATGACTGAACCCCACATCGAACGACCCCAATCACGGTTGTTCCGAGCATCACGTGCCTGTCCCTAGAAAAGAAAATGGTATGCTGCCTGCGCTCCAAGAGGCTCCCAGATGTCACTGCTCGGGTGTGCTTCATGGTGCTATAGGCAGCGTCCACCAGTGGTTGCATTAGTCCCTCCTCCTCTTGTTACAATAGTTCCTCCCCTATTACCATAATCCCTCCCCGCCATTACCATAGTCCCCCCTCCTCCATTACCGTAGTCCCTCCTTCCGTTACCATAGACCCTCCTCCGTTACCACAGTCCCTTCTCCCGTTACCGTAGTCCCTCCCCATTACCATAGTCCCTCCTCCATTACCATAGACCCTTCTACTTCTGTTACCATAGTCCCTCCTCCATTACCATAGACCCTCCTCCCGTTACTATAGTCCCTCCTTCCGTTACCATAGTCCCTCCTCCCATTACTATAGACCCTCCGTTACCACAGTCCCCCCTTCTCACATTACCATAGTCCCTCCTTCTGTTACCACAGACCCTCCTTTCGTTACTATAGTCCCTCCTCGTTACCATAGACCCTCCTCCTCCCGTTACCGTAGACCCTCCCCGTTACCACAGCCCCTCCTCCGTTACCATAGTCCGTCCTTCTGTTACCATAGTCCCTCCTTCCATTACCATAGTACCTCCTCCCATTAGCAGAGTCCCTCCTTCTGTTACCAGTCCTTCCTCCTCCCGTTACCATAGTCCACACTCCTCCCCTTACCATAGTCCCTCCTCCTCCCATTATCACCGCCCCTCCTCCTCCCATTATCACAGCCCCTCCTCCTCCCATTATCACAGCCCCTCCTCCTCCCATTACAGTAGTCCCTCCTCCTCTTATTGCAAAAGCTCCCATCTGTGGGAATGATCTTTTCAAATGAAACTGTTGCTACCTGTGTATCTGGTGTCTCTGTCACCATCATGGGACATCCCTGAAAGGTGTACCTCACTGCTGCAGAGTAGCACTCTCTGCAGGAAAGTCCATATCTTCCCTGCCCCAGACAACTGTGCTGTCCACAGCTGGACACTGGGCGCTTGCCAGACAGTTAGTGCAATGAGGCACTGAGTTTTTCTTTTCCCTTAATTATCACTTATTTAATTTTCGCGCATCACACGTGACCCCTGACCCCTGTTCTGGGCACCATCGTCGGAGAAATTTTCTTGAGGCTCGGGTTTCTTCTTTCTTTGCTACAAACTCCCAGGGCTACTTACTAAGGTGAAGAAAACACACTGTTATGTAATCCATTATACAGTCAACGTATCCTTACCAGAACCAGAAAAATTCACAATTTTAATGGTGAATCGGGTTGGGAAATCCATGCTTCTAGTTTTGAGGCGAAATACATGACTGATAAAACCCTTTTGTATTATACAAGGGAACCGGAGTGGATGGAGTTTTGCTATAGATCTCCCAGACGCGCCCCACAGCTCCATGATTGACAGCGTGAGTGTGTCTATCACACGAACCGCTGGGGGAAGGCAGGCAGTTGTGTCAAATTGGAACCGAATCACAAATGAAACATAAATTCCAGGATCCCGTTGAGTATAAAAACCCAGGACCCAACAAGGGCAAACGTAAGCAGCGAAGCCCCAGAGACCCCCTAGAGCATCCAGCATGTTGGGGTTTTAGGTTTGAAAGGGAGAGGTTGGTATTTCTTTTCTTTTCCTTCTTTGTTTTTTTTTTTTTGAGACGGAGTTTTCCTCTTGTTGCCCAGGCTGGAGTGCAATGGCGCAACCTCGGCTCACTGCAACCTCCGCCTCCCGGGTTCAAGCGATGCTCCTGCCTCAGCCTCCCGAGTAGCTGGGATTACAGGCACCCGCCACCCTGCCCGGCTAATTTTTTGTATTTTTAGTAGAGAGACGGGGTTTCATCATGTTGGCGAGGCTGGTCTCGAACCCCTAACCTCAGGTGATCCGCCGGTCTCGGCCTCCCAAAGTGCTGGGATTACAGGCGTCAGCCACCGCGCCTGGCTGGGGGTTGGTATTTCTTGTGGCTCATAAACCGCGGCTCTACTTTGCATCTGTATTAGTTCATTCTCACGCTGCTGATAGACATACCCGAGACGGGGTAATTTATAAAGAAAAAGAGCTTTAATGGACTCACAGTTCCACGGGGTTGGGGAGGCCTCACAATCACGACGGAAGACGAAAACCATATCTTCCACGGCGGCAGGCAAAATGGCTCCTGTAGGGGAACTTCCATTTATAAAACATCAGATCTCGTGAGAACACACTCACTACCACGAGAACAGTATGCGGGTCACCGCGCCCATGATTCAATTTCCTCCACCTGGCCCCACCCTTCACAGGTGGGAATCATTACAATTCCAGGTGCCATGTGGGTGGGGACACAGCCATCCCATCGTTACAGAGATTGTTGCAAGTTTGCCAGAATCCTCACACTCTTTTCAGAGGAGACCTTTCAAAAGAAACATCATCTAGGGAAGCTATGCTGTGTTCTGAGGCGAGGCTGGAATTTCAAAACCAGCTTTTCCACTAAAACACCTGCTCCATTTCCTCTGGGGCCTCCATTCTCCCCACGCCAGAATTAGGGGGTCTCTAGTCCCCCAGCTCTAATGCTTTCCAAGCAGGATAACCCTCTACATCCCATGGAAACCACGGCTGCTGCAAGGAAGAGCTGAGGGACTGCAGTGCCGCTGAACCGAGTCACCCTGGAGTTATAAATTATCAGGTTGGAGAAAAGGGGAAGGGGTTGTTGTATCTGGAGCTGAAGTTTTCAGGGCTGAGCTGCCAACGTGTGATACTTCAAGGGCCCCTGCGTACCTGACGCGGTGTGGACAGTTCGCACCCACATAGAGTTTGCAAGCCAACAGGAAACCTAGGCAGGCTTCCTGGAGGAGGCATCATCCGGCCAGGAAATAGAGGTGAGATGTTGACAGCAGGAGATGGTGAGAAAGGAACCCAGGAGGAGGGTTATCCAAAATAGGGCACACAGGTGAGAGAGTGGGGGAAGAGGAAGCCACAGGAAGGAAGAAAAAAGGTCAATGATATTGTGACGTAAAGTAAGTTCCTGTAGCATCTTAGCATAGCAAGTTTGAGAAACAGTCGTGCATGGAATGAGGACAAAAAAAGACCTCTGCACCTGCACACCTGCCCTCTACTCACCTGTCCAGCCCAGGCAATGGCCTACCACCCTCATGTGATTAGTATTGTTCTAAAGAAATGGAGTCTCACTATGTTGCCCAGTCTGATCTCAAACTCCTGGGCTCATATGATCCTTCTGTCTCAGCCTCTGGAATTGCTGGGACTACACAGGCATGCCACCGTGCCTGGCTGATTTGGATTCTTGACAGAAGAGTTGGCTCTGAAATACCAACATGTGGTTCTGTTTAAAAACAAAGGCTTCTCAAAACAGACCACAGTGAGGCCAGGCTCAGGGCTGTAATCCCAGCACTTTGGGAGGCCGTGGTGGGAAGATTCCTTGAGCTCAGGAGTTCAAGACCACCCAGGGCAACATAGTGAGACCCCATCCAAAAAATAAAAATAGCTGGGTGAGCAGCCGGGCACAGTGACTCACGCCTGTAATCCCAGCACTTTGGGAGGCCGAGGCAGGCAAATCACCTGAGGTCGGGAGTTCGAGGCCAGCCTGACCAACATGGAGAAACCCCATCTCTACTAAAAATACAAAAATTAGCCAGGCATAGTGGTACATGCCTGTAATCCCAGCTACTTGGGAGGCTAAGGCAGGAGAATTGCTGGAACCCGGGAGGCGGAGGTTGCAGTGAGCCGAGATCACGCCATTGCACTCTAGCCCGGGTGACAACAGCGAGACTCCATCTCAAAAAAACCAAAAAACAAAAAACGAAAAACAAAGTCTTCTCGAAACAGACCACAGCAAGGCCAGGTTCAGTCCTGTAATCCCAGCACTTTGGGAGGCCGTGGTGGAAGGATCCCTTGAGCCCTGGAGTTCAAGACCACCCAGGGCAAGATAGTGAGACCCTGTCTCTATAAAAAATAAAAATAGCTGGGTGTTGGTGGCATGTATGTGTAGTCTCAGCTACATAGGAGGCTGAGGTGGGAGGATCGCTTGAGTCCAAGAGGTAGAGGCTGCAGTGAGCCAGATAGCACCACTACACTCCAGCCTGGGCAACAGAGCAAGAACCTGCCTCTAAAACAGAAACATAAATAAACAAAAATGAAAATAAACTATCCTGCATTCTTCAGACAACACTGTGACTACAGGACAAGCGGTCACGCTGTCATGGAAGGATGGAGCCCATCTCAAAGGGAATTTCTGGAGTGCAGAAAGCAACCACATCAGGTGGGAATACGCCCTCCCAGTCAGCAGGTGCGTTCTCAAATCTCCAGCGGGTAATTAGTGCACATCACACAATGAATGAGCTTCCGATAAGTGAAAGTATGGTATGCACACCGCGGCTGTGAAATGCGGTTCGTTCTTGGATATCATGGGCAGCATTGAAAACTTAAACCTTTTTCTTCTTGTGGAAAAGGCTGGGGCTTGTCATCACTGTCTCCTCCCTTCCCCTCGCAGTTTATATTTAGCTGGGCACACGCCGTGTGGATGCCCGTTTTCTTCCTCCTAGGGGAGAATCCTCAGCTACAGGGTTGTTTTGGTTTCCTTGTGTGTTTGTTTCTTGATTTATTCTCTCTTGAGTCAGCAAGAGAACGGCTCGATGGGATGGTTGGTTGGTTGGTCGGTTGGTTGGTTGGTTGGCTGGTTGGTTGGTTTTTGAGACAGAGTCTCACTCTGTCGCCAAGCTGGAGGGCAGTAGTGCGATCTCGGCTCACTGCAACGTCCGCCTCCTAGGTTCAAGTGATTCTCCTGCCTCAGCCTCCTCAGTAGCTACGACTACAGGCGTGCACCCCCACGCCTGGCTAATTTTTGTATTTTTAGTAGAGACGGGGTTTCACCATGTTGGCCAAGCTGGTCTCGATCTCCTGACCTCGTGATCCACCTGCCTCGGCCTCCCAAAGTGCTGGGATGACAGGCTGGAGCCACTGCACCCGGCCGGCTCAGTGGGTTTTAGGAGCATCCCAGCATTCCCCGGACACAAAATGTGCCTCTCTGTGATTTTTACTAACTCGCCTGGAGTCACCAATGTTGTTGCCATATTTTGACCAAAACAGTAATAAAAGGGGCAATTTTCCTAGGGGCTCTTGTTCTGGTAGAAGAACAACTTCCCGCTGCCTGCATTGCAGGTGCCTCTGACTCAGGAGGAAACGCAGAATTTGGCGAACACGTGAAGTCTTTTTTCGCTAAATCTAAATTCTACAGGGTGGCTGGGGCCAATTGCAGTACGGATCTGAGGCATTGTAGATGGCAAGAGTGCATGTGTGCGTGTGTGTATGTGTCTGAGTGTGCATGTATGTCTACACTTGCCATAAACGAAAGCACAAAAGGGAAATGTCAGAAAGAAACCAGCAAAGGAAGCCAGCATCATTCACAATGCTGGTGTCTGTTACCCACAGAGGATGACATCGTCATTCAGGTGGCCATGAAGAAAGGCTTTGAATGACACTCCCAGAACAAGAGCCTGGAGATCTAACATCCACTCTGATTCTGCCCCTAGCCTTGGGTGACGTGGGTTTAACTGTGACCTCACCAAGATGTGTCCACCCAGAACCTAGGAATGAAAGCTCACTTGGATATCAGATCTTTGCATACAATTAGGTTGCACTAGAGTAGTGTCATTGCATACAACTAGGTTGTCATTGCATACAATTAGGTTGCATTAGAGTAGTGTACGCTGTTAACTGAATAACTGGTGTCCTTATAAGAAAAGGAACATTGGAGGCCGGGTATAGTGGCTCACGCCTGTCATCCCAGCACTTTGGGAGGCTGAGGCAGGCAGATCTTGAGGTCAGGAGACTGAGACCATCCTGCCCAACATGGTGAAACCCTGTCTCTACTAAAAATACAAAAATTAGCCGGGCACGGTGGTGCACACCTGTAGTCCCAGCTACTCAGGAGGCTAAGGCAGGAGAATCACTTGAACCCGGGAGGCAGAAGTTGCAGTGAGCCGAGATCACACCACTGCACTCCAGCCTGGGTGACAAGAGCAAAAACTCTATCTCAAAAAAAAAAAAGGAGAAGAGGAACACTGTGGCATAGAGACACAGAGATGGCCACGACAAAGGCAGATACTGTATTGATGCTTCTACACCAGCCGTCCCCAGCCTTTCTGGCACAGAGACTAGTTTCATGGAACACAATTTTTCCACACACACACAAAAACTGTCTTCATAGAAAGACAGTCACTGTGAGTGCAGGGGGAAGGATCTGGGGATGATTTGAGCGTATGACATTTATTGTGCACTTTATTTCTATGATGATACGTTAAATGAAGTAATTCTACAATACAACTCATTGCCATGTAGACTCAGTGGGAGCCCCAAACTTGTTTTCCTGCAACTAGATGGTCCCATCCGGGGGGTGATGGGAGACAGTGGCAGATCATCAGGCATTAGATTCTCATAAGAAGCATGCAACCCAGATCCCTGGTCTGCCCACTTCCCAATAGGGTTCTCAATCTTCTGATAATCTAATGCCACTGCTGATCTGACAGGAGGTGACCTCAGGCGGTAATGCGTGCAGTGGGAAGTGGCTGTGAACACACATGAAGCTTTGCTCAGTACCAGTCCACAGCCAGGGGGTTGGAGTCCTCTGTTCTACAGGACAAGAAACAACCAGGATTGCTAGCTAGCGAAGGAAGCCAGAAGAGATAGCGGAGGATCCTCCTCCAGAGCCTCCGCAAGGGGCACAGCCCTGCCTTAATACTCCAGAATGAAATGCATTTCATAATTGCAGTGTGCACACAATACTTTTTTTTTTTTTTTGAGACAGAGTCTTGCTCTGTCGCCAGGCTGGAGTGCAGTGGCATGATCTCAGCTCACTGCAACCTCCGCCTCCCGGGTTCAAGTGATTCTCCTGCCTCAGCCTCCTGAGTAGCTGGGACTACAGGTGCGTGCCACCACACCCGGCTAATTTTTTGTATGTTTAGTAGAGATGGAGTTTCACCATGTTGGCCAGGATGGCCTCGATCTCTTGACCTCGTGATCCGCCTGCCTCGGCCTCCCAAAGTGCTGGGATAACAGGCATGAGCCACTGCGCCCGGCCGTGTGCACACAATACTTCAACTTACTGAACGCTTATTCTTTGTGTCTGGTGCAATAGTGACCTGCTGGAGATTTGCAAATATACTTAGTGACTGGAAGGTTGTATTTCCACCCGGATGTGTTGGCTTTCTGCTCCAGGAATGTCCTTTGACACGGGCTCTGCCCTTGGATGACCAGGTGGTCAGCCTGCCTTGGCTGTGGACTTCTGGTGTTCAGAGCTGTCAGAGATTTGACTTCTGTGGCTTTCAGCCAGCTGGTTTGTAGAATTGTGTCGCAGCAGCTCCAGGAAACTAAAATATTGAGCCTCCCCTATGACAGTGGACCCTTGAACACCACGGGCTTGAATTGAATGGGTGTCCCCTTATATGTGGATTTTCTTCTGCCTCTGCCACCCGAGACACCCCCTTCTCTTCCTCCTCCTCCTCAACGTCAAGATGACGAGGATGAAGACATTTATCATGAGCCACTTCCACCTGATAAACAGTAAAGATATTTTCTCATCCTTACGATTTTCTTAAGGAAAATCACAGCTTACTTTATTGTAAGAATATAATATAGAATATTTACTATATTTTTCTCTAGGTTACTTCATTGTAAGAATATAGTATATAATACATACTATATTTTTTTCTCTTGATTAATTTTTTTTTTGAGACAGAGTTGTGCTCTTGTCACCCAGGCTGGAGTGCAGTGGTGCGATCTCGGCTCACTGCAACCTCCACCTCCCAGGTTCAAGTGATTCTCCTACCTCAGCCCCCCGAGTAGCTGGGATTGCAGGTGCGCACCACCACGCCTGGCTACTTTTTTGTATTTTTAGTACAGACGGGGTAGCCCCATGATGGTCAGGCTGGTCACGAACTCCCAACCTCAGGTGATTCGCCTGCCTCAACCTCCCAAAGTGTTAGGATTACAGGCGTGAGCCACCGCGCCCGGCCTTTGGCTTACTTTATTGTAAGAATATTACTATATTATTTGTGTCTGGTGCAATAATGACCTGCCTCATGATCTGTCACTGTCTCCCATTACCCCTAGATGGGACCGTCTAGTTGCAGGAAAGGCTTCCAGCCAACAGCAAGCTATTAGTTAAGTTTTGGGGGAGTGAAGAGTTACACAAGGTCTTCACGTGCCCCTAACCCTCACGTGGCTTCAGAGTCCCCTGTAAATGAATGTGTGGCAAGCAAAGAAAGAAGAACATGAAGAAAAGAGGGAGAGGAATACCCTACCACTACACAAGACCATATATCACCAACACCATTAATTCTTCCTTCTACATGATAAGCCGGCAAAGTCCCTGTCCTTGATAACTGTGCCAATGACGTCTGATTCCCAGTAGATGGATGATGACTAATTAGTCCTACATGGCAAACAAACGAAGGGTTAATTAATCTGAGCCTGCCTGAGTTATCTGTGAATGAGGATAGCCCAGTCACTTGACAATCATTTTAAACAGGTCAACGGATGATCAATCACGACTGAAATTCCCCCGTAAAAGACGTGTCCACTCAACTGGAATTTATTTCTAGGAAGAAAATGAGCGACCTGTGGGCTGGCAGTGGAGGTTTTTTTTTTTTTTTTTTTTTTTTAATGATGCTGCTGTTTCTTAAAATGGGCTTTGAGTTTTTTGTGTTATTCTATCCAGGAGAGCTCATGAAGGACCCTGTCAGTGTGGGGGGCATCCAAAACACATTAAGGCCAGATTCCTAGAGAAAGCTGTTTTGCCGAAACAAAAATGATGTCTGGTGGCATCACAGGCTTTCTTTAATCCACTTGGGCTCAGTCGTAATGGCAAAGCTAATGAACACAGAGGGATATTTGCAGGATAAAAGCAATTAGAACAATTATGAGGGTAATTAACTGGCCCAACACACTCGTCAACACATCTAGCAGGACCGCCAGAATCTGAGACTCCAAAACCCAAGGTTTTTCTTTTCTGTTGATTCCAAAATCCTGGATGGATTTCCTGCTAAAAGATTGCATTGGCCGGGCCCATTCGCTCACACCTGTAATCCCAGCACTTCGGGAGGCCGAGGCGGGCAAACCATGAGGTCAGGAGTCCAAGACCAGCCTGGCCAACATGGTGAAACCCTGTCTCTACTAAAAATACAGAGCTTAGCTGTGCATGGTGGCACGTCCCCATAATCCCAGCTACTCGGGAGGCTGAGGCAGGAGAATTGCTTGAACCGGGACCCAGGAGGCGGAGGTTGCAGTGAGCTGAGATCATGCCACTGCACTCCAGCCTGGGCTACAGAGCAAGACTCCGTCTCAAAAAAAAAAAAAAAAAAAAAAAAAAGACTGCATTGCAGGATGAGATGTCTTAAAAAAAAAAAAGTAGCTGTAATCTCTCATGGAACTATACAACCTTAGAAACATATGATAAGGAAGCAGGATGTTGAAGGAATACAGGGAAAGATGGTCTCTACAGGTCCTACTGAGTCTAGCAGGGATGGTTCAGGAGAGATGTATAGATATGATGTATGAGTTTACTATTGCTGCTGTTATGGTTTGGCTCTGTGTCCCCATCCAAATCTCACGTTGAATTGTAATTCCCAGCGTTGAGGGAGGGACCTGGTGGGAGGTGATTGGATCATGGTGGCGGATTTCCCCCTTGCTGTTCTCATGATAGTGAGTGAGTTCTCACGAGGTCTGACAGTTTAGAAGTGTGTGGCATTCCCCCCTTGCTCTCTCTTCATCCATCACCACCGAGCATTCATGCTGCACACGTAAACTCAAAGACTCAAGGTCGCCATGTGCTATGGTTTCAATGTCTGTGTCCTCTCGAAATCCCCATTTTTTGGTTATTGTTTTGTTTTGTTTTTGCTTTTGCTTTTTTGTTTTGTTTTGTTTTTTGAGACGGAGTCTCACACAGTCGCCAGGCTGGAGTGCAGTGGTGTGATCTCGGCTCACTGCAACCTCCGCCTCCGAGGTTCAAGCGATTCTCCTGCCTCAGCTTCCTGAGTAGCTTGGGATTACAGGTGTGCACCACCACACCCGGCTAATTTTTGTATTTTTAGTAGAGACAGGGTTTCACCATGTTGGCCAGGCTGGCCTCGAACTCCTGACCTCAGGTGATCCGCCTGCCTCAGCCTCCTAAAGTGCTGGGATTACAGGCGTGAGCCACCACACCCGGCCCCAGATCCCTGTCTTGAGACATAACCTACAAGGTGATAGTGTTAAGAGGTGGAGCCCTTTAAGACGTGATGAGGTCATGAGGGTGGGGCCTCAGGAATGAGATGAGTGTCCTTCTAAAAGGGACCCCAGAGAGCTCCCTCGACCCTTCTGCCACGTGATGACAAGAGTGAGAAGGCACCGTCTGTGAACCAGGAAGCAGGTCCTCACCAGACACTGAACGTGGCATGCTTTGATCTTGGACTTCTAGCCTCCAGAAGTGTGAGCCTGACCAACAGGGAGAAACCCCGTCTATACTAAAAATACAAAATTAGCTGGGCATGGTGGCGCATGCCTGTAATCCCAGCTACTCAGGAGGCTGAGGCAGGAGAATCGCTTGAACCCAGAGGGCAGAGGTTGTGGTGAGCCGAGATCACACCATTGCACTCCAGCCTGGGCAACAAGAGGGAAACTCTGCCTCAAAAAAATAAAAATGAAAAAAATAAAGAGGCAAAAGAGCCAGAAGCAAAATGTGCATCCGCCTATTTCCCCTGAGGGCACGTACGTTCCCTAAGAGCGACAGGTAGAGTGACTAAAAGCACCTTTGTTCCAACAGTGGCAGGCTGTAGCATCCCCGTTCTCAGGAAGCCACAACCAAAAAAAAAAAAAAAAAAAAAAAGCCAGCAACACACATGAGGTGAGAAGGATTTTCCTGAAAACTTCCAGCCTGACAGGTGCATGATTATTTTAAAAGCAGAGCCTAGATGTGCAAATCTGCAGGAGGGGTAACATGAAACTAAAACATGGCATTGTTTGCAAGCTACATGGCTTCGTAGGAGAGTCTGCTGTATGGGGGGCCATGGCTTGCATGGCTGACAGCATCACTTCTCCTGCATAGTGCAAAACATGGACAAGAAGATGCCTGAAGAGGTCCTGTGGGCCTGCCTAGACTCATCTGGCTTAATTACAATATTCAGAAATGCAACACCTACTCTCTGGAGAAGTATTCCATTCCCTCTTTCTGGGCTCCCACAAGCACAGTCTTTGCTTGGCTGAGCCAAGGGAGCTGACAGCAGAATCCCTGAGTCTTCGGATATTAGGGCTGTTGTTAGCTATGGAAGGAGGGCAGAGTTGAGGGTGTCAGACTTGGCCAACCTACCCACCAGAAGGAGGACATGCAAGCCACAGAGACTTGGGAGGAAGGACACAGAACAGTCCACAGATAGTCAAGTAGAGCAAGATTGTTTCAGGAAAAGGGGTTGGTTCTTTCACAGAATCCATGAACAGCAATCATTACCATTTTCATAATCATCACTATCACCACCATCACCAACATCATAGCCACCACCATCATCATTACCATCATCACCATCACCACCATCATCACTACCATCATCACCATCATCATCATCACCATCACCATCATCATCATCACCATCACCATCATCATCACCATCATCACCATCACCATCATCACCACCATCATCACCATCATCACCATCACCATCATCACCACCATCATCACCATCATCATCACCATCACCATCATCACCATCATCACCATCACCATCATCACCACCATCATCACCATCATCATCGCCATCATCATCACTATCATCATCATCATCATCACCATCACCATCATCACCATCATCATCACCATCACCGTCATCACCACCATCATCACCATCATCATCGCCATCATCATTATCACCATCATCATCACTATCATCATCATCATCACCACCATCACCATCATCACCATCATTAGCAGCAGCAGCAGCATGACCATCATCACCATCATTATCATTTCTATCATCACCATCACCATCATCACCATCATCAGCAGCATCATCACCATCACCAACATCATTATCATTTCTATTACCACCACTATCACCATCATCATCATCACCACCATCACCATCATCAGCAGCAGCAGCATCACCACCATCACCATCATCATTATTTCTATCACCACCACCATTGTCATCACCATCATGACCATCATCATCACTGACCATCATCATCATCACATGACCATGACCATCACTATCACCATCCTCATCACCATCATCATTATCATTTCTATCACCCCATCATCATCACCATCAGCATCAGCATCATCAACACCAATATTTTCATCATCACTATCATCACCATCATAAACACCATCATCACCATCACCATCATCATTATCACATCAGCAGCAGCAGCATAATCATTATCATCACCATCATCACCATCGTCATGATCATCACCATCATCATCATCATCACCATCATCACAGTCATTACTATATCACCATCACCATAATTATCACCATCATCACCATTACCACTGTCATCATCATTGCCATCATCACTACCACCATCATCACAACCATCATCACCATCAGAATCACCATTATCATCAACATCATCATTGTGGCAGCTGTCATTCATGAGATCCCACAATGCACAAAATATTTTCCTGTATTTTATTCCTTTGGCCAGTACTTTTTATATCCCAGTGATGTTCCATGGACCATCATGGGGCTGGGGAAATCAGTGACACAATTAAACAACCAACGATACAATGTGTGAGGTTGGCGATAGAAGGGATTAAGTGTCCCAAGGGAGCAGGGAGTTGTAAGGCACCTGGCTTCAGGACAACTGCTTTACAGCATGCTATAAAAGCTGAGAAGACTAGCATGAAAGGGACTTGGATGGTCAGGAGGCAGAGGAGGGGAAGAATTCTCAAGAACCAGGAACCACATGTGCACAGCTACAGCAAACAGGTGGAGGCATGAAGGGCATTCTGCCCATATGGGTTTAAGCAGGTTAAGACAACAGTGTGACTCAGCAGGATCTCTCTGACTGCAGTGTAGACAGTTCAGGGAGGGAAACCTGGAAGCCGAGAGACTAGCCAGGAAGCAGAGTTATGAAGCAGGTAAGGGATAGGTGTGACCTGCTGTAGGGAGTGATACCGAAAATGACGGAGTGTTTTTGATAAGCATGTAGGTGGTCTACAGAGCTCTCAGTTGCCACCAGGGAGAGGAATGCCAAGGTGGAGAAAAGCATCTCAGACACTCTAGGATCGACTGTAGGCAGCTGAGAGGATGGTAGTCCACTGACTTACACAGAGAGAAGGAAAATGTCAAATACATTCCTGCACTTGCTGTGGAAGCAGGGAGGTGTAGGAGGCAGGAGTTTGGAAACAAATATATTGGTGAGAACTAGCAGAGCAGAGTTTTGGAGAACACGGACGTGGTTGCAAGACCTAAGGAAAGGTGTGTAGTGTGAGATGCTACGAGGAAACGCTGAGGAAAGGCAGCATAAAAGAAACAGTCAAGAAAGAAGCCACACAGGAGGGTAGGTCTTGGAGAAAGCAAACCCAGAGGGTGGAACCTCATGAGAGGATGGAATTGAATCTTTCAAGACAGCTGTTAAAGGACACTTTTTAAGAGTGTTTATCATAATTTTGCTCACTCAGATAAGTGGATGATTATTTAATTCCTCACTCCAGCTGGACTATAAATTCCACACAGGCAAGAAGCAAGCTTATTTGGTTGTATTTAAAATTGAACAATGGGATCACGTGGACACAGGAAGGGGAACATCACACTCTGCGGACTGTTGTGGGGTGGGGGGAGGGGGGGGATGGCATTGGGAGATATACCTAATGCTGGATGACCAGTTGGTGGGTGCAGCACACCGGCATGGCACATGTATACGTATGTAACTAACCTGCACAATGTGCACATGTACCCTAAAACTTAAAGTATAATAATAAAAAATAAATAAATTTAAAAAAAAAAAGAAAAAAAAATATATATATATACATTTGCTGCGCACCTGTAGTCCCAGCTGCTCGGGAGGCTGAGGCAGGAGAATCGCTTGAGCCTGGAAGGCGGAGGTTGTAGTGAGCCAAGATTGTGCCACTGCACTCCAGCCTGGCGACAGAGTGAGACTCCATCTCAAATATATATGTGTGTGTGTGTGTGTGTGTGTGTGTATGTGTATATATATGTGTGTGTGTGTATACATACATACACACATCCAACAAGTACCATCATTACCATCACCATCATCACCATCATCATCATTTAGGGAAAGGAACACAAATGTGACACTGGAAATTCACATTTGAATTTGGAAATTCATCCATGAATCAGCCAGAGGGCTATGGTGGTGGCTAGTGATGGTCATGGTTGCTTTAAAAGATGCATGCTTTATTGTGGTTTATGAGAGAACCACCAAGAATGGAAAGAATGTAGCACACAGACCGTAATTCTCATTCCATAGCCACAGCAGGCATCACTAATTGATGACTATTCCTTGCTGCAGGATCATTCTTATCTCAGGGTGCTGGCAGCCAGAACCAATCAATCAGCCTTAGGAGGGAAAATCCACTTGCCATCCATTCAATTTGTGATTCGGGTGTAGAGCATCTCCTGCATTCCGGCTGCTGTTATGAGATTAATTCCTTCAGAGGTTTACTAATTAATGGATGTTGAATTATCCCAAATGCTTCCCTGTTACCTAATGAGAAGCATCCTTTGGTCTACAGGTGGATGAGTTGCAACTAAGTCAGGAGTAATTTTTTTTTTAACCTGGAAGTCTATTCAGTGGATAAGATTAAACTAGATTTTCTTTATTTAGGTTGGTAAGTAGAACCAGCCGATGATGCTTCTTTGAAAAGTGTTCATTTGGGAGTAAAACGGTTTACTCAGACACAGGTTGGTGGCTCTGGTCACTTTGAAGAGTACAGCCAGTAGATTTTTGGATAAATGGCCAAATACTACACACCTTAGGATTTGTGGGCCATAAGGTCTCTGTTGCAACTCTTCAAACCTGTGTACCTAAGGCAAAAACAGTCACAGGCAATAAGTAAATGAATGTATATGGCTGTGTTTCAAGAAAACTTTAATGAGAAAAACAAGTTAAGGGTCAGATATGTTCCAGGGTCAACAGTTTCCAGATTCTTGATCTAGATTGTCCTTGATGGTTTGGAAAAAGTATATAGATAATCAATTATTTATTTATTTATTTATTTATTTATTTATTTATTTATTTTGTGTGTGAGAGAGAGAGAGAAAGAAAGAGAGAGACAGAGAGACGGAGTCTTGCTCTGTCACCAGGCTAGAGTGCAGTGGCATGATTTCAGCTCACTACAACCTCCACCTCCCAGGTTCAAGCAATTCTCCTGCCTCAGCCTCCCAAGTAGCTGGGATTACAGGCCTGTGCCACCACACCCAGCTAATTTTTGTATTTTTAGTAGAGACAGGGTTTTACCATGTTGGCCAGGCTGGTCTCGAACTCTGGACCTCAGGTGACCCGCCCAACTCAGCCTCCCAAAGTGCTGGGATTACAGGCGTGAGCCACTGCACCCAACCAGATATTCAAGAATTCATTAGGAACACTTGGTGGAAAGTTCTGACGGTTGAAATTTCAGCATGTTGTTTTATCTGTGATCTGTAATTCCATTTGCATGAATTTAGCAAAATTCTAATTTTTTGCAATAAGACAGCCTTTCATCCTTTGCCCAGGAGGAGGTAATCAAATATGTTAGTTGAGTTAAGAATAAATTACTTTTTTTGCATAAGTTTAAATCATATTTTTATTACATGTTATTTCCTCTTTCTTGTTCCAATTCATGCTAATCTGTCCTTGCTTCTTTTGTGTGTGGAATGAAGGATGAATAAATGGTGGGATATTATTCTTTCATTTTTCTTAAGGAAACTACTATTGATGGTTTTGTTTTTTTTTTTTTTTGCTTCTCTGCTACTTTCCTTTTGTATTTATTTCTGCACAATGTCATTATTTTCATACTCCTGCTTCCTAATTTTACTTTATTTCTTAGAGGCCCAGTCATCATTTGCTTTTTTATTTCTTACTAGCACGAGAACTTAGAGTGATACAAATCTTCTGAATATTTTGGCTGCATTCTGCAGACAGTGACAGCTTCCATTTCCATGGATATTATTTATAAAACATTTTTGTCACCTGCTATGAATTGTCACCCTGCCCACATGCTTTAAAAGGACAGTTTTTGAAATCAACATGAGTTTGGGCACTGGGAAACTGCAAACTTAATAAAATTAAACATTAAAAAAGCGGCTCTTTCTGCTTCCCTATCAACTGAGGCAGCAGGGTTATAGATGTAGGGGGTAAGGAACGGACCCTGTATTGGTCAGGGTTCTCTAGAGGGACAGAACTAACAGGATAGATATATAGAAAGGGGCATTTATTCGGTATTAACTCACACGATCACAAGGTCCCACAATAGACTGTCTGCAGGCTGAGGGGCAAGGAAGCCAGCCCAAGTCCCAAAGCTGAAGAACTTGGAGTCCAGTTTTCCAGGGCAGGAAGTATCCAGCACAGAGAAAGATGCAGGCTGGGAGGCTAGACCAGTCTAGTCTTTTCATGTTTTTCTGCCTGCTTATAGTCTAGCCTCGCTGGCCTGCTGATGACATGGTGGCCACCCAGATGATTAAGGGTGGGTCTGCCTTTCCCAGCCCACGGACTCAAATGTTAATGTCCTTTGGCAACACCCTCACAGACACACCCAGGATCAATACTTTGCATCCTTCAATCCAATCAAGTTTACTCTAAGTATTAATCATCGCAGAACCCATTCCAAGGGCAGAAGTTTACAGAGGAAATAGTTAGGACCTCAGCCAGCTCCAGAGTGTGCATGGATCAGATAACAGGGGTGAATTTCCTCACAGCAGGCGGAAAAAAAAAAAAATTCCCTACTCTGAGCCTCCACCCTCCCCTGCAAAAAAAAAAAAAAAAAAAACGGGATTCCCTCAGGTACCCCCAGAACCTAAATCTTGTTCTGTGCCAGGGAGGCATGGGGTACAGGAGCCTGGCTCACTCCTGAGGAAGCCACTGCTCATAGCTACAGGGTAGCTGTGGTCCTGTGGGGACTGATCAGCCTCAGGGCTTGAGGGGACAATGAGGGCAGAGAAAACAGGAGAAGGGAGTGGTATGGGTTTGTCCTTGGTCTTACTCAAAGGAGCCATTGGGAGGCATGGAGGGAACCCCATGGCAAGATGCTGAGACGATGCCAGCTTGCTGGGGGTTGCAGAAACGTTTTCAGGTAGCCCCTTGGAAAGAAACACTGGTTGTCATGGGCTGAATTTTGTCCCCCTCAAATTCATACATTGAGATCCTCACCCCTAGGACTTCAGAATGTGATCATATTTGGATATGGGGTCTTTAAAGAGGCAATTAAGGTAAAATGAGGTTTCAGGGGGTTGGGGGGAGGCTGATCCAATGGGACTGGCTCCTTATAAGAAGAGGAGATGAGGACACAGACACACACAGAGGGACAACCCTGTGAGGACACAGGGAGAAGACGGTGACTCCAAGTCCAGCAGAGAGACCTCAGGAGGAACCAGCCCTGCCCATACCCTGATCTCAGATGTCCAGCCTCCAGTACTGTGGGAGAATCAATGTCTATTGTTTCTAAGCCACCCAGCCTATGGTATTCTGTGATAGCAGCCTGAAATGGACTAAGATATCTCATAAGAAGAGGAGATGAGGACACAGACACAGACAGAGGAAGGACTCTGTGAGGACACAGGGAGAAGACAGCATCTCCAAGTCCAGGAGAGAGACCTCAGGAGGAATCAGCCTTGCCCATACCCTGATCTCAGACATCCAGCCTCCAGGACTGTGGGAGAATAAATGTCTTGTTTGTAAGTCATCCAGCCTATGGTATTCTGTGACAGCAGCCTGAAATAGACTAAGACATTTCATAAGAAGAGATGAGGACACAGACACACACAGAGGAAGGACTCTGTGAGGACACAGGGAGAAGACGGCGTCTACAAGCCAGAGAGAAAGCAAGCCTACCGACACGGTGACCTCAGACATGTAGCCTCTACAGCTGTGAGAGAATAAGTATCTTTTGTTTAAACCACCTGGTCTGTGGATCTCTGTAACACTCGGCAACGCTACAAGACGAATACACGGACCAGAGCATTAGAAGCGCCGCAGGTGGTCTCTGGCAGTCACGCTTCTGCCATGAGAATCAGCTCTAACCGTCTGTTACCGGGACATAGGGTAACCAGCCAGGAAGGGGTCACCTGGTCTCCTTCCTCCTCTCTCTCACCTGCACCCAGGTGGGTGCTCCAATGGCAGCTCATGGGGGGAAAGAGAGGGAAAGGCTGGGCCAGAGGCAGCAGAAATCTCCCTTCTGAAAGAGGAAGATGACCTGAGCTCCTGCCCTGGGCTGAATCCCTGAATCCAGACTCTGTTTTGTGATGAAAGTGATGGCGGTAACCTGGGAGGGGGTGGGTAGGTAGGTTTCGTGTCCACCTCTGTTTCCATGCAGGAGCTTGGGAGAGGGAGACAGGGAGGGCACAGCACATGGATGACACCCCACGGGCTGTGTGCTTGGCGTGCTGGACACGTGTGTCACAGTCTTTCTTGACCTAAAACATGGGTACTTTTATCCACTCATGAGTGTATGATCAATTGACACACACGAGTCACTCACCAACAGCTGCACAAGGATGCTCCAGAGATAAATCTTCTCTTGCCTTGTGTTTTATTTATTCTTCTCTGTATCTCCCTGATCTGGCCTTTTCAGATTCAGAATCACGTGGGTTGTTGAGCATTTCCAATTTAAGGGCAATTACTTATTTTATTTTTTTTTTATTGTTTTAGATGGATTCTTGCCGTGTCACCCAGGCTGGAGTGCAGTGGCATGAGCTCGGCTCACTGCGACCTCCGCCTCCGGGGATCAAGTGATTCTGCTGCCTCAGCCTCCCGAGGAGCTGGGATTACAGGCTTGAGCCACCATGCCAGGCTAGTTTTTGTATTTTTAGTAGAGAAGGGGTTTCGCCATGTCGGCCACGGTGGTCTCGAACTCCCGACCTCAAGTGATCCACCCGCCTCAGCCTCCCAAATTGCTGGGATTACAGGCATGAACCACCGTGCCCGGCCTCATTTTTAAAATAATTTTTAATTGTGGAAAAATACACATAACATAAAGTTTAGCATTTTAACCTTTTTTTTTTTTTTTTTTAATGGAGCTTTGCTCTTGTTGCCCATCCTGGAGTGTAATAGCGCGATCTCAGCTCACCACAACCTCTGCCTCCCGGATTCAAGCGATTCTCCTGCTCAGCCTCCCAAATAGCTGGGATTATAGGCGCCCACCACCACACTCGGCTAATTTTGTATTTTTAGTAGGAGGTTTCTCCATGTTGGTCAGGCTCGTCTCAAACTCCTGACCTCAGGTGATCCACCCGCCTCGGCCTCCCAAAGTGCTGGGATTACGGGCATGAGTCACCATGCCCAGCTGCATTTTTTTTTTTTATAATTTTGAATTGTGGAAAAATACACATCACATAAAGTTTAGCATTTTAACCATTTTTACGTACACAGTAAAGTGGTATTAAATACATTCATATTGTTATGTAGCCATCACTGCCATGCATCTCCAAAATATTTTCATCTTGCCAAATGGAAACTCTGTTCCCATTAAACATTAAGTCCCCACCTTTTCCTCGCCCAACCCCTATAACTACCCCATTCTACTTTCTGTCTCTAAAAATTTAAAGGTACTCTGTGTACCTCATAGGAGTGGAATCCTACAGTATTTGTCCTTTGGGGATTGGTTTATTTCACTTAGCATTAATGTCCTCAAGGTTAGCCCACATTGCAGCATGCATCTGAATATCCTTCCTTTTTTATGGCTGTGTAATATTCCATCATTTGGATACACCACATTTTGCTTATCCATCTGCCTGTGGAGGGACACAGTTTCTCTCCACCTTTTAGGATTGGATTATTTCACTTAGCATTAATGTCCTCAAGGTTAGCCCACATCGCAGCATGCATCTGAATACCCTTCCTTTTTTATGGCTGCGTAATATTCCACCGTTTGGATATACCACATTCTGCTTATCCATTTGCTTCTGGAAGGACACAGTTTCTCTCCACCTTCGGGTTATTGTAAGTAATACTGCTGCTGCAAACGTGGTTTGTGCAAATATCTGTTGGAGACCCTGTTTCCAATTCTTTGAGGTATATACCCAGCAGTGGAATTCCTGGTGCCATCTGTTCTTACTTTTTATTTCATGGAATGCTGTTTTATTGGGGACCCAAGAATTTGGCAGGATCAGTCTATCCTCAGGGAGTCAGTGAAGTTCAATAATAAAGAAACTCTCCAGGTCGTCCCTCCTTAAAAGTCAGGTTCCTTCAAGACAGAATACAAGTGACCTGCCCTCAGGCAAAAGGGATGCCGGCAACGTTGCACCACTGGTGCAACACCAGTATGCACCAAGGCATAACCCAAGATTTAAGACGCAGCCAAGAGCCCTTTCCCAGGAGGAGCCATAGGTAGGAATTCTCAGGCAGGCAGGGGACTGGGGGAAAAAATAAACCCACCTAGGGGTGGAATCCTGCCAAGTAAGAGAGGAATATAGAAGGCAGCAGACACAGGGGTCACACCCAGAAATGCAAAGGCTGATGTGAAAAGCCTGCCACGAAGCACCCAGCCCATCTTAAGTGAAATTCAAGAGGACTCCTGTAATCCCAGCACTTTGGGAGGCCGAGGTGGGCAGATCACCTGAGGTCAGGAGTTCGAGACCAGCCTGACCAACATGGTGAAATTCCCATCTCTACTAAAAATACAAAAATTAGCTGGGTGTGGTGGGACACACCTGTAATCCCAGCTACTGGGGAGACTGAGGCAGGAGAATTGCTTGAATCCAGGAGGTGAAGGTTGCAGTGGGCCAAGATTGCACCACTGCACTCCAGCCTGGGTGACAGAGCGAAATTCCGACTAAAAGAAAAAAAAAGGAAAGAAATTCAAGAGGGACTGTGAAAAGAGCAGTGATTGCTACACAGTCCAAGGCGATCCATGGGGATGAGTCAGCAATTATGCATCCAACGAAGTGAGGTTTGCAAGGTGAGGAAGGAGGAGGGAAAACGCTGTCGTTCACCATCCCTCGCCACAGGGAGGCCACAGGCAATGCCAGCAATTCAAACGTGCTGCTTAAACAAAGCATCCTGGTCCTTCCTGGGGAAATGGAAATGGGTATGACGGTCAGGGAGGGTGACGCTACCCTCAAGCCCAGCCCTTCACTTCAATGGGATTTAAATGCCATGCATGTTACAGTTCAGTTTTATGAAACCTCTGCTTTTATCTAAAGCATATATAATTTCATAAAGTATATGTAAAGCATTTATCATTTTATATATGCAGCACATACAATTTTAGGAGGAAATGATGGTGCACGCCTGTAGTCCCAGCTCCTCGAGAGGCTGAGGTGGGAGGATCGCTTGAGTTCCAGAGGCAAAGCCAGCCCGGGCAACACAGCAAGACTCACGTCTCTTAAAAAATAAAATAAAATAAGTAGGTATATAATTTTATGTATATATTAATTTTATATTTTGTATACTGATATATATGTATTATATATTATATGTTACAATGTTTATTTATATTATATATTATGATATATGCTTATTATATATTATATTTATTATATATTATGTGTTACATAGTATGATATATATAAAATAATATATACATAAAATTAAACATCCAATAACTATAGTTTATACTTATATATTATAAATTCGTGTTTATTATAAAGTATGATATAAAAATATATACTAAATATATATACTATTTATAGAATAGCATAAATATTTAATATAAATTATTTATAATGACACAAATATAATTTATAGTTATCATTATATATTTATGTAATATATATTTTATATATACACAAAATGTATTGTGCATATTATATTATGTTTTATATATAAATATATAAATAAAATATATCAAAGTATATCTTGTATATAATTTTATATTACAAATATATGTTACAAAATATATATACATTACAAAATGTAACATACATATGAATGTGAATTCATATGTATATACATTATAATATAAATTCATATTATGTCATTATGTATTTAATATATACATTGAACATAATACATCATATATAATAATACATTATAATTTAATGTATATGCTTTATAATAATAAATATATAGTAAGTATATAAACCTAAAATATTAATATAGATCAAATATATAAATGTGTATACAATAAATATATGAACCTAAAATATGAATATATATAAAGTAGATGAATATAACACATAAACAAACTATAAATGTCTAGACATTGACCATGTACAAGTGTGCAGTGTGGACAGTGAATGGAAATGTGAGCATGAAATGTGTGTTGACGCCTCCCATCTCCTGTGCACACACAAGACACAGCGACCTCCCCATCTCCTGCGCACACATGACACACAGGGACCTCCCCATCTCCTGTGCACACACATGACACACAGGGACCTCCCCATCTCCTGCACACACATGACACACAGGGACCTCCCCGTCTCCTCCGCACACACGACACACAGGGACCTCCCTGTCTCCGGCGCACACAGGACACCCAGGGACCTCCCCATCTCCTCTGCACACACGACACACAGGGACCTCCCCGTCTCCTGCACACACGACACACAGGGACCTCCCCGTCTCCTCCGCACACACGACACACAGGGACCTCCCTGTCTCCTGCGCACACACGACACACAGGGACCTCCCCGTCTCCTGCACACACGACACACAGGGACCTCCCCATCTCCTGGGCACACAACACCCAGGGACCTCCCTGTCTCCTGCACACACGACACACAGGGACCTCCCCGTCTCCTGCACACACGACACACAGGGACCTCCCCATCTCCTGGGCACACAACACCCAGGGACCTCCCTGTCTCCTGCACACACGACACACAGTGACCTGCCCGTCTCCTGCGCACACACAACACACAGGGACCATTCGGGGTTCAGGGACGCGTGTCCATGGTAGGATCCCTGGCAATTTTTCTGATTTGCCCGAGCACTCATGAGTTTCATGACTGCTATGATTTTTCACAGAAGCTTGGCTGTGGGCAAGATGGGTTGGCAGATGCAGGGGGAACCGGATGGAAGGCTGCTTGTGTCCGGGCTCACTGTCCTGGCGGCTGCAGGTGCCTAGGCCATGAGGACATCTGAGCAGACAGGGCGCCGGAGGAGAGGGCAGGACAAGAATGGGAGTGCAGACAGCAGGCTCCCTGTGAAGGCCAGTGGGCCCAGCTGAGACCCAGGGAGGGGTATACCTGCCCCACAGGAGAGACCTGGACTTGGCAGCAGCAGGGAGCTGGGGCAGGAGGGAAATCGGCCCCACCCACATGCTGCAAGCACGTCAGCCAGGTCAGAGTTCCAGGTGAGGACGAGGTTACAGCTACAGGTGATATGATGTCAGAGCTATCGGTGAGGATAGCCGGTTAGAGCTACAGGTGAGGGTAAGAGGTCAGAATGCCAGGTGAAGATGAGATTACAGCTACAGGTGAGGATGACATCACATTTACACGTGAGGATAACAGGTTAGAGCTACAGATGAGGATAAGAGTTGGAGTTGGGGCCGGGCACAGTGGCTCACGCCTGTAATCCCAGCACTTTGGGAGGCTGAGGCGGGCAGATCACAAGGTCAAGAGATCGAGACCGTCCTGGCCAACATGGTGAAACCCCATCTCTACTAAAAATACATAAATTAGATGGGCGTGGTGGCACGTGCCTGTAGTCCCAGCTACTCAGTAGGCTGAGGCGGGAGAATGGCGTGAACCTGGGAGGCGGAAGTTGCCGTGAGCCGAGATTGTGCCACTGCACTCCAGCCTGGGCAACACAGTGAGACTCCGTCTCATGAAAAAAAAAAAAAAGAGTTGGAGTTGGAGTTCCAGGTAGTGATGAGAGGTTGGACTTCCAGGTGACAATGAGTGGTCAGCATTACAGGTGATGGAGGGAGGTTGGAGTCCTAGGTGAGGACAAGTGGTCCGAGTTACAGGTGATGGGGAGAGGTTCGAGTCCCAGGTGAGGATCAGTGGTCAGCGTTATAGGTGATGATAAGAGGTTGAAGTTCCAGGTAAAGATAAGCCATCACTGGGGCCAAGGACAGCCCGAGGTCACAGGGCTGGCTCAACCCTGATTCCTCCAAGACCTGTGTTCTTTCCTGCACCTGTTTCCTTGGAACGAGTCTGTTCAGGACTCACACTCACCTGCTGCAGGGAGCTCAGCTCTCCAGCCCACCTGCACTCTCTCCAGAACCCCTCCCTGCCCGTGTGAAGCAGGAGGGTGTCACAGATCAGCACCCAACACACCTCGGCCACTGGGGCCAGCCAGGGGGTGGAGGGGCCGAGCTACGTAAGTCCCTGCGCGCACCACAAAGGGGGCTTGTACTGTGTCTAGAAACCTTTCATTTCTGTTTTGAGTTTACTTTCTCACTGGGGTTCCACTCCTGGCAGACCTCCCTTTTTCCCATAGAGAGGCCGCACGCAGAATTTCCAAGCATCTGGAACCCCGGCTGCTTGGAAACATGTAGCGCCTCCTGTCATGCCCCATCGGTGACCAGAGAGGACTGAGTAAGGGATGTTCCCGTGACTGCAAGGAAGGCATGGATGGGGGCGTGTCCACCTCCAGCGGAACCCCCAGGGGACTTGGAATTTGGAGGCAGAGTCTGAGGCCAACACTTCAGAGTGACACACGCATGTTCAGGGTCACCTTACCGGAAGCCATGCATTTCCCTGATGAGCCAGGGGGGTGACTATGTCTCCCCAAGTTCTTGTCCCATGACCTGGGGTCAGGACACAGTGTGCTGATGTCACACCATGTCACACAGCTGTAGTATGCCTCTATCAGCAATGCAACTAGATATTCTATTCCTGCCCGATCTATGTCTCTACTCGTCTCCCGAGGCTGCTGTGACAAATGACCACACCTGGGGAACTTAATTCAACAGGAATTCATCCTCTACTGGCTCTGGAGACCAAAAGTCTGAGATCAGGTGTCTCAGGACCATGCTCCCTCCGGGGGCTCTCAGGAAGGGGCCTCCCTGCCTCTCCTAGTTCCTGGGGGCTCCAGGAGTCCCTGGGTTTGTGGCCGCATCGCTCCAGTCTCTGCCTCTGTCTCCACAAGGCCTTCTCCTCTGTGTCTGTGTCTCCTCTCCTGTCTCCTACAAGGACAGCTATCATTGGATTTAAGACTCACCCTAATCCAGAATGATCTCATCTTGAGATCCTTAACTAATTACATCTGCAAAGACCCTATTTCCAAATAAGTTCCTGTTCACAGGTTCTGGGGATTAGGACATGGACATATCTTTTGGAGATCAGCATTCAACCCCTTGCAATTGTGTTTGATGCTTTCTTTCTTTTTCTTTTTTTTTTTTTTTTTTTTGAGACAGAATCATGCTCTGTCTCCCAGGCTGGAGTGCATTGGCAATATCTCAGCTCACTGCAACCTCAGCCTCCCGGGTTCAAGCCATTCTCCAGCCTCAGCCTCCCGAGGAGCTGGGATGACAGGCTCCCGCCACCACGCCTGGCTAATTTTTGTATTTTTAGTAGAGATGAGGTTTCACCATGTTGGCCAGGCTGGTCTCGAACTCCTGGCCTCAAGCAATCCACCCGCCTTGGCCTCCCAAAGGTGTCTGATACTTTCTGAAGACTCTAGGGGGCATCCTTCCTGCCTCTTCCAGCTCCTGGTATCCCTAAGTTGATGGCCGCATCACTCCAGTCTCTGTCTCCACATGGCCTTATCTGTGTCTCCCTTTTTTTTTTTTTTTTGAGATGGAGTTTCACTCTTGTTGCCCAGGCCGGAGCGCAATACCACGATCTCGGCTCACCACAACCTCCGCCTCCTGGGTTCAAGCGATTCTCCTGTCTCAGCCTCCTGATTAGCTAAAATTGCTCTTAATATTTTAAAGGATACTGCAGAATACAGAGGCATTTGAAGGAATAAAGAGAATGGCTGAAAACAGCTGAAATTCAGCTTCTTTTTACTATTATTCCATTTTTATTTAGAGAAAAGGGTCTTGCTCTGTCGCCCAAGCTAAAGTACAGGGTCGCGATCATGGCTCACCACAGCCTTGACCTCCAGGCTCAAACGATCCTCCTGCCTCAGCCTCCTGAGTAGCTGAGACTCCAGGCACGCACACCACGCCTGACTAATTTTTTTATTTAGTTGTAGAGACAAGGTCTTGCCATGTTGCCCAGGCTGGTCTTGAAGTCCTGGGCTCAAGCGATCCTCCTGCCTCTGCCTCCCGAGTAGCTGGGACCACAGTGCACCCCACCAAGCCAGACTGATTTGTTAATATTTTGTAGAGACGGAGTCTCTCTACGCCACCCTGACTGCTGTCGAACTCCTGGCCTCAAGCAATCTTCTTGCCTCAGCCTCCCAAAGTGCTGGAATTCCAAGCGTGAGCCACCGGGCCCGACCCTGGCATTCACCCCTCTTGAGACACGGTGGGAAAGAAACTGTGAATAGTTATTTTCACACGTGCCGCCTGTGCTCTGGTGGGAGAAGAGCAATGAGAACACTCGCCTTGTTTCTCTACCTCGGTTCTCATTCACAGACAAAAAAAAAAACAACAGTAACACAGCCAGGCAGGGTAGAGATAACTCCCTCCACTGACAGAGACATTTTTTTTTTCCCATTTTAACAACACTCATTAATTCTTATCTGTTAAATAGCGCGTAGAATTTGTGCCTCTAAACCCACTCGATAATCTTTTGGGTAATTAACTTGTAAAACAACCCCAGTCCTCGTTACGGGCGGGATGGAAAAATGTGAAGTAGCGCATTTGCAAAGCAGACCATACACAATTACTTATTAAACATGCCCCAGGTGTGCCGGCAAGTCGGCGGCAAGTGGAAGCCCTCAGCCTTGTCGTCTAATGGAAGAAGATTAAAAAGTGCCAATATCCTCAGAGCGCGCACACACACACACACACACACACATAGATACATATGCCAACAGGCTGATCTCACACACATAGATACATATGCCAACAGGCTGATCTCACACACATAGATACATATGCCAACAGGCTGATATATTCAGGGTCTGGAGAAGGATTACACAAAGAGATGAGTTGCGGAAGGGGGCTCGCTTGCAGACCCTTGTAGGTGAACAGGGGCAGGGATTAAGGAGCTCATGGTGCTGCAGAAGTATCTCTGAATGGATCAGGGCAACCGTGCATTCAATAGCAAAATATGTCAGTATGACTCATCTCAGAAACAGCCTTGCTTCCAACTGCAGGCGGTGATTTGGCCAGAGGTGGGCTCCAAGACTTGGGAAACACTCGTCAGAGCACCTCTAACCTCTACCTAACTCTAGCCCTAACCCTAAATATTAGGGAAATATGAGACTATGAGTTTTCAAAAAATAGCTGGGTATGGTGGCTCACTGTGCCTGTCATCCCAGCACTTTGGGAGGCTCAGGTAGGAGGATCGCCTGAGGCTGGGAGTTGGAGACCAAAACCCAAAGAGGCTGTGAACCACAACACACCGTCATTTCTGGAAACGCACCGACTATCTGGGAGGCCCATGTGTGGATGTGCTTATTCTTAAGTATTTAAAGGCCCATGGAAAGGCGCTTTTGCTCTTTAGTGAAAATATATACTGGGCTCTATCGAGCCACGAAAAGACGCAAAGAAACGTTAAATGCATATTCCTTTTTTTTTTTTTTTTTGAGATGGACTCTCGCTGTGTCACCTAGGCTGAAGTGCAGTGGTGCGATCTCGGCTCACTGAAAACTCCGCCTCCCAGGTTCAAGCAATTCTCCTGCATCAGCCTCCTGAGTAGCTGGGATTACAGGCATGCGCCACCATGCCTGGCTAATTTTTGTATTTCTATTTATTTGTTTATTTATTTGGAGACGGTGTCTCGCTCTGTCGCCCAGGCTGGAGTGCAGTGGCGCGATCTCGGCTCACTGCAAGCTCCCCCTCCCGGGTTCACGCCATTCTCCCACCTCAGCCTCCCGAGTAGCTGGGACTACAGGCACCCGCCACCAAGCCCAGCTAATTTTTTTTGTACTTTTAGTAGAGACGGGGTTTCACTGTGTTAGCCAGGATGGTCTCGATCTCCTGATCTCGTGATCTGCCCGCCTCGGCCATAGAGATTTGGAAGGTTATTACCACCCTGAGATATGAAGAGCCCTGAAGAGAAGGAACACAATGAGACCTGCGAGGACCAATTAAACTTTCAGAGAGTGTGGGACATCTATGCCCACGCATGAGAACACATACGGTGACCTCAAGGAAAAATTACCAACAGGAACGCATGAGTCTATCTGTTTATCTACGCATATGCCTGTCTACAGCCTGACTCGGGACACTTCTCGAAAACATGAAAGAAACAAAAGGACTCACTATGAAAAGGAAAACAGTCAATAAGGGCCATTTTATGTTTAAAAAAAAAAAAAACACAGGCCAGGCGTGATAGCTCACGCCTGTAATCCCAGCACTTCGGGAGGCCAAGGCAGGCAGATCACAAAGTCAGGAGATCAAGACCATCCTGGCTAACACGGTGAATCCCTGTCTCTACTAAAAATACAAAAAATTAGCTGGGTGTGATGGTGCACGCCTGTAATCCCAGCATCTTGGGAGGCTGAGGCAGGAGAATGGCTTGAACCAGGGAGTCAGAGGTTGCAGTGAGCCAAGATCGCACCACTGCACTCCAGCCTGGGCAACAGAGCAAGACTCCGTCTCAAAACAAACAAACAAAAAGCAAAAAAAAAAAAAAAAACAAAAAAACACAGGGGCTGAGCTTGGTGTCTTACACCTGTAATCCCAGCACTTTGGAAGGTGGGAGGATCGCCTGAGGCCAGGAGTTTGAGACCAGCCTGGGCGACATAATGAGACCCCGTCTCTAGAAAAAATTTAAAAAACAAAATTAGCCATGTGTAGTGGTGCATGCTACTAGTCCCAGCTACTCGGGAGGCTGGGGTAGGAAGTTTCCTACTGAGGAGTTTGAGGCTGCAGTGAGCTATGATCACACCACTGCACTCCAACCTGGGTGACAGAGCAAGACCTTGTCTCCAAAACAACAAAACAAAAAACAAAGGTAATTGTGAATATATGCTGAACCAGAATACACATCCACAATCTGGTTAAAACTTCTCGGGAATAAACATAATTAATCGTTGGCGAACACATTCACATAAAGTGCTGTGATTCCAACTTCAGCACAGACATGATCTCTCAAGGATTCTATGCCCTAAAATCATGTCACAAGAATTCTGTACATTAAAAATGGATACCCAGGGGTGTGGGGAGAATTCCATGCCATCAACACTCACATCATCCTTTTTCCAAGTTTCGCAACCTCCTTAACAATCCTTCTACCCAATCCGAAAGTCTACAGGTTGAAGAAAAATTCTAGGTGTCTTCTTGCCCCAAGATATGTCTGCCTCCTGACTTGGAGTTCTCGCTCTGTTTGATGATGAAGACCAGTAGACACCTACACAGAGACTCTTGCATGTCATCATGAATAACATATGTCCCAGTCATGTGTCACAGGTGAGCCTGTAAAACAGGCACTGAGGTAGATTGTCTCGGGAGCCACTGTGTTTCAGGCACTGAATCAGAGACTCAGAAGATACCTGTGCACAGAATCCATCTCTGCCCTCACAAAGCTCTGATTTTAGCAGGGACAGGCGATGAGGAGGGTGAGTATTCCCAAAACAACAACCCTCATCTCTTGCACGTGGAACGGGTCACAAAGAGCTCTCTTACTGACAACAAGCATTCATCCTACACTTCACTGACTCTTGTATTTTCAATCTACTCAATTACGTTGATGACCTGTTATCAACCTTCATCCTGATTTCACAGTATTCTGTTTTCATGATAAATTCAAGTATTTTATAGGTCATTGGATAGGCCAAAATGATGGTTCACAAAGATCTATTTTCAAAGTAGAAGTGCCTCCCAAGGCGGCGTGCAAAATTTACCTTCTTGACACCCATCAATTACAGAAGGCATTGACCAGTGATTTCTTTTATTGAAAACAAACTTGGTCTAATAACTGGGTGGAAGCACATGAACCAAACAGCTAGTCCCTCTTCTGATGAAGACGGCACAAGCTACTGGAAGAATAATATTTGGGAAGCTTTTTTTTTTTTTTTTTTTTAGATGAAGTTTTTCTCTGTCGCCCAGGCCGGAGTGCAGTGGCATGATCTCGGCTCACCGCAAACCTCCGCCTCCCGGGTCCAAGCCATTCTCCTGCCTCAGCCTCCTGAGTAGCTGGAATTACAGGCACCCGCCACCATACCTGACTAACATTTATATTTTTAGTAGAGATGGGGTTTCACCGTGTTGGCCAGGCTGGTTTCAAACTCCTGACCTCAAGCTATCTGCCCGCCTAGGCCTCCCAAAGAGCTGGGATGACAGGCGTGAGCCATCGTGCCTAGCCAGGAAGCTAAATGAATCAGAAGATGCTGTTTGTGATTAAAGTTACACAATCATTATAGAAAATGAGGACACCGTGCACCTTCCAAAGAGGATACACAGCACGTGTCTAGTCTGATCTCTCTTAGGATTTAGGATTACAGGGGTTCCACCATGGCATGTACGAGCTGCAAAAGAGAATGGGCCTGCCTTCAGTGCTTTTAAGAGTGTTTAACTGGTTATCTCTCCCCATCTGAGTTCATTTGAACACGGCTATGCCTTTCTGTGTTTGCTTTCATGGAGCCGCTGGGGTTTGATTTATTTATATTTGGAGGAGTTTCGGTAAGTGAATGAGACTATTTGTTCTAAGTAAGACAGCTTTCATCAGCACATAATTACCCAGGAGCCACAAAGGTGTGGGCACAATGGCTAAGTGATGATAAGGAGTGAAAACGCTTCCCTGGAAAATCCCTAGCTTGGGAAATGAGCCATCTCGCCCAGATTCCTGAAAACAATCGCGCATTTATAATTCCGAGAGCTCAATTAGCCGTCCTTCTGTGGGCACGTAGCTTCCCATGCCCTGCCCAGCGTGGGATCTCAGAGGAGCACGACTTCAAAGACAGAAAGTACAACAAAGTACGCAGGCCAGAGTATTAACCCAAGAACTAAGGAGAGAGAATTGAGAGCAGGAAAGGCAGGAGGGGAAAGCAGGCTAGACAGGCGCCCAGCATGTTGAAATAATTGTGTGACTGACACTCCACAGCAATCTGTGCTCCTGGAGTCAGGACGTGAGCCGACTTGCTTAAAAATAAATCCACATGGCTGAACCGGGGTTACCCGATGCCGGGATCCCAGCAGAGCAAGAACGAAACAGCACATTCAGCTCCCTCTGTCCCTCGCTGGGCAACTGGAGGTTGTGGGGACAAGAATCAGAGTTCCAGCAGGTGCAGGCCAGTCCAGAGAGAAGCACAATTTAGAGCAAGGTTCGTACGGGTTTGGTGGAGGTGTGCCCAGGTCTCAGCTGAGGAGGGAAGGGATGCCTGTAGGAGCTGTGGTCGTCCATAAGATGTTGTGGGCAGCAGATACCACTCACAGGCAGAGGGCAGACCCTGCCGTGTGGCTGGACCACGGATCTGGGGGCTCCTGAGCCTGGAGGCAGACTCAGTCGAGGTAAAGGCTCAATGGCCACAGCCGAAATGTCCCCACCCAGCTGGGCCTCAGCATCATCTATCAAGGACTGGAGAGTCCCCCAGCAGTGGACATACCAGGGCCACCACTGATGAATGTCCAAACCTGTTCAGATTTTAAACTTTTTTCTTTTAAAAAAAAAAATTGCATGCACACATAGTAGGTGTATATATTTATGGGATAATGAGGTATTTTGATACAGGCATGCAATGTGTAATACTCACATCAGGGCAAATAGGGTATCCATCCCCTCGAGCATTCATCACTTGTTTGTGTCACTAACATTCCAATTACACCTTTAATTGGTTTCTTTTTTTTTTTTTTTTTTTTTGAGATGGAGTCTCTGTAGTCCAGGTTGGAGTGCGGTGGCACAATCTCAGCTCACAGCAACCTCCGCCTCCCAGATTCAAGCAATTCTCCTGCTTCAGCCTCCCAAGTAGCTGGGACTACAGGTGTGCACCACCACGCCCGGCTAATTTTTGTGTTTTTAGTAGAGACGGGGTTTCACCATGTTGGCCAGGCTGGTCTCGAACTCCTGACCTCAAGTCATCCACCTGCCTCGGCTTTCCAAAGTGCTGGGATTCAGGGGTGAGCCACCATGTCCAGCAACTTTTAGTTATTTTTAAATGGACCATGAAGGATTGTTGACTGTAGTCACCCTTTTGTGCTATCAAATACGAGACCTTACTCATTCTATCTAAAGTATATTTTTGTGCCCATTAACCATCTCCACGGCACACCCCATCTTCCCACCCTCTTACAAGATGGTAAAGCTTTTAAACAGCCACAGAAAGTGCAAACGATTCTTTTCTTCTTTTCTGTAAGATTGGCTTAAAGGCCATCGGTATTTATATGCCACAAGTAAACTAACATTTTTTAATGGTGGGGACAAATCATGTATTCGTCATGCTACTTGTCCACAAAACACTGCACTTTAAAAACTGATGATCGAATATCCTACACAAACTTTTCCAAGAAAACAGCAATGATTTGTTATTGTGGTCAGATGCAGTGGCTCACGCCTGTAATCCCAGCAATTTGGGAGGCTGAGGTGGGTGGATATCTGAGGTCAAGAGTTTGAGACAAGCCTGGCTAACACGGTGAAACCCCATCTCTACTAAAAATACAAAAAATTAGCCGGGCCTGGTGGTGGGTGTCTGTGATCCCAGTTACTCGGGAGGCTGAGGCAGGAGAATCGCTTGAACCCGGGAGGCGGAGGTTGCAGTGAGCCGAGATCACACCACTGCATTCTAACGTGGGCAACAAGAGTGAAACTCTGTCTCAAAAAAAAAAAAAAAAAATTATTGGTCAAAATTCATGTTGTCTAAATCTGAAACATTTTCAGAATCTAATAAAATTAAGTTGGTGATTATAAATCATTGTTTCTTGGCTGTCATTTTGGTTAGGTGGATCACATATGTGAATTTTGGGGAACTATATATAGTTTTTAAGCCGTTCAGATTAAAAGCAAAAAGTCATGAGAAAAGAATGCCTCACTTGTCAGTTTCCAGAAACTTCTCTTTGGGCTCCAGATTGATGGTTGAATGCCTTCAGGACAGCAGCAAGTGTACCATTTGAAGGTGCGTGGGGATCATTTAACGGCCTCATAAGAATGCAGATTCCAGGGCCCCGCCCCCACCCCCAGAGGCCCCGATTCACAGATGGGCCCTGGGCACCTGCATTTCTTGTTTACTCCCCGGAAATGCTGATGTGACAGGCCCGGAGAAGGCACTTTTGGATTCATTGTGTTAGAAAATGCCACTCCTTTGAAAACCTGCTGCAAATGAGGAAGGGCCAAGGTGGCAGGGAATAGGACCCCCTGTCACAGATGAAACAGGAATTTTAAAAAATTTAAAAATGTATAAGCAAAAACTCAGTTGTATGTAAGAAAACCCAGTTCTCCCTGAGGAAGAGAAAGAGTTGAAGTCCATTAAAAATTAACTGCCTGTTTTTCTGCGGCTAATAAGCCTTGTCTCTTCCTTTCCCAAGCATTATAAAAACTCTGCTTCTCTAGCTATACAGCTACAAAGTCACTAGGCAAATAATCTCAAATCATAAAACATATTATTCCTTAAAAAATAAAAAATAATATAATGCATGTGTCAATTAAACAACTGTCTTTGTTTCTCACTTCTATGATATACTTCCCCCTACACAGAGCTCCCCCCGCCCCAGAAAATACTTAAAAAATAACCAAACTCTTTGTTCAAAACTCGGTCCTTTAAATGTTAATCCGACGGGGTCGGTACAAATAAATAATTAAATAATTCCTCCTCAACCCCTCGGTGTCTCTAATTCCTTAATTATCCCTCTACACAGAAACCAATCCTTTTGCCCCAAGGCAGATCCTAATGAGGAGAAAAGATCTGGCCAGGCTGCTGCCACTCTGTGACATTGTACACTGGGCTTGGCTCTGGCTGAGCGGGAGCCCCTGTGGGAGTGTGTTCCTGAAAATCACAGGGATCCTGCAATGCCGGCTATGAAATTTCAACATACCCCAGCCCTTGGCAGAGGTAATAACAAGGTGTTTCACAGCAGCTTAGGGTAGAAAGGAGGAGATAGGGGCATAGGCAGTGACCAGGCTCAGCTCTGTGTAGCGTTCATTTCACTCTCATGGCTTTAAAAAGAATCAAGGCCGGGCGCGGTGGCTCACACCGGTCATCTCAGCACTTTGGGAGGCTGAGGCGGGTGGATCATGAGGTCAGGAGTTCAAGACCAGCCTGGCCAAGATGGTGAAACCCCGTCTCTACTAAAAATACAAAAATTAGCCGGGCTTGGTGGGTGGGCGCCTGTAATCCCAGCTACTCGGGAGGCTGAGGCAGGAGAATCGCTTGAACCCGGGCCACAGAGGTTGCAGTGAGCCGAGATCACATTGCTGCACTCCAGCCTGGGTGATAGAGTGAGACTCTGTCTCAAAATATTAATAATAATCGTCATCATCATCAAAATAGGCCAGGCACAGTGGCTCACACCTATAATCCCAGCACTTTGGGAGGCCGAGGTGAATGGACCGCTTGAACCCAGTAGTTCAAGATGAACCTGGGCAACAAGGCAAAACCCCAACTCTACAAAGAGTAGCTGGGTGTGGTGCTGCACACCTGTATTCCCAGCTACTGGGGAGGCTGAGGCAGGAGAAACACTTGGGCCTGGGAGGCGGAGGTTGCAGTGAGCCGAGATAACACCACTGTACTCCAGCCTGGGCAACAGAGTGAGACCCTGTATCAAAAAACAAACAAACAAATAAAGAATCAAAATACACCCATCCCCCACTTGGGGGAATTCTCAAAACACCATCTCAAATTCAAACAGCCAAGGAAGGGATGTGCATTTAAAAAAAAAAAAAAAATAAGGTACCACACATAAACATGGCCGAGAAAAGCACTTAGCATTTGGATGGCCAACAGGTATATGAAAAGGTGCTTATAGGAAAAGGTAGTCGGCCGGGTGCAGTGGCTCACGCCTGTAATCCCAACACTTTGGGAGGCTGAGGCGAACGGATCACGAGGTCAGGAGTTCGAGACCAGCCTGGCCAACATGGCGAAACCCCGTCTCTATTAAAAATACAAAAATTAGCTGGGCATGGTCGCCAATGCCTGTAATCTCAGCTACTCAGGAGGCTGAGGCAGAAGAATCGCTTGAACCTGGGAGCCGGAGGTTGCAGTGAGCCGAGATCGCACCACTGCATTCCAGCCTAGGTGACAGAGTGAGACTCCGTCTCAAAAAGAAACAAAAAAATAAACAAAGAAAAGGTACTCAACATCACTAATCATCAGGGAAATGCAAATGAAAACCACCATGAGCTACTATCTCACACCAGCTAAAATGGATATTGTCAGAAGGGTGTTTTTGTTTGTGTTTTTTTGTTTTTTGTTTTTTTTTTTCTTTGAGACAGAGTCTTGCTCTGTCACCCAGGCTGGAGTGCAAAGGTGTGATCTCAGCTCACTGCAACCTCCAACTCCCAGGTTCAAGCAATTCTCCTGCCTCAGCCTCCTGAGTAGCTGGGGTTACAGGCCCCTGCCACCACGCTCGGCTAATTTTTGTATTTTTAGTAGACTCGAGGTTTCACCATGTTAGCCAGGCTGGTCTCGAACTCCTGACCTCAGGTGATCCACCCGCCTCGGCCTCCCAAAGTGCTGGGATTACAGGTGCCAGCCACCACGCTGGCCAGAATGATGATTTCTACAGTTAATTACAAGTGTTGGGGAGGGTGTAGAGAAAAGGGGGCCCTTGTACACCACTGGTGGGAATGTCAATTAGTACAGTCACTATGAAAAACAGTACAGAAGTTCCTCAAATCATTAAAAATAAAAGCACCACATAATTCAGCAATTCCACTGCTAGGCACAGACTCAAAGCAAATGAAATCAGTGTATCAAAGAGATGCCTGCATTCCTATGTGCATTGCAGCACTATTCACAGGAGCCAAGATATGGAAACAACCTAGGTGTCCAACAACACACGAAAGCATAAAGAAAATATATATCTATACCTGATGGAATACTATGCAGCCATGAAAAAGGAGGAAATCCTATCTCCTGCAGCAACACAGATGGAACTGGAGGCCATTACCCTAAGGGACATAACTCAGAAACCGAAAGTCAAATACCATTCTTCTTAGGTCGAGTCCAATTTGCTGGGTCCGACTCGCAGACTTTGGCTGAGCGACGGATGAACAAATGCACTCAGACACAGATTTCCAGTGAAAGCGTGGGCTAGGGGATGGGGCCACTCACAGACACTGAGGAGGGTGTTTTAAAGAGTCAGCAGCCACGGCTTTGACAAGCTGCTGCTGTGGGCCTTTATTTAGTATACATTTAATGACAAAGGCCTTGAGTCAACACATTCGTGGGCAATTCATATGGTCGTCCCCCGCAACCCGGAGAGAGGGAGAGAGTAGTTCTGTGCGTGGATGATTAAAGGCCAGGTTCTGAGGCCTAAGCAAACTAACTTATCTAGATCAGTTTCTTTACATCCCCTCGTTATCTAACCTAAGCTTTCAGGCACTGGATAAGAGAATCTGGCTGCCTTCAGCCAAATCTTATTCGGGAGCATTTGCAAAACCTTCTGGCCTCCCAAGAAGGTTTGCATCTTCTACAATTTTTCCTACCACCCTGACCGACCTCCTACATTCTTACTTATAAGCAGGAGCTAAATAATGTGTCCACATGGAAAGAGTGGAATAACAGAGACTGGAGACTCAGAAGGGTGGGAGGTGGAAGAGGAGCAAGGGATGAGAAATTACCTCTCGGGTACAATGTACGTGATTCAGGTGTTAGCTATACTAAAAGCCCAGACCTCACCACTACGCCATTCATCCATGTTAACAAAACTGTACTTGCACTCCCTACCTGTATACAAATGAAAAATAAAATAATAAATAAATAAAAGGACAGAGCATTGAGAATCTAGATGGATATTAGAAAGTTGTGTGCACACCTTCCTTAGTGTGAACAGACAGAAAGAGCACACCAGAATTTGGTCTAGCACCTGGTCGAAAATCTTAAGGGCAAGCATATTCCTGTTTGATTTATCTTTTTTTCTTTCTTTCTTTTTTTTTTTTGAGACGGAGTCTTGCTCTCTCTCCCAGGCAGTCCCAGATTCAAGCGATTCTCCTGCCTCAGCCTCCTGGGTCATTGGGATTACAGGCACATGCCACCATGCCTGGCTAATTTTTGTATTTTTAGTAGAGATTGGGTTTCACCATGTTGGCCAGGCTGGTCTCCAACTCCTGACCTCGTGATCCACCCGCCTCAGCCTCCCAAAGTGCTGGGATTACAGGCGCGAGCCACTGCGCCCGGCCTGATTTATCTTAAGTCAAGAACTCCCAACCAGCAGAGGCACCTCCTGGCATGTGCCCTGGAGGTCAACAGGAAAGGACAATGGCTCCTGTTCCCTGGGGAACACACATTTGAGTAAGAGTGCAAGCTACCAGCACATCTGCATGCCTTTCCTAGCAGATGTCAGAGCTGAGTGATGCTATCTTCGCCTTGCCTTGACCATCTCCTGCTCTAGGATGGGGCCAGAAATCCCCAAAAGAAGAGTGCAAAAATCAGAGCCATCTCTCCCAAATGCCACCTGGCACGTGACTGAAGCTCAGCCATGAACCACGCAAACGACCTGTCCCAAGGAAAAAAAAAAACAAAAAAAAGCCATTGGAGTATCTCTCGGTACCTTTGTCGTTCAAGGTTTCTTCTTTTATTTTGCTTACAACTTGTTTGGCTTTGCTGTCATTATTTCCAGCTAAAAGGAAAAAGAAAAAAAAGATACGGTGACTTGTAGGATTATCCAGAAACTATTAACTGCAAAAAAAAAAAGAGGTTTTAAGAGAAGTATAACACAAATCTGAAATGTGCCTTTGATGGACTTTCCCTTTATCCTAGCGTCTAACTTGACAGCCATTTTGGCAGACTAAAGCTATCCATTTAAGAGTCATTTTCTTTAGCCTGCATTGGCAAAAAGTACAAATGCATTTGACATTCTACTTTTCAATAGTGACAGGGACCCGGGGCACCTGCTGGTGTAATTTGCACGTGAGAGCTGAGAATAGCATAAGCATAAAAAATGTGCATTAAAATGTCAGGATGGAAACGAATTTTCGAAGGAGCTTTTATGCTGGAAACATCCCAGTGTGCACACACAGACTGCACGATGCACGTGATCACAGACCGTGGTTCCTACTACGTGCTCAGGATTTCTTTCTGTTTCTTTTTTTTAATTCTACTTTAAGTTCTGGGGCACATGTGCGGAATGTGCAGGTTGGTTACATAGGTATACACGTGCCATGGCAGTTTGCTGCACCCATCAACCCATCATCTACATTAGGTATTTCTCCTAATGCTCTCCCTGCCCTGCCCCCTCAACCCCTCGACAGGCCCTGGTGTGGGATGTTCCCCTCCCTGTGTCCATGCGTTCTCATTGTTCAACTCCCACTTATGAAGGAGAACATGGGGTCTTTGGTTTTCTGTTCCTGCGTTAGTTGGCTGTGTGCTCAGGATTTCTTACTCCTCTCACTGCACTTCCGTAAAACTCTCCAAGTGAGGTTTCAGGAACACGCCTTTAGAAGGATGGAAAGAGGTGTTTTGCTTGTTATAGCTAAAATAAAGACTAGGAAATCCGGGGTGAAAGAATGTTAATTGGGTTTTTTTGTTTTGTTTTTTTGTTTTGTTTTTTTTTTGAGACAGAATCTTGCTCTGTTGCCCAGGCTGGAGTGCAGTGGTGCGATCTCAGCTCACTGCAACCTCCACCTCTCTGATTCAAGTGATTCTGCTGCCTCAGCCTCCTGAGTAGCTGGGATTAGAGGTGACTGCCACTATGCCCAGCTAATTTTTTCGTATCTTTAGTAGAGAGGGGGTTTCACCATGTTGGCAAGGCTGGTCTTGAACTCCTGATCTCAGGTGATCCTCCCGCCTCGGCCTCCACAGTGCTGGGATGACAGGTATGAGCCACCACACCCGGCCTGGTTTCTTTAATGTCTTAGGAAGTGAACATGCGTTGAACAGGAGACTATAGTTTGATGTTGTCTTCGTCATTTTTTCAAATGTCTTTGACCCGGGAGGTTGGATTTTAAGGTGTTTCTGAAGGGGCGGCTCTTTAGGGGAAAGGAGTTTGGCAAATTTTTCCTCCTTCAGCCTCATCCTTCATTAACCTGTTGGCAACATGTGGGATTAGCTGCTTTCCAGGGTGAGCCAAGCCCAAAACTCCCTTTCAGGGAGGGTCACGGAAAAAGTGTTGAGAGAAGGGAGATGAGAACTAGCAGGGGAAGCGCACAGGCTTGAACAAGAACGTCTTGGGTGCCCGGAGAGCTTCAAACAGCTGATCTGCAAGGAGCAGTTACCAAGGGGGTGGGGCCGGTCTATCTCCATCCTACCTGCACCCAGCCCGGGCCAGTGAGGTGTTCTGTAGTACAGCACCGTCCCCGGGTCTCCATGAAAATACATTACCAAATAATCCCTCTCTTTGGCATTCCTGAATACTGAGTCAACACGGCGTATTGAATTTACACACTCTAACACAAGGAAGAGACCATGCTGTTTGATATCCTATCATTGTATTCGGTATTCTTTCTTCTGTGTTAAGGCCATGGGCTCCCAAATTAACTATTAGAATGCACTTTTCAAAAAACAATGAAAATGTTTTCAGCAAAGAGTGAAAAAATATATAAAAGAGGAGAAGCAGTGAAACTTATGAAGTTGGAAATGTTTTTGGCTCCAGTGGGAGACGGCTAAGATAAATAGTGCAAAGTCCATCCTTTGGGGCAGAGTAAATGGAATATCTAAATTGTCACTTCCTTGAAGGAATTCAAAGTTGCAGACATCAGAAGACTGAAGCTGCAAAGGTAATTTGCACCTTTGACTTCCTTAAAGAAACAGAACATGATACCATTATTACATTTTTGCTTTGACAGTCCTTTGGCACTGAGGAGGCAGCAGGCATTTCAGGGAGGTGGGTTTCGACGGGAGGGAGAGGAAGAAATAGCCTGAAAGGTATATTCCATCTATAAATGTCCTATGCATCAAACACAAAACAAAAAAAGAAAGGATAAAAAAATTCAAAGTCAAGGTAACCTTTACACTGGGGACTTGTACATTCATGAGCTTATTTATGAAATCCCATGAACTTTTTAAATGTAAGCACTCATCCACTGCTGGGCTGCTCTGCCGTATCAGCCATCTCAAGATCAAAGGGTGCGGCCGGGTGCGGTGGCTCATGCCTGTAATCTCAGCCCTTTGGGATTTGGGAAGCCGAGGCAAGCGGATCACGAGGTCAGGAGTTCAAGACCAGCCTGGCCAACATGAGGAAACCCCATCTCTACTAAAAACACAAAAATTAGATGGGCATGGTGATGTGTGCCTGTAATCCCAGCTACTAGGGAAGCGGAGGCAGGAGAATTGCTTGAACCAGGACCCGGGAAGCAGAGGTTGCCATGAACTGAGATCACACCACTGCACTCCAGCCTGGGCGACAGAGCCCAACTCTGTCCCAAAAAAAAAAAAAAAAAAAAAAGTTAGCCAGACATGGTAGCAGGCACCTGTAATCCCAGCTACTCTGGAGGCTAAGGCAGAAGAATTGCTTGAACCCAGTAGGCAGAGGTTGCAGTGAGATGAGATTGCGCCACTGCACTCCAGCCTGGGCAACACAGCGAGACTCCATCTCAAAAAGAAAACAAAACAAAACAAAACAAAAAAAAACAAAGGGAAACATGCCGGAAGCTGGGACGAAGTAAGATGGGAGCCTCCACCTTCTCAAGAAAGACAAAAGTGACCAGAAAAAGCTGGGAGCATCAAAAAAAGCCAGGTGAAGTGATTATTTGGGAAGACCACCTTCATGGGCAGGCCATTTTCCATGGTGGCACCGTCAACGCTGGCATAGGACAGAAGCACCACACTGGAGGAATGGAGAAGGTGAGGTGGCACGTGCGGTATCTTCTTTGGCCAATGTCACCTTCAGCAATTGTCTCCTCAGACCTGGAGGGAGCTGCTTTAAGGAACTGGACGTGGGACATTTGGCCTCATATGCATTTGCTGGAGTGGTTCCTACATTTGCTGAGCAAGTACTGCATATGCAGAAACACCGCACACGTCCCAAACACAGTGCATCTGCCTTCTGCTTCATCCTTTGTATTTGGGGGGGCAGGGGAGGGCGTTACATGTTATATGTGCAATGGAAATTGGTATAGCCATTATGGAAAACAGTGGAGATGGGGTTTCACTATGTTGGCCAGGCTGGTCTTGAACGCCTGACCTCGGGTGACCCGTTTGCCTTTGCCTCCCAAAGTGCTGGGATGACAGACATGAGCCACTGCACCCGGCCTGGTTTTTTTCACATCTTAGGAAGTGAACGTGCTTGGACAGGAGACTATAGTTTGATGTTGTCGTCATTTTTTTCAAATGTCTTTGACCAGAAAGGTTGGATTTTAAGGTGTGTCTAAAGGGGTGGCCTTTTTTTTTTTAAGAGTTCCTCAAAAAATGATCATTATGCCTACCATAGGATCTAGCAATCTCACTCCTCTGTATAGATCCAAAGGAAATGAAATCAGCCCCTTATAGAGATATCTACACCCCCATGTTCGTTGCAGCATGATTCACAAGAGCCAAGATATGAAACCAACCTAAGTGTCCATCTAAGGATGGGTAGATAAATAAAATGTGGGATAGCTACACCATGGAATACCATTCAGTCTTTGAAAACCAGAGGACCCTATCCTGTGATACAACATGGATCAACCAGGAGTACATCATGTTAAGTAAAATAAGCCACATAAAACCAAATCCCACATGATCTCACCCATATGTAGAGTCTCCAGAAGTTGAACTCACAAGAAAAAGTATTATGATGATTATTGGCCAGGCGTGGTATCTCATGCCTGTAATCCCAGCACTTTGGGAGGCCAAGGCAGGTGGATCACAAGGTCAAGAGATCGAGACCATCCTGGCCAACCTGGCAAAAGCCTGTCTCTACTAAAAATACAAAAATTAGCCGGGTACGGTGGCATGCACCTGTAGTCCCAGCTACTCAGGAGGCTGAGGCAGGAGAATCGCTTGAACCCAGGAGGTGGAGGTTGCAGTGAGCCGAGATTGCGCCACTGCACTCCAGCCTGGTGACAGAGTGAGACTCCATCTCAAAAAAAAGAAAGAAAGAAAAGAAAAAGAATTATGGTGATTACCAGGTGCTAGGGGGGTGGGTTGCTGAGATTTTGTTCAAATGACACCAAATGTCAGTTTGACAGAAGGTATAAGTTCAAGAGATCTATTGTACTTAAGGTGACTAAATTAGTGACTATAATCTTGAACCTGACTATAATTAGTCACAGTGACTATAATTAATATTTGAAAATTGCAAAGAGAGTAGATTTTAAGTGTTTCCAAAAACACACACAAAAAGAAACATGTAAGGTAATGGATATGTGAATTAGCTTGAATTGGCCATTCCAGATGGAAACATATATCAAAACCACATTTTGTACACCATAAAAATATGTAACTTGTTTTTGTCTATTAAAATAAGTAAATAGATAATTAAATACAAGTTTAAATATTTTACACGTTTCACATGTACTATTCATGGACAATACAAAGTATATGTGGCACAAGTCATTTTTAAAAGACAGTTGCAATTTAGATAACCTAACCAACTAGACTTCCTGTGACCTACAAAACTAGATTTTATGATGACCAACGCAACTACACCTCATCATACTCTAACCCAACTAAATCTCATTAGGACTAACCAAAATACACCTCATCATAACTTAACCCAAATAGATCTGATTATACCCTAACCCAACTAGACCTCATCATGACCTAACCCAACTAAATCTCATTATAACCTAGCCCAAATAAACCTCAACATGACCTAATACAAACAGGTATCTTTATGACCAACCCAAATACACCTCATCATAACTTAACTGAATCTCATCACAACCAACGACACTAGACCTCATAACCTAACCAAACTAGACCTCATCATGACCTAATACAACTAGATCACATCATGACCAACTCAACTAGACCTCATCATGACCTGACACAGCTAAATCTCATTATAAACAAGCCCAACAAGAACTAATCATGACTGACTATGACTAGATTTCATCATGACCAACCCAACTACCTCATCGTGACCTAACTAACTCTCATCATGACCAACCCAACTATACCTCATCATAACTTAACCCAACTTAACTACATCATAACCTAACTCAACAAGACTTCATTATGACCTAATACAACTACATCTCATCAAGGCCAACAAAACTAGTCCTCATCATGACCTAACAAAATCTCATCATGACCAACCCAAATAGACCTCATCACAACCTTATCCAAGTAAATCTCCTCATACCCTAACCCAACTAGAACTCATCATGACCTAACCAAACTAGACTTCATCATAACCTAACCAAACTAGACCTCATCACGACCTAATACAACTATATCTCATCAAGACCAACCCAACTAGACCTTATCATGACCTAATTATATCTCATCATGACCATCCAACTAGATCTCCTCATGACATAATCCAACAAGATTTCATCATAACCAAACCAACTAGACCTCATCATAACCTAACCCAACTAGGTCTCATCATGACCTAATACAACTAGATCCCATCATGAGCAACACAACTAGACTGCATCATAAACAAATTACATCTCATTATGACAACGAACTAGATCTTATCATAACCTAACACACCTGGGTCTCATCATGACCCAATACAAGTAGATCTCATCATGAACAACCTACCAGAGCTCATCATAGCCTAGGCCAACTAGATTTCATTATGACCTAATACAACTAATTCTCATAATGACCAATCCCACTAGACCTCATCATGACCTAACCAAACTGGACTTCATCATAACCTAACCCAACTAGACCTCATCATGACATGAGACAACTAGATCTCATCACGACCTACCCAACTAGAACTCATCACGACCTAACTAGATCACATCGTGACCAACCAAACAGATCCCATTATAACTTAATCCAACTAGATCTCATCATAACCTAATACAACTAGATCTCATCATGACCAATGCACTAGACCTCATCATATCCTACCACAACTAGATCTCATCATGACCTAATCCAACTAGATCTCATCATAACCTAATACAACTAGATCTCATCATGACCAATGCACTAGACCTCATCATATCCTACCACAACTAGATCTCATCATGACCTAATACAACTAGATTTCATTATGACCACCGCATCTGGACCTCATCATAACCTAACTGGATCTCAACATGACCAACCAACTAGATCTCATCATAACCTAACCCAACTATAACTCATCATGATCTAGTACAACTAGCTCTCATCATGACAAACTCAATGAGACCTCATCATAACTTACCCCAACTACATCACATCATGACCTAATACAACTAGATCTCATCATGACCAACCAACTAGATATCATCGTAATATAATTCAATTAGATCTCATCATGACCTAATACAACTAGATCTCATAAAGACCAGCCCAACTAGACCTCATCATAACCTAACTCAATTAAATCTCCTCATACCCTAACCCAACTAGACCTCATCATGACCTAACCCAACTAAACCTCATCATAATCTAACCCAACTAGACCTCATCATGACTGAATATGACTAGATCTCATCACAACCAACCCAAATAGACCTCATCATAACCTAATTAGATCTCATCATGACCAACCAACTAGATCGCATCATAACCTAACCCAACCAGATCTCATCATGACCAACCCAACTAGACCTCATAATAACTTCACCCAATTAGATCACATCATAACCTAATACAACTAGATCTCCTCATGACCAATCTAACTAGACCTCATCAGAACCTAACTAGATCTCATCATGACCTAATACAACTAGTTCTCATCATGACCAACCCAACTAGACCTCATCATAACCTAACCCAACTAGATCTCATCAAGACCTAATACAATTAGTTCTCCTCATGACCAACCCAACCGGACCTCCTCATAACCTAACTAGATCTCGTCATGACCAACCAACCAGATCTCATCACAACCTGACCCAACTAGATCTCGTCATGACCTAATACAACTTGATCTCATCCTGACCAACACAACTAGTCCTCATTATAGCCTAACTAAGTCTCATCATGACCAATCAACTAGACCTCATCAGAACCTTACCCAACTGGATCTCATCAGGATCTAATACAACTAGATCTCATCATGACCAACCCAAGTAGACTTCATCATAACCCAACTAAACTTCATTATAACCCAACTAGACCTCATCATTATCTACCCTTCCTGAGGACTGTACAAGAGATTTCTTATATTGGAAAAAAGCAGTATAATTTCCTCTTACTAAATAAAAAGATTTTGAGCCCAAACCAGAGTCACCAATCTGCGGCTAAACCTGGCCTGCAGCTGGATATTGTACAAAAAGTTTTACAGCAACATAGACTTTCCTGTTGTTTTAAGTATTACCTATGGGTGGTTACTCACTACTAGGGCAGAGCTCATAGTTATGAGAGAAACATATGAACACATTTATTATCTGTCTCTTTACAGAAAAAGTTTACCCACCCCACTTTCATCTTAGATGACAGTCCATTGAGCATTATGAAAAAAAATGATCCCCCACCAAAATAATATTTTGAAACAATGAGAACTAAGATCTTGTGGACAGATGGGAATTTGAACAACTGATATATGTGTCTAGTAATATTAATGTGCTTCAGTTGGACCCAGGTTATAATCTGAATTATTTTACAAGTAATTGATTATTCTTTAAATATTAATAAATTTTTAATTAAAATTTTGAAGTTAAATTTCCCATCTCTTATTTTGTATTTAATATAAAATTCATTGTGTTCAATGATATTTTTTCATTAATTGACTTTGAATCAAACTGCCATACAAAATGAAAAAATGCCTCTCTCAGAATATATCCAATTATCCTCAAAGTCACACAGGGGAAATAAGACTGCATAATTGATTGGATTGACCTGAAGGGTCAAAACTGTAACTCACAGTGAAAATTAAACACTGACATCAGGAGCTCTGTGGGATAGGAGACACAGGTGGGGTGCAGATGTGGTGTTTACTTTCTGTTTATCTCAAGAAAAAAGGCACATTGGTGCTGACATATACTGCTCCTGATGCTCAGTAAACATCATCTAAATGAAGTGGTAACACTTGAGATTCCCATGCACATGAACAAGAAGCTTGCTCACATGTCTTCATTGCTTTGTGCCTACAAAGTCCTCAGTCAACTAGACCTCACTGTGACCTAACCAAACCACACATCATCATGATCTAACTCAACCTGTCATCATGATCTAATCCAAGAGGACTTTATTGTGTTCTATTCAACTACCTCATGATGACATAACCCAGCTGGACCTTATCATGACCTAATCCAACTAGACCTTATCATGACCTAACCCAACTAGACCTCATCATGATCTATCCACTAGGCCTCATCATGACCTTCCTAACTAGATCTCCTCATGATCTAACCCAATTAGACGTCATCATGACCTACCCAACTAGACGTCAATGTGACCTGACCCAACTAGAACTCATTGAGTCTTAACCCAACTAGACTTCATCATGACCTAGCCAAACCACACATCACCATGATCTGATCCAGCTAGATCTCATCATGCTATTACTGAAGTAGACTTCATTAAGACCTAATTAAATCACACCTCATAATGATCTAACTCAACCAGTCATCCTAATCTAATCCAACAAGATTTCATCACATTCTACTCAACTACCTCATCATGACATAGCCAAACTAAACATTATGATGAACTAATACAACTAGACTTCATCATGACCTAACCAAACTGTACCTTACCATGATCTAATACAACCAAACCTCATCATGACTTAATACAAATAGACCTCATCATGGCCTACCCAACTAGACCTCAATGTGACCTAACTCAACTACATTTCATCAGGACCTAACTCAACAAGACCTCATCATGACCTACCCAATTAGATCTCAAAGTGACCTAGCCCAACAAGATTTCATCATCACCTAAATAAGTCACACATCATCAAGTCTAATCCAACTAGATCTCATCATGCTGTTACTGAACTAGACTTCATTAAGACCTAATCAAACCATACCTCATAATGACCTAACTCAACCAGTCATCATGATCTAATCGAACAAGACTTCATTACATTCTACTCAACTACTTCATCATGACATAACCAAAGGAGACGTTATCATGATCTAATACAACTAGACTTCATCATGACCAAACCAAACTGTACCTCAGCATGATCTAACTCAACCAGACATCATCAGAACCTAATACAACTAGACTTCATCATGACCTGCCCAACTAGACCTCATCATGACCTAAACCACCACAATGAGGCAAAAAAGCACAAAGAAATGGGGTGTTTTCTTCCTTTCCTAGTTTGATTAAGAATTAAACTAATAATTAAACATTGCCTAGCTAAATTAAGAATTAAGAAGATGAAAAAGATCATTGCACTGGAGGAGACAAAAGATCAAATATAACCAGTAATGGATGTGAGCCCTCCCATCTTTGTTCAACCTTGAGGGTCTCTCTTCATCCTACTCCACCATCATTGAAGCCACTAGGCTCACATCCAGCCAACCTTCAGAGAATACCTATTGCTCTCCCTGTTCAAAAAATCAGCATCATTTTGACCCAGTCATCTCAAATATTGGCAGAAGTCTGAGATATAGAAAGTCCTGGAAAGTTTGTCATGTTGTTAATGATACAGCAGATATCCACCTAGCATGGATGGTCAAAACCAAGGGTTGCCATCCATCACCACCTCACAGTCTCCAAGCTAAATCTCAGAACCCCCCCTGCCCTACATCTTGTCTCTAATTTACTCAGGTCCCAGGGAGATGTAAACAGATCATGGAGGTGCTCAAGTTCATAAGAAGTTCTAGAAATACACTCTCAGATGGGCACCCTCTCCCCTGGGGTCTCCTCATCTAAACCCAATCCTTTTGCATCTAGAGGGGGCGCAATAAACTGAATGTTTGTATCCCTCCAAAGTTCCTATGTTGAAATTCTAACATCCCCAGTGATTCTGTTGGGAGGCGGAGGCTTTGCGGGATGATTAGGTCACGAGGGTGGAGCACAATGAATGGAATTAGTACCCTTATAAAAGAGACCCCATCCAGGTTCCACCATGTGAGGACACAGGAGAAAGTGGCCATCCACAACCTAGAAGACAGACTACACCAGAATCTGACCACACTGACCCCCTGGTCTTGGGACTTCCAGCCTTGAGAACTGTAGGACAATAAGTTTCTATGGTTTATTGTGGAAGTCAGTGTGGCGATTCCTCAGGGATCTAGAACTAGAAATACCATTTGACCCAGCCATCCCATTACTGGGTATATACCCAAAGGATTATAAATCATGCTGCTATAAAGACACACGCACACGTATGTTTATAGCAGCACTATTCACAATAGCAAAGACTTGGAACCAACCTAAATGTCCAACAACGATAGACTGGATTAAGAAAATGTGGCACATATACACCACAGAATACTATGCAGCCATCAAAAATGATGAGTTCATGTCCTTCGTAGGGACATGGATGAAGCTGGAAACCATCATTCTCAGCAAACTATCGCAAGGACAAAAAACCAAACACCGCATGTTCTCACTCATAGGTGGGAACTGAACAATGAGAACACATGGACACAGGAAGGGGAACATCACACACCGGGGACTGTTGTGGGGTGGGGGGAGGGGGGAGGGATAGCATTAGGAGATATACCTAATGCTAAATGACGAGTTAATAGGTGCAGCACACCAGCATGGCACATGTATACATATGTAACAAACCTGCACGTTGTGCACATGTACCCTAAAACTTAAAGTATAATAATAAAATTTTAAAAAAAAAGTTTCTATGGTTTGCAAGGCACTCAGGCTACAGCAGCCCAAACACACCAAGACAGGAGAGTTAGGGACATGGATGAACTTGACAATTTCAAGAAATTGTCATAAAGTTTTAACTTGTCCCAGTCTATTAAGAGAATGAGGCCGGGCGCAGTGGCTCACGCCTGTAATCCCAGCACTTTGGGAGGCCGAGGCAGGCAAATTACGAGGTCAAGAGATCAAGACCATCCTGACCTACATGGTGAAACCCCCCCTCTACTAAAAATACAAAAAATTAGCTTGGTGTGCTGGCACGCGCCTGTAATCCCAGCTACTTGGGAGGCTGAGGCAGGAGAATCGCTTCAACCCGGGAGGCAGAGTTTGCGGTGAGCTGAGATCGCGCCACTGCACTCCAGCCTGGGCAATAACAGCGAAACTCCATCTCAAAAAATAATAATAATAATAATAATAAAATAATAAAATAAAATAAAGAGAATGGGGCCGGGCACAGTGGCTCACGCCTGTAATACCAGCATTTTGGGAGGCTGAGGCAGGTGGATCACAAGGTCAAGAGATCGAGACCATCTTGGCCAACATGGTGAAACCCCGTCTCTACTAAAAATACAAAAATTAGCTGGGTGTGGTGGTGTGCTCCTGTAGTCCCAGCTACTCAGGAGGCTGAGGCAGCAGAATCGCTTGAACCCGGGAGGCGGAGGTTGAAGTGAGCTGAGATCGCGCCACTGCACTCCAGCCTGGGCAACAGAGTGAGACTTCATGTCAAAGTAAAAAAAAAAAGAATGGATAAAAAAAATGCTCAAGTGGGAGTTAGGCACAACTTTGAGGAAAATAACTGCTTGATGGAAAGAAAGAGACTGATATAGACCAAAAAGTGCTCACCTGCTTCCGAAGCTCAACAAGTCATTAACTAATCCAACAAGATTTCATTATATTCTACTCAATTGCCTCATTATGACATAGCCAAACACGATGTTATCATTATCTAATACAACTAAGCTTCATCATGTGAAACAGTACACATCTCTGTATACTATTTTACAAACCCTGAAGTGCATCAGAGAAAGATGGTTATATGAGGAATGGAACTGCGTGTACAAAATTATTATTTTAAAAGACTCTGGGCACAGTGGCTCACACCTGTAATCCCAGCACTTTGGGAAGCCGAGGCAGGCAGATCGCTTGAACTCAGGTGTTTGAGACAAGTCCAAGCAACATGGTGAGGCCCCATCTCTACTAAAACTACAAAAAATTATCCAAGCCTGGTGGTGCACGCCTGTGGTCCCAGCTACTTGGGAGGCTGAGGTGGGAGGATCGCTTGAGCCCAGGAGGCAGAGGTTGTAGTGGGCTGAGATCACGCCATTGCACTCCAGCCTGGGTGACAGAGTGAGACGCTGTCTCAAAAATGTGAAAGTTGGGAAGAGCCATGACATAGAAAAATTTCAAGTTTTGCATTCATGTTTTGCAAAAGCCAAAAAGGCTCAAACTTAAGTGAAGGACGGAGCAAGGAGCCATGTGCGCTGACATGGACCACGCATCTCCAGGGAGACCAGAAGGCCACATGGGCTGAACATGGGGTTTCCCCATCTGAGTCAAAGACTCCTGGGGATTCCTGCATGAAATTCAGGAGGTTAGCATCAGCAAGGTTAGCATTTTCTTCTTTTGTAAATGAAGATGAGAAAACACAGAGGTGTGGGCAGCAGCCGTGCATTTGCCCCAGCAGAAACTGCCATGGAGATTTTTGGAGAGAGCTAACTCAAAGCCAAGTGGATGGCCATCGAGGCTCAGAACGCTAGCAGCTATTGAAACGCATGAGGCCCAGGACCAGAGCAGCTATTTAAACGCATGAGTATATCACAGTTTTTATCGTATAGATGTAATGCATACAATGATGTGGAGAGTTCATTTTTTCCTTATACCTTTTATCTGCATGTCAACTTCATCGATTCGTAACATGATGACTTTTAGCCTGTCCAATGAGCACCAACAGATGTCCAGAGGTTCAAGGCCTGGAAAGACTCTTTGCTGAGCCCTGGTCACCAGATCAGACTCATGCTCTTATGCTTGAGCCTTTTGGGCTATCGCAAAGGCATTCAAGGCCCAGAAAAGTGTCTGTCCTGGACAGAGCTCCTCAAAGATAAGGAAGAACTGAGACAAATTCATGTTGAAATCTCCAGCCCTAAGCATTGTTTATGATCCATGATCATCTTTCCATAATGACAACAAGGGAAAGAAGGACAGAGAATGGCGGAGAGGAAGAAGTCAATCAATAATGGGCATTGGTTTTGGAAAGTCTTTTTTTGAGACAGAGTCTCACTCTGTCACCCAGGCTGGAGTGCAGTGGCGCGATCTCGGTTCACTGCAACCTCCGGCTCCCTGGCTCAAGCGATGCTCCCGCCTCAGCCTCCCGAGCAGCTGGGATTACAGGCATACGCCACCATGCCGAGCTACTTTTTGTATTTTTAGTAGAGACGGGGTTTCACCATGTTAGCCAGGATGGTCTCGATCTCCTGACCTCGTGATCTGCCCGCCTCGGCTTCCTAAAGTGCTGGGATTACAGGCATGAGCCACTGCTCCCGTCCTGGAAAGTGTTAAGTCAATACGATCCTGCATATCTCAAACCAGACCTACAGTATGATGTTTATAAAAGCAGACACCATAAAAGTTATTAAAAGCAAAGGGTGCCCAGGCCTAGTGGCTCACACTTGTAATCCCAGCACTTTGGGAGGCCAAGGTGGGAGGATCACTTCAACCCAGGAGTTCAAGACCAGCCTGGGCAACATAGCAAGACCCAGTATCTCCAAAACATTTTGTTTATTTTTTTGAGACTGAGTCTCGCTCTGTCACCCAGGCTGGAGTGCAGTGGCGTGATCTCAGCTCACTGCAACCTCCGCCTCTCAGGTTCAAGCAATTCACCTGCCTCAGCCTCCCGAGTAGCTGGGACTACAGGCGCCCACCACCACGCAGGCACTCACCCCCAAGCCCAGCTAATTTTTGTGTTTTTAGGACAGTCAGGGCTTCACCATGTTGGCCAGGCTGGTCTTGAACTCTTAACCTCAAGTGATCTGCCCACCTTGACCTCCCAAAGTGCTGGGATTACAGGCATAAGCCACCACGCCCAGCCGCCAAAATAACTTTTTTAAATGAGCCAGGGCCAGGCACGGTGGTTCATGACTGTAATCCCAGCGCTTTGGGAGGCGGAGGTGGGCAGATCACGTGAGGTCAGGAGTTCAAGACCAGCCTGGCCAACAAAGCAAAACCCCATCTCTACTAAAAATACAAAAATTAGCAGGGCATGGTGGCGGGCGCCTGTAATCCCAGCTACTCTGGAGGCTGAGGCAGGAGAGTCGCTTGAACCCAGGAGGCAGGGGATGCCGTGAGCCGAGGTCGTGTCACTGCATTCCACCTGGGTGACAGAGCAAGATTCTGTCTCAAAAAAAACAATAATAAATAAATAAATAAAATGAGCTTGGCATGGTGGTGCACGCCTGTCATATCAGCGACTCATGAGGCTGAGTCAGGAGGATTGCTGGAGCCCAGGAGTTTGAGGTTGCAGTGAGCTATGATTATGTCACTGCACTGCAGTCTGGGCTGACAGAGTAGGATCCTGTCTGAAAATAATTAATTAAATGCAGATAGTGTCAAGAGTGGGCATAATACACATTAAGGCTTTTATTTTTCCAAGCTCGTCTCCACACATCATTTAAGCTAGCTGATTTAGACTTCCCCAGGTATGCAATAGACTCTCTCCCCTCCTCCCCGCCCCCCACTCCGTCTCCATTGGCAGTAGTGGAATGGGTTAATTTGAACTGTCCTCATATTCCCAGTTGAAGGGAGACCTGAAGAGGTCACAGAGGAAGAGGAGTCAGAGATCACGATAAGCTTTTAGAGAAATTTTCAAAAAGAAGAGCAGAAATCAAACCGTGAGTGTCTATAGGTCATGGTTGCAGAAGAAACAAGTATCCCGCAACATTGTTCAGATTCTGTTAGGAGCTTGTGTTTGAACAAAATTCATAAATTGAAGTCCTAAAGCCCAGGGCCTCAGAATGTGACTGTGTTTGGAAATAAGGTCTTTAAAGTGGTGATTAAGGTAAAATGAGGTCACCAGAGTGGGCCCCGATCTAATTGAACTGGTGTCCTTATAAGGAGAGCATATGAGGACACGGACACACACAGAGGGATGACCCTGTGAGGACACAGAGAGAAACCAAGGAGAGAGGCCTCAGGAGGAACCAGCCCTGCCCACACCTGGATCTCAGACATCCAGCCTCCAGGACTGTGGGAAACTCAATGTCTGTTGTATATAAGCTGCCCATTCTATGGTAATTCTGTTATAGCGCCTGAAATGGACTAAGACATCTCAGGAGAAGAGGAGATGAAAACACACAGAGGGACGACCCTGTGAGGACACAGGGAGAAGATGGTGTCTACAAGCCAAGGAGTGAGGTGTCGGGAGGAACCAGCCTTACTCACACTGTGATATTGAACCTCCAGCCTCTGGAATTGGGAGGAACCAGCCCTACTTACACTGTGATATTGAACTTCCAGCCTCTGGAATTGTGAAAAATAAATTTTGGCTTTTTAAGCAACCTCCAGTCTCCTTGAGATACTTTGTTATAACAGCCCTAGTAAAGTCATAAAGATATATGGTTATTTTTTTCCAGTAAACCATGTGAAAGAAACACAGGATCAATATTTAAGCAGAATATATATCTACTTCCAAAAGGGTACAACAATTTTCTGTGTTTTCTAGGTTGTGAATATCACCTTCATGAGCTTTCTGGATCTGACTGAATTTTCTATATGCACATCAACATTTGCATACATGTCTGAATCGACACCTAAGTAGCTCACATTAGGTATAAGACACAACTAACTCTGCCAGGCGCAGTGGCTCACACCTGTAATCCTAGCACTTTGGGAGGCCACGGCAGGCGGATGGCTTGAGCTCAGGAGTTCAAGACCAGCCTGGCCAGCATATGGAAACTCTGTCTCTACTAAAAATACAAAAATTATCCAGGCGTGGTGGTGCATGTCTGTAAACCCAGCTACTCGGGAGGCTGAGGTAGGAGAATCACTTTAACCCAGGAGGTGGAGGCTGCAGTGAGCCAAGATTGCACCACTGCAGTCCAGCACGGGTTGACGGACTGCGATCCTGTCTCAGAAAAAAAAAAAAACCGAAAAAACAAAAAACACAAGTAACTGTAAAAGTCATCACCTATGATAACATGCATGCCAAGTCTCGCCAGATGCTTCGCTGTAGAATAGCCAATGCCATCTGTCCCTCCCGTCACTATAGCGACACGGTCAGGTCGTGGGGGGAAAACTGAAAAAGAAGAAGAGAAAATCATCAAACTAAGATTTGAAAGCAGAGCACATATTTGTAAGAATTAAGCCTCCAGAGAGGCAAGATGCCAAAGGGAGTTATGGTTCATTTATTTCTGGTTCTGTTCCTCTTGAATTCCCACAGGCTCAGGAGGCATGAATGTATTAAAGTGGATTCGCCCCCAGTAATGACAGTGCAGTAAAAAACCACCTGATAAATCCCCTGTCATCCCCTGTGAGTCCCTGGCAGGCTCTGCAATATGCCGTCAGTGTGACCGGCAGAAAGGTCTGCAGAACGGATACCCTTTACAGAGGCGAGCAAGAATCCTGGAATAACCTCTGCTCTCAGGGCAGCACTGAGCAGGACATTTTTGTTCGTTTGCGTTGTAAAATGTAGACTTTATTATGATGTAGGTATGGTGGGGCCAACAGATCAGGAGACTGCCGTTAAGCAAGTGGTTTGTTACTCACAGGTCCCAAGAGGAGGGGCGTGTTGACACCACTCAGGACCACACAGGGGCGCACCAAGTTTGGTCAGGTGGGAAGACAAAGGAGACCAGAGCTCTCACTGTGGTTTCCAAGGGAAGGAACAGGCGAGTAGGCTTACAGTTGGCTAGTGTGAATGATTTCAGCAGGCTCTGGGGCATAGGGGCTGTCCCTGACTCTCTGGTACCTGGCTTTGGGGTGGTTAGGGCAGGTGGAGAGTGACGTGGAATATGCAACCCCAATAAAGGAGATGGCTGGGGGGTGGATTCTGGATTGATGGGTTTGCATATGAAAGACAGGTTCATAGGTGGGCTCTTCACCACCTCTGGGGATTCGCTAGCTATGGGAGGGGCAGGGTCTCTAGGGTTGACAAGGCCATGAAAGTCATGCATCAGAACACAGAAAATAAAAGACTTGGTTAATACAGTTTGCTTCATAGCTGCTGGTATCACACGTGCAGATAGCATCTCACTTGAATTTCTGGTTAAGACGAGTGATCCACATTTTGAGGGAGATTTGTATTTCTTTTTCTTCCTTCCACTTGTCCTCCCTTCCTTCTCTCCATCTTTCCTTCCTTCCTTCCCTCTTTCCTTCCTTCCTCCTTCCTTCTCTTTTTCCTTTCTTCCTTCATTCCTTCCTTCCTTCATTCTTTCCTTCCCTCCCTCTTTCCTTCCCTCCCTCCTTCCTTCCTTCCCTCCCTCTTTCCTTTCTTCATTCCTTCCTTCCCTCCCTTTTTCCTTCCTTCCTCCTTCCTTCTTTCCTTCCTTCCTTCCCTCTTTCTTTTCTTCATTCCTTCCTTCCCTCCCTCTTTCCTTCTTTCCTTTCCTCTTTCCCTCCTTTCTTCTTTACTTCCTTGTCTCACTCCTTCTTTCTTCTTTTCCTTTTTCCTTCCCTCCCTTTCCTTCCTTTCTCCTTCCATCCTTTCCTCTTCACTTCTTTCTCTCACTTTTTCCTTCCTTCCTTCCCTTCCCTTCCTTTCCTCTTTACTTCCTTCTCTCACTCTTTCCTTCCTTCTTTCCCTCTTTCCTTCCCTCCCTCTTTCCTTTCTTTCCTCCCTCTTTCCTTCCTTTCTTCCTCCTTCCTTCTGTCCATCTTCTAACCCTTCCCTCCTTCTTTTATAAAATATGTGTAGAGCCCACACTCTGTGCCCAGCATACAGGGAAATGAATTAGACAAAGATAAACATGTTGTCTGCCTCAAGGACATTTGGTTCCCCTGGGAAAGATACCAACCACTCTAAATACACAGATGTGTCTGGCAATAATGCAGAACTTTCCAGATCTCACATCTTCCAGTTATGAATGAACTTCAAAGGAAGAAGAGGAAAGGGAGAAGCAGTGATTCTGGACGGAGGGTTAGAGAACAATCTTCCAAGGAGGGGCTCCTGAGCTGATGTTGTGACGGTGAGAGCAAAAGTCTAGCAGGCCTGGGATATTCCAGGAAGAGGAAGGCGGCTGGCTGGCTAGCTGGAGCCAAGCACATGGAAGGAGGGAAGAGAGGAGGGAAGAAGGAGTAGGGGCACCCCAGAGTTCGTGAGCTTCTCTCTGGCAGACAGGGCGTCATCACGGGGCTCTGAGCCAATCTGTGATATGTTTCACAGGAAGGAATAGATTCATGGAGAATCCACTTGAGCTGGAGGAAGACAAGGCTATCAAGGGTCTCCTGAAGCAGCTGCAGGGACTGACGGGGGAGCTCCGCCACAGTTCAGCACAGGTGGTATGAGAGGTGCTGGATTCAGAATATGTCTCACAGGTACTGGCCACAGGGGTGCTGGTGGGAGTCAGACTTCTCGCGTTCAAAATAAAAAGAAATCACAAGACAAGGACAGAGAGGGGGACATGATGAGGCAAGAATGACTCCTTGTACTGGGGGCTGAGAAAATTCAAGGAGGGAATTTCCATGAATTCCCTTGAGAAAGAAAGACTGAGGGAAAAGTGGATTTTGCAGGCAGGTAGTCAGGAAAGTCCCTTTCTGTGAATTATTATAGGCACATATGATCTTTTTCAAGTTAGGAGATTATTTTGTTCAACATATTTGGAATGTTCTTTATTAAAATATAAAGCCTAAGTGTCCACCATCAGACAATTTGATTTTTTAAAATATGGCACATATATACCATGGAATACTACACAGCCATGAAAAGGAATGATGTTGTGTCTTTTGCAGCAACACGAAGGGAACTGGAGGCCATTATCCTAAGTGAAATGGCTCAGAAACAGAAAGTCAAGTACCACATGTTATCCCTTATAAGCGGGAATTAAATAATGTGTACACGTCGACATAGAGCATAAAAAATAGACATCGAGGACTCAGAAGTCTCACAGGGTGGGATGGGATGAGGGATGAGAAATTACCTATTGGCTACCATGTACGTTATTTGAGTGATGGCCTCACTAACAGCCCAAACATTACCACTATGCAATATATTCATGTAACACAAGTGTACTCATACCCACAAAATCTATAAAAATACAAAGGTAATTTAAATAGAAATAGGTTTATAAATCATTCCACTATAACGACACACACACGTATGTTTATTGCAGCACTGTTCACAATAGTAAAGACTTGGAACCAACCCAAATGCCCATCAACGATAGACTGAATAAAGAAAATGTGGCACATGGACACCATGGAATACTATGCAGCCATAAAAAAGGATGGGTTCATGTCCTTTGCAGGGACATGGATGAAGCTGGAAACCATCCTTCTCAGCGAACTAACACAAGAACAGAAAACCAAACACCACATGTTCTCACTCACAAGTGGGAGTTGAACAATGAGAACACATGGAAACAGGGAGGGGAACATCACACACCAGGGCCTGTCAGGAGGTGAGGGACTAGGGGAGGGAGAGCATTAGGACAAACACCTAATGTAGATGATGGGTTGATGGGTGCAGCAAACCACCATGGCACGTGTATACCTATGTAACAAACCTGCACGTTCTGCACATGTACCCCAGAACTTAAAGTATAATAAAATAAAATAAAACAATAAAGCCTATGCTGCTTTTCCATTTCACCTTTCCAAGTATAAAATGTTGTGTCTCCTCTCCCCCCAAAATAATTCCTATGTTGAGAACATACAATCGCCAGGGTGATGGTATCAGGAGGTGGGGCCTGTGGAGGAGGCTTCAACATATAATCTGTTATTTGTCAGCCCGTACATTTCGTTGTCAGTATTGTGCGAACAATCCTCTTGGTGTGTAAGACTTTCATTTTGTTTTTCTTGATACACGCATGAATCGATGAAAAGGTATGTTCACTTAGAAAATTGCCGAATAAGTTTTCCATATGCTTAGGTTTTCTGGTGTATCCCTCGTAACCTGAAGATAGAACCTGTACAATGACATTCCCGTGTTCCTGACCCAAGCTGAGGGACTTGCAAATACTATATGTAGTATCAGTAGATGTATTGATGTTCTTAATTTACTAAGTTTATTTTAAAAATAGGAATGTATTATTAAATTGTAATTACAGACACACAGTATGCATATATACTGTGTATGTATACATGTGTGTCTGTGTGTGGGTGTGTCTGTGTGTGTACATACATATTTCTCAGCCCCAATGCCAACTTCCTAGTCAATAAAGAAATCTCTAAAATCTTCCAGCTAAACTTGGAAAAGCAGCAAGTATCCATCCTGTTCTCTGTGATGCTTTTTTTTTTTTTTGAGCTGGGGTCTTACTACATTGCCCAGGCTGCAGTGCAGTGGTGCAATCATGGCTCGCTGAAGCCTCGACCTCCTGGACTCAAATGATCCTCCTGCCTCAGCCTCCCAAGTAGCTGGGACTACAGGTGTGAGCCACCACACTTGGCTAATTTTTTTTACTATTTTTTTTTTGTAAAGATGGGGTCTTGCTGTGTTGCCCAGACCGGTCTTGATCTCCGGGGCTCAAGTCATCCTCCCACCCCGGCCTCCCAAAGAGCTGGATTCCAGGAGTGCACCCTGTCATTTAACATGCTACTGGAGATCTTATCCAACATGGTCAGACAAATAATTACAACAGACACAAGAACGGCAGAGGGAGAGTCAAAATATACTTTGCAGATGATATGATGGTATGCCAGGAAAAAACTAACAAAATCAACATTAAATAAATCCAAGAAGAGAATTCAGGAAGGTAGTCAGATAGAAAACTCAGAAGCAAATATCAATAGCTTCCATACATACACAAACAATTGGCAGGTTAAAAAGGTAGGGGAAGAGACAGTCCTGCTTATAATATAGAAACAACAGCAACACTGAAATGAGACTTGGTCATCGAGAGTGTGCAAAACCTATATCAGGAAACCTAAAGACATAAAAGTAGAGTTGAGGCCATGGAAAGATGCCCTCGGGTCTCGGTGAGGATGTCATGCCACATGGTTTTGGAGGTGCCCGTGGGGTCTTCCCTGAAAACGCACAGTGAGCCGTGATTGTGCCACTGCACCGCAGCCTGGGCAAGGTAGCGAGACCCCAGCTCAAAAAAAAAAAAAAAAGCATCACAGATTGCAGAATGGACCCTTGCTGCATTTGTAACTTTAGCTAGAAGAGTTTAGTGTTTTCCTTACGGACCAGGAAGCTGGCATTGGGGCTGAGAAGTATGTATGTACCCACACAGACACCCCCGCACACAACAGGTTGCAACAATCGCCTGACACCAGCCACCCGGTGCCTCTGCAGATGGGGAACATGTTTCGCAAGATCGGGCTTCCTCAGGGTTTTGGGTTTTCACAGCCAATGACTCGGCATGACCAGAGAACTGGCTGGACGCTCCTTCTACCCAATTCCTCGCCGTCTCTTTCTTCACAGGTGTGAGGCACCTACACCATCACCTGCAAGCCTTCCTCCACTCTTCTGCCAGCGCCTGTTTGACCCTTCACACACAGTTCCCCTAGTAAATCTCTGGCCCATCATGTTCCTTCTTGGTGTGTGCTTCTCCAAAGACCCAAATGGGTCAGGCGCAGTGGCTCATGCCTGTAATCCCAGCACTTTGGGAAGCCAAGGCAGGCAGATCGCTTGAGCCCAGGAGTTCAAGACCAGCCTGGGCAACATAGTGAAGCCCCATTGCTACAAAACAAAAAAAAAGGTACAAAAAAATTAGCCAGGCATGGTGGCACACGGCTGTCATCTCAGCTACCCGGGAGGCTGAGTTCAGAGGATCACGCAAGACTGGGAGGTTGAGGCTGTAGTGAGCTCCGATCATACCACTGCACTCCAGCCTGGGTGACAGAGCAAGACTGTCTCAAAACAAAACAAAAAAAAGACGGCCGGGCACGGTGGCTCATGCCTGTAATCCCAGCACTTTGGGAGGCCGAGGCGGGTGGATCACGAGGTCAGGAGATCGACACCATCCTGGCTAACACGGTGAAACCCGGTCTCTACTAAAAATACAAAAAATTAGCCTGGCGTGGTGGCGGGCGCCTGTAGTCCCAGCTACTCGGAAGGCTGAGGCAGGAGAATGGCGTGAACCTGGGAGGTAGAGCTTGCAGTGAGCCGAGATTGTGCCACTGCACTCCAGCCTGGGCGACAGAGCTAGACTCCATCTCACAAAAAAAAAAAAAAAGACAAAAAAAACCCCCAAACTTTGTCCAATCCGGAGTTGACAGACACCTAAGTTTGATTCCATGTCTTTGCTTTTATGAATAGTGCTGCGATGAACACACAGTACGTGTGTCTTTTTGGTAGAATGACTTACTTTCCCTTGGGTAGATACCCAGTAATGGGATTGCTGGCTCAAATGTTAATTCAATTCTTAGGAAGACATGGTGCATCTATACCATGGAATACTATGCACCCATTAAAAAGAATGAAATCATGTCCTTTGCAGCAATATAGATGCAAGAGGAGGCCATTCTCCTATGTGAATTAACACAGAACCAGGAAACTAAATATCAGACGTTCTCACTTCTTACTGGGAGGTAAACATCAAGTACAGATGGACATAAAGATGGGAACAATAAACACTGAGCAATTCAATGGGGCAAGGAAGGGATGGGGCAAGGGTTGGAAAACTATTGAGTGCTGTGCTGACTACCTGGGTGACGGGATCCTTGTGCTCCAAACCTCAACATCACACAATATACCCAGGGAACAAACCTGCACATGTACCCCCGAACCTAAAATAGAAGTTGAGGCCAGATGCGGTGGCTCACACCTGTCATCCCAGCACTTTGGGAGGCCGAGACGGGTGGATCACGAGGTCAGGAGTTCAAGACCAGCCTGGCCAACATGGTGAAACCGCATCTCTACTAAAAATACAAAATTTAGCTGGGCGTGGTGGTGTGTGCCACCTGTAATCCCAGCGACTCGGGAGGCTGAGGCAGGAGGATCGCTTGAACCCGGGAGGTGGAGCTTGCAGTGAGCTGAGATCACGCCAGTGCACTCCAGCCAGGGCGACAGAGCCAGACTCCGTCTCAAAAAAAAAATTTTTTTTAATTTAAAAAATAAAATAGAAGTTGGAGGGGGAAAAAAAATCTAAACTGATACAATCCTAAAGGTGTCAGAATGACCCAAGTCAATATGCAAATTTGATGTGATCCAATAAAGATAGTTCACAGAATTTCTTTTAGGCAAACTGGACGAATCGATTCGAAAATTGCTGTGGGGAAAAGAATTCCAAATGAGGCGGCAAAGAGGAAAATTCTGATATGTACAAAGATTGAGAACACAATGGCCCTGTAGGAGATTAAAACATTTGAGAAGCTTCTATAATTAAACGGGAGGTACTACAGGCATTAATGGAGGAAGGAACAGGGTACAATTTCCAAAAATAGGCCAACTGCATGTGGAAATTGAGTACACGACAAAAGGGGCAAAAGATGGGCGTTTTAATAAACCGTGTTGGGGCACGTGAAGCCACATTAGGAAACAGATAAAATTAGTGCCAGACCTCATAGCATGCATGAGTGAACTCCAAGGCAAAAACAAAGTTAAACCATGAGAAGATTGCAAGAAAGCAGGAATCATTAGTTTAACCTCCACAGAAAGAAAATGCTTCCTAAACGAAAATTCAGAAAGATGGTTAGATAGATTTCACTATTTAAAAAACTACTTGTTTAAAAAACAGGCCGGGCAGTGGCTCATGCCTGTAATCCCAGCACTTTGAGGGCTGAGGTGGGGGTATCGCTTGAGGCCAAAAGCTCAGGACCAGCCTGGGAAACAGAGAGAGGCCTCATCTCTACAAAAAATTTAAAAAATTAACCGGGTGTGGCGGTGCGTGCCTGTAGTTCCAGCAAGCTGGGAGGCTGAGATGGGAGGATCACTTGAGCCCAAGGGATGGAGGTTGCAGTGAGCCAAGATCGTGCCACTGCACTCCAGGAGGAACAAGACACTATCTCAAAAAAAAAATCACATGGTAAAAAACAAAACAAATCTCCATAAGCAAAGTAAAAAATAAATAATGAGCTGGAAGAAAATTTGCAACTTCCATCAGAAATATTAACAGCTATTTTTCAGATATCTAAAAAGTTCAACTCCAGAAAAACCCCAAACATGCTACAAAGAAAAGGGCAAAAATAAGAGTTTATATACAGAACAGGCTCAAATGGCCCTCAACACATATGTTCTCCTTTATATCTAATAACAGACATCCTAATTCAGACCATATTGAAATACTATTTCTTTTTTTTTTAAAGTTCTGGGATACATGTGTAGAACGCGCAGGTTTGTTACATAGGTATACATGTGCCACGGTGGTTTGCTGCACCCATCAACCCATCATCTAGCTTTTAAGCCCTGCATGCATTAGGTATTTGTCCTAATGCGCTCCCTCTCCTTGTTCCCCAGCCCCCAGCAGGTTCTGGTGTGTGATGTCCCCCTCCCTGCGTCCCTGTGTTCTCACTGTTCAGCTCCTACTTGTAAGTGAGAACATGTGGTGTTTGGTTTTCTGTTCCTGCGTTATTAGGCTGAGAATGATGCCTTCCAGCTTCATCCATGTCCCTGCAAAGGACATGAACTCATCCTTTTTATGGCTGCGTAGTATTCCATGGTGTATTTTTCTAACCTTTTCTTTTTTGAGATGGAGTCTCGCTCTGTCGCCCAGGCTGGAATGCAGTGGCGCAATATCAGCTCAATGCAAGCTCCACCTCCCGGGTTCACGCCGTTCTCTCACCTCAGCCTCCCGAGTAGCTGGGACTACAGGCGCCCGCCACCACGCCCGGCTAATTTTGTTTTTGTATTTTTAGTAGAGACAGGGTTTCACTGTGTTAGCCAGGATGGTCTCGATCTCCTGATCTCGTGATCCGCCCGCCTCGGCCTCCCAAAGTGCTGGGATTACAGGCGTGAGCCACCGCGCCCGGTCTATAAAGAGCTCTTCTAACCAAACCCCAGTCCCTCCACAAATGGGTAAAGGAAATGAATATGCAATTTGGAGATATGAAATAAAACATAAGCATATGAAACAAAGTTCAGTCTCGCTGACAATGAAATAATGAATAAAGCAATTGTGAGCTTTCATCAATCACATGGAATAGGTTAAAAAGTAGGGTTGTTATCCAGAATGCGTATGCCTTGGAGAAGTTAGAAGTTTACATACTCAGTTCAAATGTACCCACCAAGACTGCATTTTCTTAGGAGATAAGTTGACAATGACTCCTGAAAGGTGACAGGCAGCCAGGCCTGGTAGCTTATGCCTGTAATCCCAACACTTTGAGAGGCCAAGGTGGGAGGATCAGCGGAGGCTAGGAGCACGAGGCCCAGCCTGGGCAACATAGCAAGACCCTACCTCTACAAAAATAAAAATAAATTAGCCAGACGTGGTGATGCTCGCCTGTAGTCCCAGCTACCCTGGAGGCTGAAATGGGAGGATCACTGGAGCCCAGGAGGTCGAGGCTGCGGCAAGCTATGATTGCACCACTGCACTCCAGCCTGGGTGACAGAGCAAGACGCTGTCTCTTTAAAATAAAGAAAAGAAAATTTACATGCATTTTCTTTTTGGCTCAGCTATTCCACTTCCAAGAATTACTTGCACAGATACACTCCCACACATATGCTAAGATATACGAGAAAACCATTCATGGCTGCCTTGTTTAGAATCAAAAACCATTTAGTTTCATCGCCATTTTATAAAAGACTTTTTGCAGGTGTTACTTAAAAAGAAACATCTTATTGTTCTTAGCAACAACTTGGATGGCTCTCCAGGGAATTCTATTGAGTGAAGGAAAAAAAGACACACGTGATTTGAAAGGGGTTACACTCTGTATGACTCCATTTATATGACATTCTTGACATGAGAAAAGGTACAGAAATAGAGAACAGACTAGTAATTCTCAGGGGTTCAGGACAGGAGAGGAGGTTGAGGTAGGATGCAGGTTGGTACAGAAATAGAGAACAGACTAGTAATTCTCAGGGGTTCAGGACGGGAGAGGAGGTTGAGGTAGGATGCAGAGAGAGAAACAGGAGGGGTTGTTGGTGAAAGAAATGCTCTGTGTGTTGCGGACAATGCTGGCTTCACAAACCTGCACGCACTATGAAATTGCACAGAACTCGGTACAAAAACCCACACGGATACGAGTAAAACATAAGATCAATGCATTATTGCCTGAATGTGAATATCCTCCTTGTGACATGGTATTATTGCTTTCCAAGATGTTACCACTGGGGGAAGTAGACACAAGATTCTTTCCTATTATTTCTTACAACTGCTTATAAATCTACAATGATCTCAAAGTAAAAACCTTAATTGGAAAAAAAAAAAAAAAGTCTAGGCAGGAAGCAGTGGGTCACACCTGTAATCCCAACACTTTAGGAGGTCAGGGTGAGACAATCACTTGAGGCCAGGAGTTTGAGATCAGCTTGGGCAACATAGCAAGACCCCATCTCTACAAAGAAATTTAAAACTTAGCCAGGCATGGTGGCTTGCATGTGTAGTCCCAGGTACGTGGGAGGCTGAGATGGGAGGATTGTTTGAGCCCAGGACTTGAAGGCTGCAGTGAGCTATGATTGCATTACTGCACTCCAGCCTGGGCAACAGAGCAAGATCCTGTCTCTAAAAATAAATGAATAGATAAGTAAGTAAATAAATAAATCTATGCTTACGCCATATGATATTTCATTCTTAAAAAACAGGAAAAACAAAAGTCCTATCCTTCTTGATCCTAGTACAGTTGTTTTGAAAATATCTATATGTTTCATGGGGGCTGGGCGCAGTGGCTCACGCCTGTAATCCCAGCACTTTGGGAGGCCGAGGCAGGCGGATCACGAGGTCAGGAGTTTGAGACCAGCCCAATCAACATGGTGAAACCCCGTCTGTACTAAAAGTACAAAAATTAGCCGGGCATGGTAGCACGCACCTGTAATCCCAGCTACTCGGGAAGCTGAGGCAGGAGAATCACTTGAACCCGGGAGGCAGAGGTAGCAGTGAGCCGAGATCACACCACTGCACTCCAGCCTGGGTGACAGAGGGAGACTCCATCTCAGAAAAATAATAACAACAAAAATAAATAAATAAATAATAAAACAAAACTAAAAAAATAAAAACTATGTGTTTTATGATTCCCGTTTGAACTGCTGATCTTCCCACACCCTGGTCCCTTCATCTAACACTGAGGGCTGGAGACACAGTGAGTTTTGTCTACTGTCATGAGCTTCAGGGCATGGCAGGTACAGGTGTTGAGTTTTTGTTGTTTTATCATGAGGTTGGTGCAAAAGTTAATGGCAAAAGCAGCAATTACTTTTGCAGCAACATATTATTATTATTATTATTATTATTATTATTATTATTACTACTACTACTACTGATAGGGTCTTGCTCTGTCACCCCGGCTGGAGTGCAGTGGTGAAAACACAGCTCACTGCAGCCTCAAACTCCCAGACTTAAGCAATCCTCCTGCCTCAGCCTCCTAGGCAGCTGGGACTACAGGCACGTGCCAGCACATCTGCCAGTTTTTTTTTTAATCTTTTGTAGAGACAGGGTCTTGCTCCATTGTTCAGGCTGATCTCAAACTCCTGTTTTCAAGTGATCCTCCTGCCTCAGTCCCCCAAGTAGCTGGAACTACAGGTGTGTGCCACCATGCCCCACTAATTTATTTTTATTTTTGTAGAGATGGGGTCTCACTATGTTGGCCGAGCTGATCTCAAACTCCTGGCCTCAAGTGATCCTCCCACCTTGGCCTCCCGACGTGTTGCAATTATAGGCATGAACAGGCTACAGACCCCACCGTCATCTCCTCCATCAAAGAGGTTCCTGAACTTTACTTTCATGTTTGGTATACACTGCCTTGAATCCTTTCTCTTTTTTTGAGACCGAGTCTCGCTCTGTTGCCCAGGCTGGAGTGCAGTGGTGCAATCTCGGCTCACTGCAAGCTCTGCCTCCTGGGTTCATGCCATTCTCTTGCCTCAGCCTCCCGAGTAGCTGGGATTACAGGTGCCCGCCACCACACCTGACTAATTTTTTTTGCATCTTTAGTAGAGATGGAGTTTCACCGTGTTAGCCAGGATGGTCTCGATCTCCTGACCTCGTGATCCGCCCACCTCAGCCTCCCAAAGTGCTGGGATTACAGGTGTGAGCCACCATGCCCGGACACAAGGTCATATTGAAAAGATGCTCAGCCGAGTCTGGTGGCTCATGTCTGTAATCCCAGCACTTTGGGAGGCCGAGGTAGAAAAATCACTAGGTCAGAAGTTCAAGACCAGCCTGACCAACATAGTGAAACCCCGTCTCTACTAAAAATACAAAAATTATCCAGGTGTGATGGTGTGCCCATGTGGTCCCAGCTACTCAGGAGGCTGAGGTGGGAGGATTGCTTGAGCCTGGGAGAGCAAGGCTGCAGTGAGCCATGTTCATATCAGTGCACTCCAGCCTAGGTGACAGAGCAAGACCCTGTCTCAAAAAAAAAAGAAGAAGAAAAAAAAGCATCATTTCATTGTTGATATACCATTGTTTCCTAAGAGAGACAGAGAGAGAGAGAGAGAGAGAGAGAGAGTGTGTGTGTGTGTGTGTGTGTGTGTGTGTGTGTGTCACAGTCCTCAAATTTGGGAGAGTAAAGTGAAGATGACCAGCAGCCAAAAACCCAACAAAGCTGGTCCCAGGAACACATTTTCCTGATATGCAGTGTAACTTAGGTTCTTATAGAAGAAAGACCGTGTCACTCAACCACCATAATTAAGAACCTTCAGAGTCCAATTCATGAAAACTCACCGGCAGAACAATATGTGGCAACCATTCTAAGCGAACCTCAGATGAAGCACCTTGAAGGCTTCACGAGCCTGTGTGCTATTGGATAACCATGGGGAAAAAAAAAAAACTGAATTCTGGCCGGGCGCGGTGGCTCATGCCTGTAATCCCAGCACTTTGGGAGGCCGAGGCAGGAGAATCGCTTGAACCCGGGAGGTGGGCATTGCAGTGAGCCGAGATCATGCCACTGCACTCTAGCCTGGGTGACAGAGCGAGACTCCATCTCAGAAAAAAAAAAAAAAAACCTGAATGGTCATTCATTTTAGGAACAGAATGATCTAGGAGTATTGGACTGCAGAGGAGAGGGAGGGAGAGAGCAGCTGGAGCTTCATATAGTTACACATTACAGAATGCATACACACACACACACACACACATATATATGCATTCATCTTAAAGTAAGATTGACAGCAAAGCATCAATAAAGACTGCAAACCGGCCACGTGCAGTGGCTTCACGCCTGTAATCCCAGCACTTTGGGAGGCTAAGGTGGGCTGATCACCTGAGGTCAGAAGTTTGAGACCAGCCTGACTAACATGGTGAAACCCCATCTCTACTAAAAATTAAAAAATTAGCCGGGCGAGATGGCTGGCGCCTGTAATCCTGCCTCAGGAGGGTGAGGCAGGAGAATCGCTTGAACCCAGGAGGCGGACATTGCGGTGAGCCGAGATCACGCCACTGCACTCCAGCCTGGGGGACAGAGCAAGACTCCATCTCAAAATAAAAAAAAAAAAAATGGTCGTTCATTTCAGGAACAGAATGATCTAGGAGAGTACTGGACTGCAGAGGAGAGGGAAGGAGAGAGCAGGTGGAGCTTCATATATTCACACATTACAGAATGTATACACATACATATATATGCATTCGTCTTAAAGTAAGATTGACAGCAAAGCATCAACAAAGACCTGCAAACTGGCCAGTTGTGGTGGCTCACACCTGTAATCCCAACACTTTGAGAGGCCGAGGTGGGTGGATCATGAGGTCAGGAGTTCAAGACCAGCCTGGCCAACATGGTAAAACCCTGTCTCTACTAAAAACACAAAAATTAGCCCAGCGTGGTGGCTGGCGCCTGTAGTCCCAGCTACTCAGGAGGCTGGGGCAGGAGAATTTTTTGAACCCAGGAGGTGGAGGTTGCAGTGAGCTCAGATCATGCCATTGCACTCCAGCCTGGGTGACAAGAGCGAGACTTTTTTGTCTCAAAAAAAAAAAAGCTTAAAAAATAAAAACAGCTTAAAAATAAAGTAAAATAACATAAAAGCTTAAAATATAAAATAAAATTTAAGAGGTCATTCATTTCAGGAAAAGACTGATCTACGAGAATTGGACTGCAGAGGAAAGAGAGGGAGAGAGCAGCTGGAGCTTCATATATTCACACATTACAGAATGTATATACATATATATACGCATTCATCTTAAAGTAAGAGTGACAGCAAAGCATCAATAAAGACCTTCAATCCATACTCTGACAAGTTCCTTTGTCCAGTGGTCCTCAAGCTTTTTGGCACCAGGAACCAGTTTCATGGAAGACCATTTTTCCACTGATGTGGGGTGGGGGATGGTTTGGGGATGATTGAAGTGCATTCTATTTATCATGCACTTTATTTCTATTATTATTACACTGTAATAGAGAATGAAGTAATTATGAAACTCACCATCGTGTAGAATCAGTGGAAGCCCTGAGCTTGTTTTCCTGCAACTAGACGGTCCCATCTGCGTGCGGGTGATGAGAGCCAGTGACAGATCATCAGGCATTAGATTTTCATACGGAGCACGCCACCTAGGTCCCTCACATGTTCAGTTCACAGTAGGGTTCATGCTCCTATGAGACTCTAATGCCACCACTGATCTCATAGGAGGCAGAGCTCAGGAGGTAATATGAGCTATGGGGAGCAGCTGTCAATACAGATGAAGCTTTGCTCACTCACACGCTACTCACCTCCTGCTGCACAGCCCAGTTACTAAAAGGCTGGGGACCGGTACTGGATGCAAGGATACAAGGATGCAAGAGATGCTAAAATTCATTAAAATGGGTCCACGGATGCCCTGCATTCTTCACACTCTCCAATTAATCTTGTGAATTCAGCATTGAGTCACTGAAGGTCACAGTGAGTCCCACTTCTGATTTACCCACTTTTGAAATGAACAGAATGCAGAAAGGAAAACAAGGTCAGTAGCATCTGTCAGCAAAGTTTGCCAACGGCTGTACCCACACAAAGAAGAGAGGTGTGTCTGTCTTCTTATTTGTTCTTTTTTCTTTTTCTTTTTTTTGAGACAAGGTCTCACTCTTTCACCCAGGCTGGAGTGCAGTGGGGCAATCATGGCTCACTGCAGCCTCAACTTCCCAGGCTCAACCAAACCTCCCATCTCAGCCTCCTGAGTAGCTGGGACTACAGGTGTGCACCAGCATGGCCAGATAATTTTTGTGTTTTTTTGTAGAGACAGGGTCTCCGTATGTTGCCCAGGCTGGTTTCGAGCTCCTAGGCTCAAGCAATCCACCCACCTTGGCCTCCCAAAATGCTGGGATTACAAGCAGAAGATGCCGCATCCAGCTCATTTCTGCTTTTTAAATGTTTTTCTTTCTTTCTTTTTTTTTTTGAAACGGAGTCTCGCTCTGTCACCCAGGCTGGAGTGCAGTGGCGGGATCTCTAGCCTTCATCTTTCTCCCATGCTGGATGCTTCCTGCCCTCGAACATCAAGACCCCAGGGTCTTTGGGTTTTGGACCGTTGGACCTACACCAGTGATTTGCCAGGGGCTCCTGGACCTTCGACCACAGACTGAAGGCCGCACTCTCAGCTTGCCTACTTTTGAGGTTTTGGGCCTTGGACTGGCTTCCTGGCTCCTCAGCTTGCAGACGGCCTATTGTGGGACTTCACCTTGTGATCGTGTGAGTCAATTATCCTAGTAAACTCCCCTTCATATACACATCAGTCCTATTCGTTCTGTCCCTGTAGATCACCCTGACTTGAACAGCATGAAGAGCAACGCTGTAACCAGCCCTGTCCTGACTGAGGCAGCCGAATGAGAATCAGCAATGAGGAGCTACAGACGACGCAGACGGCACCAGTAGCTACCGCCCAGGATGCATGGACACTCTAGTTTCCACAGCCACATTCAAGTTCTGGAACACCACGGCTTCCGGCTGTCTTCAGTGAAGACGGAGCACGTGTCAGTCCCAGGGTGCAATGATCACACCTCGGAGCTTTCCAAAATTCTATCTCATCACGTTCACCAACAAAGACATCCAAGGAGCAGAATTCAAAGTCAAGGAAGCCTGTGAAATTCACAAGGAGCAAGAAGAACAAAGGCTAAGGACTATTTGACAGGAGGGGAAGAGGCCTGGTCCCTGGGTTCTCCAAGGCAACGCGGTGGAATGTGTTTTGACGTGTCTTCAAGTCTGAAAGGAACCTGGTCCTTCCATTCCCTGGATGCTATGTCTCTCTTAGTGGCTTTGCAATGATGTCATCTGTGGACACAGATCTGCATGAGTGACAGTTCTGCAGAGAAACAACCAGTAGGATATATATATAGAGAGAAAGAGATTTTAAAGAACTGGCTCCCAAGATGTGGGGGAGGGGCAAAACCAAAATGTGCAGGGTAGACCAGCAGGCCAGATGCCCATGGAGACATGATGTCGCAGCTCAAGTCTGAAGGTGGATTCCAGATAGAATTCCCTCTTCCTTGGAGGAGGGACTCTTTTTACCTCTTAAGACCTTCCACTGATTAGGCAAGGCCCACCCACATTATGAACAGCTATCGGCTTCACTCAAAGTCTACTGAAAATCTCATTATTGGGTACACACCCAGAGGAATATAAATTGTTCTACCATAAAGACTCACACGGCTGGGCACAGTGGTTGACGCCTGTAATCTCAGCACTTTGGGAGGCTGAGGCAGGTGGATCACGAGGTCAGGAGTTCAAGACCAGCCTGGCCAACATGGTGAAACTCCGTCTTTACTAAAAATACAAAAAAAATTAGCTGGGTGTGGTGGCGTGCGCCTGTAGGCCCAGCTATTTGGGAGGCTGAGGCAGAAGAATTGCTTGAACCCAGAAGGCAGAGGTTGCAGTGAGCTGAGATCATGCCACTGTCAATCAACATGTATTTTGTATTTATATATATTATATACTACATTCTCAACACATGTTTGTATTTATTTTGTGTTTCTATGTATTATATACTGCATTCTTACAGTAAAGTAAGCTAGAGAAAAGAAAATGCTATTAAGAAAATCTTAAGGAAGAGAAAACATATGTACTACTCATCGAGTGGAAGTGGATCATCCTAAAGGTCTCCATCCTCATCGTCTCCATGCTGAAGAAGCTGAGGAGGAGGAGGAGGAACAAAAAGGGTTGTTCTTGCTGTCTCGGGGGTGGCAGAGGTGGCAGAAAATCCACATATAAATGGACCTATGGAGTTTACACCTGTGTTGTTCAAAGGTCAACTGTATATATTATAATATATATGATATATGATGATATATAATTACATTGTATAATATATTATGGGTGTCTATGTGTGTGTGTATATATATATATTCAGTTCCATCCAGGTATGGATAATAAAGCCCAGTACGTATGCAACACACTGGCCATCAGCGTCACGCCTAGTTATCATGCTGGCCGGTAAACAACGTGTCTTTGCAGTCCTGTGCCTGAGATCATACCCTTCCCAGTGCCACAGGTCCCCAAATCACTGCATTATTTCTAGAAAAACCCAGCCGCGATTTCCTAGAAACAAGAACCCCAGGAAATGTAATCAAGTACCATCTTCTGGAAATTGAGACATCTGAGATGAAAAGTGTGACTTGTTAACTGCCACGTAGAAGCTCTCAGGAATATTCCCTTTCCGAAGACATTTGTACAAACTGAAGGGTTCTGTACTAACAGAGAATGCTATTGCCTCTTTCCCCAAGGAAACACAGCTTAAGGAATGTTCCCCTCAATGCACCATCTGTCACCAGACACGTGCGTGTTCCGTCACATGTCACTATGATAAGACAATGACTTGTGTGTGTGTCAATCTAGAAGCTGAGTATTACCTTGAAATCAAGAGGGAGGCGGAGTTTCTCAACCTCATTTTACTTTTTATTTGTGTTTCGTAGAGACAGGGTCTGGCTCTGTCACCCAAGCTGTAGTGCAGTGGTGTGATCATGGCTCACTGCAGCCTCCACCTCCTGGGCTCCAGTGATCCTCCCACCTCAGCCTCCAAAGTAGCTGGGAGCAGATGCACACCACCATGTCCAGCTAATTTTTTTTAAATTTTATATAGACGGGGGTCTCACTGCGTTGCCCATGCTCCTCTTAAACTCCTGGACTCAAGTGATTTTCCCACATCAGCCTCCGAAAGTCCAGGGATTACAGGCACCAGCCACCGTGGCTGGCCCTCAACCTTACTTTAGCCCAGGGGTCTAACTCCTGGGCAGATATCCTAAGATTCTTACAGAAAACCAAAGGCAAACAAGTCCAGTCAAGGCAGCATGCAAAACCACCATACTTGGCAAGTGATGTACATTCTCTACCCATTCTCCAAGGGGAGTTCTGCCTCTCCGGACACAGCACCCCGAAACGAGACCCTGTTACTCAAATGAGCTGCATGACAGGGGAAATGATGGATCAAGCAATGACAGCATTTGGGCTCTGCTCTTATTTTTAACTTGTATCACATGCTGGGCACCGTTACACTCACCTGGAAGCAATGCTTTAAGGACAAGTTCTTTCCAACAGTGAGAATAACTCGTGTGAGAGAAGATGAGATGGTAAAAAAAAGAGCCAATGGGCCGGGCACGGTAGCTCACGCCTGTAATCCCAGCACTTTGGGAGGCCGAGGCGGGCAGATCACGAGGTCAGGATATCGAGACCATCCTGGCCAACACAGTGAAACCCCATCTCTACTAAAAATACAAAAAATTAGCCGGGTGTGGTGGCGGAAGCCTGTAGTCCCAGCTACTCGGGAGGCTGAGGCAGGAGAATGGCGTGAACCCGGGAGGTGGAGCTTGCAGTGAGCTGAGATCACACCCTGCACTCCAGCCTGGGCGACAGAGCGAGACTCCGTCTCAAAAAGAAAAAAAAAAAAAAAAAGGGCCAATGACCATGGCCAATTCCAAGCCTGAGTTGGAGGCCTGGAAGCCATTGGGGAAATAACCTACCATCACCGTTTTCCCTCTAAAAATCTAAAATCTGCTTATTCCACAGCCCCTCAGTAGGCTGCTACTGTTTGTTTTTAGCCGTCTACTAAATTTCATTGATACATGTTTCTGCCTTCTTGGTGATCCCAAATACAACAATTTATTCACACATGAAATTGAAAATGTGATAATTCTGCAAGCACACACCCCTTAAGATATGACTCTCAGCTCACAGGCTTTCTCCTCTAAACATTTATATTCAGTAACAGGTATTTGATTCCTCTTGAATTTTAATGAGGAAGGCACTTACGAGGACTCTTAGAGGCCGTGTTTAAGGGTCATTCATTATGCCCTCCATTAAATCAAGTGGCAACAGCAAACCATGCAGGTGAGGAGACCTGGGCGGCAGACGGGACAGTGTCTGAGGGTATGTGTTTGGGTTTCTCTAGCTGTTGAACAATTACACACATGAGGGACTGGGCACTGTGCCCCATGCCTGTAATCCCAGCACTCTGGGAGGCCCAGGTGGGAAGATCCATTGAGGCCCAGAGTTCCAGACGAACCTGGGAAACATAGTGAGACGCCATCTCTACAAATAATTTTTTTAAAAACTTGCCTGGGCATGATGGCACACACCTGGAGTCCCAGCTATCATGAGGCTGAGGTGGGAGCATGGCTTGAGTCCAGGAGGTCAAAGCTGCAGTGAGCCATGATCATGCCACTGCACTCTAGCCTGTGGGACACAGCAAGACCCAGTCTCCAAAAAAAAAATGTTAAAAATTAAAAATAATAAAAAATTAGGCTGGGCGGAGTAGCTCACACCTGTAATCCCAGCACTTTGGGAGGCCGAGGCGGGCAGATCACCTGAGGTCAGGAGTTCGAGACCAGCCTGGCCAACATGGAGAAACCCCGTCTCTACTAAAAATACAAAAATTAGCTGGGCCTGGTGGCGGACACCGGTAATCCCAGCTACTCAGGAGGCTGAGGCGGGGGAATTGCTTGAACCCAGGAGGTAGAGGTTACAGTGAGCCAAGATCGCACCACTGCACTCCAGCCTGGGCAACAAGAGTGGAATTCCGTCTCAAAAACAAAGAACATTAGATAGTACCGGACACGCTGGGTTGGACACAGGGCCGAAAAGGGCTAACTATAAACAACTTTTAGGCAATTTCCGAAAAAGTTGCATGTCAGAAAAAGGAAAGGTGGGCTTTCCCAGGAACTGCGTACCACCTATATTTTGCCGTGACCAGGATTTTTATATAAGCCCACGTCCTATGTGTATTTCACAGCACTAACCTTCACCTTCAAAACAAGGAGCGTTTCTTTGACTCCTCCTTCTTGGAAAATTTATCAATCAAGAAAAAAAAAAGCTTAACCATTACTGTATTTTTTTAAAGAATGGTATTTGCTACTATCTGAAAGTTTGTGTTCCTCCCCCAAATTCCTGCGTTGAAATCCTCACCCCCAAGGGACCGCTGCCGTGGGCACACTGAAGACTTTCCCTAAGAATGCGGCCAAGGGACCGCTGCCCTGTACACAAGGAAGAGGTTCCCTAAGAATGCGGCCAAGGGACCACCGCCATGTACACACTGAAGATGTTCCCTAACAATGTGGCCAAGGGACCACCCTGAAGACGTTCCCTAAGCATGCAGCCAAGGGACTGCCACCGTGTACACACTGAAAACATTCCCTAAGAATGCAGCAAAGGAACAGCACTGAAGATGTTCTCTAGGCATGTGGCCAAGGGACTGCCACCGTGTACACACTGAGGACGTTCCCTAAGCATGTGGCTAAGGGACTCCGCCATGTACACACTGAAGATGTTCCCTAAGAATGTGGCCAAGGGACCGACGCCATGTACACACTGAACACATTTCCTAAGAATGTGGTCAAGGGACCGCACTGAAGACGTTCCCTAAGAATGCAGCCAAGGGACCGCTGCTGTGTATTCACTAAAGACATTCCCTAAGTTTGTGGCTAAGGGACCGCCATCATGTACACACTGAAGATGTTCCCGAAGAACGTGGCAAAGGGACCGCACTGAAGACGTTCCAGAAGTGTGCGGCCAAGGGACTACCACCATGTACACACTAAAGACATTCCCTAAGAATGTGGCTAAGGGACTGCCGCCATGTACACACTAAAAATGTTCCCTAAGAATGTGGCCAAGGGACCCACACCATGTACAAACTGAAGACGTTCCCTAAGAATGTGGACAGGGGACTGCCGCTGTGTAGGCACTGAAGACATTCCCTAAGCATGTGGCCAAGGGACCTCACTGAAGACGTTCCCTAAGAATGTGGCCAAGGGACCGCCACCGTGTACACACTGCAGACGTTCCCTAAGCATGTGGCCCAAGGGACGACAGCTGTGTACACACTGAAGACGGTCTCGAGGCTTGTGGCTAAGGGACCACCGCCATGTACACACTGAAGATGGTCCCTAACAATGCGGCCAAGAGACCACCGCCATGTACACACTGAAGACGGTCCCTAAGAATGCGGCCAAGGGACCACCTCCATGTACACACTGAAGACATTCCCTAAGCATGGGCTAAGGGACGGTAGCCATGTACACACTGAAGAAGTTCCCTAAAAATGTGGCCAAGGGACCACCGCCATGTACTCACTGAAGATGTTCCCTAAGAATGTGGCCAAGGGATCGACACCATGTACAGAAGAAGACGTTCCCTAAGAATGTGGACAAGGGACTGCCACTGTGTAGGCACTGAAGACATTCCCTAAGAAAGCAGCCAAGGGACCGCAAGGAAGATGTTCCCAAAGAATGGGGCCAAGGGACCGTTGCAGTGTACACACTGAACATGTTAGCTATGTATGTGGCTGAGGGGCCGCCGCCATGTACGCACTGAAGCCATGTACGCACTAAAGACATTCCCTAAGAATGCAGCCAAGGGACGGCACTGAAGACATTCCCTAGGCATGAGGCCAAGGGACCGCCACGGGTACACACTGAAGACATTCCCTAAGCATGTGGCTAAGGGACCACCGCCCTGTACACAAACCGTGTACACACTGAAGATATTCCCTAAGAATGTGGCCAAGGAACAGCACTGAAGACGTTCCCTAAGCTTGTGGCTAAGGGACCACCGCCCTGTACACAAACCGTGTACACACTGAAGATATTCCCTAAGAATGTGGCCAAGGAACACCACTGAAGACGTTCCCTAAGCATGCAGCCAAGGGACTGCCACCGTGTACACACTGAAGACATTCACTAAGAATGTGGCTAAGGGACTGCTGCCATGTACACACTGAAGATGTTCCCAAGCATGTGACCAAGGGACCAACGCCGTATACACACTGAAGATGTTTCCAAAGAATATGACCAAGGGACCGCCACCTTGTACACAGTAAAGACATTCCCCAAGGTTCAGTCATGGGCCTGTGAAACATCACAGGAAAGAATGATGTGCAGGATCCAGTTATTCCACCATAAGGTGTGTACCCAAAGGAAAGGAAATCAGCCCATCAACGGGATACCTGCACCCCCTGTGCACTGCAGCACTACTCACAGTTTCCAAGATATAGAATCAACCCATGTGTCAATCAACACATGAGTGCCTCAAGCAAATGTGGCATAGACACACAGTGGAATAGTATGCAGCCATGAAAAAGGAAATCCTGCCATTTGCAACAACATGGATGGGACTGGAAAATACAATGTGAAGTGAAATAAACCAGGCACAGAGAGAATACCATATCATCTCGTATGTAGAATCTAAAAAAGCTGAATGCATAAAAGCAGAGAGTGCAATGGTGGTTGCCAGGGAAGAATGCTTCATGAAGTGTTTGTCAAAGAACATAACATTTCAGTTGGAGGCCAGGAGCGGTGGCTTATGTCCGGAATCACAATGCTATGGAAGGCTGAGGAAGGAGGACCACTGAAGGCCAGAAGTTTGAGACAAGCCTGGGCAACGTAATGAAACCCCATCTCTAAAAAAAAAACAAAAACAAAAAAATTAGCTGGGTATGGTGGCATGCACCTGTAGTCCCAGCTACTTGGGAGGCTGAGGCAGGAGGATCACTTCAGCCCAGGAATTCAAGACCAGCCTGAGCAACATAGCAAGATCCCATCTACATAAAAAATTTAAAAATTAACCAGGTGTGGTGGTGTGCACCTGTAGTCCCAGCTACCTGGGAGGCTCAGGAGGGTCACCTGAGCCAGGAGTTGGAGGCTGCAGTGAGCTATGAACATGACGCTGCACTCCACCGTGGGTGATAGGGTGAGACTGTCTCAAAAAAATATAAATTACATTAAAATTAAATTTTTTCAGTTACATAAAAGAAATAAATTCAAAGATCTATCACACCACAGTGATCATAGTTAATAATACATCGCATCTTTCAAAATGACTAAAAGTAGATTTTACATATTCTGACCACAAAAAAAAGTAGGTGAGGTGATATAGGTTAGAGTTAAGGTTATGTGAATATGTTAATTAGCTTGTTAATATGTTAATTAGCTTGATTGTTAATGTGTTTATTAGCTTGATTATTAATATGTTAATTGACTTGATTGTTAATATAGTATCTAGCTTGATTTAATCACCGCACAATGTGTACTTGGATTAAAACATCACGTACCTCATATATATGTATACGATTATTTTTTGTTAATGAACAATACATTTTCTATAAAAATGACTCGCATTTCCAGGCAGAAAGCAAAACAAGTCCCAGTTTTGAGGACAGCTGTGACATATTTAATGGTGTCTCTTCTTAATTCAACACAGTTTACACGACCATGACACAAGGGGTTCCAAGTTTCCAAGGAAAGGATTCCAGTTATGTGCTCAAGGTGTATCCACACTGGGCCGGGCGCGGTGGCTCACGCCTGTCATCCCAGCACTTTGGGAGGCTGAGGCGGGTGGATCACCTGAGGTCAGGAGTTCCAGACTGGCCTGACCAATATGCTGAAACCCCATCTCTACTAAAAATACAAAAATTAGCTGGGTGTGGTGGCGGGCGCCTGTAATGCCAGCTACTCAGGAGGCTGAGACAGGAGAATGGCTTGAACCCAGGAGGTGGAGGTTGCAGTGAGCTAAGATCGCACCACTGCACTCCAGCCTGGGCAACAAGAGTAAAACTCTGTCTCAAAAAAAAAAAAAAATGTGTCCACTCTGCACCCTGACCAGAAGAGACGACCTTCAAATGATCACACGAGGTCATCTCACAAAGCGGCGAGTGTTCCCAGTTATTACTCGGAGGGCCGGGCCTGCTCAGGAGGGTTGGTGAGATCAGGCTGTCCCCTAACACACACCATGGCAGGGCTCATCCTCCTGAGTACATGCAAGGTGCACTGAGACAGCTCCCCATAGAACTCCAAAAATAGCCCAGCTGGGAAGAAATGGAACATTCTGGGGGACACTGATTTTCATATTGAAATTTCCTATCTTTTTAAATTTATTGTGGTTGAGACAGGGTCACACCCAGGCGATTGCCCAACCTGGAGTGCAGTGGCATGATGCTAGCTCACTGCAGCCTCAACCTCCTTGGGCTCAGGCGATCCTTCAGCCTCAGCCTCCCAAGTAGCTGTGACCACACACGCGTGCCACCACATTTGGCTAATTTTTATGTTTGTATTTTTAGACACAGCACCTCTCGCTTGGTTGCCCAGGCTGTGGTCACAGCTCACTGCAGCCTCCAACTCCCACACTCAAGTGATCCTCCCACCTCTGCCTCCTGAGTAGCTGGGAATATAAGCACATACTAATTTTTTCTATTTTTAGTAGAGATGGAGTTTGGCCATGTTGCCCAGGCTGGTCTCAATCTCCTGTACTCAAGCGATCCACCGGCCTAAAGTGCTGGGATTACGGGCGTGAGCCACCACGCCTGGCCATGCAGCTGTTTTAATAAGCAATTCTGAGAAGACACAAATGCCCCCCTGCTCTTTTGTAATAATACTAACACAGATTACCGAATTACACTGACGAAAACCTCACATGCGTTACCTAAGGAAACACAGAGCCCCCAGTGTTAGATCTGAATTGTTTCTCCACCCAGGACAAATAAGTGCATTCCAATTAGTGCCTCAAAAAAAAAAGGAAAAAAGTACCAATAAATAAATAAATAAATAAAACACAGTAGAGCAGTTTCAACAAACTCCAGCCCTTATTTTTGGAAGGCCCACTTGTCAAGAACAGTGTTTATGTTTATAAATGTTTTTTCTGAATTTCTCAATGCTTAGGGAAAAAAAGTCAAAAGAGCAATATTATTTCTTGACACAACATTTATATAAAATTTAGTAATCCAAACTACTCAGGAGGCTGAGACAGGAGAATCGCTCGAACCCGGGAGGTGAAGGTTGCAGCGAGCCAAGATCGCGTCACTGTACTCCAGGCTTGGCAACAAGAGCAAAACTCTGTCTCAAAAAAAAAGAATGTTAGATAGTATCGGACATGCTGGGTTGGACACAGGACTGAAGAGCTAACTATAAACAATTTTAGGCAATTTCCACAAAAGTTACATGTCAGAAAAAGGAAAGGTGGGCTTTCCCAGGTTCTGCGTACCACCTATATTTTACCGTGACCAAGATTTTATAAGCCCAAGTCCCACGTATATTTTACAGCACTAACATTCACCTTCAAAGCAAGGAGGGTTTCTGTGTCTCCTCCTTCTTGGAAAATTTATCAAATTAAAAAAAAAAAAAGCTTAACTATTACTGTATGTTTTTAAAGAATGGTATTTGCTATATATAGTCTGAAAGTTTGTATTCCTCCCCCAAATTCCTGCATTGAAATCCTCACCCCTAAGACAATGGAGTCAGGAGGTGGGAGACTTGGGAGGTGATGAGATCATGGGGATCGAGCCTCATGAATGGGATCAGTGTCCTTATAAAAGGGACCCCAGAGAGCTCCCTCGCCCCTTCCACGCAGAGAAAATGCATCATCTATGAACCAGGAAGTGGGTCCCCACCAGACACTGAATCCGCCACGATCTTAAACCTCCAACCTTTAGAACTGTGAGTGACAAATGTCTGTAGTTTATAAATTACCCAACTGAAGGTATTTTATTTTAGCAGCTCCCTACTCAGGAGGCTGTGGCAGGAGAATCGCTTGAACCCGGGAGGCGGAGGGTGCAGTGAGCTGAGATCACAGCACTGCACTCCAGCCTGGGCAATACAGCAAGACTCCATCTTTAAAAAAAAAAAAAAAAAAGTTGCATCAAGAATGAAAGGTGCACAAAGGCAGCCAGGGATGCAAGCCCCTTCCACCCTGGGCCCTGGAACTGCACAGGCCACCTTCAAAGGTTTCTTTCCTGTCATCCTCCCAAGTCTACACGAATATAAAGAAACACACTAGAAGCCTCTGATAGGATGGGGGCATCTCCAGAAATCCGAAGATTCAGGTTCTGAACCTCTGATCTGGGTGGGGCTGGGAGCTGCAGTTCCAGAAAGCAAATGAAGCCTTGGCTGTGATTCAGACCATTTCTTGGTAGCAAGCGTGTAGGGGAAGAAGAATGTGGACGGGGCAGGGGAAGGAATGAATTCGGTCAGGACGGTGGCTGGAGAATGTCTGAGACGGCCACGTGCAGAGAGGAGCAGGCTGGCTGCGTCTCTCACTGTGCCTGGGACAGGCGGTGACAGAGAAATGGGATTCCACATGAGAGTCAGAGACACCCAGTGAAGAAACAAAAGCAGCTTACAGGGTGAAAAGGACACAGACAGACACTGACACTCAGAAGAATGTTGCCAAGGGACCGCCACTGTGTATGAACTGAAAAGGTTCCCTAAGAATGCGGCCAAGGGACTGCTGCCGTGTACACACTGAAGACGCTCCCTAAGAATGCAACTAAAAGACAACACTGAAGACGTTCCCTAGGCATGTGGCTAAGAAACCACTGCCATGTACACATTGAAGACATTCCCTAAGTATGTGGCTAAGGCACCACTGCCATGTACACACTGAAGACGTTCCCTAAGTATGTGGTTAAGGGACTGCCGCCATATACACACTGAAGATGTTCACTAAGCAGGTGACTAAGGGATCGCCGCCATGTACTCACTGAAGACGTTCACTAAGCATACGGCCAAGGGACTGCCGCCGTGTACACACTGAAGACATTCCCTAAGAATGTGGCTAAGGGACCGCCGCCATGTACACACTGAAGATGTTCCCAAAAAATGTGGCCAAGGGACTGCTGCCATGTGCACATTGAAGACGTTCCCTAAGCAGGTGGCTAAGGGACCACCACCATGTACACACTGAAGACGTTCCCTAAGAATGCAGCCAAGGGACGGCACTGAAGACGTTCCCTAGGCATGTGGTCAAGGGACCGCACTGAAGATGTTCCCTAAGCATGTAGCCAAGGGACTGCCACCGTGTACACATTGAAGACATTCCCTACGAATGTGGATAAGGGACCTCCGCCATGTACACACTGAAGACGTTCCCTAACCATGCGCCCAAGGGACCTCCGCCATGTACACAGTGAAGACGTTCCCGAAGAATGTGGCCAAGAGACCACCATGTACACACTGAAGATGTTCCCTAAGCATGTGGCCAATGGACCGCACTGATGACGTTCCCTACGCATGCGGCCAACGGACTGCCACTGTGTACGCGCGGAAGACATTCCCTAATAATGTGGCTAAGGGACCACTGCCAAGTACACACTGAATATGTTCCCTGAGCATGTGGCCAAGGGACGGCCGTCATGTACACATTGAAGACGTTCCCTAAGAATGTGGCCAAGGGACCACCACCTTGTACACAGTGAAGACGTTCCAAAGGTCCAGTCATGGGCCTGCGAAACATCAGAGGAAAGAATGGTGTACAGGATCTAGTCATCCCACCACTGGGTGTGTACCCATCAATGGGATACCTGCCCCACTGTGCACTGCAGCACTACTCAGTTTCCAAGAGACGGAATAAACCCATGTGTCAATCAACAGATGAGTGCATCAAACAAATGTGGCATAGACACACACTGGAATAGTATGGAGCCATGAAAAAGGAAATCCTGTCATTTGCAGCAACATGGATGGGACTGGAAGATACAAGGTGAAGTGAAATGAAACAGGCACAGAGAGACAAATACCATATCATCGCATATGTAGAATATAAAAAAGCTGAACACATAAATGCAGAGGGTACAATGGTTGTTGCCAGCAAAGAATGCTGAAGTGTTTGTCAAAGAACACAAAATTTCAGTTGCTGGCCAAAAGCGGTGGCTCATGTCTGGAATCACAATGCTATGGAAGGCTGAGGAAGGAGGATCACTTGAGGCCAGGAGTTTGAGATAAGCCTGGGCAACAGAATGAAACCCCATCTCTAAAAAAAAAAAACAAAAAATTAGCTGGGTATGGTGGCATGCACCTGTACTCCCAGCTACATGGGAGGCTGAGGCAGGAGGATCGCTTCAGCCCAGGAATTCAAGACCAGCCTGAGCAACATAGCAAGACACCATCTCTACAAAAAATTTAAAAATTAACCAGGTGTGGTGGTGTGCACCTGTACTCCCAGCTACCTGGGAGGCTGAGGTGGGAGGGTCACCTGAGCCATGACTTGGAGGCTGCCGAGAGCTATGAACATGATGCTGTACTCCAGCCTGGCTATAGGGTGAGACTGTCTCAAAAAATACATAAATTACATTAAAATTAATTTTTTTCAGTTAGATAAAACAAATAAATTCCAAGATCTATCACACCACAGTGATGATAGTTAATAATACATCGCGTCTTTCACAATGACTAAAAGTAGATTTGACATATTCTCCCCACAAAAAAAACTAGGTGAGGTGATATAGGTCAGAGTTAGGATTATGTGAATATGTTAATTAGCTTGATTGTTAATATGTTAATTAGCTTGGTTAATACGTTATTAGCTTTATTTTAATATGTTAATTAACTTTATTGTTAATATGGTAACTAGCTTGATTTAATCATTGCACAATGTGTACTTGGATTAAAACATTACATTGTACCATATATATGTATACAATTATTTTTTGTTAACGAAAAATAAATTTTCTATAAAAATGACTTGCATTTCCAGGCAGAAAGCAAAACAAGTCCCAGTTTCGAGGACAGCTGTGATATATTTAACAGTGTCTCCTCTTAATTCAACACAGTTTATATGACCATGACACAAGGGGTTCCAAGTTTCCAAGGAAAGGATTCCAGTTATGTGCTCAAGGTGTATCCACACTGGGCCGGGCGCTGTGACTCACGCCTGTCATCCCAGCACTTTGGGAGGCTGAGGCGGGTGGATCACCTGAGGTCAGGAGTTCCAGACCAGCCTGACCAATATGCTGAAACGCTGTGTCTACTAAAAATACAAAAATTAGCCAGGTGTGGTGGCAGGCACCTGTAATCCCAGCTACTCAGGAGGCTGAGGCAGGAGAATTGCTTCAACCCGGGAGATGTTGGCTGCAGTGAGCCGAGATTGAGCTATTGCACTCCGGCCTGGGCAACAAGAGAGAAACTCCGTCTCAAAAAAAAAAAAAGACATATTCATGTTGAGATTTCTACACTGTGAAAAAAGATCTCCAATAGTGTGCATCAGGCACCCCAAAAATTCCCAATTCTATTAACCAATCAAATCTACTAGGAAATTGCAATTGGAATGACTCCACGGTTTCCCAGAAAGGCCAACACCATTCTAATAGAAAGCATTCACTGTTTTTATGCAAATCATTTCATCCATACCTCAAAACGACGTCATGTAGACTGGATAAAGAAAGGTGGGAGCATATACACTATGGAATACTATGCACCCATGAAAAAGAATGGGATTGGTTGGGCGTGGTGGCTCACGCCTGTAATCTCAGAAATTTGGGAGGCCGAGGCGGGTGGATTACCTGAGGTCCGGAGTTCAAGACCAGCCTGTCCAACATGGAGAAACCCTGTCTCTACTAAAAACACAAAATTAGCTGGGCGTGGTGGCATGCACCTGTAATCTCAGCTACTCAGAAGGCTAAGGCAGGAGAATCACTGGAACCCGGGAGCCAGAGGTTGCGGTGAGTCAAGATCACACAATTGAACTCCAGCCTGGGCAACAAGAGGGAAACCCCATCTCAAAAAAAAAAAAACGGGATGATGTCCTTTGCAGGAACCTGCATGGAGGTGGAGGCCATTATCCTTAGCAAACTTACACAGCAACAGAAGACAAAATACCTCCTGTTCTCACTGATAAGTGGTAGGTAAGCATTGGGTACCCGTGGATATAAAGAAGGGATCAGACTCCGGGGCCTGCTGGAAGGTGGAGGGTGGGACAAACGAGAGGATTGAAAAATTACCTATCAGGTGGTAGTAGGCTTATTACCTGGTTGATGAAATAATCTCTACACTAAACCCCCAGGACATGCAATTTACCCGTGTAACGAACCTGCGCATGTGCCCCTCAACCTGAAATAAAAGTAAAAACAAGTAGGCCGGGAGCAGTGATTCCTAATCCCAGCACTTTGGGAGGGCAAGGCGGGTGGATCACTTGAGGCCAGGAGTTCGAGACCACCCTGACCAACATGATGAAACCCTGTCACTACTAAAAATACAAAATTAGTCGGGCATGGTGGCACACACCTATAATCCCAGCTACGTGACAGGCTGATGCGGGAGAATCCCGTGAACCCTGGAGACGGAGGTTGCAGTGAGCCGAGATTGTGCTACTGCACTCCAGCCTTGGCGACAAGAACAAAACTTCGTCTCAAAAAAAAAAAAAAAAAAAACAATAAAAAGCACACACAAAACACTGCATGCTTCTATGGGGAACATTTTACTGATTTTTTTTTAACTCTTTTAAAATGTTAGATTAGTGTCTTAGGAAATCAGGGATTTCCAGAGGCAGGACTTCACGACACCAACGTTGAGTGTCAAAAGGATTCCTTTCAATGTAGAAGGTGCATGCCTGCTCTGGGCTTCCACAAATCCCCGAGACTTAATAAGACACCTGGCTCCGTCACTGATCAAAGAATGGGTACCACGACTTAGCATCCACTGCAAAGCTCCATGGTGCCTAGCTTTAGCCAGTTTGTTCACAGCCGTGATTAAGGTGTCCACAGCATCCTCACCAGCCTCAGGAACAGGGCACAGTCAACTCACCACAGGGGTGACCCCAGAAACAAGAGACACGACTGTAACAGGGACAATGTGCGGGACGCCAAAAACCAGAACAAGAGACAGGAATATTATAACAGGGACAAAGTCGACACCACATGGAAGATGGATGACTCATTTGTCACAGGTAGAAACAGTTTATCTGCGAGTTTGTAACCAGGTGAATCAAGAATGAAGGGTGCGGCCGGGCGCAGTGGCTCATGCCTGTTATCCCAGAACTTTGGGAGGCTGAGGCAGGTGGATCACCTGAGGTCAGGAGTTCAAGACCAGCCTGGCCAACATGATGAAACCCCATCTCTACTAAAAATACAAAGATTAGCCATGTGTGGTGGCAGGTGCCTGTAATCCCAGCTACTCGGGAGGCTGTGGCAGGAGAATGGCTTGAACACAGGAGGCGGAGGTTGCAGTGAGCTGACATCACAGCACTGCACTCCAGCCTGGGGGACACAGCAAGACTCCTCTTCAAAAAAAAAAAAAAAAAACAGCTGGATGAAGAATGAAAGGTGCACAAAGGCAGCCAGGGATGCAAGCCCCTTCCACCCTGGGCCCTGGAACTGCACAGGCCACCTTCTAAGGTTTCTCTCCTGTCATCCTCCCAAGTCTACACGAATATAAAGAAACACACTAGAAGTCTCTGATGGGATGGGGGCATCTCCAGAAATCCGAAGATTCAGGTTCTGAATCTCTGATCTGAGTGCGGCTGGGGAGCTGCTGTTCCAGAAAGCAAATGAAACTTTGGCTGTGATTCAGACCATTTCTTGGTAGCAAGGGTGTAGGGAAAGAAGGATGTGGACCGTGCAGGAGAAGGAATGAATGGGGTCAGGACAGTGGCTGGAGAATGTCTGAGATGGCCACGTGCAGAGAGGAGCAGGCTGGCTGTGTCTCTCACTGTGCCTGGGATGGGTGGTGACAGATGAGTGGGATTCCACATGATAGAGACACCCAATGAAGAAATAAAAGCAGCTTACAGGGAGCAAATGACACAGACACTCAGAAGAAAGTGGCCAAGGGATCGTCCCCATGTATGAACTGAAGACGTTTTCTAAGAATGTGGCCAAGGGTCCACACTGAAGATGATCCCTAAGAATGTGGCCAAGGGACCACCACCATGTAGGCACTGAAGACGTTCCCTAAGAATGTGGCAGCGGGATGGCCACTGTGTAGAAACTGAAGATGTTCCCTAAGGATGTGGCCAAGGGACCACCACCATGTACACACTGAAGACGTTCCCTAAGTATGTGGCGCAAGGGACCTCTGCTGTGTGCACACTGAAGACGTTCCCTAAGCATGTGGCTAAGGGACTGCTACCATTTACACACTGAAGACATTCCCTAAGATGCAGCCAAGGGACAGCACTCAAGACATTCCCTAGGCATGTGGCCAAGGGACCGCCACCATGTAAACACTGAAGACGTTCCCTAAGCCTGTGGCTAAGGGACAGCCGCCATGTACACACTGAAGACATCCCCTAAGAATGCCGCAAAAGAACCGCCACCGTGGACATGCTGAAGATGGTTCCCCTAAGCATGTGGTTAAAGGACTGCCGCCCTGTACACACTGAAGACGTTCCCTAAGAATGTGGCCAAGGGACTGCCACCATGTACACACTGAAGACGTTCCCTAAGCATGTGGCCCAAGGGACAGCCACGGTGTGCACACTGAAGACGTTCCCTAAGCTTGTGGCTAAGGGACCACCACCATGTACACACTGAAGACGTTCCCTAAGAAAGCAGCCAAGAGACGGCAGGGAATATGTTCCGTAAGCATGTAGCCAAGGGACCGCCACCAAGTACAAACTGAAGACATTCCCTAAGCTTGTGGCTAAGGGACCACCGCAGTGTGCACACTGAAGACGTTCCCTAAGAATGCGGCCAAGGGACTGCCGCCATGTACACACTAAAGACATTCCCGAAGAATTAGGACTAGGGACTGCCACCGTGTACACACTGAAGACATTCGGGAAGAATGTGGCTAAGGGACTGCTGCCAGCTACACACTGAAGATGTTTCCTAAGCATGTGGTCAAGAGACCAACATCGTGTACACACTGCAGACGTTCCCTAAGAATGTGGCCAAGGGACCCCCACCTTGTACAAAGTGAAGACGTTCCCTAAGGTCCAGCCATTGGCCTGCAAAACATCAGAGCAAAGAATGTTGTGCAGGATCCAGTCATCCCACCGCTCGGTGTGTACCCAAAGGAAAGGAAATCTGCCCATCAATGGCATACCTGCACCCCCTGTGCACTGCAGCACTACTAATAGTTTCCAAGATATAGAATCAACCCATGTTCAATCAACAGATAAGTGCATCAAGCGAATGTGGCATAGACACACAATGGAATGGTATGCAGCCATGAAAAAGGAAATCCTACCATTTGCAGCAACATGGGTGGGACTGAAAGATACAATGTGAAGTGAAATGAACCAGGCACAGAGAGACAAATATCGTATCATCTCATAGGTAGAATCTAAAAAAGCTGAACGCATAAACGCAGAGAGTGCAATGGTGGTTGCCAGGGAAGAATGCTTCATGAAGTGTTTGGCAAAGAACATAACATTTCAGTTGGAGGCCAGGAGCGGTGGCTCATGTCTGGAATCACAATGCTATGGAAGGCTGAGGAAGGAGGATCACAGAAGGCCAGGAGTTTGAGAGAAGCCTGGGCAACATAATGAAACCCCATCTCTAAAAATAAAAAAAAATGAAAAAATTAGCTAGATATGGTGGCATGCACCTGCAGTCCCAGCTACTTGGGAGGCTGAGGCAGAAGGATCACTTCTGCCCAGGAATTCAAGACCAGCCTGAGCAACATAGCAAGACCCCATCTCTACAAAACTTTAAAAATTAACCAGGTGTGGTGGTGTGCACCTGTAGTCCCAGCTACCTGGGAGGCTCAGGTGGGAGGGTCACCTGTGCCAGGAGTTGGAGGCTGCCATGAGCTATGAACATGACGCTGCACTCCAGCCTGGGTGATAGAGGGTGAGACTGTCTCAAAAACATAAATTACATTAAAATTAAATTTTTTCAGTTACATAAAAGAAATAAATTCAAAGTTCTATCATACCACACAGTGATTATAGTTAATAATAATACATTGCATCTTTCAAAATGACTAAAACTAGATTTTACATATTCTCATCACCAAAAAAACGAAGTGAGGTGATATAGGTTAGAGTTAGGGTTATCTGAATATGTAAATTAGCTTGTTAATATGTTAATTAGCTTGATTGTTAATATGTTAATTAGGTCAATGGTTAATATGTTAATTCACTTAATTATTAATGTTAATTAGCTTCATTGCTAATATGGTAACTAGCTTGGTTTAATCACTGCACAATGTGTACTTGGATTAAAACATCATATTGTACCATAGAGAGAGAGAGAGAGAGAATGTGTGTCTGTGTGTATATATATATATATATATATATATATATACACACACATACAATATATATATACACACACACACAATTATTTTTTGTTAACGAACAATAAATTTTCTATAAAAGTGACTCCCATTTCCAGGCAGAAAGCAAAACAAGACCCAGTTTTGAGGACAGCTATGACATATTTAACGGTGTCTCCTCTTAATTCAATACAGTTTATATGACTATGTTCCAAGGGGCTCCAAGTTGTCAAGGAAAGGATTCCAGTTATGTGCTCAAGGTGTATCTACACTGGGCCGGGCGCGGTGGCTCACGCCTGTCATCCCAGCACTTTGGGAGGCTGAGGCAGGTGGATCACCTGAGGTCAGGAGTTTGAGAACAGCAAGGCCAATATGCTGAAACCCTGTCTCTACTAAAAATACAAAAATTAGCCGGGTGTGGTGGCGGGCGACTGTAATCCCAGCTACTCAGGAGGTTGAGACAGAAGAATGGCTTGAACCCAGGAGGTGGAGGTTGCAGTGAGCCGAGATCATGCCATTGCACTCCAGCCTGGGCAAAAAGAGCAATAATCCTTCTCAAACAAACAAACAAACAAAAAAAGTATCCACACTGCAGCGTGGACCAGAAGAGATGACCTTCCAGTGAGCACACGAGGTCCTCTCACAAAGCGGCGAGTGTTCCCAGTTATTACTCGGAGGGCCGGGCCTGCTCAGGAGGGTTGGTGAGATCAGGCTGTCCCCTAACACACACCATGGCAGGGCTCATCCTCCTGAGTACATGCAAGGTGCACTGAGCCGGCTCCCCATGGAACTCCAAAAATAGCCCAGCTGGGAAGAAATGGAACGTTCTGGGGGACACTGATTTTCACATTGAAATTTCCTATCTTTTTAAATTTATTTTGGTTGAGACAGTCGCCCAGGCTATTGCCCAGCCTGGAGTGCAGTGGCATGATCGTAGCTTATGGCAGCCTCAGCCTCCTTGGGCTCAAGCGATCCTTCAGCCTCAGCCTCCCAAGTAGCTGTGACCACACACGTGTGCCACCACGTCTGGCTTTTTTTTTTTTTTTTAGAGACAGCATCTCTCTCCTTGTTGCACAGGCTGGAGTGCAGTGGTGCGATCACGTTTCACAGCAGCCTCCAACTCCCAGGCTCAAGTGATCCTCCCACCTCAGCCTCCTGTGTAACTGGGACTACAAATGCACACCTTATGTCCAGCTAATTTTTTTATTGTTACTAGAGACAAGGTCTCATTATGTTGACCAGGCTGGTCTCAAACCCCTGAGTTCAAGTGATCCTACTGACTTAGCCTCCCAAAGTGCAGGTATTACAAGCATGAGCCACCACACCCAGCCTATTTTTATTTTATTTTTGTAGGCACAGGATCTCGCTGTTTGCCCAGGCTGATCTCAAACTCCTGGTCTCAAAAATCATCCTCCTGCCTCAGCCTCCCAAAGTGCTGGGATGACAGGTGTGAGCCATTGTGCCCGGCCTCATACCATTTTTGAATCATGAAACTTTATTATTCTTTGCAGTTTTTCCCCCAAGAATTTAGACATGTAAGAAGCAAACCAACACCTTTTAAAACTTAAACATAATTCCTAGCTTGTGGATCCAGTTTTGGAAGCGATTTAAATTCTAGAAAGCCTGCAGTAAACTGGCTATTTGATACGTTCTCAGAGTTCCTGCCTTTCCAGTTAAACACAAATAAAATAGGAGTCCGGTGACCTCGAACACCCCAGGGTAAGAACGCACAAGCTAAAAGCCAGTTGGAGCCTGAATGTGAAAAGGCAATCGTTCCTTCTGCATCAAAACATCTGCACCCACGGGTCCACCCGTCAGCCAAAAGCCACCTCAGCAATGCTACCAAAACAGGGAAAAGAAAGGCTACCCTCTTTCTTTCATGCAAGCCCTCTAAGATAACGCACAACCTACTAGCTCACGTAAATTAGGGCACAAAGAACCCAACTGAAATCCCGGCAGAACAAGCACAACTTCTGCTTAATCATGAACTTATTTATTTATTTAGAGACAGGGTGTCTCTCACTCTGGTGCCCAGGCTGCACGACAGTGATGCAATCTCAGCTCACTGCAGCCTCGACTTTGTGGGCTCCAGTGATCCTCCCACCTCAGCCACCCAGGTAGCTGTGACCACACACGCGTGGCACCATGTTTGGCTAATTTTTATTTTTATAATTTTAGACACAGCATCTCTCGCTTGGTTTCCCAGGCTGTGATCACAGCTCACTGCAGCCTCCAACTCCCACGCTCAAGTGATCCTCCCACCTCTGCCTCCTCAGTAGCTGGGACTACAGGCACGCTCTCACTTTTTGTATTTTTAGTAGAGATGAGGTTTGGCCATGTTACCCAGGCTGGTCTCAAACTCCTGGGCTCAAGCGATCCACCGGCCTCGGCCTCCCAAAGTGCTGGGATCACAGGCATGAGAGCCACCGCGGCTGGCCATGCAGCTGTTTTAATAAGCAATTCTGAGAAGACACAAATGCCACTCTGCTCTTTTGTGATAATATTAACACAGATTACTGAATTACAGTGACAAAAACTTCATATGTATTACCTAAGGAAACACAGAGCCCCCAGTGTTAGATCTGAACTCTTTCTCCACCCAGGACGAATAAGTGGATTCCAATTAGTGCCTCAAAAAAAAAAAAAAAGAAAAAAGTAGCAAGAAAAAAAAAGAACAGTAGAGCAGTTTCCACAAACGCCAGCCCTTATTTTTGGAAGGCCCACTTGCCAAGAACAATGTTTACTTGTCAAAAACAGTGTTGACGTTCATAAATGTTTTTTTCTGAATTTCTCAACGGTTAAGGGAAAAAAAGGCAAAAGAGCAATAATATTTCTTGACACAACATTTATATAAAATTTAGTAATCCCAGCTACTCAGGAGGCTGAGACAGGAGAATCGCTTGAACCTGGGAGGTGGAGGTTGCAGCGAGCCAAGATCGTGCCACTGTACTGCAGCCTGGGCAACAAGAGCAAAACTCCATCTCAAAAAAAAAACAATGTTAGATAGTATCGGACATGCTGGGTTGGACACAGGACTGAAGGGTAACTAGAAACAACTTTCAGGCAATTTCCACAAAAGTTACATGTCAGAAACAGGAAAGGTGGGCTTCCCCAGGTACTGCAAACCACCTATATTTTGCCATGACCAGGAATTTTTTATAAGCCCAAGTCCCACGTGTATTTTACAGCACTAATATTAACCTTCAAAACACGGAGGGTTTCTGTGTCTCCTCCTTCTTGGAAAATTTATCAAATTAAAAAAAAAAAGCTTAACTATTACTGCATTTTTTTAAAGAATGGTATTTGCTACAATCTGAAAGTTTGTGTTCCTCCCCCAAATTCCTGCATTGAAATCCTCACCCCTAAGACAATGGTGTCAGGAGGTGGGAGACTTGGGAGGTGATGACTTCATGGGGATCAAGCCTCATGAATAGGATCACTGTCCTTATAAAAGGAGCCCCAGAGAGCTCCCTCGCCCTTTCCACCATGTGAGCAGGCAGAGAAAATGCGTCGTCTATGAACCAGGGAGTGCATCCCCACCACACACTGAATCTGCCATGATCTTGAACCTCCAGCCTTCAGAACTGTGAGTGATAAATGTCTCTAGTTTATAAATTACCCAACTGAAGGTATTTTATTTTAGCAGCTCCCTACTCAGAGAGGCTGTGGCAGGAGAATCGCTTGAACATGGGAGGCGGAGGTTGCAGTGACCTGAGATCACACCACTGCACTCCGGCCTGGGCGACACAGCAAGACTCCGTCTCAAAACAACAACAACAACGGTTGGATCAAGAATGAAAGGTGCACGAAGGCAGTGATGAATGGAAGCCCCTTCCACCCTGGGCTCTGGAACTGCACAGGCCACCTTCTAAGGTTGCTCTCCTGTCATCCTCCCAAGTCTACACGGATATAAAGAAACACACTAGAGGTCTCTGATGCGATGGGGGCATCTCCAGAAATCCGAAGATTCAGGTTCTCAACCTCTGATCTGGGTGGGGGTGGGGAGCTGCAATTCCAGAAAGCAAAGGAAGCCTTGGCTGTGATTCAGACCATTTCTTGGTATCAAGCGTGTAGGGGAAGAAGGATGTGGACAAGGGAAAGAGAAGGAATGAATGCGGTCAGGACGCTGGCTGGAGAATGTCTGGGATGGTGACGTGCAGAGAGGAGCAGGCTGGCTGCGTCTCTCACTGTGCCTGGGACAGGCGGTGACAGAGGAAAGGGATTCCACATGAGAGTCAGAGACACCCAATGAAGAAAAAAAAGCAGCTTACAGGGTGAAAAGGACACAGACACAGACACGCAGAAGAATGTGGCCAAGGGATCGCCACCGAGTACGAACTGAAGACGTTTTCTAAGAATGGGTCCAAGGGACTGCCACTGTATGCACTGAAGACGTTCGGAAAGCATGTGGCCAAAGGACCACTGCTGTGTACACACTGAAGACATTCGCTAAGAATATGGCTAAGAGACGGCCACCTGTACACACTGGAGACGTTCCCTAAGTATGTGGCTAAGGGACCACCGCCATGTACACACTGAAGATGTTCCCTAAGTACGTGGCTAAGGGACGGCCGCCATGTACGCACTGAAGACGCTCCCTAAGAATGCAGCGAAGAGATGGCAGACGTTTCCTAGGCATGTGGCTAAGGGACCGCCGTGTACACACTTAAGACATTCCCTAAGCACGTGGCCCAAGGGACCATTGCCCTTTGCACATTGAAGACGATCCCTAAGCTTGGGTTAAGGGACCGCTGCCATGTACACACTGAAGAGGTTCCCTAGCAATCCGGCCAAGGGCCGCTGATGTGCACACACTGAAGACGTTCCCTAAGTGTGTGGCTAAGGGACTGCTACCATATACACACTGAAGATGTTCCCTAAGAATGTGGGTAAGGGACCGCCGCCATGTTCGCACTGAAGACGCTCCCTAAGAATGCGTCCAGGGGACTGCTGCCGTGTGCACACTGAAGATGTTCCCTAAGAATGTGGGTAAGGGACCCCCGCCATGTTCGCACTGAAGACGCTCCCTAAGAATGCGTCCAGGGGACAGCTGCCGTGTGCACACTGAAGATGTTCCCTAAGTATGTGGCTAAGGGAAGGCAGCCATGTACACACTGAAGACGTTCCCTAAGAATGCAGCCAAGGGAGGGCACTGAAGACGTTCCCTAGGCATGTGGCCAAGGGACCGCCACCTTATACACACTGAAGACGTTCCCTAAGCTTACGGCTAAGGGACCGCTGACATGTACACACTGAAGACGTTCTGTAACAATGCAGCCAAGGAACGGCCACCATGTACACACTGAAGAATTCCCTAAGCATGTGGCGCAAGGGACTGATACCATGTGCACAATGAAGATGTTCCCTAACCATAGGCCAACAGACTGCCACTGTGTAAATACTTAAGACATTCCCTAAGAATGGGGCTAAGGGACCCCCGCCATGTACACACTGAAGACGTTCCCTAAGAATGCAGTCACAGGATGGCACCGAAGACGTTCCCTAGGCATATGGCCAAGGGACCTCACTGAAGACGTTCCCTAAGCATGCGGCCCAGGGACAGCCACCGTGTACACACTGAAGACATTCCCAAAGCATGTGGCCAAGGGAACAAACTGAAGACGTTCCCTAATACAAAAGCTAAGACATTGTGGGTGTACCACACACTTCCTACAGCTGTGGGAAAATGAGGCTCTTCAGGGCGCCTCCATGACTAGCCACGAACCCAGCTAGGTGAGCCACGGAAAGAATGGCGTGTTGTAACTGCAGTAATTACCAAGACATAACAGGATCTAATCGCTTTCTAAATACATGGCTCCCTTAAGTCTCCCCATCCCTCCTCAATCACGCCAAAGAAGACCTGTTTAGCATACAAAATCAAGCTGTGAGGAGTAAAACTTTGGCAATGTCATTTCATCACAGCACAGAGCCACTGTGAGTCCAGCACCTCTTATGAAAAGAAAACAGACGGCCAGGCACCGTGGCTGACACCTGTCATCCGAGCACTTTGGGAGGCTGAGGCAGGTGGATCACTTGAGGCCAGGAGTTCGAAACCAGCCTGCCCAACAGGTGAAACCCCGTCTCTACTAAAAATACAAAAAAAAAGAAAAATCAGGGTGTAGGGGCAGGCACTTACAATCCCAGCTACTCCAGAGGCTGAGGCAGGAGAATTGCTTGAACCCAGGAGATGATGGCTGCAGTGAGCCCAGATTCAGCCATTGCACTCTAGCCTGGGCAACAAGAGCAAAACTCCATCGCAAAAAAAAAAAAAAAAAGAGAAAAGAAAACAGACATATTCATGCTGAGATTTCTACACTGTGAAAAAATATCTGCAACAGGGCATCACGCACCCCAAAAATTCCCAATGCTCTTAGCTAATCAAATCTACCAGGAAATTGCAATTCGAATGACTCCACAGTTTCCCAGAAAGGCAAACGCCATTCCAATAGAAAACATTCACTGCTTTTATGCACATTGTTACATCCATTCCTGAACACGACGCCTGTTACATCCATTCCTCAACAGGACGCCATGTAGACTGGATAAAGAAAGGGTGGAGCATATACACTATGGAATACTATGGACCCATGAAAAAGAATGGGATTGGTTGGGCGTGGCGGCGCATGCCTGTAATCCCAGCACTTTGGGAGGCCGAGGCAGGCAGATTACCTGAGGTCGGTAGCTCAAGACCAGACTGGCCAACATGGAGAAGCCCCGTCTCTACTAAAAATACAAAATTAGCCCAGCGTGGTGGTATGCGCCTGTAATCTCAACGACTCAGTAGCCTGAGGCAGGAGAATCACTTGAACCCAGGAACAGGAGGTTGTGGTGAGCTGAGATCACACCACTGCACTCCAGCCTGGGCAACAAGAAGGAAACCCAGTCTCAAAAGAAAAAGAAAAAAAGAAAACATGGGATGATGCCCTTTGCAGGAACATGCATGGAGGTGGAGGCCATTATCCTTAGCAAACTCACGTAGGAAAAGAAAACCAAATATCACCTGTTCTCACTCATAAACGGCAGCTAAACATTGGGTACTCATGGATACAAAGAAGGGAACAGCTGCAGGGGCATGCTGGAGGGTGGAGGGTGGGAGAAATGAGAGGATCGAAAAACTACCTATCAGGTGGTACTGGACTTATTACCTGCATGATGAAATAATCTGTTCACTAAGCCCCCAAGACATGCAATTTACCTGCGCACGTCCCCCTCAACCTGAAATCAAAGTGAAAAAAGTAGGCTGGGGGCGGTGATTCATAATCCCAGCCCTTTGGGAGGCCAAGGCGGGTGGATCACCTGAGGCAAGGAGTTCCAGACTACCCTGATCAACATGCTGAAACCCTGTCACTACTAAAAATACAAAAGTAGCAGGGCATGGTAGCGCACACCTATAATCCTAGCTACCTGACAGGCTGAGGTGGGAGAATCCCTTGAATGCGGGAGACAGAGATTGCAGTGAGCCGAGATCGCGCCATTGCACTCCAGCCTGGGAGACAAGAGCAAAAGTCCATCTCAAAAAAAAAAAAAAAAACGCTACATGACTACATGTAACAGCTACTGGGAACATTTTATTGAAATTTTTTAAGCCCTTTAAAATGTTAGGGTAGTGTCTTAGGAAATCAGGGATTTCCAAAGGCAGGACTTCACGACGCCAACTTGAGTGTGAGAAGGATTCCTTTCTACGTAGAAGGTGCATGCCTGCTCTAGGCTTCCACAAATCCCCGAGACCTAATAAGACATCTGGCTCCGTCACTGATCAAACAATGAGTACAACAGCTTAGCGTCCACTGCAAAGCTCCGTGGCAGTTAGCTCTAGTCAGTTTGTTCACAGCCGTGATTAAGGTGCCCACAGCATCCTCACCAGCCTCAGGAACGCGGCACAGTCAGCTCTCCACACGGGTGACCCCAGAAACAAGAGACAGGACTGTAACAGGGACAACGTGCGGCACACCAAACACCAGAAACAGGAGACCGGACTGAAACAGGGACAATGTGTGAGATGCCAAAAACCAGAACAAGAGACAGGAATATTATAACAGGGACAAAGTCCAGAGGACATGGAAGGTGGAAGACTCATGTGTCATAGGTGGAAACAGTTTATCTGTGAGTTGCAAACCAGGTGGATCAAGAATAAAAAGTGCAGCCGGACGTGGTGGCTCACACCTGTAATCCCAGCACTTTGGGAGGCCAAGGTGGATGGATCACCTGAGGTCAGGGGTTTGAGACCAGCCTGACCAACATGGAGAAACCTCATCTCTACTAAAAATATAAAATTAGCCAGGCATGGTGGTGCATGCCCGTACTCCCAGCCACTCAGGAGAATCGCTTGAACCCAGGAGGCGGGGAGGTTGCAGGGAGCTGAGATCACACCACTGCACTCCAGCCTGGGCGACACAGTAAAACTCCGTCTCAAAAAAAAAAAAAAAAAATGTTGGACCAAGAATGAAAGGTGCACAAATGCAGCCAGGGATGGAAGCCCCTTCCACCCTGGGCCCTGGAACTGCACAGGCCACCTTCTAAGGTTTCTCTCCTGTCATCCTCCCAAGTCTACACGAATATAAAGAATCACACTAGAAGTCTCTGATGCGATGGGGGCATCTCCAGAAATCCGAAGATTCAGGTTCTGAACCTCTGATCTGGGTGGGCTGGGGAGCTGCAGTTCCAGAAAGCAAAGGAAGCCTGTGATGTGATTCAGACCATTTCTTGGTAGCAAGGGTGTAGGGGAAGAAGGATGTGGACCGGGCAGGGGAAGGAATGAATGCGGTCAGGACGCTGGCTGGAGAATGTCTGAGATGGCCACTTGCAGAGAGGAGCAGGCTGGCTGCGTCTCTCACTGTGCCTGGGATGGTCGCTGACAGAGGAAACGGATACCACATAAGAGTCAGAGACACCCAATGAAGAAACAAAAGCAGTTTACAGGATGAAAAGTACACAGACACGGACACTCAGAAGAATGTGGCCAAGGGACCGCCACTGTGTATGCACTGAAGAGGTTCCCTAAGAATGCGGCCACGGGACTACTGCCATGTACACACTGAAGACGTTCCCTAAGTATGCGGCCAAGGGACCGCCGCCATGTACACACTGAAGACATTCCCTAAGAATGTGGCCAAGGGACCTCCACCATGTACACACTGAAGACGCTCCCAAAGAATGCAGCCAAAGGACGGCACTGAAGACTTTCCCTAGGGATGGGGCCAAGGGACCACCACCGTGTACACACTGAAGACATTCCCTAAGCATGTGGTCCAAAGGACTGCTGCCATGTACACACTGAAGACGTTCCCTAAGCTTGTGGCTAAGGGACCACCGCCATGTACACACTGAAGAAGTTCCCTAGCAATAAGGCCAAGTGACCGCTGCCGTTGCACACTGAAGACGTTCCCTAAGTATGTGGCTCAGGGACCACCACCATGTACACACTGAAGACGTTCCCTAAGAATGCCGCTAAAAGACAGCACTGAAGACATTCCCTAGGCACGTGGCTGAGGGGCCTCCGCCATGTACACACTGAAGGCATTCCGAAGCATGTGGCTAAGGGACCACTGCCATGTACACACTGAAGACGTTCCCTAACAATGCGCCCAAGGGACCACCACCATGTACACACCGAAGACGTTCCCTAAGAATGCAGCCAAGGGACGGCACTGAAGACTCGTTCCCTAGGCATGTGGCCAAGGGACCGCACTGAAGAAGTCCCCTAAGCATGCGGCCAAGGGACTGCCACCGTGTACACGCTGAAGACATTCCCTAAGAATGTGGATAAGGGACCGCCGCCATGTACACACTGAAGACGTTCCCTAAAAATGCAGCCAAGGGACCGCCGCCATGTATACATTGAAGACGTTCCCAAAGAATGCAGCCAAGCGACGGCACTGAAGACACTCCCTAGGCATGTGGCCAAGGGACCGCCACCCTATACACACTGAAGACGCTCCCTAAGCATGTGGCTAACAGACTGCGACCATGTACACACTGAAGACATTCCCTAAGAATGTGGCCAAGGGACCGCCACCGTGTATGCACTGAAGACGTTCCCTAAGCATGTGGCCAAGGGACTGCACTGATGACGTTGCCTAAGGATGCAGCCAAGGGACTGCCACCGTGTACACACGGAAGACATTCACTAAGAATATGACTAAGGGACCGCCACCATGTACCCACTGAAGATGTTCCCTAAGCATATAGCCAAGGGACCGACACCATGTACACACTGAAAACGTTCCCTAAGAATGTGGCCAAGGGACCGCCACCTTGTACATAGTGAAGACGTTCCAAAGGTCCAGCCATAGGCCTGCAAAACATCAGAGGAAAGAATGGTGTGCAGGATCCAGACATCCCACCACTGGGTGTGTACCCAAAGGAAAGGAAATCAGCCCATCAATGGGATACCTGCATCCCCTGTGCCCTGCAGCACTACTCAGGTTCCAAGATATACAATCAACCCATGTGTCAATCAACAGATGAGTACATCAAGCAAATGTGGCATAGACACACAGTGGAATAGTATGCAGCCATGAAAAAGGAAATCCTGCCATTTGCGCAACATGGATGGGACTGGAAGATACAATGTGAAGTGAAATGAACCAGGCACAGAGAGACAAATACTGTATCATCTCGTATGTAGAATCTAAAAAAGCTGAACGCATAAACGCAGAGAGTGCAATGGTGGTTGCCAGGGAAGAATGCTGAAGTGTTTGTCAAAGAACATAACATTTCAGTTGGAGGCCAGGAGCGCTGTGGCTCATGTCTGGAATCACTGTGCTATGGAAGGCTGAGGAAGGAGGATCACTGGAGGCCAGGAGTTTGAGACAAGCCTGGGTAACGTAATGAAACCCTATCTCTAAACAAATAAAAAAAAAACTGAAAAAATTAACTGGATATGGTGGCATGCACCTGTAGTCCCAGCTACTTGGGAGGCTGAGGCAGGAGGATCGCTTTAGCCCAGGAATTCAAGACCAGCCTGAGCAACATAGCAAGACCCCATCTCTACAAAAAATTTAAAAATTAACCAGGTGTGGTGGTGTGCACCTGTAGTCCCAGCTACCTGGGAGGCTGAGGTGGGAGGGTCACCTGAGCCATGAGTTGGAGGCTGCTGAGAGCTATGAACATGATGCTGTACTCCAGCCTGGCTATAGGATGAGACTGTCTCAAAAAACATATAAATTACATTAAAATTAATTTTTTTCAGTTAGATAAAACAAATGAATTCCAAGTTCTATCACACCACACAGTGATGATAGTTAATAATACATCACGTCTTTCAAAATGACTAAAAGTAGATTTTACATATTCTCACTACAAAAAAAAGTAGGTGAGGTGATATAGGTTAGAGTTAGAATTATGTGAATATGTAAATTAGCTTGATTGTTAATATGTTAATTAGCTTCAATGTTAATATGTTAATTAGCCTGATTATTAATATGTTAGTTAATGTGATTGTTAATATGGTAACTAGCTTGATTTAATCATTGCATGATGTGTACGTGGATTAAAACATCACGTTGTACCTCATATACGTGTATACAATTACTTTTTTTAACGAAAAATGAATTTTCCAGAAAAATGACTCGCATTTCCAGGCAGAAAACAAAACAAGTCCCAGTTTCAAGGACAGCTGTGACATATTTAACAGTGTTTCCTCTTAATTCAACACCCTTTATATGACCATGACCCAAGGGGCTCCAAGTTGCCAAGGAAAGGATTCCAGTTATGTGCTCAAGGTGTATCCACACTGGGCTGGGCGCGGTCACGCCTGTCATCCCAGCGCTTTGGGAGGCCGAGGTGGGTGGATCACCTGAGGTCACGAGTTCGAGAGCAGCCTGAACAATAGGCTGAAACCCCTTCTCTACTAAAAATTCAAAAATTAGCCGGGTGTGGTGGCAGGCACCTGCAATCCCAGCTACTCAGGAGACTGAGGCAGAATTGCTCAAACCCGGGAGATGTTGGCTGCAGTGAGCCGAGATTGAGCCATTGCACTGCAGCCTGGGCAACAAGAGCAAAACTCCATCTCAAAAAAAAAAAAAGACATTTACGTTGAGATTTCTACACTGTGAAAAAAGATCTGCAATAGGGCATCAGGCACCCCAAAGATTCCCAATGCTATTAACCAATCAAATCTACTAGGAAATTGCAATTGCAATCACTCCACAGTTTCCCGGAAAGGTGAACACCCCTCCAGTAGGAAGCATTCAGTGTTTTCATGCACATCGCTTCATCCATTTCTCAAAACAACGCCATGTAAACTGGATAAACAAAGGGTGGTGCATATACACTATGGAATACTACATACCCATGAAAAAGAATGGGATTGGTTGGGTGTGGTGGCTCACACCTATAATCTCAGCACTTTGGGAGGCCGTGGAGGGCAGATTAACTGAGGTCAGGAGTTCAAAACCAGCCTGGGCAACATGGAGAAACCCCGTCTCTACTAAAAATACAAAATTAGCCGGGCGTGGTGGCATGTGTCTGTAATCTCAGTTACTCAGAAGGCTGAGGCAGGACAACTGCTTGAACCCGGGAGCTGGTGGTAGCGGTGAGCCGAGATCACACCATTGCACTCCAGCCTGGGCAACAAAAAGGAAACTGTCTCAAAAAAAAAAAAAAAATGGGATGATGTCCTTTGCAGGAACATGCACGGAGGTGGAGGCCATTATCCTTAGCAAACTTACACAGGAACAGAAAACCAAATACCACCTGTTCCCACTGATAAGTGACAGCTAAACATTGGGCACTGGTGGATATAAAGAAGGGAACAGCTGCAGGGGCCTGCTGGAGGGTGGAGGGTGGGACAAATGAGAGGATCAAAAAACTACCTATCAGATGGTAGTAGGCTTACTACCTGGTTGATGAATTAATCTGTACACTAAACCCCCAGGACATGCAATTTACCCGTGTAATGAACCTGCACACGTGCCCCTGAACCTGAAAGTTTAAAAAGTAGGCCAGGAGCAGTGATTCATAATCCCAGCACTTTGGGAGGCCAAGATGGGTGGATCACTTGAGGCCAGGAGTTCGAGACCACCCTGACCAATATGGTGAAACCCTGTCACTACTAAAAATACAAAATCAGCCGAGCATGGTGGCGCATGCCTATAATCTCAGCTACCTTACAGGCTGAGATGGGAGAATCCTTGGAACCCGGGAGACGGAGGTTGCAGTGAACCCAGATCATACCATTGCACTCCAGCCTGGGCGACAAGAGTGCAAATCATCTCAAAAATAAATAAATAAATAAAACACTACATGTGCTGCTATTGGGAATATTTTACTGAATTTTTTTTAAGTCCTTTAAAATGTTAGGGTAGTGTCTTAGGAAATCAGGGATTTCCAAAGGCAGGACTTCACGTTGCCAACATGAGTGTGAGAAGGATTCCTTTCAGTGTAGAAGGTGCTTGCCTGCTCTGTGCTTCCAGAAATCCCCGAGACTTAATAAGGCACCTGGCTCCGTCACTGATCAAAGAATGGGTACCACAACTTACTGTCCACTGCAAAGCTCCATGGCACCTAGCTCTAGCCAGTTTGTTCACAGCCGTGATTAAGGTGCCCACAGCATCCTCACCAGCCTCAGGAACGTGGCACAGTCAGCTCGCCACAGGGGTGACCCCAGAAACAAGAGACAGGACTGTTACAGGGACAACACGTGGGACGCCAAAAACCAGAAACAAGAGACAGGAATATTGTAACAGGGACAAAGTCCAGACCACACGGAAGGTGGATGACTCATTTGTCACAGGTGGAAACAGTTTATCTGCGAGTTTGAAACCAGGTGGATCAAGAATGAAAGGCGCCGCCAGGCGCGGGGGCTCACGCCTGTCATCCTAACATTTTGGGAGGCCGAGGCGGATGGATCACCTGAAGTCAGGAGTTCGAGACCAGCATGACCAACATGAAGAAAACCCATCTCTACTAAAAATATAAAATTAGCCGGGCGTGGTGGCACATGCCTGTATTCCCAGCTACTCAGGAGACTGAGGCAGGAGAATTGCTCGAACCTGGGAGGCAGGGGTTACAGTGAGCCGAGATCCCTCCACTGCACTCCAGCCTGGGTGACAGGGTGACAGAGCAAGACTCCGTCTCAAAAAAAAAAAAAAGAATGAAAGGTGCACAGAGGCAGCCAGGACACAAGCCCCTTCCACCCCGGGCCCCGGAAATGCACAGACCACCTTCTAAGGTTTCTCTCCTGTCATCCTCCCAAGTCTACACGAATATAGAGAAACACACTAGAAGTCTCTGATAGGATGGGGGCATCTCCAGAAATCCAAAGATTCAGGTTCTGAATCTCTGATCTGGGTGGGGCTGGGGAGCTGCAGTGCCAGAAAGATAATGAAGCCTTGGCTGTGATTCAGACCATTTCTTGGTATCAAGCGTGTAGGGGAAGAAGGATGCGGACAGGGCAGGAGAAGGAATGAATGCGGTCAGCACGGTGGCTGGAGGATGTCTGGGATGGCGAGGTGCAGAGAGGAGCAGGCTGGCTGCGTCTCTCACTGTGCCTGGGATGGGCGGTGACAGAGGAAAGGGATTCCACATGAGAGTCAGAGACACCCAATGAAGAAACAAAAGCAGCTTACAGGGTGGAAAGGACACAGACACAGACACTCAGAAGAATGTGGCCAAGGGATCGCCACCGTGTACGAACTGAAGACGTTTTCTAAGAATGTGGACAAGGGACTGCCACTCCGTATGCACTGAAGAGGTTCCCAAAGCATGTGGCCAAGGGACCATCGCCATGTACACAATCAAGACAATCCCTAAGCATGTGATTAAGGGACTGCCACCATGTACACACTGAAGATGTTCCCTAAGAATGGGGCCAAGGGACCACTGCCATGTACACACTGAAGACGTTCCCTAAGTATGTGGCTAAGGGACCGCCCCCATGTACGCACTGAAGACATTCCCTAAGAATGCAGCCAAAAGACGGCACTGAAGACGCTCCCTAAGAATGTGGCCAAGGGACCACAACGGTGTACACACTGAAGCCATTCCTTAAGCATGTGGCCCAAGGGACTGCCACGCTGTGCATACTGAAGACGATCCCTAAGCTTGTGGCTAAGGGACGGCGGCCATCTACACACCAAAGACGTTCCCTAACAATGAGGCCAAGGGACCACTGCTGTGCACACACTGAAGATGTTCCCTAAGTGTGTGGCTAAGGGACCTCTGCCATGTACACACTGAAGACGTTCCCTAAGAATGCAGCTAAAAGATGGCACTGAAGACGTTCCCTAAGCATGTGGCCAAGAGACTGCCACCATATACACACTGAAGACGTTCCCTAAGCTTGTGGCTAAGGGACCGCCGCCATGTACACACTTAAGACGTTCCCTAAGAATGCGGCCAAGGGACCGCCACCATGTACACACTGAAGACGTTCCCTAAAAATGCAGGGAAGGGACAGCACTAAAGATGTTCCCTAGGCATGTGGCCAAGGGAATGCACTGAAGATGTTCCCTAAGCATGCAGCCAAAGAACTGCCACCATGTATACACTGAAGACATTCCCTAGGAATGTGGGTGAGGGACTGCTACCATGTGCACACTGAAGATGTTCCCTAAGAATGCAACCAAGGGACCACTGCTGTGTGCAGTGAAGACACTCCCTAAGTATGTGGCTAAGGGACCTCCGCCATGTGCACACTGAAGACATTCCCTAAGAATGCAGCTGGCACTGAAGACGTTCCCCTAGGCATAATGACCAAGGGACCCCACTGTATACAACTGAAGACGTTCCCTAAGCATGTGGCTAAGGGACTGCCACCAAGAACACAATGAAGACGTTCCCTAAGCATGCGGCTAAGGGAATGCCGACATGTACACACTGAAGAGGTTCCCTAAGAATGCGACCAAGGGACCGCCACCATGTACACACTGAAGACAGTCCCTAAGCATGTGGCACAAGGGACCGCCGCCCTGTGCACACTGAAGATGTTCCCTAACCATGGGGCCAACAGACTGCCACCGTGTACACACTGAAGACATTCCCTAAGCATGTGGCTAAGGGACCGCCGCCAGGTACACAATGAAGATGTTCCCTAGGCATGTGGCCAAGGGATCACACTCACTGAAGACGTTCCCTAAGCATACAGCCAAGGGACTGCCACCGTGTACACACTGAACACGTTCCCTAAGAATGTGGTTAAGGGACCGCCGCCATGTACACACTGAAGATGTTCCCTAAGAATGTGGCCAAGGGAATGCACTGAAGACCTTCCCTAATACAAAAGCTAAGACATTGTGGGTGTACCACACACTTCCTACAGCTGTGGGAAAATGAGGCTCTTCAGGGCACCTCCATGACTAGCCACAAACCCAGCTAGGAGAGCCACGGAAAGAATGGGGTGGTGTAACTGCAGTAATTACCAAGACATAATTCGATCTAATCGCCTTCTAAATAAATGGCTCCCTTAACTCTGCCCAGCCCACTTGATTCACACCAAGGAAGACGTCTTTAACATACAAAATCAGGCTGTGAGGAGTAAAACTTGGACAATGCCATTTCATCACAGCACAGAGCCACGGTGAGACCAGCACCTCTTATGGAAAGAAAACAGACAGCTGGCCGCCATGGCTCAGGCCTGTCATCCCAGCACTTTCGGAGTCCAAGGCAGGTGGATCACTTGAGGCCAGGAGTTTGAGACCGGCCAGGCCAACATGGTGAAACCCTGTCTCTACTAAAAACACACACACAAAAAAAAATTAGCCAGGCATGGTGGCAGATGCCTGTAATCCCAGCTACTCCAGAGGCTAACGCAGGAGAACTGCTTAAGCCCAGGAGATGTTGGCTGCAGTGAGCCAAGATTGAGCCATTGCACTCCAGCCTTGGCAACAAGAGAGAAACTCCATCTCAAAAAAAAAAAAAAGAAAGAAAAGAAAAGAAAACAGACATATTCATGCTGAGATATCTACACTGTGAAAAAAATATCTGTAATAGTGCATCAGGCACCCCAAAAATTCCCAATGCTCTTAATTAATCAAATCTACTAGGAAATTGCAATTGCAATGACTCCACAGTTTCCCAGGAGGCAAACACCATTCCAATAGAAAGCATTCACTGTTTTTATGCAAATCATTTCATCCATTCCTCAAAACAACGCCACGTAGACTGGATAAAGAAAAGGTGGTGTACATACACCACAGAATACTATGCATTCTTGAAAAAGAATGGGATTGACCAGGTGTGGAGACTCACACCTGTAATCCCAGCATTTTGGGAGGCCAAAGCAGGCGGATTACCTGAGGTCGGGAGTTCAAGACCAGCCTGGCCAACATGGAAAAACCCGTCTCTACTAAAAATACAAAATTAGCCGGGTGTGGTAGTGCATGCCTGTAATCCCAGCTACTTGAGAGGCTGAGGCAGGAGAATCCCTTGAACCTGGGAGACGGAGGCTGCAGTGAGCCGAGATCATACCACTGCACTCCAGCCTTGGCAACAGTAGCAAAACTCCATCTCGAAAACAAACAAACAAACAAAAAAACACCACATGTGCTGCTATTAGGAATATTTTACTAAATTTTTTGTAAGTCTTTTAAAATATTAGGGTAGTGTCTTAGGAAATCAGGGACTTCACGATGCCAACATGAGTGTGAGAAGGATTCCTTTCAATGTAGAAGCTGTTTCCCTGCTCTGGGCTTCCACAAATCCCCAAGACCTAATAAGACACCTGGCTCCGTCACTGATCAAAGAATGGGTACCACGACTTAGTGTCCACTGCAAAGCTCCATGGCACCTAGCTCTAGCCAGTTTGTTCACAGCCGTGATTAAGGTGCCCACAGCATCCTCACCAGCCTCAGGAACGTGGCACAGTCAGCTCGCCACACGGGTGACCCCAGAAACAACAGACAGGACTGTTACAGGGACAACATGTGGGATGCAAAAAACCAGAAACAAGAGACAGGAATATTGTAACAGGGACAAAGTCCAGACCACATGGAAGGTGGATGACTCATTTGTCACAGGTGGAAACAGTTTATCTGTGAGTTTAAAACCAGGTGGATCAAGAAAGAAAGGTGCGGCCAGGCGCGGGGGCTCACACCTGTCATCTCAACACTTTGGGAGGCCGAGGCGGATGGATCACCTGAGGTCAGGAGTTCGAGACCAACATGACCAACATGAAGAACACCCATCTCTACTAAAAATATAAAATTAGCCGAGCGTGGTGGCACATGCCTGTATTCCCAGCTACTCAGGAGACTGAGGCAGGAGAATTGCTCGAACCTGGGAGGCAGGGGTTACAGTGAGCCGAGATCCCTCCACTGCACTCCAGCCTGGGTGACAGGGTGACAGAGCAAGACTCCGTCTCAAAAAAAAAAAAAAGAATGAAAGGTGCACAGAGGCAGCCAGGACACAAGCCCCTTCCACCCCGGGCCCGGGAAATGCACAGACCACCTTCTAAGGTTTCTCTCCTGTCATCCTCCCAAGTCTACACGGATATAAAGAAACACACTAGAAGTCTCTGATAGGATGGGGGCATCTCCAGAAATCCGAAGATTCAGGTTCTGAATCTCTGATCTGGGTGGGGCTGGGGAGCTGCAGTTCCAGAAAGCAAATGAAGCCTTGGCTGTGATTCAGACCATTTCTTGGTATCAAACGTGTAGGGGAAGAAGGATGCGGACAGGGCAGGAGAAGGAATGAATGCGGTCAGCACGGTGGCTGGAGGATGTCTGGGATGGCGAGGTGCAGAGAGGAGCAGGCTGGCTGCGTCTCTCACTGTGCCTGGGATGGGCGGTGACAGAGGAAAGGGATTCCACATGAGAGTCACAGACACCCAGTGAAGAAGCAAAAGCAGCTTACAGGGTGGAAAGAACACAGACACAGACACTCAGAAGAATGTGGCAGGGACACATTCTGGCCAATGGACTGTCACCTTGTACAAACTGAAGACGTTTTCTAAGAATGTGGCCAAGGGATCACACTGAAGACGTTCCCTAAGAATGTGGCCAAGGGACTGCACTAAAGATGTTCTCTAAGCATGCGGCCAAGGGACCACCAGTGTGTACACATTGAAGAGGTTCCCTAAGAATATGGCTAAGAAACAGCACTGAAGACATTCCCTAAGCATGTGGTTGAGGGACCGCACTGAAGACGTTCCCTAAGAATGACACCAGGGGACTGCCACCGTGTATGCACTGAAGATATTCCCTAAGAATGTGGCCAAGGGACCAACCAGGGCTGTGACTGAAGACGTTCCCCAAGCGTGCGGCCAAGGGACCACCATTGTGTAGGCACTGACGACGTTCCCTTAGAATGTGGCCCGGGGACCACCACCATGTAAGAAGTGAAGACGCTCCCTAAGAATGTGGCCAAGGGACCACCACGGTGTACACACTGAAGACGTTCCCTAAGTATGTGGCTAAGGGACCACCGCCATGTACGCACTGAAGACGTTCCCTAAGAATGCAGCCAAGGCAAGGCACTGAAGACATTCCCTAGGCATGGGGCCAAGGGATGGCCACCATGTACACACTGAAGTCATTCCCTAAGCATGTAGCCCAAGGGACCACCACCGTGTGCACACTGAAGATGTTCCCTAAGCTTGTGGCTAAGGGACCACAGCCATGTACATACTGAAGATGTTCGCTAACAATGCAGCCAAAGGACTGCTGCCCTGTACACACTGAAGACGTTCCCTAAGCATGTGGCCCAAGGGACTCCCACCCTGTGCACACTGAAGATGATCCCTAAGCATGTGGCTAAGGGACCACCACCATGTACACACTGAAGACATTCCCTAAGCATGTGGCCCAAGGGACTCCCGCACTGTGCACACTGAAGATGATCCCTAAGCTTGTGGCTAAGGGACCTCCGCCACGTACACACTGAAGACATTCCCTAAGAATGTGGCCAAGGGACCACCACCATGTGCACACTGACGACATTCCGTAAGAATATGGCCCTGTGCACACTGAAGACATTCCCTAAGCATGTGGCTACGGGACCACCGTGTACGCACTGAAGACATTCCGTAAGAATGCGACCAGGGGACCGCCACATGTGCACACTGAAGACATTCCCTAAGAAAACGGCCAAGGGACGGCACTTAAGACGTTCCCTAAGCATGTGGCCCAAGGGACCACTGCCCTGTGCACACTGAAGATGTTCGCTAAGCATGTGGCTAAGGGACTGCCGCCATGTACACACTGAAGACATTCCCTAAGAATGTGGCCAAGGGACCGCCACAGTGTACACACTGAAGACGTTCTCTAAGAATGTGGCCAATGGACCACACTGTAGACGTTCCCTAAGCATGCAGCAAAGGGACTGCCACCGTGTACACACTGAAGACATTCCCTAAGAATGTGGCTATGGGACTGTCGCCATGTACACACTGAAGATGTTCCCTAAGCATGTGGCCAAGGGACGGACGCCATGGACACTGGGAAGACGTTCACTAAAGTCCAGAAACGGGCCTGCGAAACACCAAAGGAAAGAATGTTGTGCAGGATCCAGTCATCCCACCGCTTGGTGTGTGCCCAAAGGAAAGGAAATCAGCCCATCAATGGGATACCTGCACCCCCTGTGCACTGCCAACACTACTAACAGTTTCCAAGATATAGAATCAACCCATGTGTCAATCAACAGATGAGCGTATCAAGCAAATGTGGCATAGACACACAATGGAATAGTATGCAGCCATGAAAAAGGAAATCCTGCCATTTGCAGCAACATGGATGGGACTGGAAGATACAATGTGAAGTGAAATGAACCAGGCACAGAGAGACAAATACTGTATCATCTCGTATGTAGAATCTAAAAAAGCTGAACGCATAAACGCAGAGAGTGCAATGGTGGTTGCCAGGGAAGAATGCTTCATGAAGTGTTTGTCAAAGAACATAAAATTTCAGTTGGAGGCCAGGAGCGGTGGCTCATGTCTGGAATCACAATGCTATGGAAGGCTGAGGAAGGAGGATCACTGGAGGCCAAGAGTTTGAGACAAGCCTGGGCAACATAATGAAACCGCATCTTTAAAAAAAAAAAAAAAAATTAGCTGGGTATGGTAGCATGCACCTGCAGTCCCAGCTACTTGGGAGGCTGAGGCAGGAGGATCGCTTCAGCCCAGGAATTCAAGACCAGCCTGAGCAACATAGCAAGACCCCATCTCTGCAAAAAACTTAAAAAATTAACCAGGTGTGGTGGTGTGCACCTGTAGTCCCAGCTACCTGGGAGGCTGTGGTGGGAGGGTCACCTGAGCCAGGAGTTGGAGGCTGCCATGAGCTATGAACATGATGCTGCACTCCAGCCTGGGTGATAGGGTGAGACTGTCTCAAAAAAAATAAATTACATTAAAATTAAATTTTTCCAGTTAGATAGAAGAAATAAATTCAAAGTTCTACCACACCACACAGTGATTATCATTAATAATAATACATTGCGTTTTTCAAAATGACTAAAAGTAGATTTTACACATTCTCACCACAAAAAAAAGTAGGTGAGGTGATATAGGTCAGAGTTAGGATTATGTGAATATGTTAATTAGCTTGTTAATATGTTAATTAGCTTGAATGTTAATGTGTTAATTAGCTTGATTATTGATATGTTAATTAGGTTAATAATATGGTAACCAGCTTGATTTAATCATTGCACAATGTGTACTCGGATTAAAACATCACGTCGTACCTCCTATATATGTATACAATTATTTTCTATAAAATAATTCTATAAAGATAGCTCGCATTTCCAGGCAGAAAGCAAAACAAGTCCCAGTTTCGAGGACAGCTGTGACATATTTAATGGTGTCTCCTCTTAATTCAACAGTTTATATGACCATGACACAAGGGGCTCCAAGTTTCCAAGGAAAGGATTCCAGTTATGTGCTCAAGGTGTATCCACACTGGGCTGGTCGCGGTGGCTCACGCCTGTCATCCCAGCACTTTGGGAGGCTGAGGCGGGTGGATCACCTGAGGTCAGGAGTTCCAGACCAGCTTTACCAATGTACTGAAACCCCGTCTCTACGAAAAATATAAAAATTAGCTGGCTGTGGTGGCAGACACCTGTAATCCCAGCTACTCAGGAGGCTGAGACAGGAGAATGGCTTGAACCCAGGAGGCGGAGGTTTCTGTGAGCCGAGATCGTGCCATTGCACTCCAGCCTGGGCAACAAGAGTGAAACTGTCTTAAAAAAAAAAAATGGTATCCACACTGCAGCATGGACCAGAAGAGATGACCTTCCAGTGAGCACACGAGGTCGTCTCACAAAGCGGCGAGTGTTCCCAGTTATTACTCGGAGGGCTGGGCCTGCTCAGGAGGGTTGGTGAGATCAGGCTGTCCCCTAACACACACCATGGCAGGGCTCATCCTCCCGAGTACATGCAAACTGCACTGAGCCGGCTCCCCATGGAACTCCAAAAATAGCCCAGCTGGGAAGAAATGGAACGTTCTGGGGGACACTGATTTTCACATTGAAATTTCCTATCTTTTTAAATTTATTTTGGTTGAGACAGTCGCCCAGGCTATTGCCCAGCCTGGAGTGCAGTGGCATGATCGTAGTTTATGGCAGCCTCAGCCTCCTTGGGCTCAAGCGATCCTTCAGCCTCAGCCTCCCAAGTAGCTGTGACCACACACGTGTGCCACCACGTCTGGCTTTTTTTTTTTTTTTAGAGACAGCATCTCTCTCCTTGTTGCACAGGCTGGAGTGCAGTGGTGCGATCACATTTCACTGCAGCCTCCAACTCCCTGGCTCAAGTGATCCTCCCACCTCAGCCTCCTGTGTAACTGGGACTACAAATGCACACCTTATGTCCAGCTAATTTTTTTATTGTTACTAGAGACAAGGTCTCAGTATGTTGACCAGGCTGGTCTCAAACCCCTGAGTTCAAGTGATCCTACTGACTTAGCCTCCCAAAGTGCAGGTATTACAAGCATGAGCCACCACACCCAGCCTATTTTTATTTTATTTTTGTAGGCACAGGATCTCGCTGTTTGCCCAGGCTGATCTCAAACTCAGGCTCAAAAATCATCCTCCTGCCTCAGCCTCCCAAAGTGCTGGGATGACAGGTGTGAGCCATTGTGCCCGGTCTCATACCATTTTTGTATCATGAAACTTTATTATTCTTTGCATTTCTTTCCCTCAAGAATTTAAACATGTAAGAAGCAAACCAACACCTTTTAAAACCTAAACATAATTCTTAGCTTGTGGATACAGTTTTGGAAGCAATTTAAATTCTAGAAATCCTGCAGTAACTGCCTATTTGATACGTTCTCAGAGTTCCTGCCTTTCCAGTTAAACACAAATAAAATAGGAGTCCGGTGACCTCGAACACCCCAGGGTAAGAACGCACAAGCTAAAAGCCAGTTGGAGCCTGAATGTGAAAAGGCAATCATTCCTTCTGCATCAAAACATCTGCACCCACGGGTCCACCCGTCAGCCAAAAGCCACCTCAGCAATGCTACCAAAACAGGGAAAAGAAAGGCTACCCTCTTTCTTTCATGCAAGCCCTCTAAGATAACGCACAACCTACTAGCTCACGTAAATTAGGGCACAAAGAACCCAACTGAAATCCTGGCAGAACAAGCACAACTTCTGCTTAATCGTGAACTCATTTATTTATTTATTTAGAGACAGGGTCTCACTCTTTTGCCCAGGCTGCACGACAGTGATGCAATCTCAGCTCACTGCAGCCTCGACTTTCCGGGCTCCAGCGATCCTCCCACCTCAGTCTCCCAAGTAGCTGTGATCACACATGCGTGCCACCATGTTTGGCTAATTTTTATTATTATTATTATTATTTTTAGAGGCAGCATCTCTTGCTTTATTTTCCAGGCTGGAGTGCAGTGGTATGTTCACAGCTCACTGCAGCCTCCAACTCCCAAGCTCAAGTGATCCTCCCACCTTCGCCTCCTGAGTAGCTGGGACTGACTACAGACATGCGCCTCCATGCCTGGCTAATTTTTTGTATTTTTAGTAGGGATGAGGTTTGGCCATGTTGCCCAGGCTGGTCTCAAACTCCTGGGCTCAAGCGATCCGCCTGCCTCGGCCTCCCAAAGTGCTGGGATCACAGGCATGAGAGCCACTGCACCTGGCCATGCAGCTGTTTTAATCAGCAATTCTGAGAAGACACAAATGCCCCCCGGTTCTTTTGTGATAATATTAACACAGATTACTGAATTCCAGTGACAAAAACCTCACGTGTGTTACCTAAAGAAACACAGAGCCCAGAGTGTGCGATCTGAGCTGTTTCTCAAACCAGGACAAATAAGTGGATTCCAATTGGTGCCTCGAGAAAAAAAAGGGAAAAAGTGGCAAAAAAAAAAAAAAAAAAAAGTAGTTTCAACAAAGTCCAGCGGTTATTTTTGGAAGGCCCACTCACCAAGAACAGTGTTTACATTCGTACATTTTTTTTCTGAATTTCTTAATGGTTGGGGGAAAAAAAGAAGTCAACAGAGCAATAATATTTCTTGACACAACATTTATATAAAATTTAGTGCCCACGAAGTGGGAGTGGAATACACGGAGTCTCGCTCTTGTCGCCCAGGATGGAGCGCAGTGGCACGATCTTAGCTCACTACAACCTCCGCCTCCCTGGTTCACGCGATTCTCCTGCCTCAGCCTCAGTACCTGGGATTACAGGTGCCCACCACCATGCCCAGCTAATGTTTGTATTTTTAGTAGAGATGGGGTTTCACCATGTTGGCCAGGCTGGTCTTGAACTCCTGACCTCAGGCGATCCACCCGCCTCGGCCTCCCAAAGTGCTGGGATGACAGATGTGAGCCACCACACCCAGCAATGGATGCTTTTAGACACAACGGCAAAACTAAGTTGTTGAGAGACAGAGAATGCATGGTCCGCGGAGCCAAAAATATTTCCTCTCTGACCCCTTAAAGTTGACACCATCAGGGTACTCATGCCAAGGACCTCCCGCATCTGACTGCAACACAAAAGGACAGGCAGCCGCAGCTAGGAAGGAGCCTGGCTGCAAAGCCCTGAAACCCGAAAGCTTCCCAGAAGTTGCTCAGAAAGGAACTCATGCAGTTTGAGAAAATCTGGAAGAAACGAGCCAAACCCTGCTGTTTTCGTCGTCTGAAGAAATGAGCAAAACACTGCCGTTTTGCTGCAGACGGTCCTGTGAGAGTTTGCATTCTCTGTTCACCAGGCAGGGGCATGGCGAGTTCATTTTATAAAACTCTCAGGTGAGCCCCACGATTTGACGGAGCAGAAATCACTGGGAAAGGACGGGGCGGCGGGCCTGAGATCACAGAGGGGAAAACAGTAGAACTGCTGCCCAAGCACATCTGAGACTCGCAGAAGGCGCAGGAAGATGGTCGGAACAAAAGCAGGAGCTGGCTGCGCCAGGAACCCGGTCTCTGGGCCTCCTCTGCACTCACGAGCAAATGAACGTCACCACCGAGATTTCGGCACCCCAGAAACAGCCCAACCGGCTCCTTCCCACCAGCTGCCTCTTTACTAAAACATCCGAAACCTTTTTCTCACTTTCCCCAAGCTGTTTTCCTCACCCTTCAGAGGCCTGCTGGGAAAACAGTTCGAAGCAGGCAATTCTGCAAAGTGGGGGGGAAACAAAAACAACCAGCTCAGAGTTAGGGCTGTGCAGCCAGATGCAAGCGTGAAAACAAAACCGAACCGAAAAATCCCACCACTGTGCGGAAGGAGTGCCACACAGGCTGGGATGAGAACCGTCGGGGTTAGGGAAATGTCTCTGTAAGAAACCCTCAAGGACTAGAATTACTCCTAATGGGAAAAACGTGTAAACATGTCCCACTTAAATGAACATCACGATGCAAATGCTTAGTTATGAGGACTGAAAATGAACCCCTTTCAACCCAAAACGTGCAAGAAAGAGAAATTTCGGCATTTTAATGATGCCCAAGGACAGGCAGTCAACCAACAGCACTTGGAAAGGGCAAGTCTGGGCAGAGGTGCACATCCCGGCCTTCCTGTGTTTCTTGGGGGCCATTGTTTTCTCAGGAGGGAGGAAAAGAGGGAGGGAGGAAGGAAAAAGGGATGGAAGGAAAACGAAAGAGGAAGGGAGGGAGGGAGAAAAGGGAGGGAGGGACAGAGGGAGGGAGGAAAGGAAGGAAGGAGGAAGGGAGGGAGACAGGGAGGGACAGAGGGAAGGAAGGAGGGAGGGAGGAGAGGGAAGGAGGGAGGGAGGGATGGGGGAAGGAGGGAGGGGAGGAAAGGGAGGCAGAGAGGGAGGGGAGGGAGGGAACGGAGAGAAGGAAGGGAGAAAAGGGAGAGAAGGGAGGGAAGGAAGGGAGAGAAGGAAGGAAGGGAGAAAAGGGAGAGAAGGGAGAGAAGGAAGGAAGGGAGAGAAGGAAGGAAGGGAGAGAAGGAAGGAAGGGAGAGAAAGAAAGAAGGGAAGGGAGGGAAGGAAGGGAGAGAAGAAGAGACAAGGATGGGAGGGAAGGAAGGAAGGAAAGAAGGAAGAAAGGAAGGATTTGTTGGCTGAAGAAGAGAGGGAGGGTTGGACGGAAGGAGGAGGGAAGGAAGAGACCATGTGAGAGGAGGTGAGGAAGACAGGAAGAGAGGGGTGATAAGGAGGCTGGGGGGAGAGGGAAGGCGCTGATGCCATCCGGATCCATCCAGGCTGCCTCGTCCATGGGGCCTCCGTTTATACAACTATCCACTAAGTGAAGGAACCGGCAAAAATCTCTGCTCCCGGGGAACACTTTCACCAGCTGCCGGCTTTATTCACTCAGAAATTTTGATGCCAAAACACCCGAAAGTACATCATAACTTGAGGATTTACAGACAAGAAAGAGGAGCACAGAACTGACCGTGGGTGCCCTGGAAAAAGTTGCTTTCAACAAGGACCACAACAAAAATAAAAATAATAATAATGATAAACCTCCCTCCACTCCCAGGATCAAGGGGTTCAGACAAACTGCAGTCCAGACGGACACGCGGCAGACAAATGAATGAGGAGCTAATGCATTGCTCTGGTTTATTGAACAACAGTCCAACTTTACAGCATTAAATAAGGGGCAACCGTTCAGGAGGGGAACGATGGCTTAAAAATAAAAATGAAGACAGAGCCGGGACAGTTCACATTTCCACGTGAGTGAGGAAAAGCGAAGGATTGTTAGAGACGTGAAGAGAACGCTGGCAATGCTACAGAATGGAGCCCACGGAGGCGTGGGCTGCCCTGCGTCCCCGGCCTCGGGGCAGAACAGGGAGCAACCCCAAAGCCTGCCCCACTGTGTCCCTTCCAGCTGCCCTTCTGCCGAGAACACCCGGAGCTGAGGGTTCCAAGTTCACGGCGGAACCGCTTCCCTTAAAAAGAAAGCAAAGGTTACGTGGATTTCTCCCGTGCTTCCTTTTCCACAGACTTAAACCGGCTCAGGACGTAAGGATAACATTCTGTGCTGCTTGCAGCCCTGAGAAGTCAGCAGCCGTGAAAGGCAGGTAGTTCCTTTGCCCTCTGACACCCCGAGTTCTTGGGGTCTCGGCAGAACACTGCCTGGAGCTGAGTGGGGTCATCCCTCCTAGACACCGTTCTCCCCAGCCCAGCTTGTCTTCACGGAGGCAGAGAACCCGCTGCACGTAGAATCCAAGCAATATGCTAAGCCTCCTGAAGTATTTTTCCTCCAGTTAAAAAGCAGTTCTACATGTTGGAAAACGTCTTTCTGTTTCCCTGAATGACTGAAAGCAACTCGCAGGAATCCAGCCACGGAAAACCCCTCCGGGGGCAATATTTTAAAATTCATTTCCCCTATGGTATTCAGTTTAAAAGAGAAGAATCAAGAGTCCTTTCCGGTAATCAAATCAAAAACACCTTATGTGGAAAAGCTGGCCGCACGGGGGAACTGGACTTTTAGGGCTGAGACACCGAAGACATAACCTCCGGACCCGTGAGCCACCCACTTTTGTTTTGTTTTGAGACGGAGTCTCACTCTGGCCTCCAGGCTGGAGTGCAGTGGCGTAGTCTTGGCTCACTGCAACCTCCACCTCCTGGGCTCAAGCGAATCTTCCGCCTCAGCCTCCCGAGTAGCTGGGATTACAGGCGGGTGCCACCGCATCTGGCTAGTTTCTTGTATTTTTAGTAGACACGAGGTTTCACCATGTTGGTTGGCCAGGCTGGTCTCGAACTCCTGACCTCAGCGTGAGCCACCACGCCCGGCCACCGCCCAGTTTTAAGGACCAACTCCGCAAAGTGAAATTTCGGCAGGCAGCAGGAAGCAGGCTCTCTGGCAGCAACCTGTCGAAAATACAACACATTCCACACTTTTTTTTCTGTTTGCTTTTTGTTAAGTGTCTGCATTTTTGTACTCATCTGTCACATTTTTAACCGAACATTAAAAAAAAAGGTCTCTCTTTTTAAGAAGGGCATTTTGGCTAAAAGGTCTCTTCCCCATTTCTCAGAAGCAAGAGGTCCCTGCTTGCACGAGAATGTAAACATGAATTCAGTGATCTGGACCTCGCAGAAGTCACACATGATGATCGGGAAAGGCTCCTTCGACGCCACCCAGAATGTTCCTGCGTTTCTTCTAAACCCTCCCAGGGAGAACTCGAATCAGACATGGTGGAGGTCTTAAGTATCTGTGAAGGAAGGAACAGCTCCTCTAGGCTCTGCTGCACGCAATTCCCAAGCAGAAGCGTTGGCAGTTCCCAAGCAGAAGTCGTCCGGGCCCCGGGAATAGGGGAGGAAAGGAAACCCACTCAAAGCCACCTCTCTTGTGTCTTCTTTTTTCTTTTTGAGAGAGTCTCGCTCTTGTCGCCCAGGCTGGAGTGCAGCGATCTCAGCTTACTGCAACCTCCACCTCCCAGGTTCAAGCGATTCTCTGGCCTCAGCCTCCAGAAGCTGGGATTACAGGCACATGCCATCAGTCCTGGCTAATTTTTGTATTTTTAGTAGAGACGGGGTTTCGCCATGTTGGCCAGGCTGGTCTCGATCTCCTGACCTCAGCTGATCTGCCCACCTCGGCCTCCCAAAGTGCTGCGATTATAGACAGGAGCCACCGCCCCCGACCCTCTCTCACTTCTCAAATCTCTTTCCTTTTTCCACCTTCTAGGTGTCAAAGACAGTGGATGGTCTCTGAGGTTCAAAACCAAGCTGACCGGGTAAGTATTTACAGCAAAGCATCCAATGGGCTGCTGCGGGGATGACTTGTAAGACAACACGCTTCCTCGCTACAGGAAGCTGCTGTCCCTAATGCCAAAGAAACCGCCGCTGACGCCATCCCCCAAGGAGAACACCTGCTCCTGGTCCAGGCCCCACTCCCCCTCGTCCTGGTCCTCGGGTTCCGCCTCTGCCCCACTCCGGGCGTTCTCATACAGAAACACCTGCTCGTCCACGTGCGCGGGAGCCAGCCGGTTCCTCTTGGCGCTGACCACGTTGGCGGCGGATCCGAAGAGACGCTCAGGGGCGACGCGCGTGGCCGTCACGCACCAGTACTTCTGCAGCACCTTGGGCAGCAGGGGGAAGAGGGCCAGGCGGTCTGACCACCACTTGAGGGGGTCTTCGTTGAGGCCAAGCACCTTCTGGGACTTGAAGTTGCTCAGCTCCTCCACCACCTGGGCATGCCACTCTTCCTGGTCCTCCACGCCGCCTGTCTGGCAGAAGATCTCGGCCAGCATGTTGTTGATGACGCTGGCGGGCGGCGGCGTGGATGTCCGCATGAGCTTCTTGACGGGAGGCTCCTCGGGCACCGGGAAGATCTTGTCCTCAGCCGGCCGGTAGCCGCCGTCTTTGACCTTGTCCAGCAGGCCCTTGGCCTCTTCCACCACGCGATTCTCCACCTGCTGCCGCTCGAAGGCGGAGAGGAAGGGCAGCCTCTTGTAGCGGGGGTCCAGGAAGGTGGCCACGTTGAGAAACATGTCGATCTCGGGCGTCTCCTGGTAGGTCTTGGAAAGCTCCTTGGCGATGACCTCCTTGGCCATGCTGAGCTCCTTGGAGTCGGTCTCCTTGATGTTGAGCGTGGTGTTCAGGAGCATGTGCAGCAGCGGCTTCACCATGCTGATGGTGGGGTACCTGGAGGCCGACAGCATCTCGGCCACCTGCTTGAAGGGCTGCAGGAGCTCCACCAGCCCCTCGATGGTGGCCCACTCGCTGGCCTCCAGCATGAGGTGGTGGTTGTTGCTGTCCTCCACCAAGACCCCGGCGATGACGAACTGCTGCTCCTTGAGGCGCTGCAGCATGGCCAGCGTGCTCCCCCACCAGGAGACGCGGTTGCTCACCAGCATGCAGTGGGCCACGTTCTGCTGCTTCTGCTTCTCATAGAGCATGTACATGGCCACGGCAGACTGCTGGAAGTACTCCACCAGTTTGCGGCAGCGCGACAGCAGCGCCCCCAGCTTCGGGAGCTGGAAGGCCTGCTGGATGCCGGCATTGAAGGTGTGGCCCAGGCAGGGCATGTGCACTGCGACGTCCAGCAGGGAGCACGCCTTCACGATGTCCTTGCCATAGTTGGTGGTGGCCCCGAAGACCTTGGCGCTGATGCCCCACTCGATGAAGACCTCATAGAGCACTCGCGTGATGGTCTCCGCCGTGTTCTCTTCGGGCACCTCGAAGGTCTTCAGGCAGCGGGAGCCCATGGACAGGCAGTTGGGGGCGCCCAGGCCCAGGAAGTGGGCGGCCAGCGTGACGTAGGCGCGGTTCTGATTCTCACTCCTCCACATGTCGGTGGAGATGCCACACCAGGTGGCCTCGGCCAGCTCCTTCAGGATCACCTCCCGGACGGCCCCGTACTTCTCAGGGATGGCCTTGGTAGAGATGTACTTCCGGCTGGGCAGCTCATACCGGGGGTCGGCCGTCTTCAGCAGCACCTTGAAGGTGGGCTCGTCCACGATGGAGGCTGGGTACAGCCCCTCGCAGATGAGGCCCAGCACGGCGGCCGTCAGCTCCTGCTGCTTCTTGCTGTCGTAGCCGTGGCCGGCCTTGACGGCCAGCGCGTCCTGCCCGGGCTGCTGGGACGACTCGGGCTTCAGCTTGGAGAAGGCGGTGGCGAAGGCTTCACGCATCTGCTCCGTGTTGCTCTTGACGAACTCGCAGAATTCCTCGGGGTGGTTCTTCTCCAGGTGGTAGGACAGGTTGGAGGTGTTTCCGGAGTAGGCGATCTGGGCCATGCAGATGCGGCAGTAGATTTTCTTCCACTGCAGGATGCATCCCTCGGCGTTGGTGTCGAAGCCGAAATACTTCCACACCTTGCTCTTGGCGCGGGGGTGGGCCACCAGCTTCAGGTCTGTCTGGGAGCTCTCCAGGCTTTTATTCTCCATTGCTTCTCCACCGGAGCCTGCCTGCTGGACGGCTGCTCATGCGTGGGGACCTGCTGAGAAGGGCCAAGACAAACACAGCATGAGAAGGGACCCAGGCACGCACGGGAGCCCTGCCGGGGAGACAGACAGGGTGCCGGGGCAGCTCCGCTTTCAACCAAAGGGCACTGGGGCCGGACGGCTGGACCTTCCTTGCGGGTCACTTTTGCAGAGTGGAGGAGGGAACCTAGCGCAGGAATACGCTCTTTCTTCCACGTTAATCCGACTGCAGCGATGCCGCACGTGTCAACATACAGGTTTGCGAGTGAGCACGGCATTTTTGCAGGGCTGTACCTGACAAGTGCCTTTAGTTTTTTTTTTTTTTTTTTTTTGAGACAGAGTTTCGCTCTGTCACCCAGGCTGCAGTGCAATGGCGTGATCTCAGCTCACTGCAACCTCCGCCTCCCGGGTTCAAGCGATCTTCCTGCCTCAGCTTCCTCAGTAGCTGGGATCACAGGCACCTGCCATCACGCCTGGCTAATTTTTGTATTTTTAGTAGAGACAGGGTTTCACCATGTTGGTCAGGCTGGTCTCGAACTCCTGACTTCAGGTGATCCACCCGCCTTGGCCTCCCAAAGTGCTGGGATGACAGGCGTGAGTCACCGCGCCCAGCCTGACAATGCCTCTGTCATCGCAGGGGCTTGTTGTTCCTGTCCTAAGAGTTTCCCAAGCACCTGCCACGTGGGAAAGCTGCGTAGATCTTTTCTGGGGATGAAGCCTACATAGAAGAATCCACAAGTGGCCAGGCAGACCCCCCACTGCCAACCATCACAGCAGGACTCTCTGAATGCCACCTGAGCTTCATTCACTGCATTAAAGAAGCCAAACAGGACCTCCATCTGACTAAAGCCAGCTTTCCTATGGCTAAGAGGCACTGCACACTCTTCTCAAACTTTATGGTTTAAAATGAAGCCATGTGGAACGTCACAGGTGCATCCGTGATCTGTAAGCACGTCTGAAGAAGCATGGATTTCTCAATCCCTGGAACTTCTCAAAATGCCCATTGTGTCCAGTCACACCTGTGGGCAGAAAGGCCCAACTGGGCAAATATCACACACCTGTGCAAACATCAGGCAGTCGGTGTGGAGGCTTAGATGACCCAGAAGCCAGTCCCCAGGGTTCCTGTTGAGGTTGAATGCTCACACATACAGGCCCTTCCAGCTGCCACTCAGGAGGCCACCTCTGTGACTGGGTTGCCCAAAATGACAGCTGGGCTTTGTTAAAAGGTGTAATTGTGTCTCCAAGTGTCCAGTACAGTGCTCAGGAGGGTAAATATCAAAATGCACCACCCAGGCACGTTCAGAGTGTTGGGATACAGTCAGTGCAAGGAGGCATATTTCAATGATGACTATAGTGGGTTGAAAAGCGTCCTCCCCTACCAAAGAAAATCTGTATCCACCTGGTACTTGTGTATGGGACCTTGTTTGGAAAAAGGGTCTTTGCAGATGTATTAATAATGAAGGTAAGGATCTTTAGATGAGATTATTCTCAATTGAGGTGGTCCTAAATGCAGTGACCAGTGTCCTTAATAGAAGACAGATGAGGAGACACGGACACACAGGAGAAGACCACATGGAGACAGAGGCCGAGACTGGAGTGATGCGGCCACAAACCCAGAACGCCTGGAGCCCCCAGGAGCTGGGAGAGGCAGGAAGGATCCTCCTCTAGAGCCTCCACAATGAACTGGATAAAATCATGGTGGATTGAACAGTGGCCCGCAGAAAGATCTGTCCACAGCCTAAAGCCCAGGATGTGGAATGAGATCTTACTTGGTTATTAGAAATTTTGTAGATCTCATGAGTTAAGGATCTGGAGATGAGATCATCCGGGATTTGAGTGAGCCCTAAATGCAGTGACAGATGTCCTTATAAAAGACAGAAGAGGAGACACAGACACAGAGAAGGCCACATGGAGACAGAGGCAGAGACTAGAGTGATGATGTGGCTGGCCTGAAGCCCAGGGACGCCAGGAGCCCCCAGGAGCTGGGAGAGGCAGGAAGCACCCTCCGCGTAAGCCTCCGGAGGGAGCGCAGCCCTGAGACACTTTGATTACAGACTTCTGGCCTCCAGAACTGGGAGAGAATAAGCTATGGTTTTAAGCCCTCCGGTTTCTGGTACTTTATTAAAGCAAGGTATTCTGAAGGTTAATTTTGCCCGAAATAATGAGTGGAGGTCTTAGAAAGGCCCCCCGTCTTCACGGGCAGTCGCGGCCTGCGTTGCTGGCTTTCCGTCAACGGTGCCCGCCCAGTGCTTTTTAGGGAGACGCCGCCACGTGCCAGGTGAGCTGGGCATTGCCAGAGCCCAGCAGTGCCACTTCCCAAGACTGGGGTGCAAGGAGGGGGGTCCTGTGGCCAATGCCAGCACCCTGGTTTGTTCTAAGGTGCTGAGAGAATGAATAACATGACCGGGACTTCCACAAAACGAGGAACCCCCAAACTGCATCTTCTGCAGCCGAGTTAGGGTGGGGCCCCTGGATTACACAGTCAACGGAGGGGGAAAAGAATCTCAAGAGGCCTCCTAAGTCCGACCTGAGTGACAGGACACAGCTGTATCAGATCCTCCATCATCATCATCATCATATTATTATTTGGCTGAAACAGGTTTTGGTAATTGGGAGGAAAAGGTTTACATTCCATTATTATTATTTGTGCTATTGGGCTGAAAGAGGTCCCAGTCCTCAAACAAAAGTTTAAATTCTATTTATTATTATTATTATCATTATTATTATTATTATGTGGCTGAAAGCGGTTCTGGAACCTGAAGGAAAGGTTTCAATTCCATTATTATTATTATTTTTATTATTATGAAGATTAGGCTGGAAGAGGTCCCAGTACCAGTAACAAAGGTTTATATTCTAATTATTATTGTTACGGTTGTTATTATTATTAGGCTGAAAAAGGTCTCAGTACCTGTAGCAAAGATTTTTATGCTGGCACCAGGCACAGCGGCTCACGCCTGTACTCTCAGCACTTTGGGAGGCCAAGGTGGGTGGATCATCTGAGGTCAGGAGTTTGAGACCACCCTGGACAACATGGTGAAACCCCTCCTCTACTAAAAATACAAAATTAGCCGGGCGTGGTAGTGGCACATGCCTGTAGTCCCAGCTACTCGGGAGGCTGAGGCACGAGAATCGTTTGAACCCGGGAAGCAGAGGTTGCAGTGAGCCGAGATGGCGCCATTGCACTGTAGCCTGGGCAACAAGCGCAAAACTCCGTCTCAAAGAAAGAAGAAAACAAAAAAAAAGATATATATGCTATTATTACTATTGTTTTTAGGCTGGAAGAGGTCCCGATACCTGGAAGAAAAGTTTGTACTCGGTTATTATTATCTGTCTGAAAGAGGTCCTGAAAGCTGGAGCAAACATCCATATTCTATTATTATTATTATTATTGTGATTGTTTGACTGAAAGAAGTCCCAGTGCCTGGGGCCAAGGTTTATATTCTATTATCATTGCTGTTATTATTATTTGGCTGAAACAGGTCCTGGTACCTGTAGCAAAGGCTTATATTATTACATTATTATTATTATTAGGCTGGAAGAGGTCTCGACACCTGGAACAAAAATTTTCATTCTATCATTATTATTATTATTAGGCTGAAAGAGGTTCTAGAACCTGGAGCAAAGGTTTTTATTCTATTATTATTACTTTTGTTATTAGGCTGAAAGAGGTCCCAGTAACAGAACAAAAGTTTATATTCTATTTTATTACTATTTGGCTGAGAAAGGTGCCAGGACCTGTAGTAAAGGTTTATATTCTATGATTATTATTAGGCTGAAAGAAGTCCGGGTACCTGGAACAAAAGTTTATATTTTATTATTATTATTTAGCTGAAAAAGGTTCTGGCACTTCAGTCAAAGGTTTATGTTCTATTATTATCATTATTATTATTATTTGGCTCACAGGTGTCCCAGTACCTGGACCAAAGGTCTGTTTTCTATTAATACTATTCTTATTATTACTATTTGGCTGAAAAAAGGTTCTGGTACCTAGAGCCAAGTTTTATATTCCACTATTATTATTTGGTTGAAAGAGGTCCCAGTACCTAGAAGAAAAGTTTATATTCTATTATCATTATAATTATTATTACTGTCATTATTGTTGGTCTGAAAGAGGTCCTGGTACTGTGAACAAAGGTTTATATTCTATTATTATTCTTATTTGGCTGAAAGAGCTCCCAGGACCTGGAGCAAAGGTTTATATTCTATCATTATTATCATTATTACTACTGTTATTATTATTACTGGGCTGAAAGAGGTCACAGTACCCTGAACAAAGGTTTATATTCTATTGTCATTATTATTATTATTGTTATTATTTGGCTGAAAGACGTTCCAGGAGATGAAGCAAAGGTTTATATTCTATCATTATTATCATTATTACTATTATTATTATTATTACTGGGCTGAAAGAAGTCACAGTACCCTGAACAAAGGTTTATATTCTATTATCATTAATATTATTATTATTATTTGGCTGAAAGACGTTCCAGGACGTGAAGCAAAGGTTTATATTTTATCATTATTATCATTATTCCTATTGTTGTTATTATTATTGGGCTGAAAGACGCCCCAGTACCATGAACAAAGGTTTATATTCTATTATTATTAATATTATTGTTATTATTTAGGTGAACAAAGGTTTCTATTCTATTATGATGATCATCATTTGGCTGAAACAGGTCTAGTACCTGGAGTGAAGTTTTGTACTAAGAGCCAAAATTCCCAAACCCCTAACCAAGTGACTCCTGGAAGGAGAAACAAGAAGCTCCCTCCCACGTCTCCTGCTGTCAGAATTCCATGGGATTCCCAGGTAAAGAACCGTCCACACAGTAGGTGGGTTCCACCTGAACCCACGTAACAGCCACAGCAGAGCTGACCTTCTGCAGTGAGTACCCTCCTTCCTCCTTCCTCCTCCCTTGCAGCGCTTCCGAGCACACAAGGCCACGAATAAAGGTTGCTGTAAACCAGCCTCTCACTGCCTCATTCTTCAAGACTGGTGCAGCATCCCCAGTGCGGGGGGAGGGGGGTTTGGGGGGGACACTCCCCAAAACGCTCTCAGGGGGCCGGCGATTTCACGTTTCCAATTGCACATCCATGAGAGGCCAGTGGATGTGCCTCACATGACTCTTACCAGAACGACACGTCGCAAGAGACCAGTGTGAAGAAGCAGAGGAAGGAGCCAGCCGCCATCCGTCCCTTTATGGATGAGACTGACAAAACCCTAAAACTCAGCCACTCTTCTCCCTAGGTTTTTGTTATTTTGGAAATGACAATCATTTTTCTTTTAAAAAACATACAGCACATGGCCAAAGGGTACCAAGTTTCTGTTCGACAGGAGGAATCCGTTTCAGTGACCTACTGCACAGCGTGGTGGCGATAGTTAATAGTGTATTACATATTTCAAAATAGCTAAAAGAGGTTTTTATTTTTGTTTTTGTTTTTTTGTTTTTTTGGTTTTTTTGAGACGGAGTCTCGCCCTGTTGCCCAGGCTTGAGTGCAGTGGCGCAATCTTGGCTGACTGCAACCTCCACCTCCCAGGTTCACACCATTCTCCTGCCTCAGCCTCCCAAGTAGCTGGGACTACAGGCGCACACTGCCACACCCAGCTAATTTTTTGTATTTTAGTAGAGATGGGGTTCCACTGTATTGCCCAGACTGGTCTCAAACTCCTGAGCTCAGGCAATCCACCCGCCTCAGCCTCCCAAAGTGCTGGGATTATAGGCATGAGCCACCGCACCCGGCCCGCCAATAGAGATTTTAAATGTCTTGCGTGCAGTGTATACTGCTTGGGTGATGGGTGCACCAGAATCTCACAAATCACCACTAAAAAACTTACTCATGGAATCAAACACCACCTGTTCCCCAATAACCTATGGAAATAAAAAACAAAAATAGCTAAAAGAGATTTTAAATGTTCCCACCGCAAAGGAAAAATAGCGGGTGATAGATATTAGTTTAATTATTCCACAATGCAAACATACAGCAAAGCATCACACTGTGCCCCATAAGTGTACACATTTATATATTTATATAAAAATATCAATTGTTTTTATTTACATCTAAATTATATAAATATAACTTATTTGTATTTTATATTTATAGAAAAGTATAAATTATTCTAAAAATATATATATTTAATAAAAATAAAATATAAAAACAATAAATATATTACATACATTTTTGTATGTAACATGTAATTGGCCTGTTACCATTACTTTTAAATAGATTGTTAAATATGTTTTAAATTTCTGTTTTAATGTCTAACAGGATGACTTATTGACTGTTATAATCCACAAAAACAAAAACTGTCTGGGGTCCTCATTTTTTTTGAAAGAGATTCTATGATCAAGGAATTGGAGGCCGGGGGCAGGGGCTCACCCCTGTAATCCCAGCAATTTGGGATGCCAAGGTGGACTATCACCTGAGGTCAGGAGTTTGAGACCAGCCTGACCAACATGGAGAAACCCCATCTCACTAAAAATACAAAATGAGCCAGGCATGGTGGCACATGCCTGTAATCCCAGCTACTCGGGAGGCTGAGGCAGGAGAATCGCTTGAACCCGGGAGGCAGAGGTTGTGGTGAGCTGAGATCACGCCATTGCACTCCAGCCTGGGAAACAAAAGCGAAACTTGGTCTCAAGAAAAAGAAGAAGAAGTTGGAAAACTGCTGTTTTTACTTCTACCTGATTTCTAATAGCCACTGTTCACTACTCATAAAACCAACAAGAATTAACTTTCCCTTTACAGGTTAAAAAAAAAATAGTTTGAAAAGTAGGACTTCTATAAATAGCTTTGTAAGTGGGCCAGTTGGCATATTTTTTGTAAATACTCACTCCTGTGGTACAGCATTTACGAATCCATTTTGCATCCCAGAAAGTGAAGGAATATTCTGTGGCCTATTATTTACAATAGAACTTTTAAGAAAAATTCTGTGGCAGTATTGGAACTGGACTTGACTACAGGTACCATCAATTTTCTCTCCTTTGCAAAACTCATTGATGTATCAGAGAAAATGTAATTTCTAAACAGATCACCCTGTTATTAATACCGGTGGGTAGAGACTTTCTTTACTCAATATGATCATTTTCAACAGATTTCAGGCCATATCAATGTTCAAGTTTTGATGCCATATTAGGATATTAAATGCACTGATTAAATCATCTATTTTAAAATCCAACCAACAGATACAACTTACTGAATGGGCCGCATGGATATAGTCTTAAGAACACAGAGACAGACCCTCTTATGGGAATTCTCAATTTGCTTCTAAACCCCCTCTGTAAAGGCATGACCAACATCTATGATTAATTTGTAATTATCTTGTTTTTCCATGATGAACTGTAAGAAGACACCATTTAGGAGTGGATTCCAGCCACAATTTCTTCCTTCTCATACCATGTAAGTCAACTCATGTGGAAGGTGTAACCCAGGCATTTCCTTTGTACGATACCTAAGAAGAACACGCTCCATTTGGAAGTTCTAAGAAAAAACTGCCCTTGCTTCCAATCTGCAGTGGGGAAATTGGCCCTCTTGGTTATTCAAACAGCTTAGCTCAAATGCCCTGGACAAAGTTCAATGTTTCCTCACCAACAGCGAAGGCCTACCAGAGAGAAGCAAATAAAAAATGCCGTTTAGGAAGCTGGCCACCAGCAGACCAAGGACAACAGCATTCCTCCACTGGTATCGAAAATTATTTTTAATCCATACATAGGAAGGGGCTCGATGAGGGCAAGCCACTTAAGTTAATCTTTAGAGAAGGCCATTCTGTTTCGATACACACCCGGGTACAGATTCCCTTGGCAGACACGTGACTTCACCAGAAGCTCGTCCTCTTTAACAACCTTCTGTTGTTGTTTAATCAGTAAATGGGAAAAAAAAAAAAAAAAAAGATTCCAGCCCTTTTTCTAATGCACAAAGAGCAAGTTTTTCAAAGGCCAGCATTTTGGTGAGCTGCTGCAGGAACCCCGGCCTCTTCTGCCAGGGCCCACACAGGCCCTTAAGGAGGTTTAAGGGGACCTTTCTGTAAGCAAAACTGCCCGGATAAACATAATCTTCTGCGAGACTCCACACAATTGTTCAGCAGCTGTAAACCGTTCACCTTGCAACTGATTACTTACTTCAAACAAACATGCTCTCCTGCCCTCCGAAAGCCTGACTACAGTTCCCTTTACTCTCCTTCTTCTATGCATTTGTAATTATGCTAAGTGGGTTTAAAAAAAAATACTGAAGGCCAGTTTGGCAGAAAAAGAAAAGCTTAGCTCACAGAAAACTCAAAGCTCTTTTTCTCTGGCTAGAGGCGGGAGAGAGAGGCTCATTTTAAAACATCCACTCCAGGCACGCTTCTCAAAGGGTGGCGCTGGGACCCCTGGGATTCCTTCAGTGGGTGCAGAGTGGAAGTCAAAAGTCATTTCACAATAAGGCACCCAAGCGCTTCGCCTGGCTGACTCCCAGTCTCCCAGAGGCGTGCAGTAGTGTCTTCCAGAGGCCTCCTGACATGCCATGAAACTGTCTACAGAGGCAGAAATAACAGCTCTCTTCTTAGGCTGGACATTTAAGACATTCAGGGCAACGTACACCCCCACCCCCACCACACTGACCCTCTGAACGCTCTGTTTTGGAAAACTGTTATTTTTGAAACAAAGTATCATTTAACCTAACATGGAATTAACATTCCCTTTATTCCAGTTCACAAATAATTGTTTACAGGTTTCTAGGTTTAAATTGAGAATATGGGCTGGGCACAGTGGCGCTCTGTCTGTAATCCCAGCAGTTTGGGAGGCCCAGACTGGAGGATTGCTGCAGGCCAGGGGTTCAAGACCAGCCTGGGCAACATGGTGAGATGCCATCTCTACAAAAAATTTAAAACATTAGCCAGGCGTGGTGGCTCACGCCTGTAAACCCAGCACTTTGGGGGACCCAGGTAGGAGGATTGCTTCGGCCCATGAGTTTCAGACCAGCCTGGGCAACGTAGCAAGACCCTATTGCTACACAAAAAAATTAAAACATTAGACAGGTGTGGTGGCTCACACCTGTAATCCCAACAGTTTGGGAGGCAAAGGAAGGAAGATCGCTTGAGCCCAGGAGTTCGAGACCAGCCTGAGCAACATAGCAAGACCCCGTCTACAAAACTTTAAAACATTAGTCGGATGCAGTAGCTGGTGCCTGTAATGCCAGCACTTTGGGAGGCTGAGGCAGGAGGACTGCTTGAGCCCAGGAGTTCGAGAGTAGCCTCGGCAACAGAGCAAGACTTCATCTCTACTTCCTATTACAAAAAATAATAATAATAATAAATTCTGAACCTGCAAATCTAGGAACAGAAGTTATCTGCATACACAAAACACAGTGGCGGTCATCACTGATGAGTTCAGACAGTGAACGAGTCCTGCAAAGTTGGAGATCTGTGACTCAGAGATGTTTACAAAGGCCAAGGAAACAAAGTTGCCACTTAACGGGCCTGCCCTCCCCACCAGACCTCCGTGGCTCCCCAGTGCCCGAGAAGCCGCCTCTGGGCCCCCTCTGGAGACGTCCTCCGGAGAAGGGCCCATCCTCACTTACCCTGGGGTGGGTAGGGGTCGAGGTCCCTGGGACGCCCGCTCCTCCCCTCCGGGGCCTGGCGGGGGCGCGCGGTCACTGGCCGACCGCAGGCGGCAGGCAGAGCCGCCTGATGTCTTGGGCGCGGGGCGTGCGAGCCCCCGGGTCCCCGGCCATGGCCCGGAGGTGTCAGGGTGCGCGGGGGGGCGGCTGCACGGGGGCTGCTTGGTTGGAGCCCGACCCGGGACAGGCGGGGAGGCCACACGCGCGGGGAGGGAAGGGTCGGGCCGGGTCGGGCCGGGCCAGGCGCGCAGAAGAGCCGGCGGGGACGGAAAGCGCGGGGCGGGGAGGTCCCAGCGCGCACGCCGCCCCCCCCCCACCCCCGGCCACACCTCGACCCCCGCCCAGCCCCACTTCCGGGAGCGCCACCGCCTCGCCAAGGTCACGCGGAGCCCCCGCGCCCCCGCCCCCGAGCCAGCCCGCGCCCACCCGGGTCCCCGGAGCCCTGACCCCTGCCCCGCCCCGCTGACCTGGCTCCAGGAAGCCCCCGCGGCAGCGCCGCAGCAGCTGCGCCAGGATCACCGCGGCGCCTACCGCGTAGACCCGCAGGGCCGCCCGCGCCGCAGACAATGGCGACATGGCTGCCCCGGCCGCGCCGCCGCCGCTTCCGCGCCGCCCGCGGGACTCTGCGCCCGCCCGCCCGGACGGACGGCGGAAACGCGCGCGCCCCGGACCGCCCCCTGCCCGCCCCGAACCGCCCCGGCCTGCGGGGAACCCCCAACCCCAGACCCCGCCCGGGCCCTCTGGGATCCCGCACCGCCTGCAGGACTGGGGACCCCGAGCGGACAACCGACCCCAGCCAGGACACCCCCCCCAGGACCACAGACTCCAGCCAGGAACCCCCCCCTGCAAGGACCATAGACTTCAGCCAGGACCCCCCCCCCCAGGACCACAGACCCCAGCCAGGACGCCCCCAGGACCACTGACCCCAGTCAGGACCCCCCCTTCAGGACCACAGACCCCAGCAGGGACCCCCCACACACACCCCCAGCCAGGACCACAGACCCCAGCCAGGAATCCCCCCCAGGACCACAGACCCCAGCAGGGACCCTCCACACCTCCTCCAGGACCACAGACCCCAGCAGGGACCCTTCCCCCTCCCGGCAGGACTGCAGACCCCAGCAGGGATCCCCACCACCACAAGACCAACAGCCCCAGCCAGGACGCCCCCAGGACTACAGACCCCAGCCAGCACCCAAGTCAGATCCATAGACTCCTCCCAAGAACACCCCCCAGGACCCCAGACCCCTGCTGGGACCCCCAAGACCACAGGCCCCCCCACTGGGGCACGCCCAGACACCCCACCAAGAACCCCACCAGGACTACAGACCTCCACCAGGACTCCCCAGTACCACAGATCCTCCCAGGGCCCCCCAGGACCACAGACCTCCACTGGGACCCCCACCACCAGGACCCCTCTCCAGGATCACAGACCCCTACTGGGGCCCCCTTCTAGGACCTCCACCTCCATCACAACCACCCCCCGGACCACAGGCCCCAGCCAGCACCCCACAAGACCACAGACCCCTGCCAGGACGCCCCCCAGGACTACAGACCCCAGCTGGACTGCCTCTCCAAGACCCCACACTCCAGCCAAGACCATGGAACCCCATTCAAGCCCCAGCCAGGACCCCCACCATGGGATCACAGATCCCCTACCCAGACCCTGCAGGGGACCAGGACCACCACGGGAACCACCCTCCCCATCTTAGCCAGAATCATGTAACCCCACGCAGACCTCAGCAGGGACCACAAGGACTTGGACCCCATAGGGAACCCCAGACAACCACCCAGAGCCATGCCAGGATTATGGACCAGGACTCCCACAGAGGACTCTGAACAGCTGTAAGGACCATGGACCCCACACCCTAATTCGTACTGACACCACAGAACCTGCCCCAAGCACGGACCCCACACCCCAGTTCCTGCTGACACCACAGAACCTGCCCCAAGCACGGACCCCACACCCCAGTTCCTACTGAGACCACAGACCCCACCCCAATTCCTGCCAGGCCACAGACACCACCCACCAAACCTACCCCTCCACTTCCCTGCCCCCAACAACCCTGCAGGGATCACAGACCCCCTTCCCGGCCCCTGCAGAGAACTCCAGACTACTTCAGGGACCACGAGCCCCCTCCCCACCCTGATCCCTACTGGGACAGCAGACCCCTACTCAGACCTTGGTTGGGAACCCCAGACAACCACAGAGTTACCTGGGCTCCCTCAGGGAACCCCAGACCAGCACAGAACCCCCACCCAGACCCTTACCAGGGCCAAGGCTGAAATCCCACATGGACCCCCCAGCAGACTCCTACTGGAATTCTTCATGGAACCCCCCACCCAGACACTCAGACCTTCACCCCACCACAACCCTCCCAGTCCCACACCTGGTCCCCCAGGGGACCCCAGACCTGGCATCCGGGACTCCACACAGATCCTAACACCCGCTGTGTTTGGGAGACAGGAGCCTGGGAGAGCTGGGGTGACACCATTTTAATCATCAACTCCATCTTAAAAACCAGGAAGACACATTCCTTGCCGGTCACGGCCCATGGTCATAAGATGTTTACGGCTGAAGAAATGACTTAATAATGCCTCCAAGGACAAACACAGACGACAGCGGAATGTCTGGATGTCGCCATATCGCGTAACCACATATGCTGTTAAAGATAATTACAGTCATGCATGGACGTGCTTGGGCGCGAAAATGCAAAGGATGGCTCTCTCTAAATCAACTAAGGAATAAATGTCACGCCGTCAGACATAACCTAGCTTTTACATAGATAAGACAGACCCCTATAGAAGGAAGCTTTAAAACAAACACAAGGTGTTACACCTCTATGACAAAACAGTTTCTTTTTTTTTCTTTCTTTCTTTTTCTTTTTTTTTTTTTTTGAGACAGAGTCTGGCTCTGTGGCCTAGGCTGGAGTGCAGTGGCGCAACCTCAGCTCACTGCAACCTCCACCTCCCAGATTCAAGAGAGTCTCCTCTCTCAGCCTCCCTGGTAGCTGGGATTACAGGCATGCACCAGCACACCCAAATAATTTTCGTATTTTTAATAGAGATGGGATTTCACCATGTTGGCCTGGCTGGTCTCAAACTCCTGACCTCAGGTAATCTGCCCACCTCGGCCGCCCAAAGTGCTGGGATTACAGGTATGAGCCACCACACCCAGCATGTAATGGAATAGTTTCTAATAAACTAAAACTTCCCTGTACTCTTATGACTTACCTTGAATTACTTCTTGAGCAATATCCAAGAACCCACTCTTGGGGGCTAGATCGGGACCCCTCTCCTGCAACACTGGGACCCTAAATCACCAACCCTATCATCCCCAGGACCCAGACCTCCACCTTCACTCTAGGTCTGCACCCTCATACACGTGCCGATGGGCACCCCCCAGCCCCTGCCGAGGTCCAGGAGTGAGAATCTCCACCAGCAAGTCACCTGACCCTAGCCAGGAACTCTATCCCTGCTGGGAGCCAGAACCCCACACTCCACATCTCACTGGGACCCTGGCACCTTGCAGGGCCACAACCTATCTGGAACTTTGGCCCCCATTGGGATGCATCCCCACTCCCATAGGAATTGAACCCTCCAGGCCTCACTCCCCACAGAACCTCAACAGGCACTAAGGGGCACCCCCAGTGTGCAGGTTGCACCCAGCCACTGGGTGGGCTCTGGTGCAGATCTAAGATGATTGGAATACAGAGACCTACCCGGCGACCTCAGGTGTGGCCAGGTGACCAAGCTGGGTTAAGAAGGGTCTTTGTGGCCTTTGCAACCCTCTGTCCTACAGATGAGGAAACTGAGGCCAGGAAGACCAAGGGATGGGGCTGTCCCATTTGGCCAAGTGTGCCAGGTATCTTCACATGTGCCCAAGTATGCTCAGGTGTCGCCAGGTATGCTCAGGTGTGATTCAGTAACCAGGTTGGATTAAGAAGGCTCCTTGTGGGCCAGGTGCAGCGCCTCACGCGCACAATCCCAGCACTTTGGGAGGCTGAGAAGGGTGGATTGCTTGAGCCCAGGCGTTCGAGACCTGCCTGGGCAACATAACAAAACCTGTCTTTATTATTTTTATATAAAAAAATTAAATTAAAAAAGAGGGCTTCTCCAGGCACAGTGACTCACGCCTGTAATCCCAGCACTTTGGGGGGCCAAGGCGGGCAGATCACCTGAGGTCGGGAGTTCGAGACCAGCCTGGCCAACATGGAGAAACTCTGTCTCTACTAAAAATACAAAATTAGCTGGAAATAATGGCGCATGCCTGTAATCCCAGCTACTCAGGAGGCTGAGGCAGGAGAATTGCTTGAACCCAGGAGGCGGAGGTTGCAGTGAGCCGAGATTGCTCCATTGCACTCTAGCCTGGGCAACAAGAGGGAAACTCCATCTCAAAAAAAAAAAAAGGTTATTCCAGCCTTTGCAACCTTCTGTCCTACAGATGAGAAAACTGAAGCTTTCTCGTTTGGCCATGTGTCCAGATATCCTGAGGCGTGCCCAGGTATCCTCAGGTGTGACCAGGTATGCCTAGGTGTGGCCAGGGCACCCAGCCAGAAGCATTGGGAAAATCCACAGTCACCCCTGTCCCCACCTTAAAGTTTTCCCAGGAGAGCTGCCGTTGCATGGGGTGTGAAACCGTGACCCCACTGCCAAATTCAGAAGGACCAAGGATTCCACCAGGAGCAGCAGGGGAGTGGGCTTATTGTAGCCCGACATGCTCCTCCCTTTGGGGACTTCTGGTAGTTATCTAAAAGGATGTTTGTGAGCAAAAGGATAGTGACGTCTAGAGCCATGAATTGGGGGGCTAAAAGCAGAATGCATCACCTGGTGCTTCCAGCAATGGTTTGGGAGACACCCCTACCTTCCCCACAACCCACTTATCTTCTCAGAGGCTCATTTCATCATCTGTCATATATTGACTTTGATTTCCATGTGAATGTTTTTAGCCACTGCTGTAATAAATGGCCACGAATGTAGCAGCTTTAAACAACACAAAGTTATTATCTCAAGTCTGCAGGTAAGATGTCCCAAAAACGGGCTCAACCGGGTCACTTGCTCAAGGTCACTGATATGGTTTCGCTGTGTCCCCTCCCAAATCTCATCTTGAATTGTAGCTCCCATAATTCTCATGTGTTGTGGGAGGGACCCAGTGGGAGATAACTGAGTCATGGGGGCGGTTTCTCGCACACTGTTCTCATGGCAGTGAATAAGTCTCATGAGATCTGATGGGGTTTTTTTTTATTTGTTATTTTTGTTTTGTTTTGTTTTGTTTTGAGACAGAGTTTCACTCTTGTTGCCCAGGCTGGAGTGCAATGGCAGGATCTCGGCTCACTGCAACCTCTGCCCCCCGGTTCAAGAGATTCTCCTGCATCAGCCTTGCGAGTAGCTGGGATTACAGGCTTGTGCCACCATGCCTGGCTAATTTTTTGTATTTTTAGTAGAGATGGGGTTTCACCATGTTGGCCAGGCTGGTCTCGAACTCCTGACCTCAGCTGATCCACCCACCTTGGCCTCCCAAAGTGCTAGGATTACAGGCGTGAGCCACCGTGCCCAGCAATCTGATGGTTTTATAAGGGGAAATCCCTTTCGCTTGGCTCTCTCTGTCTTGTCTGCAGCCATATAAAACGTGCTTTTCACCTTCTGCCATGATCGTGAGGCCTCCCCAGTCACATGGAGCTGTGAGTCCATTAAAGGTCTTTTTTTTTTCTGAGATGGAGTTTTCGCTCTTGTTGCCAAGGCTGGAGTGCAATAGCATGATCTCAGCTCACTGCAGCCTCTACCTCCCAGGTTCAAGCAATTCTCCTGCCTCAGCCTCCGGAGTAGCTGGGATTACAGGTGCCCACCACCACGCCTGGCTAATTTTTGTATTTTTAGTAGAGACAGGTTTTCACCATGTTGGCCATGCTGGTCTCAGACTCCTGGCCTCAGGTAATCCACCCGCCTTGGCTTTAACCTTTTTTTCTTTATAAATTACCCAGTCTCAGGTATGTCTTTATCAGCAGCGTGAAAATGGACTAATACAGTCACAAAAGGTCAAAATGACGATGTCTACCCCCTGGGCTCTTCGCAGGAGGCCCTGGAAAGAATTGGTTTGCAAGCTTATTCCCATTTTTAGAAAATTCAGTCTCTTGTTGTCATGGGACTGAAGTCATCCTTTCCTCACTGATTGTCATAGAAGGGGTGTGGGGAGCACAACCCTGAGCTCTTAGAGTCCTCTCTCTGGTCCTTGAAAGTGTCTGCTCCATCTGTAAGCCAGCTCTGCTTCATCTTGAAACCAGCAGGGGCCACTTAGAGTCCAGTTCACCATTAGAATCTCACTGACTTTGTGTGCCATGTCCCTCACCTTCTCTCCTCCCTCCAGCCAGAGAAAGTTCTGTTCTTTCAAGGGCTCCCATGTGATCAGATAGGGCCCACCAAGGAAATCCAGCATACTCTTCCTATTTAAAGGTTCACGCCTGTCATCTCAGCACTTTGGGAGGCCGAGGCAGGCAGATCACCTGAGGCCAAGAGTTCGAGACCAGCCTGGCCAACATGGTGAAACCATGTCTCTACTAATAATACAAAAATCGGCTGGGCGTGGTGGTGGGTGCCTGTAATCCCAACTACTCGGGAGGCTGAGGCAGGAGAATCACTTGAACATGGGAGGCGGAGGTTGCAGTGAGCCAAGCTGGAGCCACTGCACTTCAGCCTGGACAACAGAGCAAGAGTCCATCTCAAATAAATAAATAAATAAATAAATAAATAAATAGTTTATAACCTCAATTGCACCTGCAGTGTTCCTTGGTGCCATATATGACATTACCATAGTGACAGGTTCCGGGAGATTCAGGTGTGGAAGACTTTGGGAAGGACAGGAGATTATTCAGCCTACAGTAGCGTGGTTTACAAATTCCTGTCTATTTCAGGATTTCATAAGCAGGTTTGAAATTGCATTCACCTAAACCGGAACAGGCCAGGACAGCAGGGGCAGGAGATGCTCCCTGGAGGAGCTTACATGAAGGACACCCCTACTGGAAGAGAGAGAAGGATATTGCAGGGTGGGGGCCCTGTCCTTAGGACTTCTGGTTGACCCAGGGCCAACTTCCCCATCACGCATCCTAAGCTGAGTGTGAGGATCTCATGAAACTCTTCAGGGTCCATAACAATGCTTTAAGTTAATGTGTCTCAAATCAGAAAAAATATATATAATAATGAATATAAATCATGCACACAGTCCAGAAAATATGTCTTTTTATCAACACAGTTGTAAGATTTATGAGGTCATAGGCCGGAAGCAGTGGCTCACGCCTGTAATCCCAGCACTTTGGGAGGCCGAGGTGGGCAGATCACCTGAGGTCAGGAGTTTCAGACTAGCCTAGCCAACACGGTGAAAACCTATGTCTACTAAAAATACCAAAAAAAATAGCTGGGTATGGTGGCAGGCGCCTGTAATCCCAGCTACTTGAGAGGCAGAGGCAGGAGAATTGCTTGAACCTGGGAGGCGGAGGCTGCAGTGAGCTGAGATCAAGCTATTGCACTAAAGCCTTGGCAACAAGAGCGAAACTCCGTCTCAAAAAAAAAGAAAGAAAGATATATGAGGTCACACTATTGCTCAGGCTGGAGTGCAGTGCTGCGATCTCCAGTCACTGCAGCCTCCATCTCCTGGGTTCAAACAATCTTCCTGCCTCAGCCTCTCAAGTAGCTGGGACCACAGGTGCACACCACCATGCCTGGCTCTTTTTTTTCTTTTGGTAGAAATGGGATCTTGCTATGTTGCCCAGGCTGGTCTCAAACTCCAGGGCTCAAGTAATCGTCCTGCCTCAGCCTCCCAAAGAGCTGGGATTACAGGCATGAGCCACCATATCTGGTATATTTTTTAGTGGAAGAGGCAAAGATGGCCACAGTGTGGCCCTTCAGGGGGCCTGATCCGAAAACATCACCGTGGGCTGGGGTGGTCTGTTCCTGTCAGCCCCTGGTCATGCAGGAGGGCTTCAGTGATGTTAGCCACATTCTAAACAGAAACAGCTTGAGGTTTCTCCAGGGAATCTTGTTCTGTTAAATAGCACCTGTGGGGTCAAAGTTCAGCCCACTAGCAACAATTCCTGATAGCGCAGTGCCTCCCTCCCGTGAGATTCTCCTTGAAATTTAGCAGCCTGGAAAGCAACCTTCCTGGTTGTAAGATATGTGGGCCAGTCTCCCTGTGCGTGGGGACACAGCCTCTGTATCTCTCTCCTATTCCTGGTGCTAATTCTCTCGTGCACATAGTAGAATCCCAGTAAATAACCATGTAATTCATTAGTAATAATATAATAGACTATTGTAATCCATTTTGATGTCCCAATTGACCTTAGCTGTGATTCATGTTTCCTTTATTCTTTTCTTTATTTTCTTTCTTTCTTTGCTTGCCTTTGTTTCTCTCTCTTTTCCTTCCTTCCTCTCTTTCTTTCTTCTCTTTCTTTTTTCTTTTGCTTGCTTTCTCTCTCTCTCGTTTTCTTTTTCTCTTTTTCTTTCCCTTTTCTCTTTTTTCTCCTTACTCTTCTCTTTTTCTCTCTCTTTTTCTCTTCTCTTTCTCTTTCTTTTTCTTTCTCCTTTGTTTCTCTTTCTCCTTTCTCTTTCTTTTTCTTTCTCTTCTCTCTCTCTCTCTCTCTCTCTGTCTCTGTGTCTCTCTCTTCCTGTTGAGGTCTCATTCTGTTGCTCAGGCTTAAGTGCAGTGGCACAGTCATAGCTCACTGCAGCCTCAATCTCCCAGGCTCAACGGATCCTCCTGCCTCAGCCTCTCAAGTCATTGGTACTACAGGCACACGCCACCACGTGTGACTAATTAAAAAAAATTTTTTTTGCTGTAATCCCAGCAGTTTGTCAGGCTGAGGCGAGTGGATCACTTGAGGAATTCGAGACGAGCCTGGCCAACATGGTGAAAACCCGTCTCTACTAAAAATACAAAAATTAGTCGGGCATGGTGGCATGCACCTGTAGTCCCAGCTACTGAGGAGGCTGAGGCAAAAGAATCACTTGAACCTAGGGAGGTCGGGAGGTGGAGGTTGCAGTGAGCTGAGATCGTGCCACTGCACTCCAGCCTGGGCGACAGAGCAAGTCTCCAACTAAAAAAAAAAAAAAAAAAAAAATTTATAGAGATGGAGTCTCACCATGTTGCCCAGGCAGGTCTCAAAGTCCTGGCCTCAAGGATCCTCCCTCCTTGGTTTCCCAAACTACTGGAATTACAGGCATGAGCGACCACACCTGGTCTCATGTTTTATTTTGTGTTTCAGTGTTTAATTCCTCAAAGTCATGGGCCCTGTGGCTGAGCACTGGTACATGCCTAGGCAGAGGTTATCCCCAGAGTAAACTCTCATAAAGAGGTATTCTGGGCCGGGTGCAGTGGCTCGCGCCTGGAATCCCAGCACTTTGGGAGGCTGAGGCGGGTGGATCACCTGCAGTCAGGAGTTTGAGACCAGCCAGCCCAACATAGTGAAACCCTGTCTCTACTAAGAACTACAAAAATTAGCCGGGCATGGTGGCAGACACCTGCAATCTCAGCTACTCGGGAGGCTGAGGCAGGAGAATCCCTTGAAGTTGGGAAGCGGAGGTTGCAGTGAGCCGAGATCATGCCACTGCACTCCAGCCTGGCGACAGAGTGAGATTCCATCTTAAAAAAAAAAAAAAAAAAAAAAAAAAAAAGTTGTCCTGTGCATTAGTGGATGGTTTCCGTGGAGTTTGGGATACAATGTCTGGGAAGTGCTGAAAGATTCTGAGCTGAATTATCCGCCATCCGCTTTATATAATGCTTCACATTATCAGACTCCTCACACCTTAATGATCCCTGAGCACATCTTTGAATATCATTGTGAAAAATCCCCAGAATTCATAGGGTAAGATGTTAATGAAAAGTCAATACCATTTCATGTATATCTCAGCCTCTGTCTTGGCTGGTGTTCTCAACTGGCTGTGAGCATGAAACATCCTCAAGGCTTTTTCTTTTTTCCTTTTTTTTCTTTTTTGAGATGGAGTCTCGCTCTCGTCCCCCAGGCTGGAGTGCAGTGGCAGATCTCAGCTCACTGCAACCTCCACCTCCCGGGTTCAAGTGATTCTCCTGCCTCAACCTCCCCAGTAGCTGGGATTACAGGTGCCCATCACCATGCCCAACTAATTTTGTATTTTTAGTAGAGATGGCATTTCACCATGTTGGCCAGGCTGGTCTCAAACTCCTGACCTCAGGTGATCCATCCACCTTTGCCTCCCAAAGTGCTGGGATTACAGGTGTGAGCCACTGCGCCCGGCCCTCAATGCTTTTTTTATCAAAAAATTCTAAATTATTTGGGCAACTTTTTGACAATAAGGATGTTCTACAATACATGCCTGTGATACTTTATATTTTTAGAGTGCCAAGTATCAAATCTGTTTCCATCACAAATAATATCCACCAGCTGGAATGTGTGGAGACAGCATTGCTCTGTTAAGTTCCATTAAAGGTGTTATTAGCATCTATATTAATCTGGGTTCTCCAGAGAAACAGTACCAATGGGATGGATGGATGGATACATAGATCAATAGATAGATATATTGATAGATATTAATAGATAATACATAGATGATAGACACAATGGGATGGATAGATATTAATAGATAATACATAGATAATAGATAAAATGGGATGGATGGATAGATAGATTTTTTTTTTTTTTTTGAGACAGAGTCTCACTCTGTCACCCAGGCCGGAGTGCAGTGGCATGATCTCAGCTCACTGTAGCCTCCACCTCCCAGATTCAAGCAATTCTCCTGCCTCAGCCTCCTGAGTAGCTGGGACTACAGGTGCCCACTACCATGCCCTGTTAATTTTTGTATTTTTAGTAGAGACAGGGTTTCACCATATTGGCCAGGCTGGTCTCAAATTCCTTACCTCGTGATCCACCTGCCCCTGCCTCCCAAAGTGCTGGGATTACAGGCGTAAGCCACTGCACCCAGCAATAGATAGATATTAATAGATAATACATAGATGATAGATACAATGGGATGGATGGATAGACAAATAGATATTAATAGATAATAACCAGATGATAATTGATTGATTGATAGATCTGGGCAGTATGTGCAACAAAGGTATGGCTCATCTGTTTGGCCGCTGCGTGCTCAAACCCCTTACAGGATGGAGAGCACGCAGACGGACAGATGCAGAAGCCGGGGCAAACACTTTGGGGATCTGGCCCCATGGTAGCATGAAGGGCTGGGTGCCTGCAACTCCTGAAGCCCAAGTTGTTGTGTGTTACAGTGCATTCTTTTGGCTTTGCTGTCCGCAGACAACTTGAGTGTTTGCTCTCTGTGGACAGCTTGTGCCTCCTTGGTGGCCAAGTCCTTGTCAGTGTCCTGGAAGAATCAGGTCACCCATGGACTTGAAGGATGATGAATGCAGGGGTTTTATTGAGTGGTGGAGGTGGCTCTCAGCTGGATGGATGGGGAGCTGGAAAGGGAATGGAGTGGGAAGATGGTCTTCCCCTGGAGTTTGGCCGTCCAGCAGCCGATCTCTCCAACCGTCCCCAGCTAAACTCCTCTCAGCATTCAGACACTCCTTCTCTTCTTTCTGCCAATCTTTTGCTCTTCGGTTCGTCTCCTCCTGGAGCCAGGGGTTTGGGATTTATATGGGTACAGGATGGGGGGAGTGGGGGGCCAAAAGGCAACGTTTGGGTGTGAATACAGGCATGCCTGTTCTCATTTCAGGCTGTGGGTTTCCAGGCGTGAGGGTGGGGCCTTTGCTGGGGAACCACCCTCTTCTACCCAGTATTTCCCTGTCTCCTGCCTGTATCACCTTCAGGGTGATCATTTCCTCATGCCTTGGGGGCAAGCCTGACAGCTCATTGTTGGGATTGATGCTATGGTCATTAGTATGTTTATTATTATTTTTAATCAGTATCACAATTGCATCTCTCGAGCCCACAAAGCTTTGATGGGCACAGAACTATGATTTTCATCCACAAGGACATGAAAGCATCAAGGAACTGCTATTTCAGGGCAGAGGTTTATTTTCACTTTGGTTTTGTTTACAAGGAGTTTTAGAGATTGGAGTTTCCAGGAATACAAATCACAGGTTTCCACCTATGAGAACGATATGCAGAGACAACCCCCTGCCCAGTCTGGCAGGTGTGTTCCCAGACCGAACCGAGTGTCAGACCGCTTATTGTCATGGCCCCATAATGAGACGCAGATGAATTGGGAAAGAACAGAGTTTATTTCTGTAACTGGGTACAGGGAGAAGGCTGGGAAAATATCGCCAGACCAACTCCAAATTACAAAATTTTCCAGACCTTATGTATCTTCTAAAATATATGTCTACATATAAGTGTGTATCCATCTAAAGACATAAGTGAGGCCGGGCGCGGTGGCTCACGCCTGTCATCCCAGCACTTTGGTATGCCAAGATGGGCGGATCACCTGAGGTCAGGAGTTCTAGACCAACCTGGCCAACATAGTGAAATCCCATCTCTACTAAAAAGACAGAAATTAGCTGGGAGTGGTGGCATGCACCTGTAGTCCCAGCTACTTGGGGGTGGGGGTGGGGGCCGAGGCAGGAGAATCACTTGAACCCGGGAGGCGGAGGTTGCGGTGAGCTGAGATTGCGCCATGGCACTCTAGCCTGGGGGACAAGAGCGAGAGGTCTCAAAAAAAAAAAAAAAAGACATAAGTGATTCACTTCTTCTAATCTGTAACTAAGGTCTGAGTCCTGAAGACCTTCCTCTGGAGCCTCAGTAAATTGACTTAATCTAGATGGTTCCAGGTGCTGGGGTGATTACCCTTATCTTGTCTCCTGCTAAATCATGGAGGTTTGGGGAGTTCCTTTAGACCCCCAATAAAACTTGTTTGTGGAGGCCTGCAGAGTTCCTTCAGAACCCCAGTAAAACTTGTTTAATCTGAAACAGGTCCTGTTAAGAATTCCTTCGTTATCTTTTCATGCTTTAAGGCCCAGGAAAGCCCCGGGCAAAACTCTTGGTGGGCTTTTGTTACATTCCAGCCTTTGTATAAGGGCACTGGTTGTTTCAGCTTTTAATATGTAACTCCACTGGTCAGTGAGTGCTGAAACGGTTGCCACGGAGGCCTGCCTGTTCAGCTGTTAGTGAGACCTGGCCTGCCACAGGTGGGTCTGATGAAACTTTCCAGCCCCTGTCCTGAAATTTGACTTTAGAGAAGTTGCATACCAGTTCAGTTTCTTGTTTGTTTGTTTGTTTGTTTTGACACGGAGTCTCACTCTGTTGCCCAGGCTGGAGGGCAGTAGTACAATCTTGGCTCACTAGAGTGCAGTAGTACAATCTTGGCTCATCTGCCTCCCGGGTTCAAGCAATACTCCTGCCTCAGCATCCTGAGTAGCTAGGATTACAGGCACACACCACCACGCCCAGCTAATTTTTGTATTTTTAGTAGAGACAGGGTTTCACCATGTTGGCCAAGCTGGTCTCAAACTCCTGACCTCAAGTAATCTGCCCATCTCGGCCTCCCAAAGTGCTGGAATTACAGGCATGAACCACCACACCCGGCCCCAGCTCAGTTTCTTAAGGACTCTGTAACAAGGGAGGGAGAACATCGCCAATTTGGGGCATTCCTTCTGATGCTGAAGGTGCATGATTCTTGCTGTTTCTAACTCTGAGTTCCAGAGGTGGTTTTTTCAGAAGCAGAGCCTCAGCTGGGCACGGTGGCTCACACCCATAATCCCAGCACTTTGGGAGGCCGAGGCAAGAGGATCACTTGAGGCCAGGAGTTCAAGACCGGCTTGAGCAACAGAGCGAAGCCTCATGTCTACTGAAAATTAAAAAAAAAAAAAAAAAAAAATGAGCTGGCTGTGGTGGCCTGCACCTGTGGTCCCAGCTACTTGGGATGCTGAGGTGGGAGGATGGCTTGAGCTGTGATGGTACTATTGCAGCCTGGACAACAAAGCAAAACCCTGTCTCAGACACACACACACACAAAAGAAGCAGAAGAAGTTGTTTGGAGCCAGGATGGCTCATTTGCCCACAGGAACTCACAGGAAGTCTGAAAATAGTCAGGTAGAGCACATAGAAGCTGCAACAGCTGTGAGCTCCCCCCAGAGTCCCTGAGCACATCTCTATCGCGCGTGGGGGCTGCTGATGCTGGTATCATTTCCAAAACAATAAGTCAGGATCTCCCAGACAGACGGGAGTGCTGCCGACAGCCTTCTCTGTTTTTCTTTTTTTAAAATTTTTAGTTATTCTACGTATGAAAACCAAAAAGTACCTGAGACAAGTCTCCATCAATTTAGAAAGTTTATTTTGCCAAATTTGAAGATGCAGCCTCAGGAACTCCTGACAACATGTCCCCAAAGTGTTTGGGGCACAGCTTGCTTGGTTTTATGCATCTTAGGGAGGCATGAGACATCAATCAGTCTATGGAAGATGTACATTGGTTCTGTCCGGAAAGGTGGCACAACTCGAGGCAGGGAGAGAGCCTGCATTTCATAGGCTGATAAGAGACAAATGGTTGCTTTCTTTCGAGTTTCTGATTAGCCTTGTACTGAAAGCACGATGTACAGGAATACTCACTTATGCCTTAGTCTGGCTTAGTGAAACAAGAGGGTAGAGGAAGCAATCAGGTATGCATTTGTCTCACGTGAGCAGAGGGATAACTTTGAGTTCTATTTATTTATTTTATTTATTTTAAGACAGAATCTTGCTCTTGTTGCCCAGGCTGGAGTGCAGTGGCGCGATCTCAGCTCACTGCAACCTCTGTACCCTGGGTTCAAGCGATTCTCCTGCCTCAGCTCCTCGAGCAGCTGGGATTACAGGCACCTGCCACCATGCTTGGCTAATTTTTGTATGTTCAGTAGAGATGGGGTTTCCCCATGTTGGCCAGGCTGGTCTCGAACTTCTGACCTCAGGTGATTGATCCACCTGCCTCAGCCTCCCAAAGTGCTAGGATTTACAGGTGTGAGCCACCACACCCGCCTTAACTATGAGTTATTTCTGTCCTTTGTCTACAAGGAATTTCCCTGTGGGGATATTATGAGGGAAGCATGTAGCTTTTAAACAAATCTTTGTAACTATCTTATTTTAGAATAGAATGGGAGACGGGTTTGCCCAAAACAGCTCCCAGATCGACTTTTCCCTTTGGCTAAGTGATTCTGGGATCCCGAGATTTATTTTCCTTTCACACATACATAATAGTTGTACAAATTTATGGGGTACATGTGAGATATATATATATATACATACATATACATATATATATTTTTTTACTTTACGTTCTGGGATACAGGTGCAGAACGTGCAGGTTTATTACATAGGTATACATGTGCCATTGTGGTTGGCTGCACCCATCAACCCATCATCTAGATTTTAAGCCCCGTATGCATTAGGTATTTGTCCTAATGCTCTCTCTCCCCTTGCCCCCCACCCACCCCACATGTGATATTTTGATATCAGCATAGAATGTGTCATGATGAAATCAGGATAATTAGGGTACCCATCACCTTAAGCATTTATAATTTCTTTGTGGAAATCACATTCCAATTCCACTCTTTCAGTTATTTTGAAATACACAATAAATTATTGTGAATACAGTCACCCTATGGTTTGGCCAAACACTAGACTGTATTTCTTTTATCCAACTGTATTTTTGTACCCATGAACCATCCTCTCTTAATCATCCCCTCCCACTAACCTTCCCAGTCCCCAGTCACCATCATTCTACTCTCTATCTCCGTGAGTTCAATTTTTTAAGCTCTCACATATGAGTGACGACAAGCAATGTTCTCTTTGACATTTTCCCCTGTCCTTCATTCCATCAAACAAACCTCATTTTACCATGATGCCACCATGATATAATAACAGCTGCACATGCAAAGCCATTGATTGTAACATGACTTCATGACCTGTGCATAAAAAAGCATGCTAGTGTAATCCCAGCACTTGGGGAGGCCAAGGCGGGTGGATCACAAGGTCAGGAGTTCAAGACCAGCCTGGCTAATATGCTAAAAAACCGTCTCTACTAAAAAAAAAATACAAAAATTAGCCAGGCATGGTGGTGGGCGCCTGTAATCCCAGCTGCTTGGGAGGCTGAGGCAGGAGAATCTCTTGAACCCGGGAGGCAGAGGTTGCAGTGAGCCAAGATCGTGTCACTGTACTCCAGTCTGGGTGACAGAGTGAGATTCCGTCTCAAAAAACAAAAAAAAAAAAACAAAAAAAAAAACCCAAAAAAACATGCTAGTTATGGCCCATCTTTGCTTGTGAAGGATAAAAATGATTATAAATTTTTCCCTTTCTGGCCAGGTGCAGTGGCTCATGCCTGTATTCCCAGCACTTTGGGAAGCCGAGGTGGGAAGATCACTTGAGCTCAGGAGTTCAAGACCAGCTTGAGTAACATGGCGAAACTCTGTCTCTCAAAAATACAAAAAATTAGCCAGGCATGGTGGCATGCATCTGTGATGCCAGCTACTTGAAAGCTGAGGTGGGAGAATCATTTGAGCCCAGGAGGCGGAGATGGCAGTGAGCCGTGACTGCATCACTGCACTCCAGCCTAAGCCACAGAGCGAGAACCTGTCTCAAAAACAAAAACAAAACAAAAAAGAAATGCTTCTTTTCAGCCTCAAGCTTGATTGGTCTTTCCTACTCTGGGCTTTAGACAAGGGATGGTCAGTTTTCTGAAGCTGTATTTATTCAAAGTTCTGCACAGTTTTACTTTAGCAAATTTCAGACAATGAACATTGTAGGGTTTTTTTGTTGTTTTTGACCTTTTGAGATCCTTAGTTTTGGAAGCAGCTGTGATCGTTTCAGTGACTATGTGGGCACTCATAGAATGTTTATATCTGAAGTGTCTGGTGTTGGGGGGGAGATTAAAGAGATGGTGTCTTTGAAATCTGTTTCTAAATCTGTTATCCAGTTTAAAATTCTCTTTCATTGTAACGAGCAGAAAGACAATAAGAACAGGTGCAGAGAAGGCAGGCTGTGTTGTTCTTTCTTCAGAGTGGGAAGCTTCGTAAGATTCAGGGGCTGGCAGTCACCAAACCCCACATAAACCTGTCTGTGTGCTTTCATTGAAAGTATACTTTAGGCTGGGCATGGTGGCTCACGCCTGTAATTCCTGCACTTTGGGAGGCCGAGGCGGGTGGATCACCTGAGGTCAGGAGTTCAACACCAGCCTGGCCAACATGATGAAACCCCATCTCTACTAAAAATACAAAAAATTAGCCAGACATGGTGGCAGGCACCTGCCATCCCAGCTACTCGGGAGGCTGAGGCAGGAGAATCACTTGAACCCAGGAGGAGGAGGTTACAGTGAGCTGAGATTGCGCCACTATACTCCAGCCTGGGCAACAAGAGCAAAACTTCGTCCCAAAAAAAAAAAAAAAAAAAGAAAATGTACTTTAAACAGCTAATGATGACTACATTTTTGTTTCAGCTCCAATGTATCTTTCTAAGGTCAGATTTCTTCCTTCCTTCCTTTCTCTTTCTCTCTTTCTCTTTCTTTTCTTTTTTTCTCTTCCTTCCTTTCTTTCTCTTTCTTTCTTTCTCTTTCTTTCTCTTTCTTTCTTTCTTCTCTTTGTTCTTTCTCTCCTTCTTCTTATTCTTTTTTCTTCTTCCCCTCCCTCCCTCCCTTCCCTCCCTCCCTCCGTCCCTCCCTCCCTCCCTTCCTTCTTTTTTCTTTTCCTTTCTTTTTTTTTCTTTCTTTCTTTCGAGATGGGGTCTTGCTATGTTAACCAGGCTGGTCTTAAACACCTGGCCTCAAGCAATCCTCCCGTCTTGGCCTCCCAAAATGCTAGGATTACAGGCATGAGCTACTGTGTCCAGCCTGAGGTTTCTGTCTTCATTCTCCATTGCATGCTTGTCCACCATAGAGTCTATTCAACTACATGTTCTGTAAAAGCATCATAATGGAAAAACAGTTTTTCTTTGCTTTACATTCCCATATGTTCCATGTATGAAATCCAGAAAAGGCTAAGTTCTCAGACATGATCTGCTCCTGTCGGAATTCTAAGGACTGAGGGAGAGTACATTATTCTCACATTCTAAGTCTTAAAGTCATTCTCAGTGCTTTCACTTTCAACATTTTTGTCTGAACGATGACCGCACGTTCATTTTTCAGGGTGCATTTTGGTCTCCAGTTTAAATATCCTATCTGTGAGGCCGGGCATGGTGGCTCATGCCTGTAATCCCAGCACTTTGGGAGGCCAAGGTTGGTGGGTCACGAGGTCAGGAGATCGAGACCATCCAGGCTAACATGATGAAACCCCGTCTCTACTAAAAATACAAAAAATTACCTGGGCATGGTGGCGGGTGCCTGTAGTCCCAGCCACTCAGGAGGCTGAGGCAGGAGAATCACTTGAACCCGAGAGGCAGAGGTTGCAGTGAGCAGAAATCGCGCCACTGCACTCCAGCTTGGGTGACGACAGAGCGACACTCTTTCTCAAAAAAAAAAAAAAAATCCTATGTATGTTCCATCTCTTCTTTATTTCTATGATATGGAATGTGACATGGTTTGGATTTGTGTCTCTGCCCAAAGCTCACGTTGAATTGTCATCTGTGGTGTTGGAGGTGGGGCCTGGTGAGAGGTGGGTGAATAACAGGGGTTGTTTCTAATGGCTTACCATCATCCCCCAGTGCTGTCTTGTGATAGAATTTTGTTTGTTTGAGATGTAGTTTTGCTCTTGTAGCCCAGGCTGGAGTACAATGGCACAATCTCCACTCACTGAAACCTCTGACTCCTGGGTTCAAGCGATTCTCCTGCCTCAGTGTCCAGAGTAGCTGGGATTACAGGCGCCTGCCACCAAGCCTGGCTAATTTTTCTATTTTTAGTAGAGATGGGGTTTCACCATGTTGGTCAGGCTGATCTTGAACTCCTGACCTCAAGTGATCCCCCTGCCTCAGCCTCCCAAAGTGCTGGGATTAGAGGCGTGAGCCACCGCACCCGGCCTCGTGATAGAGTTCTCAGGAGATCTGGTTGTTTAAAAGTGTGTGGCACCTTCTCCTTCACTCTCTCTCTCCTGCTCCACCATGTGAAGATGTGTGCGCTTCACCTTTCCCTTCACCACGACTGTAAGTTTGCTGAGGCCTCCCCAGGAGCAGAAGCATGTACAGCCGGCAGAACTGTGAGGCCTCCACAGCCATGCTTACTGTACAGCCTGTGAATCTGTGACTCAATTAAACCTCCTTTCTTTATGAAATACCCAGTCTCAGGTAGTTCTTTATAGCAATGTGAGAACAAACTAATACAGAAAGAAAATTTTTTCCTGATGAGAAAATGTCTGACAGTTTTCCTCAAAATTTGTATCGTTGTACAGATGTCCAAGTTGGTAGCTCAGGAAGTCTGTAATTACCAACAACATTCTTCATCATCGTCACTGTCATCACCATCATCATCATCATCCTCACTGTCACCATCATCATCACCCTCATCATCATCATCCTCACCATCATCATCATCCTCACCATCATCATCACCATCATCACCATCACCATCGTCATCATCCTCACCATCATCATCACCATCATCACCATCACCATTATCATCCTCACCATCCTCACCATCATCATCATCCTCACCATCATCATCACCATCATCACCATCACCATTATCATCCTCACCATCATCACCATGATCATCATCCTCACCATCATCATCACCATCATCGCCATCATCCTCACTGTCACCATCATCATCCTCACCATCATCATCACCATCCTCACCATCATCCTCACTGTCACCATCATCATCCTCACCATCATCATCCTCACCATCATCATCACCATCATCATCACCATCATCATCCTCACCATCATCATCACCATCATCATCCTCACCATCATCCTCACCATCATCATCCTCACCATCATCATCCTCACCATCATCATCCTCACCATCATCATCACCATCATCATCCTCACCATCATCATCCTCACCATCATCATCCTCACCATCATCCTCACCATCATCATCCTCACCATCATCATCCTCACCATCATCATCACCATCATCATCCTCACCATCATCATCATCACCATCATCATCACCATCATCATCCTCACCATCATCATCACCATCATCATCCTCACCATCATCATCACCATCATCATCCTCACCATCATCATCCTCACCATCATCATCCTCACCATCACCATCATCATCCTCACCATCATCATCACCATCATCATCCTCACCATCATCATCCTCACCATCATCACCATCACCATCCTCACCATCATCATCCTCACCATCATCATCACCATCATCATCACCGTCATCATCACCGCCATCATCCTCATACACATCATCATCATCCTCACCATCATCCTCACCATCATCATCCTCACCATCATCATCCTCACCATCATCATCACCGTCATCATCCTCACCAACATCATCACTGCCATCATCCTCATACACATCATCATCATCCTCACCATCATCATCACCATCCTCACCATCATCACTCTCGCCATAATCATCACCATCATCATCCTCGCCATCATCATCGCTGTCGCCATCATCACCATCATCATCCTCACCATCACCATCACCACTGTCACCATCATCATCACCATCATCCTCATCGTCACCATCATCATCACCATCTTCATTATCACCATCACCATCATCATTATTATCACCAAGCTTAAATGCTTGCTTTGCCCTCTTTTCCAGAGACTCTTGACCTCTGGTTTTACTGTGTGTACCAGAAAAGTCTTCGTAATTATGTGGCCTCTGATTGTTTTTTCTAAGAGAGTAAGAGGAATCACGGTGGACGTATTCTGCCTGAATGTGTCAAAACCGTGCTAAGAGCTCTGAACATGAATATTAACATTGGGTATTTACTTTTCCTGTTCCTACGTGTCTGTTTTTTAAAAAAACAATTTTATCATGGACATTGAGGATGATACGTTGTGGTGCAGTCAGGTATTTTCCTTTATAGAAAGAGTCTATTCCTCTATAGAAGAGTCTATCAGACAGTTAGCTTCGCTGGATATACACTTTAATCTTTGTGTTTGCTGAAGTGGGCAGGAGTTTAAATATCTGCTCAGTTCTTTCAACATCACACTGATGGATTCCTCTTGGTTCTCTGAGGTCTCCCCACACATGCATAATCCAGATGACCAAATATTTGGGCAGCGTTCAAATCCAGACTTGGAGTTCCCTTAAACCGTTGCATATTCCCCTTTTAAACATTTCCTCCTCGTGTTGCAGGGTCTCTGGCAGCTGCCAGCTCTCTCGTGACTCTTCAGGCTAGTAAACCTGCAGAAGTTCTCACTTCCCCAGAATTAAGCGACTTTGGGAAGCCCCCTGCAGAAAGGACGTGCAAATGCTAATCTTCACAGGGCAGTTCCCCATTTGTCAGAGAGTTCCTCTGCCCACATTTCTGCCTGTTTGGGGCCAAGGGTCTTCACATCGTTTTTTAAAAGGCTTCATCCAGAGTTTATCCTTGTGATCTCCGGGACGTTCTGTCCAATACACACTATTCTTCAACGACTGGAAGTGAGAGTCGAGAATTAAGAGCAACTTTAAGGATTCAGATTTGCCAGGCACAGTGGCTTATGCCTGTAATCTCAGTATTTTGGGAGGCTGAGGTGGGCAGATGACCTGAGGTCAGGAGTTCGAGGCCAGCCTGGCCAACATAGTGAAACTCTGTCTCTACTAAAAATACAAAAATTAGCCGGGCATGCTGGTGCATGCCTGTAATCTCAGCTACTTCAGAGGCTGAGGCAGAAGAATCACTTGAACCCAAGAGGTGGAGGTTGCAGGAAGCCAAGATCGTGCCACTGCACTCTAGCCTGGGTGACAGGGTGAGATTCTATTTCAAAAAAAAAAAAAAAAAAGGAGAAAAAAAAGGATTCAAGTTTCAAGTGGTCAAGCAAGAGAAGGCTTTGGCCTCAGAATTCGAGTCTCAGCACTTTCATCTGTCATGAAAACATTACGTCATGTCTTATGACTTAGCTCCTGGTATGGCGAGGCCTTTGAAGTGAGATGATTTGAGAGAAATCTCACATTCTAAATGTGAGGTTTTTAAAATTACATAAGTAATATTATATAAAATATCGGTCATAATGATTGTATGCAGTAAGTGCTCAATAAATACTAAATGTGATTTTTGTGATGTGCGATACATTTCAATGCTTCACTTTAAAAATTGGTCGAATTACACTTGTGATTATTTTACTATTAAAAACAAAATGTGCCGGGCGCAGTGGCTCACACCTGTAATCCCAACACTCTGGGAGGCCAAGGTGGGGGGATCACTTGAGGCCAAGGTTCAAGAGCAGCCTAGCCAATATGGTGAGACCCTGTCTCTACTAAAAATACCAAAATTAGCCGGGCATGGTGGCGTGCACTTGTAGTCCCAGCTACTTGGTAGGCTGAGGCAGGAGAATCGCTTGAACCCAGGACACGGAGGTTGCAGTGAGCTGAAATCATACCACTGCCCTCCAGCCTGGGCAACAAAGCAAGACTGCATCTCAAAAACAAAAGCTAAAACAAAACAAAAGAAAACAAAAAACCCCACAAAATGCGATTATTATTATTACACAGAAGTTTGCTCATTGTTAAGCCTTCTCATACTCAATATTGGATATTTTCTCCACCGTAATAACACCAGAAACCTATTATCCACTGTTTCAATAAGGAAATTAAATCACTTAGAAGTGTTTCGTTTTCAAAAATCTACTGACGCGTTTCTTAAGTGTGTGTAGGACATAATGATTTTCTCCTAAAATGTACAGCATGGGAAAGAGGCCGGGGGAAGGATAATTTTTTAGTGAAGAAAGCTGACAAACACCATCTCGACCAGATAACTGAGGTCAACATGCACTGTGAGAAGTCTTGTGGTTGTGAGAGTGTGTACCCTTGTTAGGATATGACGAGAAGGGCCTGTCCAACTTGTGGTCGTTCCCCCAAAAAACCCACAACCCGCATCTTTTTTTTTTTTTTTTTTTTTTTTTGAGATGGAGTCTCACTCTGTCGCCCAGGCTGGAGTGCAGTGGCATGATCTCGGCTCACTGCAACCTCTGCCTCCTGTGTTCAAGCGATTGTCCTGCCTCAGCCTCCCGAGTAGCTGGGATTACAGGTGGGCACCACCATACCTGGCTAATTTTTGTATTTTTAGTACAGATGGGGTTTCACCATGTTTGTCAGACTGGTCTCGATCTCCTGACTTCGTGATCTGCCCGCCTCGGCCTCCCAAAGTGCTGGGATTATAAGGGTCAGCCCCCACGCCCGGCCCCCAAACCCCATCTAATCATGAAGAAAACATCAGAAAAGGCCAGGGGCGGTGGCTCACTCCTGTAATAATTAAAAAATTAAAATTAAAAAAATCAGCTGTGGGCATGGTGGCGGGCACCTGTAGTCCCAGCTACTCAGGAGGCTGAGGCAGGAGAATGGCGTGAACGCGGGAGGCAGAGGTTGCAGTCAGCCGAGACTGCGCCACTGCACTCCAACCTAGGCGACAGAGTGAGACTCCATCTCAAAGAAAAAGAAAGAAAACATGAGAAAAATCCCAATAAAAGGACTTCCGTCAAAAGGCTTGCCCAGTGCTTTTCAAAGCTGTCCAGGTCATTCATCTGAATCAAGAAACGTCTGGAAAACTGTCCCAGCCAAGAGGGAACCCAGGTAGAAGTAATAACTAAACACCCTGTGGAACTGTGGGGCCTGTGAAAGGAAACTAACCCGGGCCCCGACAAGCTGGGAAGTGCCCAGGGCAAATCGGCCTCTCATTTTATTCAAGGTCACCCCTCTGCTTACTGAGATAGACGCATATTCTAATTGCCTCCTTTGGAGAGGCTAATCAGAAACTCAAAAGAAGCAACCATATGTTTCCCACCTACCTGTGACCTGGAAGCTCCCTCTCTGCTTCCAGTTGTCCCCGCCTTTCTGGAAGGAACCAATGGACTTCTTACATATATTGATTGATGGCTCATGTGTGCCTAAAATGTATAAAACCAAGCTGTGCCCCGACCACCTAGGGCACATGTCATCAGGACCCCATGAGGCTGTGTCACAGGTGCGCATCCTTAACTTTGGCAAATAAACTTCCTAAAATGATTGACAATTGTCTTCTAATTTTCTTGACTGACAGACCCTGGATGGGATCCTAAACATTAGAAAAAAACTAAAGAAATCTGAATAGGGTATGGGCTGGTTAATAGTAATGTATCAAGAGTGGTTGGTTAATTGCCACAAATGCACCGTACTAATTGAAGATGTTTATGACGGGGGTATAAAAGAGCTCCTTGTGGTATGTTTGAAACTTTTCTGCAAATCTGAAATCATTCTGAAACAAAAAATGTAACTTAAATCGACATTAAATGTCAAATTGCACTCTGTTAAAGAATCAAGATTAAGATTCAAGTTCCTCTCAATAAACTACAGATTAAAAACCCCTCAAAGGGCCGGGCACAGTGGTTCATGCCCTGTAATCCCAGCACTTTGGGAGGCTGAGGCAGGTGGATCACCTGAGGTCAGGAGTTTGAGACCAGCCTGGCCAACAAGGTGAAACCCCATCTCTACTAAAAATACAAAAATTAGCCATGTGTGGTGGTGTGTACCTGTAGTCCCAGCTACTCGGGAGGCTGAGGCAGGAGAATCGCTTGAATCCGGAGGTGGAGATTGTAGTCAGCTGAGATCGTGCCGTTGTACTCCAGCCTAGAGACAAAGCAAGACTCTGTGTCAAAACAAAAACAAAAACAAAAAACAAACAAACAAAAACCCTCCAACGATCTCCTCAATCTCTTCTAACTCTATGCATGAGAATCTGTAAATATTATAGCAGCAGGCAGCATTACAGAGCCCCAAAAGACCTATGTTCGTTCAACATGCCCTGATTCACTATTTCGCCCAAGGAGACTCTGATAGCAGAGGCGACATGTCAGTTCATCTTTTATTCAATGCAGAAGTGTCCCAGATTGATTCTGTCTTCAGAAACTGTGCTGACTGCAATACTCTAAAAACTGAGCCTATACCTGGGTAAGCTGGTTTTCTGTGAAACAAGTTTATAGGAGAAGCATCACAGATCACCCAGTGTTTAAAATATCACTGCATTCAAATATCATTATTTAAAAGAAATGAATACAATCATCATAATAAAAATGCAATCTTTCCAGCATGAGTTTCTGGGGAATCTGCATATTTTTGATCCTCTTGGGTCCTGTGTCATCCTCCCTGACACGGAGATAACATTGTAAACGTGAGGTTTTTGAAATTACGTAAGTGATATTCTGTGAAATATCAACCATAATGATTGTATGCAGTAAGTGTTCAATAAATACTAAATGTGATTTTTGTGATGTGCGATACATGTCAACGCTTCACTTTAAAATTGGTGGAATTACTCTAATAATTATTTTCCCATGAAAAATGTGGTATTTAGCACTTTTATTGGCATCTTACACACAGTGTGTCTGTTATTCCCCCAGACATTGTAGGTTAGTCTTCGCTTCCCTCCCATTTCCTCTCCTCTCCTCCCCTTTCCTTTTTCCTCACTCTCTTCCTCCCTTCCTCTCTCTCTCTCACCCTCTCTTTCCTTCTTTCTTCCCTCCCTCCCTCCCTTCCTTCCTTCTCGACAGGGTCTTGCTCTATCACCCAGGCTGGAGTGCAGTGGCACACTCACACCTTACTGCAGCCTCAAACCCCTGGGGTCAGTTTGTCTTTCCATCTCGGCCTCCTGAGTGGCTGGAACTATAGACAAGCACTCACCATACTCAGCTAAATTTTTTTATTTTTTGTAGAGCTGGGGGTTCTCACTATGTTGCCCAGGCTGGTCTTGAACTCCTGGGCTCAAGCAATCTTCCCACCTTGGCCTCCCAAAGCACTGGGGTTATAGGCATGAGCCACTGCACCCAGCCTGGGTGATAGAGTTATTTTTTTCTTATATTTCATCACATATCCATGCCTGGGTTACCTTCCATAGTGTTATTTTACCACAACGACAACAAAATTCCTTTAAAAATTTTTTTCTAGAAATCCATAAATACATATGTCAACAAAGTTAAGCTGTTGAGTTAAGCCTAGTTAGGTGAAGGTTTGCCTTAGAGGTAGTGTGTTTAGACTTGACTTGGGAAAAATAGACACATATTGGAGGAATCCTCTGGAATTTAAGGGCACGGAAGAATGTTGGTGATATGGTTTGACTGTCCCCACCCAAATCTCATCTGAATTGTAGCTCCCGTATTTCCCACGTGGTGTGGGAGGGACCAGGTGGGAGATAACTGAATCATGAGGGCGGTTTCCCCGATACTGCTCTTGTGGTAGTGAATGAGTCTCAAGAGAACTGATGGTTTTATAAGGGGAAACCCCCTTCACTTGGCTCTCATTTTCTCTTGCCTCCACCATGTAAGATGTGCCTTTCGCCTTCCACCATGACTGTGAGGCCTCCCCGTCACGTGGAACTGCGAGTCCATTAAACCTCTTTTCATGATCAATTATCGGGTCTCCTCAGGTATGTCTTTATCAGCAGAGTGTGAACACAGTTGGTTTCCTGGTAATTTGCAGTGATAGCCAAAGGGTCTGTGCAGTGCATAGACACATATTTCTAGGGCAAGAGGGCAGGGGCTGTGCACACACAGATGGGTGTAGCAGGAAGAAGGTGGTGCAGGCAAGCTGAACAGTGAAAGAGGATTTAGTGCAGGGACTCTTTACTGAAGTCTAGCCAGAATGTTAGGGAAAGCATTCAGAGATGGTGCAGAACCTGCAGGCTGGGAAACAGGAGCGCTCACCCCCAACTCGAGAATGATGGCAAAGGAAAGAGAGAGAGGCTAGAACCCAGCGAGGGAGAACTCAATGAACAACGCCACCTGACAGGTGCTAGGACACTGGATTAGAGGAGAAAGCCAATGTCAGATGGAACCCAGGGCTAAATCCCTCCAACTTTACTCTCCTCCTGTCTCCAACCTCAGTGGCAATTCCCCAGGGTCAGAACCAAAAATGGCAGCCAGAAGGCAAGAGAACCCTATGGATGTAGTATCTGTGAGTCATCCTCAGCCTCCTTGCCTCCCCATTCCCCCTGCCACTCTCCCCTGGGTTGAGAAGGTTGGAGAAGTGTACAAAGTGGGTCAGAGAAACAAAAGGAAGAAAGTTGGCACAAGCATTCAAGAAAAGTGATAGCAGGTATAGGAGAAAGGGATGTGCCATGCTTTTGTACCATTGAAACATTTTAATAGGGGAACAAAAAACTCTAATTAGTATGTGACAAAGGAAAAACAGAAGGGACTGAGGAAGGCGGGGAGGGAGAGCGTTTATTCATTTAGCAGAGATGTCTGACTGCCAGGCGGACGCAGGACCTGAAAAACACCCAGGGACTGTAGTGAATCAAACTCAGCCCTGTTTGTTTCGAATGCACTCAACGTTAGCCCCGACTCCGGCGAGATTTCATCGTTTTGGGAAAGATTCGTTGGCATCCTCTCTAAAAGCATTTGCCCAAATATGTTTTTAGAAAGCAAGCACGTTTTTTTCCCCTTGGATCACTACATGAAAAAATACTTGGAAATAGTGCTAATATGTGAATGTAATTAATGTCACTGCATGGTACACTTAAACATGATTAACACGGGGCCCCGGATGTTTTATATATATATTATCATAATTAATACATATTACATTTTAGCATCCTTTACCTCCCTCCACGTATTAGTCCATTTTCATGCTGCTGATAAAGACATACCTGAGACAGGGTAATTTATTTTTTATTTTATTTATTTACTTATTTTTTTGAGACAGAATCTCCTTCTGTTGCCCAGGCTAAAGTGCGGTGGTGCGATCTTGGCTCACTGCAACCTCCATCTCCTTTGATCAAGCGATTCTCCTACCTCAGCCTCCCTATTAGCTGGGATTACAGGCGTGCAGCACCACGCCTGGCTAATTTTTTTATTTTTTAGTAGAGATGGGGTTTCACCATGTTGGCCAGGCTGGTCTCAAACCCCCAACCTCAGGTGATCTGCCTGCCTCGGCCTCCCAAAGTGCTGTGATTACAGGCGTGAGCCACCATGCCTGGCCAAGACTGGGTAATTTATAAAGAAAAAGAGGTTTAATGGACTCAGAGATTCACGTTGCTGGGGAGGTCTCACCGTCATGGCGGAAGGCGAAAGGGATGTCTTACATGGCAGCAGGCAAGAAAGAAAATGAAAGTCAAGTGAAAGGGGAAACCTCTTATAAAACCATCAGATTTCATGAGACTTATTTACTACATGAGAACAGTGTGGGGGAAACCGCCCCATGATTCAATTATCTCCCACTGGGTACCTCCCACAATAAATGGGTATTATGGGAGCTATAATTCAAGATGAGATTTAGCTGGGGACACAGCCAAACCATATCACCCCCAAAACACAAGACACACAAATGCATAGACACAAACAGACACACACACACTCAAGGATTTAATGATTCTATTTTTTGAATGTGTGTTTACTTAAACTATACTATTAATCTTCATACAAACTAAATTTGTTCTCACCTTTTCTGGAAGAATCACATGATCAAAGATTTGAGTTCTCCATGAGAGAATAGGGGGAAGAATTCACACCACAATTCCCAGCCTAATATCAGAATATCAGACATCCAACTAGAAGCTAAGGTGCTTTTCCTGAGGCAGTTTAGTCATGAATGGATGTTTGTTTGTTGTCGTGTTTATATATAGCTTCTACCCTACTTTATTCTAAAATGGCCATGGCATTGATAGCTGAAAATAATGTCTGAACCTCTTTAAAAAAAATGTCTTTCCAAGTTTTAAATGCATTTACAGCCCAAGGATTGCAAGATTCTTGTGAATTGGTTTGGCAAAGATTCCCCCAGGCATTGCACCGTCATGGCTGGGTCACCTTCCAGAGTGCTGTTTTCAAATCATTGGTTTTCTTTTACAATTTTTCTTCTAAAAATCTATAAACATATGTTACCATATGTCAACAAAGTTAAGCCATTTAGTTAGGCCAATTAGGTAAAGCTTTGTATTGGCAGCAGTATCACTACAGGTGATTGGGGAATAGGTGAGAATTGGATAGAGAATGGGTCAACATTTTCAGAGTGGAACTACCAAACATAGAAAGAAAACCCAGGCCTTTCTCCATGATTAAAGACTCATCACTCTTGGTGAGTTTATTTTTATTTTTATTTATTTATTTTTTTTGAGACGGAGTCTCGCTCTGTTGCCCAGGTTGGAGTGTAGTGGCACAATCTCAGCTCACTGCAACCTCCACCTCCCGGGTTCAAACAATTCTCCTGCCTCAGCCTCCCAAGTAGCTGGGACTACAGGCGCCCGCCACCACGCCTTGCTAATTTTTGTATTTTTAGTAGAGACAGGGTTTCACCATGTTGGCCAGGCTGGTCTGGAACTCCTCACCTCAGGTGATCCACGTGCCTCAGCCTCCCAAAACGTTGGGATTATACGTGTGAGCCACTGCGCCCAGCCCATTGGTGAGTTTTATTAATGGTGCTTTCCAAATGTTTCCTCTGCATGGCTGTATATCTATTGAGGCTAAAACTGACATAAGGTTTGAAAATTTACTAGAATGGGCCAGGCACAGTGGCTCACACCTGTAATTCCAGCACTTTGGGAGGCTGAGGTGGGTGGATCACTTGAGGTCAGGAGTTCAAGACCAACCTGGCCAATATGGTAAAACCCCGTCTCTACTAAAAATACAAAAATTAGCCGGGCGTGGTGGTGTGTGCCTATAGTCCCAGCTACTCGGGAGGCTGAGGCAGGGGAATCGCTTGAACCCAGGAGGCAGAGGTTGCAGTGAGCCAAGATCGTACTACTGCACTCCCGCCTGGGCGACAGGGTGACACTCTGTCTCAAAAAAAAAAATTACCTGGGTGTGACGGTGTGCACCGGTAATCCCATCTACTAGGGAGGCTGAGGCAAGAGAATTGGCTTGAACCCAGGAGGCGGAGGTTGCAGTGAGCCGAGATCATGCCACTGCACTCCAGCTTGGGCGACAGAGCGAGACTCCATCTCAATAAATAAATAAAAACATAAAATTACAAAAATTAGCCAGGTGTGGTGGTGCATGCCTGTAGTCCCAGCTACTTGGGAGGCTGAGACAGGAGAATCGCTTGCACCCGGGAGGCAAAGGCTGCAGTGAGCCGAGATGGCGCCATTGCACTTCAGCCTGGACAAGAGCGAGACTGTCTCAAAAAAAAAAAAAAAGCCTGTCATGGTGGCTCACGCCCGTCATTCCAGCACTTTGGGATGCCGAGGCTGGTGGATCTCGAGGTCAGGAGATCGAGACCATCCTGGCTAATTTGGTGAAACCCTGTCTCTACTAAAAATACAAAAATTAGCCAGGCTGGTGATGTGCACCTGTAGTCCCAGCTACTCAGGAGGCTAAGGCAAGAGAATCACTTCAACCCAGGAGACAAAGGTTGCAGTGAGCCGAGATCATGCCACTGCACTCCAACCTGGGTGACAGAGTGAGACTCTGCCTCAAAAAAAAAAAAAAAAAAAGCATAAAATCATATCTTTTGCAGCAACATGAATACAGCTGGAGTCCATAATCCTGTCAATTAATGCTGAAACAGAAAACCAAATACCACATATTCTTATTTATAAGGGTGGGGCTAAGCATTGCGTACACATGGACTTATGTCATGGGAAGAGCAGTCACTGGGGAATACAAGTGGGGGTAGAGAATAGGAGGATAAGGGTTGAAAAAGCTCCTTTTGGGCACTATGCTCACTACCTGGGTGACGGTTTCATCTGTACGCCAAATCTCAGCATCACACAATATACCTTTATAACAAACCTGCACAGGTACCCACTGATTCTAAAATAAAAGTTGAAAAACAATTAAAAAAATAAAGTGGTGCTTGCCACTCTTGGAACAGGCCTTGGTCCAGTCTGAACCAGCCTTTGCAAATGAATTGGTAGAGACGCAAAGTTTCTACTCTAAATAGGTCAATAATGCCTTCTGGAATTGTAAGAAATAAGGAAATTCTCGGCCGGGTGTCATGGCTCACGCCTGTAATCCCAGTACTTTGGGAGGCCAAGGCGGGCGGATCACAAGGTCAGGAGTTTGAGACCAGCCTGGCCAACATAGTGAAACCCCATCTCTACTAAAAAAAATACAAAAATTAGCTGGGTGTGGTGGTGCGCACCTGTAGTCCCAGCTACTCAGGAGACTGAGGCAGGAGAATCCCTTGAACTAGGGAGGCAGAGGTTGCAGTGAGCTGAGACCATGCCATTGCACTCCAGTCTGGGTGACAGAGTGAGACTCCGTCTCAAAAAAAAAAAAAAGGAAATTATCCTAAAAACATGTGCAAAATCTATATTTGAGGCTCTGCGTTGTTGACCCGAATGCTAAAAAGATCAGCATGAAAGGATATGAAACTTCCAAAGAGTCTCCAATATTTTCTCATCTCCTGGCCTCTCCTTTGTAATTTAAAATAAAATTACTGGACCTCACACCAAAAACTTAGTGCTTCTCTCAAGCCAAGTACCTACATTACATTTGACAGGCCACCACCCCCAGATGGCCTTGGTTTTCTTGTCTGCAAAATGGAACAGGATGGACACATGCCCTTTGAGACGTCCCCAAGATCCAAATTCGATTTGTGCTTTTACTAAGATGTGGCCTCAGGCCAGGCGTAGTGGCTCACGCCTGTAATCTCAGCACTTTGGGAGGCCGACGTGGGTGGATCACCAGAGGTCAGGAGTTTGAGGGCAGCCTGGTCAATATGGTGAAACCCTGTCTCTACTAAAAATACAAAAATTAGCCGGGTGTGGTGGTGAGCGCCTGTAATCTCAGCTACTCGGGAGGCTGAGGCATGAGAATTGCTTGAACCTGGAAGGCGACGGTTGCAGTGAGCTGAGATCGTGCCACTGCACTCCAGCCTGGGCAACAGAACAAGACCCTTTCTCAAAAAAAAAAAAAAATGTGGCCTCTATGATTTTACTTCCTTGTTTTCTGCATTGCACCTCATAGCTGCTAATATAAATTCTAAACAGGCCAAGTGTGGCAGCTCATGCCTATAATCCCAGCACTTTGAGAGGCTGAGGCAGGAGGACTGCTTGAGCCCAGGAGTTCCAGACCAGCCTGGGCAATATAGCAAGATCCTGACTCTACAAAAAATAAAAAAAATATAAAAAATTAGCTGGGCGTGGTGGTACATACCTGTAGTCCCAGCTACTCAGAAGGCTGAGGTAGAAGGATTGCTGGATCCCAGGAGTTTGAGGTTGCCGTGAGCTATGATCAAGCCCCCGCACTCCAGCCTGGGTGACAGAGCAAGACCCTGTCTCAAAAAAATTATAAATATTCAACTTATTTTGTTTAAGTTTTGCCATATACCCATGTGCACATGCACATACATGCGTGCACACACACGTGTGTGCACACACACGCACACACACACACAGCTAGAAATTCCACAACAGCTTTAATTGCTGTAAGTTGTTCTTTACAATATTCCCAGTGCTCAGAACCGAGCAATGCACACAGTAGGTGGTAATTAAATATTTATTTATTTATTTTTGAGGTGGAGTCTCACTCTGTCGCCCAGGCTGGAGGGTAGTGGTGTGATCTCCGCTCACTGCAACCTCTGCCTCCTGGGTTCAAGTGATTCTCCTGCCTCAGTGTGCTGAGTGGCTGGGACTACAGGCGTCCTCCTCCATGACCAGCTAATTTTTGTATTTTTAGTAGAGTTGGGGTTTCACCATGGTGACCAGGCTGGTCTCAAACTCCTGACCTCAGATGATCCACCCGCATTGGCCTCCCAAAGTGCTGGGATTACAGGTGTGAGCCACCGCACCCAGCTGGTAATTAAATATTTGATGCATGAATTGGTTACGGGTCGAAGTATATTTCCTGTCCCCCAAAGATACGCTAAAATGATAACCCTTGGGACCTATGAGTGTGACTTTCTTTGAAACCAGAGTTCTTCTACATATTATTAATTACATGAAAACGAGATCATACTGGATTAAGGTGGGCCCTGATCCAATCACCTGTCTGTGCTGCTATCACGAAAATATCATAGACTTGGTGGCTTGTAAACAACAGACATTGATTGACTGGGTGTCTTATAAACAACAGACGTTTATTGACTGGGTGGCTTATAAACAACAGATACTTGTTGACCGGGTGGCTTATAAACAATAGACATTTATTGCTCACCTTCTGGACGCTGGAAGTGCCAGATCAAGGTATGACAGATTGAGTGACTCGAGGGGACTGTCTCTGTTTCCAAGATGGCGCCCTGTTGCTGTGTCCTCACGTAGCCTTAGAGCCCAGCCTGTTCCCTCCAGCTCTTTTACAGAGCGCTAATCCCATCCATTAAGGCAGATCCCTCATGAGTTCATCACTTCCTAAAGGTCCCACCTCTTAATAAGGTTGCATCGGGGATTAAATCTCAACAGGACTTTTGGAGGGAGGCTGTTGTCATTTCACCTTTCAGCACAGACCAAACATCGCCCCTTAAAAAACCAGGAAGCTTCCCCAGAGAGAATATAAATTATGTCACTAGATTTTATCTGTGTGTCCTGCGTCTCTCTGTTTCACGTTCTGTGGGACTTCTTATCCTTCAGTGAATTATTTGAACTGGATCTCTAGGGCATGTTTCTGAAGGGCTTGACTTGTTTTAAAAATTGAACAAATACATTATTCATCTTAGCTTATTTCCTGTTCTGAGTTTTTTTTTCTTTAATGGGAGACAGAAGAAAGCCAATTTATATAACAGATCTGATTGCCAAATCAGTAGTCTTTACATGTTCTTGCCTTTCAGCTAAAACTGCAAGTTAAAACTAGAGTTTTTTTGTCTTTTGTTTTTGTGCATTTAAATCCTTCTATTTTAAAATAATATGCTTAAAAAAATAAAGAAAAATAGCCACCCATGCAACTCTCTCTCATTTGATATTTTCATTCACAGCCAGTGTTGGTCCCACCCGTCAGATATCTAGACTGTCATTTGGTGATGAGATTTTCCCACCTGGGTGCTAAAGAGACCACCAGGTTTTTCACCGTGTTACTCAACGCTGGCACTTAGCTCCAGTTCTCAACAATAGACAGTTTTCACAAGGCCTGTTGCTCACAGGGTCTCTGCAGAAATATTTTGACATCCTAAAATCTGCTTCCTGTTGGTGTACCTCCTTCTGTGGAAGAAAAAGAGGATAAAAAGCACATCTTTCTTAAAACCCAGTCTTCATTGAGTAACAGAACATCTTTATGGAGCATTATTCATCTCCTGAAGACCAGATGATGTTGCTCATTCATCAACTTGATCATTAAAAAGTCAGGAAACAACAGATGCTGGAGAGGATGTGGAGAAATAGGAACGCCTTTACACTGTTGGTGGGAGTGTAAGTTAGTTCAACCATTGTGGAAGACAGTGTGGCGATTCCTCAAGGATCTAGAACCAGAAATACCATTTGACCCAGCAATCCCGTTACTGGGTATATACCCAAAGGATTATAAATCATCCTACTATAAAGACACATGCACATGTATGTTTACTGCAACACTGTTCACAATAACAAATACTTGGAACCAACCCAAATGCCAATCAATGATAGACTAGATGAAGAAAATGTGGCACATACACACCATGGAATACTATGCAGCCATAAAAAAGGATGAGCTCACGTCATTTGCAAGGACATGGATGAAGCTAGAAACCATCATCCTCAGGAAACTAACACAGGAACAGAAAACCAAACACTGCATGTTCTCACTCATAAGTGGGAGGTGAACAATGAGAACACATGGACACAGGGAGGGGAACATCACATACCAGGGCCTGTCAGGGGGTGGGGGCCTGGGGGAGGGACAGCATTAAGAGAAATACCTAATGTAGATGACAGGTTGATGGGTGCAGCAAACCACCATGGCACGTGTGTATGTATGTAACAAAACTGCACGTTCTGCACATTTCCCCAGAACTTAAAGTATAATAATAAAAAATAATAATAATTTTTTTTGATGAAAGGACATAGTTGAAACTGCATCTTTAAGTGGTGACCTCCCTGGCTCTGGCTTCTTGTCCCTTTGTGGGCAAGAGGAGAAAGACATTCTGCTTGAATGGAAACCGAAGGTTTCTCCAAGCATGAAGGAAGAAGAGGGGGGTTACCAAAGATTGTTAGAAGTCAGGACTTACCTTGACATATAGCAGAAGCAAGGAACCAGGGTTTCCACTCTGTGAGTTTGGAAGAAGCTGAGCAGGAACAACAGAGATATGTCCCTGAGGGTGGACCTCATTCTTCGAGGTCCTATGCTAGCAAAACAGGTGCTGGAGAGGAGGATGTACTCATTATTGCTTTATTTCATTCTACCATTTTTTTTCTTCAGATATGATACTTACTTCTATCCCCTATATTTCTTAGCTTTGCTTTTATACTTCCTATTTCTTTTTCCTTTTTCTTTCTATGAAATTTCTTCTATCTTGTCTATAATTTTGGTGATTTCTCCCTCACCTATATACATTCTGCTGTTTATCTACTGAAAAATTTATTTCATTGATTATATTTTTGCAACCTAATATGATTTCCTTCCTCATCTTCTTGTGTACTGTTTCATATTGCTTATATCTTCCTTTTTTATTATTTATTTATTATTATTATTTTTTGAGATGAAGTTTCACTCTTTTTGCCCAGGCTGGAGTGCAATGATGCGATCTCAGCTCACTGCAACCTCCGCCTCCCAGGTTCAAGCGATTCTCCTGCCTCAGCCTCCCAAGTAGCGGGGATTACAGGCATGCGCCACCACACCTGGCTAATTTTGTATTTTTGGTAGAGACGGGATTTTTCCATGTCGGCCAGCCTGGTCTCGAACTCCTGACCTCAGGTGATCCACCCACCTTGGCCTTCCAAAGTGCTGGGATTACAGGCGTGAGCCACTAAGTCCGGCCCCTTTTTTATTTTTTAGTATGCTTACTCGATGGATTATATATTATTATCCTGATAAAAGAAAAACTTCAGCCAAACTAAATTTAAAGGAGTTCAATTAAGCAATGAATTTAACGGATCGGGCAGAATCACTGCAGATTCACAGAGACTCCACCGCAGCCATGTGATGCAAGAAGATTTATAGACATACAAAAATAAAAGGGAAATGACATACAGAAATCAGCAGGGAGGTACAGAAACAGCTGGCTTGGTTACAGGTTGGCATTTGCCTTATTTGAACACGGGCTGAACTCTCAGCAGTGTATGAATGGTTGAAGTATGGACGCTGGGATTGGCCAACACTCAGTTACGGTTACAGCCACATAAGCCTAAGTTAGGTTTTCAATCTTGCCTGCCTATTAAGCTAGGTAAGAGTTCATCCACAAGGACTCAAATATAGAAGTATGGACTGCTTCCCAGGCAATATTTAGTTTGATTTAACAATTCTCAGGGTGGGTGTGGTGGCTCACGCCTGTAATCCCAGCACTTTGGGAGGCCGAGGCGGGCTGATCACCTGAGGTTGGGAGTTCAAGGCCAGCCTGACCAACATGGAGAATCCCCGTCTCTACTGAAAATACAAAACTAGCCAGGTGTGGTGGTGCATGCCTGTAATCCCACCTACTTGGGAGGCTGAGTCAGGAGAATCGCTTGAACTCGGGAGGTGGAGGTTGTGGTGAGCTAAGATCACACCATTGCACTCCAGCCTGGGCAACAAGAGCGAAACTCCATCTCAGAAAAACAAAAACAAGAACAAAAAACAAACAAACAAAAATCCTCAATATTCTGTTTGCTTTTGTGAAATCTTTATTTAATATGCTAGATTTTTTTAAATGTTGATGCTTTGGAAAAGCGTTGTTATCTTTGCCTATGAGCAAGTTTTTCCCGGAGTATTTGGCTTTTCTGTGAAGTAACCCCATGTCCTTTTGAAAGACTGTTTCTGGAAATGCAGCTGCCAAGTTGGGAGGAAACCCAAGCAACCATTTGGGAATGACCCCACGGAAGAGAAACAAGGCCTCTGGCCAACACCCCCAGCTCTTCCGAGGTACCTGCCAGCAACAACTCTCAGCCATGTGAATGAAGTCACTTCGGACTCTGCACCTGCCTCAGTGCTCCAGCCACCACCACCACATTCAGCAGAACCACCTGGCCAACCCATCAGATAATGAGAACTCATATATTAAGTCCTTAAAAAAAAAAAAAAAAAAGCACCAGCTGATGCCGTCTTTGCCTGCTGACACCTTCACCACACCCTTTGCTCTGAAAAATTCAGTTGACAAAATTAGTTTGAAATGCGAATGCCAGGGCTTTATTTATTGTCATTATTTTGGACAATATCCCCAGTACGTTTGGGACATTTTATCACCGTTCAAAGGACCTCTTAGTGTGGAGAAAACTGAGCCTATTTCGGATTTCAAATAAGTAGGAGAGAGATTTAAAATTACTCTGACCTAGTAAACTCTCAAAAAAAAGTAATGCATTTCCCTAGAATGAGATGATATTTGAAAAGCTGATTATAAATCATTTCATTCTACTCACTAAATCAGGGCTGCGTTGCTCTGCTATCTATTAGGACTTTAATAATGTGTTACCTTTTGAATGCAGTAAGAATTCAATCTTTGAAACTCTCATAATACAAAGCTTAGGATAATATAAACTCAGTCAAAGTGAGATTCTTTGACATGAACTCTTCATGTTTTTTCATTCAAAGAGGAGAACTCTGTCCTTTCCTTCATTCTCCCTTTTTTAGTAGAAAAAGTAATTCTTGTAGAAGATACGTATTCCTTCAGATCTCTCAAATTTCCTCTCTAGTGACATCTGCTTCACCAACATTCCTTTTTTCCCCTTTTCCTTGTTCTTGTTCATTTTCCTTTATCGTCTGTGTTTTTCTCATACTTAATTTGCTTCGTGATTTAGGAACTTTTGTTTTACTGGGATTTGTCACTTGAAAGTCCCAATCCTTTCACGGTCTATCCAGGCCTTTCAACCGTGCCAATAACCGGCTAAGTCTGCAGTAGTCTGGATGGAATTCCAGACGGCGTCCAGTCTTTGTCTCTGCAAGCCTGCTTCTCATTGACTCTTAGATCGGCTCTCCTGTTCCAGCTGCAATTTTCCACAGTGCCTCTTTGTTTCAGAATTGGAGCAGTAACCCCTTTTCTTTTTATTTCCAGTCAGCTTTTTTTCCTGCCCCCAAGTAGCAGAGACTGCAGTGCACATAAAGTTAGGGACTCAGCTTGTGTCTGCATAAATATTTGACCTGAATCTAGACAAGATGCAGGTGCGTGGTTTTTCTGATTTATTTTTACACTCAGGCAACTCATCTTTTTTGCTGCTTCTACCCTCGTGAGAGGTAAGAGCTGGGAGTCACACCAGATTCAATTCAGCCAGTGTGCTGCTATCCGTTTCTTTTAGGCTGACTCTCTCTACTGTTTGACACAGCTGCCTCGCTAGCTCATGGCCATGTGTAAAATCAGCATTAAGGGGGCTGGGTGTGGTGGCTCACGCCTATAATTCCCGCAGTTTGGGAGACCGAGGCAAGCAGATCACCTGAGGTCAGGAGTTGGAGACCAGCCTGGCCAACATGGCAAAACCCCATCACTACAAAAATACAAAAAATTAGCTGGGCATGGTGGTGCACGCCTGCGGACCCAGCTACTCGGGAGGCTGATGCAGGAGAATTGCTTGGACCCGGGAGGCACAGGTTGCAGTTAGCCAAGGTCACGCCTTTGCACTCCAGCCTGGGCGACAGACTGAGACTCTGTCTCAAAAAACAAAAAACAAAACCAAAATCAACATTAAGGGAAATTGAACAATATATTAATTATTGACTGGGCTTTCAGGCACCATTGTTTAAAAAGACTTGCTGAAAAACAAAGCAAGCTTACCCCATTTCCTCTACTCCATCCGGAGTCAACTGTCACAGCTAAGAGTTGTGATGATCTCCAAAAAGTGTTGGATATTGGAAGCCTTGATGTTCGAACTGCAGAGATTTTTCTACAGCAGAAGTGGAAGAAGGTTTTCTGGTGAAGGACAGACTTGAAGATAGCTCACCATGATTCTCATATTGTGATATTCATTTCTTGCATGATCCCCTCCCATTGAGTATGGACAAGACCTGGGACTTGCTTCTTTCTTTTTTTTTGAGACGGAGTTTCGCTCTGTCACCCAGCCTGGAGTGCAGTGATGCAATCTCAGCTCACTGCAACCTCCGCCTCCCAGGTTCAAGCGATTCTCCTGCCTCAGCCTCCTGAGTAGCTGGGATTACAGGCACATGCCACCACACCCGGCTAATTTTTGTATATTTAGTAGAGACGGGGTTTCATCATGTTGGTCAGGCTGGTCTCGAACTCCTGACCTTGTGATCCTCCCACTTTGGTCTCGCAAAGTGCTGGGATTACAGGCGTGAGCCACTGCGTTCGGCCTCAGTACCATACGTTTTACTATAGATATCATCTCCAAGGAGGGCAGAGAGAAGAGTAAAAATAGCAAAATTCAGAGATGGTTACACACTTTCTTTTTGTTGTTATTGTTTTCATTCCTTTGTCCTCTGCTACATCACAGGCTTTCAGTTCTCCAAGTGGGATGCGCTGTGGTGCTTATTTAATTTCAGTCTCCTTTTCCCAGTCACCTGTTAGGAAGCTGTGGGTTCGTCCTTGTTCAATTAGTCATGGAATTTGAACACTGATAATGGCTTCTGAAATGTAATTTAAATTGTAGATTTGTGATATCTGCTAGTATGTATTCATTCTCAAAGCCAGCCTCATTTTTATTAGTCACAGTTTTGAATTATTTACTAGTTTCTTTCATTAGAATTGAAAAATGATATTTTAGATTGTTTCAGATGTCTGTGCCTTAAAGTAAATGAAAATGGGAGCTGAAAGAAATCTATATCTTTCTTACTCTGAGAGCAATTCATGGACATTCCCTTCTGTTTATAGTTTCATAGGAGTTTTAAGTGATTTTAAAATACAGGGCTTCCAGTTATATTGGGGGAATAATTTTTTTGTGTGTGTGTGATGGAGTCTTGCTCTGTTGCCCAGGCTGGAGTGCAGTGGCATGATCTCGGCTCACTGCAACCTCCGCTTCCCAGGTTCAAGTGATTCTCATGTCTCAGCCTCCCAAATAGCTGGGATTACAGGCACAAGCCACCATGCCCGGTAAATTTTTTGTACTTCTTTAGCAGAGACAGGGTTTCACCATGTTGGCCAGGCTGGTCTCGAACTCCTGACCTCAGGAGATCCACCCGCCTCGGCCTCCCAAAGTGCTGGGATTACGGGCATGAGCCACCGTGCACCTGGCTGATTTTTTTTTTTTTTTCCTGAGTCTCAGTCTCTTGCCCAGGCTAGAGTGCAGTGGTGCAATCTTGGCTCACTGCAACCTCCGCCTCCCAGGTTCAGGCGATTCTCATGTCTCAGCCTCCCAAATAGTTGGGATTACAGGCACGAGCCACCACATCCGGCAAATTTTTTGTGCTTTTTTAGTAGAGAAAGGGTTTCACCATGTTGGCCAGGCTGGTCTCGCACTCCTGGCCTTAGGTGATCCGCCCGCCTCGGCCTCCCAAAGTGCTGAGATTACAGGCATGAGCCACTGCGCCCGGCTAGGAGAATGATTTATCAGTGCAAGTTGTTTTATTACTGATAAACTACTGGAGAATGGATGCACATTTTTCTTGAACTTTCTGTTTTTCTTTTTTTTTTTTTTTTTGACAGGGTCTAGCTCTGTCACCCAGACTGGAGTGCAGTGGCAGGATCATGGCTCACCTTAGCCTTGACCTCCCAGGCTCAATGATCCTCCCATCTCAGCCTCCCGATTAGCTGGGGACTGCAGGCACACAACATAATGCTCAGCTAATTGTTTTTTCTTTTTCTTTCTTTCTTTTTTTTTTTTTTTTTTGTTGAGACGGAGTTTCACTCTGTCACCAGGCTAGAGTGCAATGGCTTGATCTGAGCTCACTGCAATGTCCACCTCTCGGGTTCAAGCGATTCTTGTGCCTCAGCCTCCCGAGTAGCCAGGATTACAGGCACGTGCCACCAGGCCCAGTTAATGTTTGTATTTTTAGTAGAGACAGGTTTCAACATGTTGGCCAGGCTGGTCTTGAACTCCTGACCTCAGTTGATCCTCCCACGTTGGCCTCCCAAAGTTCTGTGATTACAGGCATAAGCCACTGCATCCAGCCTAATTTTTATATTTTTTTTTTTTGTAGAGATTGGGTTTCACCATGTTGTCCAGGCTGGGCTCAAACGCCTGGGTTCAGGTGATCCTCCCGCCTCAGCCTCCCAAAGTGCTGGGATTACAGGCGTGAGCCACCATGCCTGGCCTCTGGGGCTTTCTTTATTTGATTGCTGAGCTGTTTTCCTTGTGGATCATTGAAAGCTACGCCCTCAAAAGGCAAAAATGGGCAGCTCCCTGCATCTTGCATTCAGGTTTCTGAAAAAAAAAAAAAAAAAAAAAAAAAAAAAGCTTAAGTCACACTGACTGCTGGTTTTTTCTTGTCATATTGAATCTCCAAGATGTGCCTTCAGACATTTCCTCTGGGTCTGTTGGAGGATAGGTTTCGTTTGACCTGAGATTTCATTAATTTTCTCCGAGAGGCGTTTGCTTAGATGTTTCCATGTCACGTGAACCCCTCCTCTCCGTGGTTTGGGTTTTGTTTGGGAGTTGTTTGGGGTTTGTTTGGGGTTTTGTTTGGGGTTTTTCTGAGATGGAGTTTCGTTCTTGTTGCCAGGCTGGAGTGCAGTGGTGCAGTCTTGGCTCACTGCAACCTCCACCTTCCAGGTTCAAGCAACTCTCTGACCTCAGCCCCCCAAGTAGCTGGATTATAGGCGCCCGCCACCCCTCCTGGCTAATTTTTGTATTTTTAGTACAGACGGGGTTTCACCATGTTAGCCAGGCTGTCTCAAACTCCTGATCTCAGGTGATCCGCCCACCTCGACCTCCCAAAGTGCTAGGATTACAGGTGTGAGCCACCGCACCCGGCCTACTTTCTTACTTAACCTGATGTAATGTCTTTCACGTGTGTTGGAGTTTATGGAACTTCAATTTCATTGATGGACGACTACCCCAGGCACTTCCATTTTATTCCTTTCACCAGATGTTCCTGTTTAATTCTCTCTTATTAATGTCATAACCTGCTCGTGTTCTTTTGTACAAATAATAAACGTTCATTCATGGGAATACCTCAATGCAAAAACGTGTACTCACCATCCTTCCTCAATTTAAGTGCTTAAAAAAATAACCTCTAGGCCAGGCGCGGTGGCTCATGCCTATAATCCCAGCACTTTGGGAGGCTGAGGTGGGCGGATCACGAAGTCAGGGGTTTGGGACCAGCCCAGCCAACATGGTGAAACCCCGTCTCTACTAAAGACACAAAAGATTAGCCAGGCATGGTGGCATGGCGCCTGTAATCCCAGCTACTCGGGAGGCTGAGGCAGGAGAATTGCTTGAACCCGGAGGTGGAGGTTGCAGTGAGCCGAGATGGCACCATTGCACTCCAGCCTGGGCGACAGGGCAAGACTCAGTCTCAAAAAATAAAATAAACTAAAATAACCTCTAGGCTGGGTGCAGTGGCTCAGGTCTGTGATCCCAGCACTTTGGGAGGCTGAGGTGGGCGGATCACTTGAGGTCAAGAGCTCAGGATCAGCCTGGTCAACATGGCGAAAACCCATTTCTGCTAAAAATACAAAAATTAGCCAGGTGGGGTGTCGGGTGCCTGTAATCCCAGCTACTTGGGGGGCTGAGGCAGGAGAATAGCTTGAACCTGGGAGGCGGAGGTTGCAGTGAGCTGAGATCGCACCACTGCACTCCAGCCTCGGTAACAGAGCAAGACTTCATCTCACAAAAATAAATAAATAAATAAATAAATAAATAAATAAATAAATAAATAAGTAACCTCCAAGCCATAATTTTAGTGATGGTTTTACTTTGTTTGACATGTACGTTTTAAAAGAAATTTATAATAAGAAAAAATTATTGAACATAATTATGTTACTCATGATGTGTCCATCCTCACTCCCCCAAAAAATTGGCATCAAAATCTCACTTTGACTCCAGATGTTTACCAAAATGCATTCACTTTCAGCTGAAAGATGTTTTGTGGCCAAAAAGAAAAAAATAACCTGGAAATAGACCAATGTTTCCTCATGCTGCAAAAGGTCTGCTTTGGCTTGATAAGGCGATCAGGTGTTTGCAAAACATTTCCACCCTCTTTTTTTTTTAGTAACAGAAAAGTTGGCACTTCTGCTAGCCCAACATTTTTGCACACAGAAGTTTTCTCAGTTAAAAGCTGCCTGGGACGGTGCCTCCAGCTTGAAATTCTTCTGCATCTCTGCACAGCACTGTGCTGAATTTTGCAAGTGCCGCCAACAAGAAGCTGCGGCAGGGTGCTGGGAATTTCACAGAAAGCTATTCCCTTTTTCCTACCTGGTTATAGAAACTGCTTTTTCTTTAGAATGTTATAGTTACCCTTTGAATAGTGGCTTATCATTTCAATACATTTTTGTATGAATTTTAAATGCCTATATTCAACCCAACTTTTTCCTTTCTCCTAGGGGGCTGATACCGTCAGGACAGCGGCTTGCTGAAAGTTTTAACAATGAATTCTGCAAAAAAAAAAAAAAAAAAAAAGAAACCCTGGTCAGAGCCTATGCCAATTTCTCTGGTGTAAATTTTCCTCTTGTGGTTGATTTAAAGGTACTCAGGTGAGATTATGGAATGCGGATTTGGAAAGAGATAATGCCCTGTTGGTTCTCATAAGCTCATACGAGCTACTCCTAGCACCCCTGTATGTCAAGGTGTACAAGGCAGAGAAAGATGACAAGCTGGTGATCTTGGGAGGGAAAACCTTAGTCCCCACAGGTGATTGGTTCAAAGGGCGCTATGACCACTGCAGCAGGAGCACAATCTGATATGGAGTTCAATGCTCCTGGGAAGATGTGTTTAGACCGGGGATCTCCAACCCCTAGCTGCAGATTTGTACCAGTCTGTGGCCTGTTAGGAACTGGGATGCCCAGCAGGAGGTGAGCAGAAGGCACCTCTATTTACATCTGTATTTACAGCATCTGTATTTGCAGCTGCTTCTGATCACTGCCATTACCATCTGAGCTCTGCCTCCCGTCAGGTCAGTGGTGGCATTAGATTATCGTGGAAGCATGAATCCTATTGTGAACTGCCCATATGAGAGATCGAAGTTGCATGCTCCTTATAAGAATCTAGTGCCTGATGATCTGTCACTGTCTCCCATCAACCCCAGATGGGACCATGTAGTTGCAGGAAAACAAGTCACGGCTCCCACTGATTCTACATGATGGCAAGCTGTAGACTTATTTCACTATGTATTCCAATGTAATAGTAATAGAAATAAAGTGCACAATGAATGCAGGGTACTTGAATCATCCTGAAACCATCTGCCCATCCCCTGGTCCACGGAAAAATTGTCTTCCGCAAAACCTGTCCCTGGTGCCAAGAAGTTTGGGGACCACTGGTGCAGACCTTTCTCCCCTCCTTCTGAAAATCTTCTGGCCAGAGTCCTGCTGTGTGACGGTTAGGATTGAGGGTCAACTTGATCGGATTGAAGGATGCAAAGCATTGTTCCTGGGTGTGTCTGTGAGGGTGTTTCCAAAGGAGATTCACATTTGAGTCAGTGGACTGGGAGATGCAGACCCACCCTCATTGTGGGTGGGAACGATCTCATCAGCTCCCAGTGTGGCTAGGATAAAAGCAGGCAGAGGAACATGGAATGAGAAGACTTGCTGAGTCTCCCGGCCTCCATCTTCCACCCGTGCTGGCTGCTTCCTGCCCTCGAACATCAGACTCCAAGGTCTTCAGTGCTTGGACTCTTGGACCTACAGTGGTTTGCCAGGGGCCTATCGGGCCTTTGGCCACAGACTAAAGGCTGCACTTTCAGCTTCCCTACTTTTTAGGTTTAGGGACTCGGACTGGCTTCCTGGCTCCTCACCTTGCAGATGGGCTATTGTAGGACTTCACCTTGTGATTATGTGAGTCAGTTATCCTAGTAAATTCCCCTTCATATATACATCTATCTGATTAGTTCTGTCCCTCAAGAGCACCCTGACTAATATATACTGGAAATGGCCTCTGTTACCCAGACATGTGCCTCCAAGGAGAAAGTTCTTGGAAGCCAGATGAGTTCTCTCTATGACCTTCAGTTCAACACGTGGATGAAGGTGTGGAATGAGGCAGTAGGAAGGGCTCTGAGCCAGGCATGCTGAGAGCTTATCATCACATAACAACACTGGGATTGTCAGGCTCTTCAGAGATACAGAACTAATATAGTTTGAATATTTGTCTCCTCCAAATCTCACTTTGAAATTTGGCCCCTAATGTTGGTGGTAGGGCCTAGTGGGAGGTATTTGGGTGATGGGAGCAGATCTCTCATGAATGTCTTTGTTCTGTCTCTACAGTAATTAATGAGTTCTTGCTCTGTTTGTTCACATGAGAGCTGGTTGTTTAAAACAGCCTGGCACCTCTCTCTCTCACCTCCTTTCTCACCCTGTGACATGCCAGCTCCACTTCACCTTCCACCATGAGTGGAAGCTTCCTGAGGCCTCACCAGAAGCAGATGCTGGCTCCATGCTTGTACAGTCTGCAGAACTGTGAGCCAAATAAACCTCTTTTCTTTATAAACCACACAGCCTCTGGTATGCCTTTAGAGCAATGTGTATTAGTTTGTTCTCACATTGCTATAAAGAACTATCTGAAGCTGGGTAATCCATAGAGAAAAAAGGTTTAATTGGCTCATGGTTCCATAGGCTATACAAGAGGCATGGCTGGGGAGGCCTCAGGAAACTTACAATCATGGCAGAAGGTGAAGAAGAAGGAGGCACTTCTTACATGGTTGGAGTAGAAGAAACAGAGTGAAGCAGGAGGTGGTACACACTTTTAAACAACTAGATGTCTTGTGAACTCACTCACTATCACACAAACAGCAAGGGGGGAATCCACCCCTTGATCCAGTCACCTCCCACCATGCCCTCTCTCCATTATTGGAGATTACAATGGGATGTGAGATTTGGGTGGGGACACAAATCCAAATCACATCACATTGCAAAACAGACTAAGACAAGAACCAGACAAATAAACATATAAAACAGGATTCACTCTGGGAATTGGCCCACATGATTATGGAGGCTGAGAAATTTCATGATCTGCCATCTGGAAGCTGGAGAACCAGGGAAACGGGTGGCACAAAACAGTCAGAATCCAAAGGCCTAAGGGTGGGTGTGGAAGGTGCGGGGAACTGAGGGGCTCTGCTCGTGTAAGTCCTGGAGTCCAAAGACACAAGAACCAAGAGCTCTGCTCTCTGAGGAGATGGATGTCCCAGCTCAAAAACAGAGAGGAAGTTTTCCCTTCCTCTACCTTTTTCCTCTACTTGGGCCCTCCATGGATTGAGTGATGCCCACTCCTAGTGGTGAGAGTCTTCTTTACTCAGTCTGCTTGTTCAAATGCAAATCTCTTCTGCAAACACACTCACAGACACACCTAAGGGTTTTACCAGCTACCTGGGCGTCCCATAGCCCAGGCAAGTTGACATGTACAGTTAACCATCACTTCCACCTACACATTGGCTGAGTTCCTCCATCTGCCAGGACTCCCTGGCCAATGTGGAATAACACTCTCTTGGCTTCCTTCTGAGGCTTGCTGGGGAATCAAATGAGAATTTGCAAGCCTGAAAGTTTGTATTAAAGAGTGTGATGCCAGTTTTTGATATTTGGTTGCTGACAACTTCCAAGTGCACCCTCTCAATTCCCGTGGAATGGAGATATCTTTATTTGTCTGGTTCTTGTCTTAGTCCATTTTGCATTGTGATGTGATTTGGATTAGTGTCCCCACCCAAATCTCACATCCAATTGTAATCTCCAATAATGGAGAAAGGGCATGGTGGGAGGTGACTGGATCAAGGGGTGGATTCCCCCCTTGCTGTTTGTGTGATAATGAGTGAGTTCACAAGACATCTAGTCTGTTCTCCCCACAAATGATGACAAAGCACATCTTGGCAAACTGCTGATAAAGCCCAGGTGCTTGCTCCTTTGGTGCCAGTGGGAGCTTGAAATCAGGTAAGGCCGGGTGTGGTGGCTCATGCCTGTAATCCCAGCACTTTGGAAGGCTGAGGTGGGCAGTTCACTTCAGGTCAGGAGTTCGAGACCAGCCTGGCCAACATGGTGAAACCCCGTCTCTACTAAAAATACAAAAATTAGCCAGGCGTGGTGGCATGTGCCTGTAATCCCAGCTACTTGAGAGGCTGAGGCAGGAGAATCACTTGAACCTGGGAGGTGGAGGCTGCAGTGAGCCGAGATCTCACCACTGCACTCCACCCTGGGTGACAGAGTAAGACTCCATCTCAAAAAATAAAAAATTACAAAAATTGAAACCAGGCAAGCTGCTGTACTGCATTTGGGAATCTCACCCTACCCTGCTCCTTACCCACAATAAAAATTCAATCTAGAGTTTTTTCTTTACCATCTTGGTCTATTCTGGATCAGCTTGGAAGATCTTTCCTGCTCTCCCGCAAAAGCTGTATTATGTAAGAAATATGTGTTTGCATACTCTGTTTGTATGTGTGTATGTGTGTATGTGTGTATGTGGGGGGTGGGGTGGGGGGGTCATGAGTCTTGACATCCTGACCAAATTTGGGAGGAACAGGTGCATCCTATTATTTCAAGATGGCCTCACCAGCGCAGCATGGTGGCTCATGCCTGTAATCTTAGCATTTGGGGAGGCCAAGACAGGAAGTTCGCTTGAGACCAACAGTTTCAGACCAGGCTGTGCAACATAGCGAGATCTTATCTCTCTAAAAAAAATTAGCCAGGCCTGGTGGCACGCACCCCTATAGTCCCAGCTTCTCAGGAGGCTAAGAAGAGAGGATCACTTGAGCCCAGGAGTTCAAGCCTTCAGTGAGCCATGATTCCACCACTGCACTCCAGTCCCAGGCTCTTAGAATGAGACCTTGCTTTAAAAAAAAAAAAAAAAAAAAAAAGGCTATGGCTACACTAGTGTCCTTGGATAAAAGTAAAACGATCTAGATCGACACAACTATAATTCTTTTTTTTCTTTTTTTTTTTTTTTTGAGACAGAGTCTTGCTCTGTTGTCCAGGCTGGAGTGCAGTGGCGCGATCTCAGCTCACTGCCACCTCTACCTCCCAGGTTCAAGCGATTCTCTTGCTTCAGCCTCATGAGTAGCTGGGACTACAGGCGTGCACCATCATGCCCGGCTGATTTTTGTGTTTTTACTAGACACGGGGTTTCAGCATGTTGGCCAGGCTGGTCTCAAACTCCTGACCTCAAGTGATCTGCCCGCCTCAGTCTCCCAAAGTGCTGGGATTACTGGCAGGAGCCACCACACCCAGCCCACAAGGCCATAATTCAATTGTGAAGTTCCCAGTTGCCGATGATCCTGGCCTGCCTTCCTCAGTTAGAACCTTCTAGGCATGCACACAGGTGGGGTGGTCTGTGTTTTTCTTTTCCTTTTTCCATTTACATGGGATTTTAGACACACTGTGTAGTTGGAAGACTGGAAGATTTCTATTTGTAAATGAAATTCGACCTGAATGAGAAAGAGTCGTAACTCTACAGGGATCATCCATCAATGCCTAAGTTCCTTCCATCCCCAGTTTGAACACATCTGTTATGCATGAGACTCCTTAAGCTGCACAAAAAGCACACACTCATTTCATGCGATGGACAGCCGGAAGCAGTGCATCCTGCAGGCTAGGATGTGTTGCTTTGTTGAAAGCTTTGCCGGACAGCCTGTAATTTGGAGGGAGAACGGCCTGAAGCATTCAGATTCAGCAAAAGGCTCTTCTTTTGAAACCAGATCATACTGTTATCACCAGAAAGAGGTCCCGATCCAGACCCTCAAGAGAGTATTCTTGGATCTTGCCCAAGAAAGAATTTAGGGCGAGTCCATAAAGTGAAAGCCAAGTTTATTAGGAAAATAAAGGAATCAAGAATGGCTACTCCATAGCCAGAGTAGCCCCAGGACTGCTGGTTGCCCATTTTTATGGTTATTTCTTGGATATGCTTAACAAGGGGTGGATTATGGTTATTTGTATGGATATGCTAAACAAGGGGTGGATTATTCATGCCTCCCCTTTTAGACCATATAGGGTAACTTCCTGACGTTGCCATGGCATTTGTAAACTGTCATGGAGCTGGTAGGAGTGTAGCAGTGAGGACCACCAGAGGTCACTCTTGTGGCCATCTTGGTTTTGGTGTGTTTTCGCCGGCTTCTTTACCTGTTTATCTTTTACCTGTTTTACCAGCAAGGTCTTTATGACCTGTCTCTTGTACCGACCTCCTATCTCATCCTGTGACTTAGAATGCCTTAACCATCTGGGAATGCAGCCCATAAGTCTCAGCTTCATTTTGCCCAGCCCCTATTCAAGATGGAGTTGCTCTGGTTCAAACACCTCTGACCATACTTTAACCTGATTCTGCAAAAAGCCCTCTCATCAGATGCCTCTGCAGCATGGAGGGTCGCAGATTGAATATACTCTTTTCTAGGTCTTGAGTGGATTTGTTGCAGAGCCAGTGAGCAAATGCAGTTATCACCACCTTGGTTTGCCTGTGACTGTCATCATGATGAAACAGCTACATTGTCTGGGGTACATACCCTGGGGTTCATTGTCTCGCACCGAGAAAGAATTCAGGACACAGACACGTGTGGGTGGATTAAGGAGTGGAAAGTTTAAGAGACAAAGAAAGGAAAGAAGAGAGCAGCTCCTTGCCAGAGAGAGAGAGAGAGAGAGACATCTGAAAAGTAGGGAGGTGGCAGTCAGCAGCAGATTTTATAGGCAGGCTGGAGAAGGTGGTGTTTGATTTATGTAGGGCTCACAGATTGGTTCCATCAGGTACGTTTACATAGCGCCTGTGGGGAAGGCTGATTGCCCCACCTTAATCTTATTATGCAAATGGGCTTTCCACTTGATAGGCGCCATCTTGTCTGCTCCTTACTGTACAAGTGGCCGACAAAGAGGAGGAAGATGGAGCCACCCTGTTGAACGTCTCTAGTCCCTAGTTCCTGCCGGCATTCACCCGTGCAAGCTCCCAGCTGGCTTGTCTATGTCTGCAGCTTGACTTGACAGGCTGCTCTTTGTTAGAAAATGACTTGGGGCTGCTTTTCATTAAAGAGAAAAGCCTTACCAAGGACTCCCATACCCTTACTGTCTGCCTAAGTGATTTCTTCTTAACTCCTGTATCACTGGCAGACTCCCAGTTGCCTGTTGGGTGGAGTACTATATTGCCGAGTATCATGACTGTATTAGATGTGAGGGAGACAGTGTGAATAGGACATGGTCCCTGAAGAGCACAGAGCTCTCATGTGGGGCTGGGCGGAGCTTCTGTCCTATCCAGTGTTACGGAACCCTTGCAAGCACAGGTCAGGCAGCTCCAGTGCTGGAAGACATGCACGCAAAATCCAGGGGGACCATTGCAAAGAGGTTTAGTGTTTCTTGGAAAAATGCCAGAAGTCTGAAGAAGTGGTGGCCCCGAGCAGCTTTGAAGGATGTGCATGCAATTAAACCGAAGCCAAAGGGTCAGAGAGAGGAGTGAGAGCCAGGTAGGAATCTATGTGCAGCTTCATCATAAACTCACAGGCAGGCTTCATGCAGCACCGTCTCAGTGCATTCAATGTTTGGATTCCACACGCATGCATCCTCAACCCCCTTGCAATGCTATTCTCCCTGGAGGGAAATGGGTCATTCTTACTCTATCATATGCAGATATCTGGTCAACCAGATAAATGTGTGAGAAAACACCAACAAAGCAGAAATTACTTTTAATTATAGAGCAGAGTCATCGTAAAAGTTTGTGCAAAAAAAATTTTTTTTTTTTTTGTGGCTGGGTCTCCCTCTGTTACCCAGGCTGGAGACCTGGAATGCAGTGGTGTGATCATGGCTCACTGCAACTTCGACTTCACAGGCTCAGGTGATCCTCGCACCTCAGCCTCCCAAGTAGCTAGGATGACAGGTGTGTGCCACCACACCTAGGTAATTTTTGTATTTTTTGGTAGAGATGAGGTCTCACTATGTTGCGCAGGCTGGTGCTGAAATTCTGGGCTCCAGTGATCCTCCTACCTCTGCTTGCAAAGTACTCGGATTACAGGTGTGAGCCACAGTACCTAGCAAGATTTTTTTTTTTTTTTTTTTGAGATGGAGTTTTGCTCGTGTTGCCCAGGCTGGAGTGCAATGATGCGATCTCGGCTCACGGCAACCTCCGCCTCCCGGGTTCAAGCGATTCTCCTGCCTCAGCCTTCCCAAGTAGCTGTGATTACAGGCATGTGCCACCACGCCCGGCTAATTTTGTATTTTTAGTAGAGACGGGGTTTCTTCATGTTGGTCGGGCTGGTCTCGAACTCCCAACCTCAGGTGATCTGCCCGCCTCGGCCTCCCAAAGTGCTGGGATTACAGGCGTAAGCCACTGCGCCTGGCCAGCAAGATTCTTTTTAAGGCACTTATTTTTATTTAGGGAATGAGAGACTGTACAATATTGTAAACAAATAAAATCAGAAAACATATTGTGTTTCCACGGTTCCAACACATATGGGTCACATGAATTGCGTGAACTCACTGTTAAGTGCATGGTAAATATCATGCTTTAAAAAGAGAAAGATGTTTCGGCATCACTTTTTTTTTCTTTTTCTTTTTTCAGATGGAGTCTGGCTCTGTCCCCCAGTCTGGAGTGCACTGGCACCATGTCAGCTCACTGCAACCTCCGCCTCCTGGGTTGAAGTGATTCTCCTGCCTTAGCCTCCTGAGTAGCTGGGATTACAGGCGCCTGCCACCATGTCTGGCTAACTTTTGCATTTTAGTAGAGATGGGGTTTCACCATGTTGGTCAGGCTGGTCTCAAACTCCTCAGCTCAGGTGATCCGCCCCCCTCCGCCTCCCAAAGTACTGGGATTACAGGTGTGAGCCACCGAGCCTGGCCCAGTATCACTTGCTTAAATATTTTAGAAATGTGTAGAACTTTCAGGAAGTTACAAAAACCATGTTCCATGAGCTATTTTAACATATTTACTTGACAGCTGTCTCATGTGGCTTTTGTAAATAAAAGTACAAGTACGGCCGGGCACAGTGGCTCCCACCTGTAATCCTAGCATTTTCGGAGGCCAAGGTTTAGGATCCCTTGAGACCAGGAGTTGGAGACCAGCCTGGGCAACATGGTGAGATCCCATCTCTACAAAAGAAAAAAAAAAAATTAGCTGGATGTGGTAGGATGCACCTGTATTCCCAGCTACTGGGGAGGCTGAGGTAGGAGGATTGCTTGAGACCAGCAGGTCAAGGCTGCAGTGAGCTGTGATTGCACCACTGCACTCTAGCCTGGGTGACAGAGCAGAACTCTGTCTTTAAAAAATAAAAATAAATAAATGCAAGTGTATGGAGCACTCAGCCTAGGAGTGTTTTTAGCACGAGCTGCAATTATAGATGGGGTCAGCTGCATGACCCAAGATGAAACCTAGAAGAAAACACTCACGTTCACCACCACCATCAACAGTGCCTTCCGCAACACATCCCTCCATGGGAACTGCCAGATGTTTCTTTCTCTCTATTGTGTAGCTAAATATTTTCTGAACTATATTGGGCAATTCTTTCCAACACAAATGTCTTGGAATGCTAATAAAAGTGCCTGGGGAAAAAAAGAGGCTCTAAATTCAGGGGGAAAAAATGTGGAAAAGACTGAGCTTCTCAGAGTTGAGCGGTTCTTTTCAGCAAGATTTCTCAGTCTTTTGTTTGCTGAAGGGCAATTAAATCTCCCAGGAGAGATACTGTGGGTACTGTGGTCCGCGTGCCCAAAATTCTTTAACCACAGAACTGTTTTTGCTAAAGTCAGTTATTAACATTTCAATCACATGGGATTCCAGGGACTAGAACCTTAAAAGTCCGAAAGTCACTGAAGCATTTGTTCAATAATCCCAGTCAGATAAAATTTACTAGTTACAACAACTTTGGACAAGAGTCGGATGCCTTTTCAAAGGAAGTTGAATGGTGCAGTATAAATGTGCCATGCACCCTCCATGGAAACACAAGATTTATGTTTCATGCACGTGTGGGTGAAAATTTTCACATGCTAAGTGCTGTGTTATCTGAGTTTGTCATGTTTTCTCAACAAGTGCGTTTCTTTTTTTTGAGTTGTTTTGTTTTGTTTTTTGAGATGGCGTCTCGCTCTGTCACCCAAGCTGGAGTGCTGTGGCACGATCTGGGCTCACTGGAACCTCCGTCTCCTGGGTTCAAGCAATTCTCCTGCCTCAGCCTCCCAAGTAGCTGGGATTACAGGTGCCCACCAACACTCCTGGCTAATTTTTGTATTTTTAATAGGGATGAGGCTTCGCCATGTTGGCCAGAATGGTCTCAAACTCCTGACCTCAAGTGATCCTCCCGCCTCGGCCTCCCAAAGTGCTGGGATTACAGGTGTGAGCCACCACACCTGCACAAATTTGAGAACTGACTGCACACTCTGAGGATTTTAGACTTCAGCCAAGGCAAAACTCCAATTATTAGTTTTCGAATCATTTTACTTGTCAGGACATAGGTGCAGTTCCAGTTAACAGGGAAGAGTGGCACACCTGCTTATGCCTAATTATAAAGTAACTGAGGAAAACCATCAGTGTTTTCCAGGAAGTTGACAAAGTCCTGGTTCTTTATGAATGAGTTCAGAATCTGCCATTGAGGTTTCCAGAGATGCCAGACCTAAGAAATGCTGGGGAAATAAAGACACTTAAAGAGATAAAAACTGGCTGGTGTGATGGCTCACGCCGGTAATCCCAGCACTTTGGGAGGCTGAGGCGGGCAGATCACGAGGTCAAGAGACAGAGACCATCCTGGCCAACATGGCGAAACCCCGTCTCTACTAAAAATACAAAAAGTAGCTGGGCGTGGTGGTGCGCACCTGTAATCCCAGCTACTCGGGAAGCTGAGGCAGGAGAATCACTTGAACCTGGAGGCGGAGGTTGCAGTGAGCCGAGATCTGGCCACTGCACTCCAGCCTGGTGACAGAGTGAGACTCCGTCTCAAAACAAACAAAGAAAAGAAAGTAGAGGAATAAAAGAATGGCTAGTCCACATGCAGAGCAGCCCTGAAGGCTGCTGGTGGGCCATTGTTATGGTTGTTTCTTGATGATATGCTAAACGAGAGGTGAATTATTCATGCCTCCTGTTTTTAGACCATAGAGGGTAATTTCCTGATGTTGCCATGGCATTAGTAAACTGTCGTGGTGCTTGGTGGGAGTGTAGCAGTGAGGATGACCAGAGGTCACTCTCATCACCATCTTGGTTTTGGTGGGGTTTGGCCAGCTTCTTTACTCCAACCTGTTTTATCAGCTAGGTCTTTGTGACCTGTAGCTTGTGTTGCCTTCCTATCTCATCCTGTGTCTTAGAATGCCTAACCTCCCAAGAATACAGCCCAGTAGGTCTCAGCCTTGTTTTACCCAGCCCCTATTCAAGATGGAGTTGCTATGGTTCAAACACCCTCTGACACTGCCTGTATTAGTCTGTATTTATGCTGCTGATAAAGACATACTCGAGACTGGGAAGAAAAAGAGGTTTAATTGGACTTACAGTTCCACATGGCTGGGGAGGCCTCAGAATCATGGCGGGAGGCAAAAGGCACTTCTTACATGGCGGGGGCAAGAGAAAAGTGAGGAAGAAGCAAAAGCCGAAACCCCTGATAAACCCATCAGATCTTGTGAGGCGTATTCACTATCACAAGAATAGCATGGGAAAGACCATTCCCCCATGATTCAATTACTGCCCCTGGGTCCCTCCCACAACATGTGGGAATTCTGGGAGATAGAATTCAAGTTAAGATTTGGGTGGGGACACAGCCAAACCACATCACTGTCATTTTGTAAAAGATGTGCATTTTTGTCTTCTCCGGTTGCCATAACAAATCACCACCAATTTTGTGGCTTTAAAAGAACAGAAATGTAGTGTCTTCTGATTCTGGAGTTCAGAAGCCTGAAATTAGTATTGCTGGGCTAACACCCAGTTGTTGTCAGAGCTGATTCCTTCTGGAGTCTCCAGAGCAGAACCTACTCCCTTTCCTTTTGAAGCTTGTAGAGGCTGTTTTGCCATGCCTTGGCTTGTAGCCCCTTCCTCTACCTTAAAGACATCAGCACATTTCCCTCCTCTCAGACCTCTGTTTCTATCCCCACATCTCCTTGTCTGACTCTGACCCTCGTGCGTCCTCTTTCCGGTATAAGGGTGCTTGTGATGACATTGAGATACCCTCATTATGATCCAGGATAATCCTCTCATCTTAAAATCCTTAATCACTTTTGCAAAGTCACTTTTGCCATATAAGGTCACATATTCACAGATTTCAGGGATTAGGATGTGGGCGTCATTGGGGCCATTATTCTGTCTATCACATGGAGATTAGGATGTGGACATCTTTGGGGCCATTATTCTGTCTCCCACATGGGGATTAGGACATGGACATCTTTGGGGGTCATTATTCTGTCTCCCACATGGGGATTAGGACATGGACCTCTTTGGGTGTCATTATTCTGTCTACCACATGGGGATTAGAATGTGGACCTCTTTGGGGGACATTATTCTTTCTACCACATGGGGATTAGAATGTGGACATCTTTGGGGGACATTATTCTGTCTACCACATGGGGATTAGGACGTGGACATCTTTGGGGCCATCACCTGTCTACTACATGGAGATTAGGACATGGACATTTTGGGGGTCATTATTCTGTCTACCACATTAGGATTAGGATGTTGACATCTCTGGAGCCATTATGTTGTCTACCACATGCGGATGAGGACATGGACATCACTGGGGCCATCACTTTTTCTACCAGAAGAGGAAAGAGTATTGGGTTTAGGGTGAGGGGACATAAGTATGTGGTCCCAGAACTACCATTGGTTAGCTCATTACACTGGACAATGGACCTTGCCTCTAGGTCCTTGGGTCCTACATCTGTATTGTAGGGGTAATCCATCCTACATCAGATCTATGGTATTCAAGTAACGGGAACAGGCTAATACAGTCAGCCACTCAAAATGGCTTCATAACATCCTTAAGCTATGGAACCATGAGCCAGACATATCTGATTTGACAAAATTAAGATAAGGGTCAGAAAACTTTCTCTTCTGGCTCTCTGAAGCAAAGCCTTTATTTTGATCTGTCTAGCTGTCAATGTCTTTCCATTTTCAAATCACAGTTACCAGTCTTTCACCTTTACATGTATTTTAATGGCTTAACATCATTAATATCAGCAGGAAATTGATTTTTTTTTTTTTAGATGGAGTTTCGCTCTTGTCACCCAGGCTGGAGTGCAATGGCGCGATCTTGGCTCACCACAGCCCCCACCTCCAGGGTTCAAGTGACTCTCCTGCCTCAGCCTCCTGAGTAGCTGGGATTACAGGCATGCACCACCATACCCGGCTAATTTTTGTATTTTTAGTAGAGATGGGGTTTCTCCATGTTGGCCAGTCTGATCTCGAACTCCCAACCTCAGGTGATCCGCCCACCTAAGCCTCCCAAAGTGCTGGGATTACAGTCGTCAGCCACTGTGCTCGGCAGGAAATTGTTTTTACTAAGAGACCGCTGAGCCAGTGTGGAGAGGGATCAACATGAAAACATGATGGCATTTGAATATTATTTTCCAAAATCAGATTATCCCTTTAAACACACGTTTCTCTAACTCATGGGAGGCCAATGTCAGTCATGACATGAAATTATATTTCCCACATTGCATCTTAGACTAGAACTTCTATAAATCTGCAAGCCAAAAAAACAGAACTTCCAAGGCTCCATAGCAAAGTAACCAAGCCAACCCCATACTCACCTAGAATCGACTCTCTACAGCTGTGTTCATTCATCACACTCATTACTTCCAAATTAGATGTTTTTTTCTCCAACAGGCTCAATGACTACTTAATTTACATTCCAGCCACAAAATCAAGCCTCTGATCTTACCTACTCCTGTGTCAGGCATAAACGTAATTACGAATACAAAGTATTGCAGATTAGGTAATGCATTCAGTCTAGGATGGAAGACTCAGGTTGTACTTGGTGAGGGAAAGCGTTTACAACACCTGTCTACTGGATTTAAACATGCAGCTGCCATTGGGGTTAGGGTTGGAAATTTCCATATCACTGGTAGCTGAGTTCCTGACTAGTTGGGATAATCAAGGGTAGTTGAGAGCCAAGTACTTAATGATTATCTCCACTCTGCAAATGACCAATGTCTTGTGGCATACATTACCCAAACTTCTCATTCTACTTGGAATACTCCTTCTGTAGCAAGTCTAGGTCCTTCTAGAGCCGTCTTCAGAGTTGAGGTCTGGCAAACTCATTCCATGCCCAAGATCAAAACCAGTAGGCTTACCACTTTACCATTGGCATCCAAGCTTGACTTCTTGATCTTCAAGTGACATGCTTTCTGTATCCTCATTTCTGCCTTTATTCTTTCTTCTCCAAAATTCCCAAAGTGGTCTTGGGCAGAGAAGATAATGATGGGTTTTGGTTGTCCTTAAAAAGTCTGCATGGATATCTTCACAGGAAAGCAGCATGCTTTTACCTAATTTTGTTTTGTCCTCTCAGGTACATGGTGATTCCTAGTCTATCATGTGTGTGAATTTCTTGGGGTTCTGCTACAAGGCAGATTCTGTTTCAGTGGATCTGGGTGGGGCTTCACATTCTATGTGTCTAAGTCCTGGGCAATGGTGATACTGCTCATCCATGGACCATATATTGTGTCTTGAGGTTTTACAACACAGGTGTATATAGGTTTATGTATATAGGTGATGCCCTGCATAAACTCACTACAGAAAACGACCTGGGCTAGAAATGGTAGCAGAGTGCAACCTAGGGGTCCCTGGGTTGGCTTAAACTCAGTAGGTAGGCATGGAACTTGGGATGGCCACTTTCTTGACCCTTAGCAGGAATTGCATGGGTCCAGGCAATTTATCACAAGAAAAACAAAGTAAATGCCCCAGATGGATCAACTCAAATGCATCAGTACTAGTAGAAACAACTAAAATGATGGCTACCTGGCTGGATTCATGTTCTGTGGTAGCATCTTCCTCTACTGCTGATGTGAGGTTGGTCCCTGAAGCAGAAATGGCTCTTGTCGCCCAGGGACAAAGGAGTCTTGGCTGGGCACGGTGGCTCATGCCTGTAATCCCAACACTATGGGAGGCTGAGACAGGAGGATTGCTTGAGCCCAGGAGTTAAAGACCAGCCTGGACAACATGGCAAAACCCTGTCTCAAAAAAAGAAAGAAAGGAAGAGAGAAAGAGAGAAAGAAAGAGAGAGAGAAAGAAGGAAGGAAGGAAAGGAAGGAGAGAGAGAGAGAAAAAAAAAGAAAGGAAGAAAGAAAAGAAAGAAAGAAAAGAAAAGAAAAAAAGAAGAAAAGAAAAGAAAACTTTGCTGAGCCCCCAGGCTTGGTGGCTGAGATGAAAGCATCGCTGGAGCCCAGCAGGTTGAGTCCGCAGTGAGCTGCGATTGTGCCACTACACTCCAGCCTGGGCTACACAGAGGGACCATTTCCAAAACCAAGAAAGAAACAAAAAAGGGAGTCTTGCTAAGTTGATGCCTTTAGAACTCGTTGTTCGTAGAGACAAAGTTGGTGTGTGGGAGCTCCCCATGCACTTCTCTGGAGGATAAGAGAGGGTAGCTCCATTCTTTGTTGAGAAAAGTGCATTTGCCCAGAGGGCTTGGGGGCTCAGGTTTAAAAAGAAAAGTCTGAAGGTCAGTGCTTGCTGATGATAATAAGTGATGCTGAAATTATCTAGCATCTAGATGCTAAAATGTCACCCTTTACCATCTTTTCAACATCCTTCTGTCTCAGTGGTATGAAATGATTAATTTCACCCAGGGTAATTGGCTATTTAAACTTACTGGCACTGGCAAAAAATGCATTAAGGTGGACATTCTAAAATCAAAGATATTAATATTAAGATCTATTTTATTTCTTTAAAAAATTACATGAGATCTTCCAGGGACCATGTAATGAGCAATAGTTAGCATATAAAGTACTCCAGACCCATCCAAACATTTGTCAACACTACAGTATAAACATTATTCCTTTATTTTCCAAATTTCTGGTGTAGAGTGTGTTGCAATTGTTGGAAACTAGACTGAGATTAAACAGTGAGTAATACTCAGTATTGCAACCTGTCGTTTCCAATTTCCTGAACCATCAGGAGAATACAGTGCCTCTTTTTAGTGTTATTTATGAACCATAGCTTTTGCATCCATTTTGCAATTACACATGGCCAACGTTTAATATATAAAGTCATGAAAACTCTTTGGAATCTAATTGTTTTTTTCCCCTCTGGCTGGAACGAATAGTTAAGCAGAGGAAACTGTAAAGAGGTTCATGTAGATTTCACAGAATGTGTTTTATGATCTTTTTGCATCATGAGTTTGGCTCTGTCTCCAGGGGAATGCAATTCTCCCAATGAAATGGGGAACTCAGGCTTCCTCCAACCAATTGTTCTCTTTCCTTGAATTTATTCCATGGCAAGAATGGAATATCCCTGCAAAGATTCTCTAGGATGATCCAGACAAAGTCAATTCATTCATTCATGGGTGCTTGCATTCATTTAATGAATATTAATGACCTAGACTGTGCCAGATATTGGAGTAGGCCTGCATATATATGGGTCCCAACATTTGGTCTCAGAAAGTAATAGGTAGATAGACAAATAGATGGATGGATGGGCGGGGTAAGTGGATGAATGGATAACTGGATAGAAAGTTGGGTGCATAGATGGATGAATTATTAGGTGGATTAATGGATGGACAGATAGATGGGTAAATGGATAAGTGGGTAGCTAGGTAGTTGGATAGTTGATTGGATGAATGGATGGATAGATAGTCAGATAGATGTTATATAGAGAGATGGATGGATGTATATATGGATGATGGATGGACAGATGGATGGGTGGATGGATGAATGGGTAGATACATAATTGGTTAGTTGATTGAATGAATGGATGGATAGATAGTTGAATAGATGGTTATAGGGAGAGATGAATGGATGGATATATGGATGATGGATGGGCTGATAAATGGGTAGATGGATGATGGGCAGATAAATAGTTGGATAGTTGATTGGACGAATGGGCGGATAGATAGTTGGATAGATGGTTATATGGAGAGATAAAGGGATGATAGATGGACAGACTGCATGGGTGAATGGATGCATAGATAGTTGGATAGATACTTGGTTGGATGGATTACAGATGGAAAAATAGATGAATATATGTATGGATAGATAAATAATCGCATAGATGGTTGGATGGACAGATGGAAGATTCTCAACTTCATGGCTTAATGCCAACTCCTCTCCACCTTTCATGTCGATTGGTGGTCCCAGGGGGTGCAAAATGGGTGGTCTCATACAGTAGTTCTAAGCAGGTGTGCTGTTCTCAGCAGCCTCAGGGACCAGCTGTGTTACCTTGTTCATGTAACTCAACTTCTCTGCTCCCCGTCACATCTTTAAAGCAGAGGACAGGATGGCTGCGAGAATGACGTGAGAAAATCTGGGTCTCAGTGGCGTAGGGAGAGCTAAAGGGATGCTACTACAATTCAGAGAGTGATCATTAAATGTGCCTCTTCAAATGTGCTTCAGGACAGTCCTCTTCCGTGGCTCAAAAAAATGAGGTCAGTCATTTCCCGACCGCAAACCCTGTCCATTTGTGTATCGCTTAAAAGTAAGTGACCTTACTTTTGAATTTACATCTCTTCCAATAAAAGAAACAGGAGTCCAAAGTTATCTGGAATAAGACATGTCATAAAAACACAGGGGTGTCAACCACAATGTGGAAGATGAATAACCCTGTATAACACGCAGGAAGAAAAATAAGCTGTCTCCATTCAGCCAATGAATGAAACAAATCCAAATGCAAGTGAGAATAGGGGTAGGGGTTATTACCAAGCAGGTTCACAGGCTTGCTGATGATTAAATGAAATTATATTTATCCTGGGAACACTGACTCTTACACTGTGGCAATCACTATATGTGTGTGTGTGTTTGTTTGTGTGTGTATGTGTATATATATATATATACTTTTTTTTTTTTTTTGAGACAAGTCTCACTCTGTCACCCAGGCTGCAGTGCAGTGGCACCATCTCGGCTCACTGCAGCCTCTGCCTCCTGGGTTCAAGCGATTCTCTTGCCTCAGCCTCCCGAGTAGCTGGGATTACAGGCACCTGCCACCATGCCCTGCTAATTTTTGTATTTTTAGTAGAGACGGGGTTTCACCATGTTGGCCAGGATGGTCTCAAACCCCTGACCTCAGGTGATCTGCCTGCCTCAGCCTCCCAAAGTGCTAGGATGACAGGTGTGAGCCACCATGACTGGCCTGCAATGACACATTTGTATTTAACATCATGTTACAACATGATGTTGCCACAGACACTGTGCTCTGTGAAAGCGCTTATGCCAGATCGATGCCTTGTTTTACTCTCTTAGAATTGACGGTAGGAAATGGAGCTCTCTACTTCCTCATTTCCAGAGTAAGCAGGGCGCACGTTCCCATGGTGCCCTTCTATTTTTTCACAACACTCTAAGTTTTCTCAGCTGGGTGCGGTGGCTTACACCTGCAATCCCAGCACTTTGGGAGGCTGAGGTGGGAGGATCACTTGAGCCCCGAAGTTTGAAACCAGCTTGGGCAACATAGCAAGACCCCATCTCTCAAAATATCTTTAAAAAATTAGCCAGTCACGGAGGTATGTGCCTGTAGTCCCAGCTACTCAGGAGGCTGACGTGGGAGGATTGCTTGAGCCCAGGAGGTCAACAATGAAGTGAGCTATGATGTCATTCCAGCGTGGGTGACAGAGTCTGACCTTGTCTCAAAATAATAAATAAATAAATAAATAAATAAATAAAAGTATTATCCAAAAATACTTAATTTTAAACATTTTCTCCAAACTCCCAATAGGGCATGAAACAGCTATTAACAATAATTACATTAACAATTTCTTTTTGCTATGATCATATCTGCAAATTATAGGAAGGGTGCTGAGTCCACTGTAGCCAGTATACTTAGTACATCTGAGATACCCAAATCAGTGTGTCTCATCAGAGCTGCTCATAGACACGATAGGGGTTTCAGCAAACCCCTGATAACCCATGCATGACTTTTCTTTTTAAATGTGCCCGGTTTTCATTCATATTCGGAGTTTTCAGGTCAATCTCAAATACACCTGTCTTCCCGTCTGTACAGAATATATGTATATATTCTCTCTCTCTCTCTCTCTATATATATATATATATACATACATAAAGGGGAGTTTATTATATATTAACTCACACGATTACAAGGTCACACAATAAGCTGTCTGCAGGCTGAGCAGCAAGGAAGCCAGTCTGATAACTGAAGAACCTGGAGTCCAATGTTCAAGGGCAGGAAGCATCCAGCACGGGAGAAAGATGCAGTCTGGGAGGCTAGGCCAGTCTCTCTGCACATTTTTCTGCCTGCTTATATTCTAGCCAAATTGGTTGCTGATGAGATGGTGCACACGCTGATGAAGCGGGGTGCGGGGTTTGCCTTTCCCAGCCCACGGACTCAAATGTTAATCTCCCTTGGCAACACCCTCACAGACACACTCAGGATCAATACTTTGCATCGTTCAATCTAATCAAGTTGACACTCAGTATTAACCATCACACCATCTTTTCACAGCTGCTGCCAAAAACACAACTTCAATCTTCAACAGAATCTTTTTAATGAAAAGGAAATACCTTTGCCATTCAGAGTTTTAGAGAAAGTTCAAGGCCCTTTTCAAAAAAGAAAATAAACTTTTTAAAGAGGAGTGTCAATTCTTATCTTGTTAGCTAGTATTCAAGGATGAAGTTGCAGCTGTGGCTTAATTACAGAATCCTGCCCACTTAATTCAACACGATTCACACTTAAGTTCACACACATCTACTTTTTCTCATTTTGTTCTTTGGTGAATTTAAAATATTCAGAATAATGGTAACAGTAATGGCTGTGAGTATCCTGGGCTTATACTGTGCTAGAAAATTTTAAACAAATTCTGCATGTATTAATATATTTCTTTATTATTATTATTATTTTTAAGACAGAGTCTCAATCTGTTGCCCAGGCTGGAGTGCAATGGCACGACCTCGGCTCACTGAAACCTCTGCCTCCCGGGTTCAAGAGATTCTCCTGCCTCAGCCTCCCAAGTAGCTGGGATTACAGGCGTGTGCCACCATGCCTGGCTACATTTTTTGTTGTTGTCGTATTTTTAGTAGAGATGAGGTTTCACCATGTTGGCCACGCTGGTCTCAAACCCCTGATCTCAAGTGATCTGCCCGCCTCAGCCTCCGAAAGTTCTGGGATTACAAGTGTGAGCCACCGCGCCCGGTCCGTATTAACATATTTCTGTGTGATATGCATGTAGAAATACTGTGTTGTGGTAGGCATTATATTATCGTTATCATTGTTTTTCAAACTGGGGCACCTTAGGTAGGCAAAGGTTAAGGAATTGGCTCAGGTTGTGTTACAATTGTATGCCCAAACTGGGCTTTAAGCCAAAGCAACCTGATTCTAGATCCAGACTATGTTCTTTGTCCAGACCTTCGTACTGGGGGGACCCTGACTCCTTCCATTAAGAGGGGCTTCTCCCCTTCTTTTATACCTAAGGACAAGCAGTAGAGAGATCAAGTCTGTACACAATGTTGAATGTAGGGTACGCACCCATGAGTCTGCCTGTGTCTTATGACAATGCTCCGTCAACCCGTCGGGAAGCTCTGCCTTCCTCTAGTGCTCTCCCCACCAATGCTTGGGCCCCCATACTACCACCAAGCCCGCCACTTTTATTTCCTTTTTTTAAAATTTTGTCACCCAGGCTGCAGTGCAGTGTGTGTTGCAATCATAGTTCACTGCAGCCTTGACCTCCCAGGCTAAAGTAATCCTCCCACCTTGGCCTCCTGCGTTACTGGGACTACAGGTGCACACCACCATGCCTGGCTAATTTTTTTAATTTTTTTTTTTTTTTTTGAGATGCAGTCTCGCTCTGTTGCCCAGGTTGGAGTGCAGTGGCGTGATCTCAGCTCACTGCAACCTCCGCCTCCCCAGTTCAAGCGATTCTCCTGCCTCAGCCTCCTGAGTAGCTGGGATTACAGACGTCTGCCACCACACCTGGCAAATTTTTATATTTTTAGTAGAGATGGGGTTTCTCCATGTTGGCCAGGCTGGTCTTGAACTCCTGACCTCAGGCAATCCACCCGCCTAGGCCTCCCAAACTGCTGGGATGACAGGCATGAGCCACTGCGCTGGGCAATTTTTTAAATTTTTGGTAGAGATGGGGTTTCACTATGTTGCCCAGGCTGGTCTTGAATTCCTGGGCTCGAAGAATCCTCCCTCCATGGCCTCCCAAAGTGTTGGTATTATAGGCATGAGCCACTGCACCGAGTCTCAGCCATTTCTTGATGATCTTCCCACATTCTCTTAGATGAACAAAAATTATCTTATGCCATCTGTCACCCCAAGATTATAAAGGTCCCTTCCCAGAGGAATGTACCCTCCTCACAGCTCCCTCAAACACCCAGCCATCTTGTTAGCCATGTAGATATGAAAACTAACCCTTAGCCATGTGTCTGCCACATTTTCCTTCTTGGGGCTAATAATAAAATACGTGTATTAAGACATGAGTTGATGGGATGCGGTGGCTCACGCCTGTCATCCCAGCACTTCGGGAGGCCGAGGTGGGCAGATTACCTGAGGTCAGGAGTTCGAGACCAACCTGGCCAACATGCTGAAACCCCGTCTCTACTAAAAAAAAAAAAAATACAAAATTAGACAGGTATGGTGGCGTAAGCCTGTAATCCCAGCTACTCAGGAGGCTGAGGCAAGAGAATCACCTGAACCCAAGGAGGTGGAGGTTGCAGTGAGCCGAGATCGCGCCACTGCACTCCAGCCTGGGCGACAGAGCGAGACTCTGACTCAAAAAAAAAAAGAAAAAGAAAAACATGTTCTTTTTAAATCATAAATACAATTAAAATTGTACTTATGAAATATGCCTTTTCAAACTTTGTTTCTTAGCTTTTGACCCTGTTCTGGGGTCGGTGAGGTACTTGTGTGAATCTTACAGCAGTTTTTTCTGCCTAGTGGTCTGACTGGCACGTCGAGCGCCTGCCCAGTGAAAGCTGAGACCAGCGAGGGTGGAGTGCTGTGTTCCCCTGTGCAGAGGGTGAGGAGCCTTCCTGAGTTTTTCCGAGACACAGAGAACCCAGACCTCCTTTAGGAAAATGACTATAGAATAGCTCAATTGTTAAAATCATCATGCGAGCTTTGCCAGCCGCTTTTTGTTGTTGTTGTTTTAATAGAAAGCATCCCTTCCCACAGCTAAGGAGACCACGTGAGAGGCATCTCATTCTATAGAATGCACCGAGAGGCCGGGCGCGGTGGCTCACTCCTGTCATCCCAGCACTTTGGGAGGCCGAGGCAGGCAGATCAGCTGAGGTCAGGAGTTCGAGACCAGCCTGACCAACATGGTGAAACCCTATCTCTACTAAAAATACAAAAAATTAGCCAGGCGTGGTGGTGGGCACCTGTAATCCCAGCTACTTGGGAGGCTGAGGCAGGAGAATTGCTTGAACCCGGGAGGCGGAGGTTGTGGTGAGCGGAGATCGTGCCACTGTACTCCAGCCTGGACGACAGAGTGAGACTCCGTCTAACAATAATAATAATAGTAATAATAATAGTAATGCACCAACAGCAAACTGTGCCAACATCAGCCGATAAATTCGTTTCCACCCATGCTCCTCTGCAGGGCCAGTGAATACTCTGTCTGTTATCCAAGTGCTACCAAGCTAACGGTATACAGGCTAGGGTTCTGTTTTCACAATGACACAAAGAGGTGCACCTGAGCCATGTGGTTTCAAAAAATATTTTATTTTCTGGAATAGCCATAATATCTCAGCTCTGTCTTTATGCCCTCTCTCCACACGGAGGAGGCAGAAGCTATGACAACACTGAGGTGCCACACATCACACCTGCAAAACAGAATAATGGGAGCGTTTAGGAGACTGTAGAAAATGCTCACCAGGGTGCATACAGACAGGATGGGGGCTGGGCATTGCTGGGCTGCTGCTGTCTGTCAAGGACATTCAGAGAGATATACATGTCCCCGGGGCAGGGCCCGCCTCCATCTTCATCTCTTCTCTCTCATGTGTCAAATGAAGCAGAGGAAAAACAGCAGAGAGTCCTTCACGGCTGCTGGACTAGGCAATGCAACTCTCACAAGTGATGAGATTGAGAATGTGCCTTACACATCCCGTAGGTCTGGCGGTCACGAATGCGAGATTTGCTTCTAGAAATTTCTGGGACTCTTGTTTCATGTGCAAAGTGCCTAGTCTGTATCTGTAGGGCGATGCTGTTCTTCCAAGACATGATTTTTCCTTTTTACAACAGACAGGATAGGAATATTTGGGGTCACTTGGCAACAATGATGATGGGGAATCCTCTGTATCTCTTCCCTGGAGCATTTGCTCTGCACACAGAAGGAAGCCATTTGCACTGGATGGAGTCTGTATGAAGCTGGCAGCATGGATTGCATTGGAGAGTTAAGTAGGGCAAGCCCCCCAGTTGCACCTACTCTAACGATGGTATAATCTGAAGCTGATTTGTCCTGTGGACGTCTCTAGCCAGTAATAAGAGTAAACAGTTCCAATGGGCTTCCCTTGGGCATTGGAACCCCTGTGAATTCCGACTCTGCACAAGAGCAAGGTGGACGAAAACTTCACAACAGAATGGGCCAGGCAAGGGGGCAGAGATGGCTGGATGGGACCACAAGGATGGATGGAGGTTACAGATGCCAGCATGGCCCCAGAGGTGACACTGCCCATGAGTCCTGGTTACCCAGTGATGGCTTGGCAGGATGAGTGACGGGTGGGGAAGATGGCCTTTATCCTTATTGACAGTCATCTCACCCTTCACTCCTGCAGTGCAGCTGGGCTGACATGCTGGTGGACGTTCTTCAGAGAAGGGCCAAGCTGTGACCTTCAGAGATCCATCCCTCCACACTGGAGTCCTGGCCTACTGGTAGCTTATGAGGGGGATGCTCTTACAACTCCTTGGCTTGCACCTGGCATGCAGGCAAACTGAAGACTCCACAGCCACTCCATCACTTTAGGGGCCCTAAGCAGATGCAAAGAGAAGGAAAAAAAAGAGTAAGAAAAAAAAAATCAATGGTAATCTGATGAAGGGTTACCCCCCACCGCCGCCTCCTGCTCTCTTTAGAGACGGGGTCTGGCTCTGTTACCCAAGCTGGAGTGCAGAGGTGCAATCACAGCTGACTGTAATCTCAAACCCTTGCACTTTTTAATCTTTTTTAGAGATGGGGCCTGGCTCTGTTGCTTAGGCTGGAGCACACTGGCGCAACCATAGCTGACTGTCATCTTAAACGCCTGGGCTTAAGCAATTCTTTTATCTCAGTCTCCTGAGTGGTTAACGCTACAAGTGTGTGCCACCAAGCAGATAATTTTTAATTTTTTTTTTTTTTGTCTCATTAAGTTTCCCAGGCTGGTCTTGAACTCTTGCACTCAAGTAATCCTTCCACCTCAGCCTCCCGAAGTGCTGTGCTGACAGGCATGAGCCACGGCATCCAGCCAGTACATCTCTTTAATGCTACTGAGAAGTCATTTCACCCAGCACTTTGGTTCCTAGTATCATGTTCAAAAAAAAGAACCAGGGCTCTCTGGAATAATGGTTAATTCTAAGAACGGAGCTTGGGTGATACAGATAGGCCTGGACCATCTTGTAGTACAAGAAAATAAGAAAATGCTCAAATACACAAAAAAATGGGGGTGCGTGAAAGATAAGCAAAAGCCAACATGAAAGAGCTCCTGGTGCTCAAAGCTGAAACAATTTGGGCAATAAAATAAAATAATATTAGATGGCAACCCAAAGCAATCAATTATTGAATAAAAACATAAATGAAGGAGGAGATACAAATCCCCTGTGCAGAAGAGTCCCATCCAAGTAATTGATGTAGATATTTTATTCTCAAGAAGATGAAACATAACTCCCCACTCCTTTAAGTGTGGGTTGCATGTAGAGACTTCCTTTCAAAGAGCATGGTCAGGAGATCAATAACTTTTCAGTGGAGAAATCTGACAAACACCACCTCAGACGTGATCAAGGCCAAAGTCAACAATGGTAGGTCAGGCTGACAGTATGTACCTTGATATGATGTAATAAGAATGACTCTTCATCGCTGCCGTCATCCTCTCCAAAGCCAACCACCCTAGTCTCACCATGAGAAAAGTTGCAGACAAATCCCAACAGAGGGACAGCTTGACAAAATACCTGACCCGTTGTCCTCAAGACAGTGTTTCTCGTATAGTCTGCAGCACCGTGAGCCAAATAAACCTCTTTTCTTTATAAATCACTCAGCTCAGTTACTCCTCTATAGCAATACAAAATGGACTAATACACAAGCCACATCCAAGTGCCATTTGTGGCAAGGGGCCCTTGTATGGTCTGCAGGCCTTGCTTTGGATGACCTTGAAGTAAGGTCTTGTATTTGACTCTTGAACAGTCTGCAGAACTGTGAGCCAAATAAATATCTTTTTAATAAATAAACCCATACAAGAGTCATGTACAAGACCTTGCTTCGAGGTCATGAAAAACAAGGCAAGTCTCAGAAACTGTCACAGCCAAGAGGAGGCATGACTCAATGTAATGTGGGTTCTGGAGGAGATCCTGGGACAGAAAGAGGACATCAGGAGGAAAGTAGTGAAGTCCAGTAAACAGAAGAGTTTAGATTACAAAGGGTGCGGGGTTGGGGGGTGGGCAGGAGACCCTAACAAGTACCTGCATAACTAGCATTTTTCCTTTTTTTTTGAGATGGAGTCTCGCTCTGTCGCCCAGGCTGGAGTGCAGTAGCTCGACCTCAGCTCACTGCAAGCTCTGCCTCCCAGGTTCAAGCGATTCTCCTGCCTCAGCCTCCCGAGTAGCTGGGACTACAGGTGCCCGCCACCACGCCTGGCTAATTATTTGTATTTTTAGTAGAGACGGGGTTTCACCGTGTTAGCCAGGCTGGTCTCGATCTCCTGACCTCATGATCTGCCTGTCTCGGCCTCCCAAAGTGCTGGGATTACAGGCCTAAGCCACTGCGCCTGGCTGCATTTTTCCATTTATAGATTGCCTTTATTCTGCATATGGTAGAACCAAATGGAAGTCAAGACACAAGCATCTGGGGTGCTGGAGCCTGAGAAGACCTGTCTGGAGCTTGACAGAAATTCTGAATCCCCACCGACTCTCAGTCTACCCAGAAAGACAATGACCCAATAAAGAAACAGACTTTAGTCCTGTGTGAATTTGCTTGGGCTGTGTGTGGGGAGGCCCCTCCATCAGGGATAGTTCTGGCTAAATATCGCATGTGGAAAACTACCAGATGGTTGAGAGTGAAGATGAGAGAAGAGCCAGGGAGGGAAGAGATGCTTTCTTCAGGGCCAGGGGAGAGAAATTCCATAAGAAAAGCATAGGGTTAGCTGGAAGACAAAATGAGACTTGTGCTATCCAGATTGGGGGCACCAGCCACAAATGGCATTTGGATGTGGTGTCTTCGTCCATTTTGTATTGCTATAAAGGAATATCCCAGGCTGGGTGACTTATTAAAGAAAAGGGGTGTATTAGGCTTACCGTTCTGCAAACTCTATAAGAAGCAAGCATGGTGTTGGCATCTGCTCAGCTTCTGGTGAGGCCTCAGAAAGCTTTTACTCATGGAGGAAGGCAAGGGGAACCAGAGCGTCACATGGTGAAAGAGGGAGCAAGAGAGAGAGGAGGAGGAGCCAGGCTCTTTTTAACAATCAGCTCTTGCATGAACTAATACTGTGAGAACTCGCACATTACCATGAGGATGGCACCAAGTCATTCATGAGGAATCTGTTCCTGTGACGGAAACACCTCCCACCAGGCCTCATCTCCAACACGGGGGATGCTATTTCAACAGGAGATTTGGAAGGGACAAACACCCAAAGGATGTCAGTTCATTTGAATTGAGATGTGCTGTAAATGTACAATAGACACTGGATTTGAAGACTTGGTGTGAAAAAAGAATGCGCGCTATCTCACTCATAACTATATATACAATTCTAATATATTCTAAATAGCTATATATACTATTCTAAATCTATTCTAAATAACTACATATACTATCCTAAATAATTCTAAATAACTACATATACAACTCTAAATCTATTCTAAATAATTCTAAATAATGATATATACAACTCTAAATCTATTCTAAATAACTATATATACAATTCTAAATCTATTCTAAATAACTATATATATAAAATTATAAATATATTCTAAATAACTATATATAATTCTAAATAATTATACCTATATATACAATTCTAAATACATTCACACATATATTTTTAAAATATAAATTTGAAATAAATTGTGTATATGTATACAATTATTTTATATACTTATAAAATATATATATTCATTTATGACATTTATACATATATGTTTATATAGAAATATATCTTTTTTTTTTTTTGGACACTGAGTTTCACTCTTGTTGCCCAGGCTGGAGTGCAGTGGCGTGATCTCAGCTCACTGCAACCTCTGCCTCCTGGGTTCAAGCGATTCTCTTGCCTCAGCCTCCCAAGTAGCTGGGATTACAAGCATGCGCCACCACGCTCAGCTAATTGTATTTTTAGTAGAGATGGGGTTTCTCCATGTTGGTCAGGCTGGCCTCGAACTCCTGACCTCAGGTGATCTACCCACCTTGGCCTCCCAAAGTGCTGGGATTACAGGCATAAGTCACCATGCCTGGTCAGAAATATATCTTAATAAAATGTGTACATATTTTACATTTAAAAAATAAATAAAATATAAATTTATATATTTATATAAATATACATTTTGAAATGAGACTATTTTATATAGTGATAAAATAAATATCTTATATATAAATATATTGTAATAAAATTTGTACAAATTTAATAAACTGAAAAATATACATAAGCTATAAATTTGTTTATGTAAATATAAATATATACATGTTGAAATGAGACTATTTGATATAGTGATTAAATAAATATATGAAAATATATTTTAATAAAATTTGTATATATTTAATTTTAAAATATACATAAACTGTAAATTTATATATTTATGTAAATATAGAAATATACATACATGTTAAAATGACACTATTTAAATAGTGTCATTAAATACCATATTTATTATTAAATACCGTATTTGCATATATTTTTAATAAAATTTGTACAAATTTAATAAATTTAAAAACATACATGAAATATAAATTCATATATTTATGTAAATATAAATATATATACCCGTTAAAAGGAGACTGTTTCAATATAGTGATTACACATATTATTAAAATTGATTTCACCATTTTCATTTTACTCCTTTGTTAATGTGTTTAACAAAGAGTTTTCAATTGCTTTTGTGGATCATATTGTATTTCTTTTTTTTTTTTTTCAGACCGAGTCTCACTCTGTCACCCAGGCTGGAGTGCAATGGTGCCATCTTGGCTCACTGCAACCTCTGACTCCTGGGTTCAAGCAATTCTCCTGCCTCAGCCTCTTGAGTAGCTGGGATTACAGGCGCCCACCACCACGCCTGGCTGATTTTTGTATTTTAAGTAGAGTAGGGGGTTTCACCATGTTGGCCAGGCTGATCTCGAACTCCTGACCTCAAGTGATCCACCCACCTTGGCCTCCCAAAGTGCTGGGGTTACAGGCGTGAGACACCGTGCCCAGCCTATATTTTATTTCTGACGGGTAGAGTTCTTCCAGACCCTGAAAACCTGGGGCATCCAGGGAAAATACAGAAACAGGGCTCCGGGTACCTCAGTGGAGTACTAGGTGGGGCTGTAGCCACATAGCTGTGTTCCCCTGAGGCCCCCAAAAGCCCCATGATCTCCAGGGACACCGGGCTGGGCAGGCTGCTATTCCACCTCTCACCTCTTTGAACCCCAGTCCCTCCACCTTTCACAGTGGCATAAAGACTCTTCCCAATTAGGATGACCCAAACATCTGGGTCAAGGAAGATTCAGTGACCCAGGGACCTGTCCTTGCTCCAGGCAAATCAGTTGGAGCAACTTGGAAGTGACTAGATATTTATTCTGAGCACTTGGGACGAAGCTTGGGGGTATAGGGAATTCCTTGATACCTTCTCAAAGAATTCAAAGTCTACTGAAAAGGGCTTTCCTTCACTTGAGTATCTCAAATATTCATCTGGGAACGCTATCTACCACCTCCTGAATCGCTGCTATTGGTAAGATAATGGGTTGATCTCCACAAATTATAATGATGATCACACTTGCTAGCCCCAGGAACCAGCCGCATCCAATTCAGCTTTTGCAAGGAATCTAATTCCTGTCTGTCTCTTCCCCACCTGTAACTCTATAAATCTTATCTTTAAGAATGGGTGGGGGCTGGCCACGGTGGCTCACGTCTGTAATCCCAGCACTTTGGGAGGCCGAGGCGGATGGATCACTTGAGGTCAAGAGTTCGAGACCATCCTGGCCAACATGGTGAAACGCCGTCTCTACTAAAAATACAAAAATTAGCTGGGCGTGGTGGCATGCGCCTGTAGTCCCAGCTACTCAGCAGGCTGAGGCAGGAGAATTGCTTGAACCCGGGAGGCGGAGGTTGCAGTGAGCTGAGATCGCACCACTGCACTCCAGCCTGGCGACAGAGCTAGATTCCATCTCAAAACAAAGAACAAACAAACAAAAAGAATGGGTAGGTCTCCACCCATTACTGTGTCTTTCCATGAGACTGACGCCCAACAGGGCTGAGTCAGACGGCCAGGAAGCTGGGGTAATTTGAGAGGCACAGAGAGTACTCTTTCGGCTGGCCTTAGAGTTGGGGTTGCCACCTTCACAAAAGCATCCCTGGCTTGCTCTCACACACAGAGATTCTGGGAGGCCCCAGGAAAACCCCAAAATACTGCAAGAGGTGTAAACATACCCACTCATGCTGTCTTGTTTAATGCCAACATGGCTCCAGGGAGCAGGAAGAAGCGCCAGAGGGAACAACACGCAGGATGATGGGTTTGCTTTTGACCTGCACTAATTATGTTCTAGGTATGGCACCGCTTTCAGAGTCAGTTTCCAGATGTGCAATTTTAGTACACAAGAACATTTATCAGCCCCTTACTTTCTCTGTTTCTTCATGAATCCTTGAGGCAGAGGTCCAACATGGAGAATCATGGTGCTCAATGAGTGCTGGACCTTGGCCAGGTGACTTGGGCCTAAGGCAGCATGTCTGTCGAGTGATGATCATGTTACTTACCTGCCAAAGCTTATGTGTGGATAAGGTGTTGTCATAAGGTGGGTTCCCCAGACACAGAGACTGAGGTTGGGATTCAAAGACATAGAGCATTTGCAGAGGGAGGGAGGGAAGCCCGTTTAAAAAGGCACTAAGCCGGCCAGGGGTGGTGGTGGCTCACGCCTGTAATCCCAACACTTTGGGAGGCTGAGGCAGTTGGATCAGGAGGTCAAAAGATCAAGACCATCCTGGCCAACACGGTGAAACCTCATCTCTACTAAAAATACAAAAATTAGCCGTGCGTGGCAGTGTGCACCTGTAGTCCCAGCTACTCGGGAGGCTAAGGCAGGAGAATCGTTGAACCCGGGAGGCGGAGGTGGCAGTGAGCTGAGATCGCACCACTGCACTCCAGCCTGGTGACAGAGTGAGAATCTGTCTCCAAAAAAAAAAAAAAAAAAAGGCACTGAGGCATGATTTGATCTCAGGACATATCTCAACCTGGTCAACAGCAGGCTCTGGAATACAAATTGGGCTGCAGAATTTGCTGCCTTTGGGCATGGAAGTATGTGTGTGTGTGTGTGTGTGTGTGTGTGTGCGCGCGCGCGCGCGCGCGCGCACGCACGCGCACATATGTATGTGTGCATGCATGATCTCACGTGCTGTGGCTTCCTCTACCTGAAATGAATCTTCACCTTAGCGTTATCTGGATAACTGTATCTTGACCTTCAGGGCTACACCAAGCATCACGATGCCTTAAACATCTCCTCCCAAGCCCACCTGGGTTCTTCCTCCATGTTCCTGTAGCACAGAGACTCTGAGATCTGTCTGCCAGCTGTTTTACGGCATGTGGCCCGGACTTCTGTTATACCCTGGATCAAAATGTACCACAATTATCAAATAACCTTGCCATCTCCCCAGCTGGGAATTTACACTCAGAGCAGGAACCAGGTTTGTCCAGTATTATAACTGCTGGTACATAAGAGCCAGGAAAGGTTTGTTAAATGAGTGTTTCAGGCTAAATTGTGTCTCTTCGAAATGCCCATGTTGAAACCTTAGCCCTCATTTGTGACGGTGTTTGAAGATAAGGCCTTCAAAGAGGTCATTATGCGAAAATTATGTCATTAGGGTAGGGCCTGATCCAACAGGACTGGTGCCCTTATAAGAAGAGGAGACGAGGACACAGACACACACAGAGGGTTGACCCTGTGAGGACACAGGGAGAAGACGGTGTCTACAAGCCCAGGAGAGAGGCCTCAGGAGGAACCAGCCCTGCCCACACCTGGATCTCGGACTTCCAGCCTCCAGGACTGTGGGAGAATCAATGCCTGTTGCTTATAAGCCACCCAGTCTATGGTATTCTGTGATAGCAGCCTGAGATGGACTAAGACACTTCATAAGAAGAGGAGATGAGGACACAGACACACAGAGGGACGACCCTGTGTGTACACAGGGAGAAGATGGCGTCTACAAGCCCAGGAGAGAGGCCTCAGGAGGAACCAACCTTGCCCATACCCTGATCTCAGACTTCCAGCCTCCAGGCCTCCAGGAGAATCAATGTCCCTTGTTTAAGCTTCCAAGTTTGCGGTCCTTTGTTATGGCAGCCTTAGCAAACTAATACAATGAATGAATCAAACAGCACATGTATTACAATTCTAGTTGTGCTATCCAATAGAATAGCCACCAGCCACATGTGGCTGTTTACGTTTAAATCAATATAGCTCAATAAAAATAAATATTCAAGCCTTGAATGAAACCATACTCAACAGCCACTTGTGGTTGGTGCTTCCAACATTGCAGTTGCCTTCCTCCTCAAGAGTCGTGTTCTTGGTTGAATTCATCTCCCCTGCCCCTGAGGAAAGCACCCGTTGTCTCTCCGCACTTCTGAAGGTTTACTGCCCCACCATCTGTCCCCAGATGGAGAACCCTTGCAGGATGCAAGGGGATATTGAAATGATGTTTGCACTGGGCAGGATGGCTCAGGCCTGTAATCCCAGCACTTTGGAAGGCCTAGGCGAGATGATCACCTAAGGTCAGGAGTTTGAGACCAGCCTGGCCAACATGGCAAAACCCTGTCTCTATTAAAAATACAAAATTAAGCCAGGTGCAGTGGCACATGCCTGTAATCCTGGCTACTCGGGAGGCTGAGGCAGGAGAATCACTTGAACCCGGGAGGCAGAGGTTGCAGTGAGCCGAGATTGTGCCATTGCACTCCAGCCTGGGCAACAGAGTGAGACCCTGTCTCAAAAACAAAAACCAAAAAAAAGTTAAAAATTAAAAAAGAAAAAGAAATGATGTTTGCAGTGGTTAGGGTGGCTCACACGTGTAATCTCAGCACTTTGGGAGGCTGAAGCAGGAGGATCAGTTGAGCCCAGGAGTTTGAGAACAGCCTGGGCAACGCTGACAAAACCGCATGTCTACAAAAAAATACAAAAATCAGTCTGGTATGGTGCTACATGCCTGTAGTCCCAGCTCCTCAGGAGGCTGAGGTGAGAGAATCACCTGTAGTCCCAGCTACTCAAGAGGGTGAGGCAGGAGAACCGCTTGAACCAGATTCAGCTCACTGCAACCTCCACCTCCTGGGTTCAAGTGATTCTCCTGCCTCAGTCTCCTGAGTAGCTGGGATTACAGTTTCCTGCCACCACATCCAGCTAATTTTTGTTTTTTTTTTTTTTTTTTTTTTTTTTTTTAAGTAGAGACAGGGTTTCACCATGTTGGCCAGGCTGGCCTCGAACTCCTGAAACTCAAGTGATCCCGCCTGCCTCGGCCTCCCCAAAGTTTTTTTCTTAAGCATCTTTTTTAGATGCCTTTGTTCTCATATTTCTGTTTGCCTCTACTATTTTATTCGCTTAGATAGTTTTTTGTTTGTTTGTTTTGTCTTTTGTGGTCTTGACATTTTTGCTGACGGTAGGAAAGATCCAATTTCCATGTTATTGTAATTCCCATTAGACTTGTCCATTGGTGTCATGCTAAAAGATGAGATACTAAAGAAAATTGGCTGGGAGCAGTGGCTCATGCCTGTAATCCCAGCACTTTGGGAGGCCAAGGCAGGTGGATCACCTGAGGTCAGGATTTCGAGACCAGCCTGGCCAAAATAGTGAAACCCCATCTCTACTAAAAATAAAAAAAGTAGCTGGGTGTGGTGGTGGGTGCCTATAGTTCCAGCTACTCAGGAGGCTGAGGCAGGAGCATCGCTTGAACCCGGGAGGTAGAGGTTACAGTGAGCCGAGATCACGCCACATCCAGCCTGGGCAACAGAGCGAGACTCCGTCTCCAAAAAAAAAAAAAAAAAAAGAAAATCATATTTAATTCATTTAGCTTTCATCGTAATTACAGTCACACTTCACACACATGGGAATTAGGGAGCCAGGAAGAGTAATGCGGCAATGCCCTGTGTTCAGACCACTATTAATGGGTAGGCTTTGGGGATACTTTGCTTTTCTCTTTCACTAATGATGTCTGTCCATTTTCCCCGAGGATCTTTTCGGGAGCCTTCTGTGTGGTGGGCCCACTTACGACCTGAATCACCGCATTCACGCCAACAGTACCAACCCATAGGTATGCTTAGTCATCTGATGACTCAGAGACAGGGGGTAGGCGGATGGAATGGAAGGATGAGTCTGGTCAGATGGTAAGAGATAGTACAATGACATGAAAAATAGCCACCACTGACCACTGGCAACCTGGCCTTGAGATCCCTAGTGGACAGTTATTTATTTACTATTTATTTATTTTGAGACAGGGTCCACTCTGTCGCCCAGGCTGGAGTGCAGTGGCACAGTCTTGGCTCATTGCAACCTCTGCCTCCAGGGTTCAAGCGATTCTCCCGCCTCAGCCTCCCAAGTAGCTTGGATTACAGGTGTGCACTACCACACCTGGCTAATTTTTGTATTCTTGGTAGAGACGGGGTTTCGCCATGTTGGCCAGGCTGGTCTTGAACTCCTGACCTCAAGTGATCCTCCAGCCTGGGCCTCCCGAAGTGCTGGGATTGCAGGCGTGAGACACCGCGCCCGGGCATGGACAGCTTTTTGAGCGCATAATTACAGACAGTCTTCACCTTCCCCAGAGGAAAACATAACAGCCTATCCCAAGGTTTCGTAATAAAAGCGTAAAATTGTCATAAACCCACAGTAGGTGTTCAATAAATGCATACATCTTGTTCCCACACCCGAAAAATCCTAGTTAGGAGGTGACCGAGGAGAGTTTACAACACAAATTGCACCTGAGGTTTTGCACACGAGTGAGTTTGATCCCTTTCCTCCAGAAGGCCGGCTACTCATTCAAAGGGCCCAGTTTGTTTCAAACTATTTTTGGAACTGTTTCAGAATTGCCTCCAAGCGCCTGTCTAGACCTTACCTTACACTGGCGCTATTTTGAGCTAAAAGCCATATTGATTAAATTGGCTTCTAAAGTTATCCCCCAGACTTGGCGCTGAAGGAGGCTTAGGTATTTCCAAAAATCCTAGCCTCTGCCTGGAAGGCTCCCCAGCTAAGGATGCAAGACAAGGACCAAGGACGACATTTCTTGAAAGATCCTGCCTCTGGGGATAGTTTCGGAAAGGAAGTGCTCAGGTTTGTGAGACAGCAGCAGGGCCCTGGGACCTTTCTCTGATGGGGGAATATCCCCCTCTAGGTCAGCACGCCCCATCACAGCACTGCATCTACTGTAGGTACCTCCAAAGTCACCCTTTCTATTTCACTCATGTTTCCCTTGAATTTACACTTTACATGTTGCTAGACCAAATCGGCGGAGGGGAAAAAATAACTCATGGAAACATGATCTTTTTAGAAATGGCATTACTCAGAAAGCACAGCAGGGGTTTGGCTTATGGTACGGTGTTGTTTTCCTGCTTTGAGGCGCTGTTACAGATTCTTCTTCCCACTGTACAGCTTCCCGGCCTGACATGCTGCCTTGGGAAGTGCGTGAAAGTGAACGCAGCCTCCTCTTCCTCTTAGGAGTCCTCCGTTTCGTGTCTCTTACATCCTGAAAGGACCCAGCTCTCTGAGTCAGGCCGCGGCACTGCCCCTCCTAGCTCCAAATCCACATCTATTTCCCACTTCACTTTCTAAGTGGGATTTAGCTTAACACTGTGGAGCTTGGAGTATCACAGAGCTAATATGTAAGACCCAGGCTGGTCTTTCCTTCTCTGTCGGCACCTTGGAATTCTCTACTACCTTTCAGCCTGCCTCTCCGCTCCCCCGGCTTTTTTTTTACAGACATCTGCAATGCAGGCAAGTTCCAATATGAACATCTGTGGAACACAGCCTGAGAAGAGGAGATATAAAAGGATCTTAATTTTAGGGTGAAGGAGGAGAAGAATGGTTAAGAAGCGTCTCAATAACGTAAGCCACAACCTCAGGCTTTGAAAACAACATTAACTGAGAACAGCTTTGAAAACAACAGTGAGATTTTCAACTCAATTCTTTTTCCCACAGGTCACTTATCTTGAATTCCAAAATGTTGACTTCTGCTAAAGAATCTTTTTTTTTTTCAGTGATATAAATTTGGAAGGTATGTCAATATTCTTATCCAGTGTGAAGTCCTATGACCGAAACACTTGCGTATTCGTCTCTCCTCCCCGCTACACTTCCCTTGGGGAAGTACACACAACAAGGCAAACAAACACCTCTGACCACTTCTGAGGCAGCCTGTTCTTTTTTTTCTTTTTTGAGATGGCGTCTCACTCCGTCGCCCAGGCTGGGTGCAGTGGCGCGATCTCGGCTCACTGCAACCCCCACCTCCAGGGTTCAAGCGATTTTTCTGCCTCAGCTTCCTGAGTAGCTGGGATTACAGATGTGTGCCACCATGCCTGGCTGATTTTTGTATTTCAGTAGACACGGGGTTTCACCATGTTGGCCAGGCTGGTCTGGAACTCCTAACCTCAGGTGATCTGCTCGCCTCGGCCTCCCAAAGTGCTGGGATTATAGGTGTGAGCCACTGTGTCCGCTCCCTCTCCCTGCTTTTTTTTTTTCTTATAGAGTCTCACTATGTTGCCCAGGCTGGTATCAAACTGCTGGGCTCAATCGATCCTTCCACCTTGGCCTCCCAAAGTGCTGGGATTACAGTCGTGAGCCGCTGTGCTCACCCTGTCCTTAATGATCAGCTTGAGAAAATTCTCTCTCATCTAGTTGACCACGTCCCCCTCTCATCACTGCCACCAAATGTCCCTCATTATGGTGTCTAGATGTTTTGTCTTGCTACATCTCAAGCTTCATTACAGATCGAATTTACCCTCTTCCCTCAACTCTTCTTGCACAGAAGCTGAGGTTTCCAGGAGGCCCTCTCTACCCCTTGGGGGACCTTCCCCTTAAGTTTGGAAGCTGCCAAAACCATGTAAAGGAGATTTTAGGAGGGTCTTTGCACTATATGGGATCCCAAGAAAAATGCATTTAGGGCCACTTTTTCAGCAGCTTCGCTTTAAGGTTCATTTTTTTTTTTTTTAAGACTCATAAAAATCTTTACAGTTTGGAACACATAAAATATATTGACTGGACGCGGTGCCTCACACCTGTAATCCCAGCACTTTGGGAGCCCGAGGTGGGTGGATCACTTGAGGTCAGGAGTTCGAAACCAGCCTGGCCAACATGATGAAATGCCGTCTCTACTAAAAAGTCCAAAAATTAGCTGGGCATGGTGGCTCAGGCCTGTAGTCCAAGCTACTCGGGAGGCTGAGGCATGAGAATTGCTTGAGCCCAGAAGGTGGAGGTTGCAGAGAGTCAAGATTGCACCATTGCACTCTAGCCTGGATGACAGAGCCAGACTCTGTCTTTAAAAAAAAAATACATAAAAAGTTTTAAAAATGGAAACCTGTGTGAGCAGTGTCTAGAAACAGATAATTAGCAGTTATTCTGTAATCAATTTTTTAAAAACTTTAAAGAGAATGATTAATTTTAAACCCTAAAGGAGAGTTGCAAGTAGAAATATAATTTAAAACTTTTGTGTAATATCACTGCAATGGATGTGAGATTTTACACACACACACACACACACACACACACACACCCCATAAACACACATGTGTGCCACAGGTCCGTTGGTAAAAGCTTGGTTACTGATGATTGAGTTTTTTTCTTTTATTCTTGGGGAAGTTACATAACCTGTTTTTTTCCAGCCTTATTTTTCCATTCTGTGTAATTGGGATACTAATTATATTCATGTTGCTGTCAGGAGGGTAAAATACAATGTATATAATATTATTTTCACTCCAGATCTGGTGTTTAGTAAAACACTCAGCAACTATTAGGTGTAATTGTTATTTATAGGAAACTGTAGGTCTTTTGACAGTAATCATAACCACCCTTGCATGTGTGGGTTGTCCATAGAAAATTAAGATAATAGCGCAGAGGTTTCTGTCTCATCATGCTCTTCCCAGCTTCACTGAGATTGTCCTTTTTTCCAGTCAGGGCTTATCTTTCTAGGTTCCAGGAAAGCATCCTGAGGGATCATGCTGCTGTTTTAATACTCATATCTTCTTTAGGTGTGAAATACCCAAACGGGCCAGGAGCAGTGGCCCACACCTGTCATCCCAGCACTTTGGGAGGCTGAGGTTGGAGGATCACGAGGTTAGGAGTTTGAGACCAGCCTGGCCAACATGGGTGAAACCCCATCTCTACTAAAAATACAAAAATTAGCCAGGCATGGTGGCACGTGCCGGTAATCCCAGCTACTCAGGAGGCTGAGGCAGGAGAATCGCTTGAACCTGGGAGGCAGAGGTTGTAGTGAGCCGAGACTGCGCCACTGCCCTCCAGCCTGGGCGACGGAGCAAGACTCCATCTCAGAAAAAAAAAAAAAAAAAAAGAAAAGAAAAGAAAAGGAAAAAAGAAAGAAAAGAAATACCCAAATGGTCACCATGATCTAAGCACTCCCTTGGAGAACTGATGGATGTCAGTGTGCACTGATGGACATAAAACAGGACCACAGAGAAGAGTCACACTTGTAGAAAGAAATGCCCCCCAATCTCTAGCCAAAAGCTCCAAGTGGGAGTCTGTGTCACTTCCAGTGACAACTCTGCACTGACTCACTGCGTGACCTTGGGCAAGAAGCACTTCTACCTGCCTTGGTTTGTGGACCTGAAACAGGGATGTTAGCACCAACCTGGCATCTTCCCAGGACAGTGGCGCAGATCTGGAGGAACACCTCACGGGAAGGTCTTTTGTAGATCACACAGGAGGCTACACAGACATGAGTTACTGTGATTTCCTTTTGTCTAAAGGTTTCTTTCTGGTTCTAGCCTTGTCTATCTGGGGGAAGGAGACTATCTGTGATGGAGATGAGCGTTCTTTTCCAAGAGCGTTAATTAGCTGTTCACTTTGTGACTTCGTGAGCGCCCTACCATTTGAATTCTGAATCCCTGCGTTTTGTTCTCATTTGGTGATGAGCCTTTCAGCAGACATGGTAGTGACTATTAAGTAGGCATTTTAATGCAATCGTTCATAGAATCAATATGTAGACGGCTAGTTTCTAATTTATGAGAAGGCATTCTCTGGGAAATTGAATAAACAGTGCTCGATTGGAATATGGAAATTTTATATAAGAAAAATAATCCGAGAGAGGCTGAGAATGTACAAGCTCTAAGGAATCATCAGATGTGAACAGGACTTCAGCTATCATGTTTAGGGTGAGCTTCGTTAGTGGCTCACATCTAGTTTCAGCTGCAACTGTATTTTCATATCGTTCCCAGGCAAGCCCCGCGAGTGACTGACTCCACGACCCTGTTTCTTCCCAAACCCTCACCTGAGAAACAGGCTTCTTGGATTAAATCTTCCTTTTCCTATTCGACTAGCCCGGTGGGTTTGTGCTTGGCGTAACTTTGGGCCCCCTGGGTGGGATGTGCTTGCGTGAAGCTCCAGTAGCTTTTCCTCTGTGCCGGGAATAATTTGCAAAGCGTCCTATTTTGGATTTTCATAATCAAGCTTCTACCCCGTTTCTTTTCAGTTAATTTAATACCTGGAGCACACGCAGTACTTCAAAAATATTGGTCCGTTCTGGTGTCAGAGAGTCTTTTTGGACTGAGATGTAAAAGTCCTACATTTGGGTATGTGAGCTGGGAGTTGGGGGGCCAGGCTGAGGAGAAGCAACAAATTCCAGAGACAAACTTGGCATCTTGGGAGATGTAATACACGCACCCAGCCACAGAGTCCCAGGAGAATGTATTTTAATGGAGAATGTGGAGGGACTTTGCAAATGTTTTCATTTTCTCAAATCATATCTGTTATCCTGAAAGTGGTGTCTGTTCCCCCTAACGCCCCCCCGCTCCCTCCCCAACCCTTTGCAGACACTGGCATCTGTGGACATGAGTTAGGTGCTGCAGTACCACTCACTGTGTCAACTACAGTATTAACTACGGAAAACACACACACAGTCACAGTCACACTGACACTCACACCCTAACCATCCCAAATCAGACATTTGCAGTCCCACGGGATTTCCAAAGATTCCCCGGACAAGCAATCTATAGATTATCCTGGGACCAGAAAAAAAAAAGTCCTAGGATTTTTAGTTTCCTTAACCCTCAAGTGGCTGGAAACTGTTAATCAGAGAGGAATGAACATAAATAACACCAAGCCGAGCTCCGTCTGATCCGAAGTGAGCCCCCAAACAGCTTCTGTCTGCCCTGATTACCAAAGGAAGCCATGCCCACGCATAAATTGGCAGTCTATTTAAACTGGGTGTTCTTCCTCACAGTTTTTTTTTTTTCCCAGAGAAATATTCAAAGGCAGGCATTTTTCTGGCTAAGAAGATATTTATTTAAGTCACAGATTGCTTCACCTTCCCAAACTTGCCCGGCACACTTGGTGTAGGGCAAAGCCTCATCCTTGTCACATCTGTCCCTCTCCCCTCTGGAGCAGGGGCCAGAGGACTTTGGAGGACACCTACTCCCCCCACCCCCAAGGCTTCGGCTTCCCAGGGGGGGCTTGGCAGTGTGAGAAAGGCAAACCGCCTTCCGACCTGGTTGAAATTTTGTTTCCCATTGCTCCCTAGAGGTGTCCCTTGGCCGTGGATAACGCTCACTCTGTTCCTAGCCTCGCGCTCACCGTGTTTGTCCATGGAGGTTATAGGGAACTTGAGTGCGGGGTCCCCACCGCCGGAGCAGAGGGCTAGGGACCCGATAGCGCCTGGTGTGCCATAGCGCATTGGACCCACCCGAGAGCCCGCGTTCTGCTGCACCGGTGGCGGCCACAGGCGGGAGCGCCTATGCGCCTTGGACCCAAGGCGCCCAGGGGGTGGGTGGGACGGACCTGGAGGGGGTACAGGGGGGGCCTGCGCCCACCTCTCTGCACGCGCATCTGCCGCTTCCCGTGCCCCATAGGGGAGCCCCGGGCTCCGTGAATCCTCGGGTTCAGTCCCGCGTCCGGATTCCGCGTCCTCCCCGAAGTTGGGGCTCCCCAACCGTGGCCCCCCAAAGCGCCCGCACGAGCGCACTCACCCGCTCTCCCCGGTGCGTCCCTGAAGGTCAAGGCCAGGAGGCGGTGGAGGTGCAGGGCGGGCGGTGGGGCCCGGAGTAGGGGGCGCGGGCGCCGAGCTGGGGGGCACCGCGGGACGGCTCAGTCCCCATGGCCCTGGCGCTGGGGGCGCCCCCCGCCTGGCGACCCCGGGGGTCCGCGGCGCTCAGATGCCGTGGTCACAGTCCACATCGCGGCAGATGTACCAGAGGATCACGTAGAGGATGAGGAGGATGGCGAAGATGAAGAGGGCCACCAGGATCGCCTTGGTCACCGGCGAGATGAGAGACTGCATGGCCCCAGCGGGGCGCGCGGGAGGGCGGGGGGCGCGCGGGGGCGCGGGGCGCGGCGCTCACGACCCCCGAGCGCGCCCGGAGCCCCGCGCCGGCCCCGCGCCGCATCCGCAATGCTCCGTGCCCGGGACAGACGCTGCCTGGGTGGCTGCTCGGCGGCGGCGGTGGTGGCAGTGGTGGCTGCTCGGAGGCCGGCGCGCTCGGGTGCAGGCGGCTGCGCGCGGGGCTCCCACCGCCCGGGTCCCCCCAGCTGCTGGCGCTCACCGGGCCCGGCGGCCGCTGGGCTGGGCTGGGGGCACGGGGGGCCCTGGGGGCGGCCGGGAGGAGGGGGCGGCGGCCATGGGGGAGAGCTGGAGGAAGGCGGCGCGCCGGGCAAGTCCCCCGAAAACTTGGGGCGGAGGCGGCGCGGTGACAGGTGGAAACGCCAGCCCCGCGGGCAGCAGCGCGCAGCCGTCCACTGGCGGCGGGGGGCGCGGGGGCGCGGGAGGGAGGCGCGGGGGCGAGCGCGCGGGGAGGGGCTGCGGCACTGGGCGGGGGGCCTCCCTTTGCAGATGGGGAGGGTCGGGGGAGAGCAGGCGTCCCCGACTGCGCGCCTTTCCATCACCTCTCCCACCTCTCTGCTTTTCCCGGCCCCCTCTCTCCAGCGCAGCGGTGGATATCTCTCTCGTCCAGGTCTTGCATCTCACCCCTTCTTTGGGAGTCCCCTTCCTTTCCTCTTTTCCTCACTCTCACCCTGCACCCCGGTATGGGTGAGCTGCGATATTCTCATCAAAGAATGAAGGTGCTCATGGAGAGAAGCTGCCCCTTCTCTCTTTCTCTCTCTCTCTCTGTGTCTCTTGTACAGGGAAGGGGGTTTCAAGTTGCAACTAACTCATTGCTGATACCAAGCAGGATGGGCCCAGGCAGGAAAAAAGTACACACCCTTGCCCAGAGTCACAGCTTCTATAAGGGGAAGGGGGAGACTGGGTTCTGTGATGAAGGGGTGAGGCAGACGTCTTGGTGTGAGACTCAGTCCCGTGATAAAGGGGCGATGCACACAGACGCCTTAGTGTAAGGATCCAGGTTTCTGCCCTCGCATCACAGAAAGCCCTCCACCCCACGTTTGTCCCTTACTCTCTGGGGCTTAGCCCTGGGGAATGGAGAGACAGGCATGGTGGCACGTGGGTGCACACACATTTTTCCTGAAGTGTGAGCTGTGTTTAGGGCTGATGTCTGGTGGAGACACGAACAGGTCAGGGCACAGCACAGAAGGCCGAAGGAGCCCAAATTCTTGGGAAAGGAGGTAGTTCCTCCCTAGCTGGGCATCCTGAATACTCTCTTTAAGGGAGGGAGGGAGCTGGGGCTGTTGGACAGGGGCATAGGGCTTGCACCAGGAATCCATGACATGGTAAGAACAGGGACCACCCAGTTTCCCAGCAAATACACAATTCAGGCCTTTCATGCCCTGATTTTTGTCTCCGCTCCCTGTGGCCCCTAACACCGGTGAGCAGGAGCTGTTCCACGATGCCTGGTAGAAGTCTTCGCCTGCCTGCAGTGACACACTACTGAGGGAAAATTTTATACCTGCATGCAGTGACCCCAGCACCGATGCCCCATGGTTCTGGGAGACAGAAAGAGCTTCAGGGTTGGAGAGCCTTTGTCTGAGAGCCTGGCTCCCGAGGGTAAGGCATTCCTGACCTTCAGAAACAGGAACAAAGGAGAAGATAGGACCTGACCCAGGTAAAAATAGCCTCCCCTGCTATGGTCTAGGATGGATTTGCAGCTGAGGAAGGATGCCAGGAAAATGGACCATGATATCAGAGGGCTGTGTGGGTCGGGGAAAAAGGAATTCATCAAGCACTAAAGTGGCGATGCAATCTCTCCTCTGCACCCTTCTACCCGGTGTTTCCATTCCAGAGACAGCTCTTCCCCCAGGATGACACAGGTGGGAGGGAGGAGACCCTCTTCCTGCTGACGGCAAAGAGAAGAGCCCACCTCAGGGTCTCCCAGCAGATAGCCGGGTGGCTGGCGTGGCTTTCCCTTGAATCTGCAGTCTGTGAAAGGTTTTCGAGCAGAAGTGGGGAGCAAGGGAACAGTTTTGTAGATGGCATGACCCATGCCAGCAAGGCTTGCAGCCAGGCAGCTTCTTCTTGCCACTTTAGAGAGGAAATCAATTGTGTGTGTGTGCGCGCGCGCGTACCCGTGTGTGTGGGTGGGTGTGTGTGCACGTGCCCACACAGTGCATGAAAAGGTCCTCGCTCAGCGATAGTGTGTACATTTCCAGGGCAGCAGCTTCTAACTTTCAATTGAACCTGCGTTTCCAGCCTCTAGCTGTTCATCGGCTGAGAGAAGATGGATAATTGAATTTCTATACTTCCACTTCTCTGCACATGAAGAGTTGGTATTCCTCAGGGGAATTCCTCAGGGGAAGAAACACCAAAGTTTCAGACAGTTTGTAAACTTACTTTTGTCTGTACAATTTATCAGACACCCACAGTGAAGCCAAGAGCAAAAAGAACATCCAGATGGAAAGGTATAAGGCAGGTGTCAGAGCCAATACACCACGATTCCTTTCTCACAAATAGAATTTGATTTTTTTTTTTTTTTGAGACAGAGTCTCGCTCTGTCACCCAGTCTGGGGTGCAGTGGTGCGATCTCAGCTCACTGAAACCTCTGCCTCCCGGGTTCAAGTGATTCTCCTGCCTCACCCTCCTGAGTAGCTGGGATTACAGGCGCCCGCCACCATGTCTGGCTAATTTTTTGTATTTTTTAATAGAGATGGGTTTTCACCATGTTGATCAGGCTGGTCTCGAACTCCTGGCCTCAGGTGATCCACTCACCTTGGCTTCCCAAAGTGCTGGGATTACAGGCATGAGCCTCTGTGCCCGGCCTATAATGTGATTTTTAATGTAGGAAGACACAGAACAGAATAGACATCCCAGGAAAAAAAAAAAACATGGATTTACACCCAAGTGACTTTTGACAAAAGCAGCAGGGAAGTACACAGAGGAAAGAACCCTCTATTGAATAAATGGTGCTAGAAAAAATGGATACTGTACTCAGAAGAACACAACTAGCCCCCATCCCTCACCATATACAAAAACAAACTCCGCATGAATTAAAGACTGAAATATAAGACCCCAAACGATGAGATGACTAAAGCTAAAAGAAGAGGAAATGCTTCAGGACCTTGGTCTAGGCCACGATTTTGTGGGCAACAAATTGAAAGCACAGGTACCACAGCCAAAAATAGATAAATGGGTCTATATTAAACCAGAAAAGCTTCTGCTCAGCAAAGGAAACAATCAACCGAGTGGACAGACAAGCTGTAGAATAGGAGAAAATATTTACAAATATTTGGGGATAATAATGACTCATCTGAAAGGGGATGAATCTGGAAAATTACAAGGATCTCAAACAACTCAAGAGTAAACAACAGTAATCCAATTTAAAAATTACCAAAAGGGCAGGGTGCGGTGGCTCACACCTGCAATCCCAGCACTTTGGGAGGCTGAGGCAGGTGGCTCACCTGAGGTCAGGAGTTCCAGACCAGCCTGGCCAACATGGCAAAACCCTTAGCTGGGTGTGGTGGTGGGTGCCTGTAATCACAGCTACTTGAGAGGCTGAGGCAGGAGAATCACTTGAGCCCGGGAGGCGGAGGTTGCAGTGAGCCGAGATGGTGCCAGGCCTGGGCGATAGAGTGAGACTCTGTCTCAAAAAAAAAAATCAAAGGATCTGAATACAAATCTCCCCCAGAAAAGGCAGATTCATGGCCAACTCACCCTAGTTAGAATCACTATTATCAAAGAGACAAAAAGTGAAAAACGCTGGTGAGGATTGGGACAAACGGAAACTCATGTACTGTTGGTGGGAATGTAAATGAATACAGCCAGGATGGAAAACTGTATGGCACTTTCTCAAAAAACTCAAACTAGAACTGCCATATGATTCCGTAATCTTACTACTGTATACATTTTTAAAAGAAAGTCTGTCTATGCAAGAGATATCTGCACCCCCAAGTTTATTGCAACACTCTTCATAATAGCTAAGATGTTCATTAACACATGACTAGACAAAGAAAATGTGGTATCTATCCATCATGGAATACTATTCAGCCATAAAAAATGAAATCTGCCATTTGCGACAACGCAGATGAACTTGGAAGACAATATCTTCAGTGAAGAAAGTCAGGCATGGAAAGATAAATACCCCATGTTTTCACTCGTAAGTGGGAGGTACAAAAAAGTTAAGCTCATAGAAGTAGAGAGTAGAATTATCATTATTAGAAGCTAGTGGCTGAGTGCAGTGGCTCATGCCGGTAATCCCAGCACTTTGGGAGGCCGAGGCAGGTGAATTGTTTGAGGTCAGGAGTTCGAGACCAGCCTGACCAACATGGTGAATCCAAGAGGTGGAGGTTGCAGTGAGCCAAGATTGCGCCACTGCACTCCAGCCTGGGCAACAGAGCGAGAGTCTGTCTCAAAAATAAAAATAAAAATAAAATGCTGTTTCTGCCACTTAATCCTTCAGTCATGTACATATCCTTCATTTTCCTCATCCCTGAGTGACTTCTTGAACTAAATATGGTGGGAAGGCAATGTTTCAGGGCAGCCACTCTCCCTAGAGTGAATTATTTTAGAATCAGAGAAGTGGTTGCTTCCTAAATCACAATGTGTGAACTACTAAACGCTCTCTCCATATGTGGCTTGTGGTTGTTTGGTCCTGAGATACAGAGCTTCTAACGTGGACGGTAATCTATTGATTTACTATCAGTGATTAGGACTTCTCCTTTTTCATCTGTGTATATGGGTTTTTTGTTTGCTTGTTTTTGTTTTTGTTTTTGTTTTTGAGACAGAGTCTCACTCTGTCGCCCAGGCTGGAGTGCAGTGGTACGATCTCAACTCACTGCAACCTCCACCTCCTGGGTTCAAGCAATTCTCCTGCCTCAGCCTCCCAAGTAGCGGGGACTACAGGCATGCGCCACCACACCCGACTAATTTTTGTATTTTCAGTAGAGATGAAGTTTCTCCATGCTGGCCAGGCTGGTCTCGAACTCTTGACCTCAAGTCATCTGCCTGCCTCGGCATCCCAAAGTGCTCACAGGTGTAAGCCACCATGCCTGGGCCGGTTTGTTTTTATTTTAGCTCATAGTTGCATGTAGAAACTCATGGACAAGATGAACCATGAGCCCTGGGGCAGGCAGATGAGGACAGGAAAAGTTCCCCATTGACTAATTCATTCCTGGGTGATTAGAAGTATTGGAAGGATTTTATCACTTCTGATTGGCTCAGTATCTGTGTGAGTAAGAGCTGCTCATGGGCTGACCAGAATCTGCTCCAGGTGGACAGCTATCTCTGGGTCTGTTTACTGAAGAAACGTGTGTACTTTCTTGAATGTGCTACAACTCTTCAGGGTATCCCTGGAGAACTTTGGGATAGGTCCAGCATTCCATGTAGAAGATGGAACATCTTTCCCAAGAGTTTTTGGATCGTGTCTATCTCTGGCTTGACTCAATTGCCTAAAGTAATTGAATAATAAGTGCTTTTCCTCTGCTTCACTTTGAATGCTGAAACATGCGTTTTGTTTTTTAACCAGAGGAAACTTGCCCAAATTCTTGACAATCCTGGGCTCCTTTGGAGGATTGAAAATCTTGGGTCCTGGCTCTGTCTCCTGGATCTGCACGTTGGGTCATCAGTATTCAAAATAATTCAAACTCAGGTGATCCAGTGACCAGCTTTCGCAATTTGCTATATGAAACTGATTTGGCCGGGCATGGTGACTCATGCCTATAATCCTAGCACTTTGGGGGGCTGAGGCAGGTGGATTGCTTGAGGTCAGCAGTTCGAGACCAGCCTGGCCAACATGGTGAAACTCTGTCTCTCCTAAAATACAAAAATTAGCTGGGCATGGTGGCGGGCACCTGTTGTCCCAGCTACTTGGAAGGCTGAAGCAGGAGAATCGCTTGAACCCAGGAGGTAGAGGTTGCAGTGAGCCGAGATTACGTCACTGCACTCCAGCCTGAGTGACAGAGCGAGACTCCGTCTCAAACAACAAAAAACAAAAAAGCAGGAAACAAAACAAAACTGATTTGGTTTACAAATCAAGGTCAAAAATCAAGATTTGGAAAAAATCTTGGTCAAAATCAGGATTTTGACTACTGTTTCTCCATGCCCTGCTCACATGAGAAACCCTCTCTCCCTCCAAGGCTCCAACTCTGTAATCACTTCTCATTCCCAAATCTGTGGGTCAAATCAAGGTCAAAAATCAAGATCTGGGTTGCAGCCGGGCTTGGTGGCTCATGCCTGTAATCCCAGCACTTTGGGAGGCCAAGGTGGGTGGATCACCTGTGGTCAGGAGTTCAAGACCAGCCTGACCAACATGGTGAAACCTCGTCTCTACTAAAAATACAAAATTAGCCAGCCGTGGTGGAATGTGCCTGTAGTCCCAGCCACTTGGGAGGCTGAGGCAGGAGAATTGCTTGAACCCGGAAGGCGGAGGTTGCAGTGAGCTGAGATTACACCAGGGTACTCCAGCCAGGGCGACAGAGTGAGGCTGTGTCTCAAAAACAAAAAGGATTTGGGTTACAAAATCAAGTTTGTAAACCAAATCAAGTCTGTGGTATGGATTTGTGTCCAGTCCCTCTTTATGTGTGCCTTTGTGTTGGGGCGGAGGTGTGGTTATTGTTTTTTCTGATAGTTTTTCCTAATGTGTTATTATTTTTAGTGAGGTTAAGTCTACAGGTTAACTGAGGCATAAACAGACTTGCTATATTTGCTAATTTAGGCAAAACACAAAGCCAATGATAAAAACCGATAAAACCCAATGGACGAAAACGGATGTTTCCGTAATAGCAGGAGTCGCTTAGAGGTTCAAAAGCATTTTACCTTCTTAGTTCATGGTTTCTGCTTTTCTTTAGTCTGCCAGTGTTGTTGTCTTTGGGATATGTCTTTTTACTATTTGCTCAGATTATTTCAAATATGATAGTGGGTAGTGTTGTGTGAAATAGCTAAGATTTTATGTAGATGCTATTAATAAATTTAAACTAACATTTTAGGTGTCCAGCATTTTTTATCTATGAACAGAGCAGCTAACACTAGAAAGAGTTCTCTTTACAGGGAAGCAGATGTAACCCACCTGCTTTTTAGAATGGGGTGGTTTTACAAGGAAACATCTCTCTAGGTTTTTTTTTTTTTTCGTGAGCCAGAGTCTCACTCTGTCGCCAGGCTGGAGCGCAGTGGCACAATCTAGGCTCACTGCAACCTCCGCCTCCTGGGTTCAAGCAATTCCCCTGCCTCAGCCTCCCAAGTAGCTGGGATTACAAGTGTGTGCCACCACGCTCAGCTAATTTTCGTATTTTTAGTAGAGATGAGCTTTCACCATGTTGGCCAAGATGGTCTCGGTCTCCTGACCTTGTGATCCACCCTCCTCGGCCTCCCAAAGTGCTGGGATTATAGGCGTGAGCCACCGCGCCTGGCCGGAAACATCTCTCAAGTTCCTAAGGTAACTGCTTTGTTCCAAAACATAGATTCATTAAACTCAGTGTGTGTGAAAACTAGTAATAAGTTAGCAGAGCTGATGGGGACTTCAGACTTTAGTGTATGTTTTTTACTACCTTATTCCAGCAAATATGGGTTGGCGACAAAACCACAGAAACGATAGAAGAAAGGACATTTTATTTTTAAAATAGCAGAGTGGGAGCCAGTCAGCCATGGATTCAGATGACGAAAACAACCAAAGAAATGTGCACAAACTCTCACAGTGTTATTTCAACAAAGTATATATTTACAGATTGTCTAAATGGGTATGCTTTTTAGCTTTAAGCTTTGCTTTCATTTTTATTTCGTTTGTGGAAAAAAATGTGAAAACCAACAGAGCTGGGGAACACAACGTTGGCCATGCATTCTAATTAACTTGTTTTTTTGGTTTGTTTTTGTTGTTTTTGTTTTGAGATGGAGTCTTACTCTGTCACCCAGGCTGGAGTGCAGTGGCATGATCTCCGCTCACTGCAACCTCTGCCTCCCAGGTTCAAGCGATTCTCCCGCCTCAGCCTCCTGAGTAGCTGGGATTACAGGCACGTGCCACCACACCCATCTAATTTTTGTATTTTTAGTAGAGACGGGGTTTCACCATACTGGCCAGGCTGGTCTTGAACTCCTGACCTCAGGTGATCCGCCCACCTCAGCGTCTATTCTTTGTAACAATCATGTGCCTTGATTTAAGAATTCCCATGTGCTCAAGCTTCTTGACCATCAGAGTGATTGTAAGATAAAGTAAGAATGAGACACCTTGAGGTCTCATTCAGGCCAGTGGGGATGTGTGGGGAAAACAAACAAACAAACCAAAAAAACAGGAAATATGGGTTAGTCACTAACCCTTTAATGGTGTTTCCTGTGTGTTAAAACTTTTTACGTAGAGCCACTGCCTCTCAGGTAGGCAGGACTGTGTCCTTTGTCAAATGAAATAGTGGGGGCAGCAAGTTGAAATCACCTGTGTGATTTAAACCCATGCATTACTTGGGGGAGAACTGTTGACATAATTCAGTGTCAACAGGGGAAGGAACATGTTCTCTTTCCAGAAGGGTATAAAGGTACTGGCCAGGTGCAGTGGCTCACGCCTGTAATCCCAGCACTTTGGGAGGCCGAGGCAGGTGGATCACCTGAAGTCAAGGAGTTCATGACCGGCCTGGCCAACATGGTGAAACCCCGTCTCTACTAAAAATGCAAAAATTAGCAGGGCACGGAAGCAGGCGCCTGTAGTCCTAACTACTCGGGAGGCTGAGGCGGGAGAATCACTTGAACCCAGGAGGCGGAGACTGCAGTGAGCCGAGATTGCTCCACAACACTCCAGCCTGGGCGACAGAGTGAGTCTCTGTCTCAAAACAAACAAACAAACAAATATATATATATATAATATAATATAATATCAGACCAGCTAAAATCACATGTATATGTGGGTCAAACATAAATGTGGTGTTTGAAATGTCCCTTTTCTTTGACACAAAACTTCATTTTTCAAGTATAAAGCCCGATTTTGATGCCCATTTGCGGTGTGCAAGTCCTCATTATTCCAATGCTTCAGAGTCCGTGTTACAGGCAGAAATGTAAATATTTATTCTGTAATCGTCCTTTAATTTTTTTTTGTTCTTTCCTGCATCACAAAGTTTTTGACTGGCTGTTTCGGAAGACTATGTGATAGTTTCCTTTAACAGGGGGAGAAGAGCCCTTCATGATGGCGCTGAAGAATGATGATGCCTGTGTGTGTGCGGACCTGACCAAATTCTCAGGTTTGGGGTTACCCTCTAGATAAAGATTCTGATGGGGAGAGGGAGCTGTGATTTAGTTAATGCTTATCTGACTGCGCCACCTACCGGCTCGGCAGGGAATATGCTGCCTGCCTCTGAGGTTTTCACCGAGGCTGGGTACGGTGGCTCACGCCTGTCATCCCAGCACTTTGGGAGGCCGAGGCGGGAGGATCACGAGGTCAGGAGTTCGAGACCAGCCTGGCCAACATGGTGAAACCCCCGTCTCTATTAAAAGTACAAAAAATTAGCCTGGCGTGATGGTCGGGCGCCTGTAGTCCCAGCTACTCGGGAGGCTGAAGCAGGAGAATGGCGTGAACCCGGAAGGCGGAGTTTGCAGTGAGCCGAGATCTCACCACTACACTCCAGCCTGGGCGACAGAGCGAGATTCCATCTCAAATTAAAAAAAAAAAAAAAAAAGGTGTGTGTACCCCTGCACCCCTGCAAGGGGACACGAGGCACCATGGCCACCTGTCATCGTTCTTAGATCTGAGAAGAGTGAAAAAAAAAAAAGTGCTGTGTACAGATAGATTTTGGAGTTTTAAAGCCTGCTTGCTGTGGGAGACTTTTCAGTATTCAAACTTTTATATTTAAGTACAATTTTTGATGATGTTGTGTCTTTTTTTTTTTGAAATGGGGGTCTTGTTCTGTCACCCAGGCTAGAAAGAAGTGGTGCCATCACAGCTCACTGCAGCCTTGACATCCTGGGGGCAAGCAATCCTCCCACCTCAGCCTCCAGACCAGCTAAAATCACAGGCGTGTGCCACCATGCTCAGCTAATATGTTTGTTTGTTTGTTTTGTAGAGACGAGGTATCACTATGTTGTCCAGGGTGGTCTTGAACTCTTGAACTCAAGAAATCCTCCTGCCTTAGTCTCCCAAAGTGCTAGGATTACAGACGTGCGTTACCGTGTGCAACCTGATATTTTATCTGACAATGGTAGGGAGGGGCCAGAAGAGTCAGGGAGAGGGAGATGGAGACAGAAAGGAAAAGGAATAAAGAGAGAGAGAGAGAGACAAGGAGAGAGAGACTGATGGAAATTCTTTTTCCACCAACCGAGAAGAGAAGCAGCATCCCATCAGAGGGGGTTGATCCAAGCCATCTACTGTATTAGTTCATGAGAAATGACTGGCTGTAACACATGAGCCCTGGAATTTCTGTGGCTTAACAATTAAATAATTATTTCTCACTCATCCAGTTGTCCAGTGTAAGACTTAGGGACCCCTGAGCAGGCGGCCAGCTCTCAGCAAAGACAGCACAGTACCAGGGAAGGGTCACAGGAATTTTGGCACATGGCCAGCTGGTTCCACTGCACCTGCCCAGGGACGCTGGTCTCCAGGCTCCTGGCTTCTCAGCCTCAGCACAGATGTCTGCATCCCCAGAATTTTAAGGGAGGCTGCTGGAAGCCGGGGCAGGAGGTGGGATGAGAATGAAGCTTTTCAGAGCAGAGACCATAACAGACCAATTTTCAAATTGTCTGAAAATGGAGCATGACCCAAATTCTTAGGAGACTCTAGGGAGGAGAGGGAACCGCAATAATAGCCGACATCACATTTCCCAGGGGAGTGGAGTCTAAGAGTCAGATTTGAGTCCGTTTAGATTGAAATTGGAAAGATACAGAGATGGAAGAGTCTGATGTTTCCTCAAAAGGTTAACCGAAGACATACCATATGTAGTAGTTTGTTTTCACACTGCTGATAAAGACATACCCAAAATTGGGCAACTAACAGAAGAAAGAGAGGTTTAATGAACTTATAGTTCCATGTGGCTGGGGAGGCCTCACAATCATGGCAGAAGGCAAGGAGAAGCAAGTCACGTCTTACATGGATGGTAGCAGGCAAAGAGAGAGCTTGTGCAGGAAAACTCCCTTTTATAAAATCATCAGATCTCATGAGACTTATTCACTACCATGAGTACAGCATGGGAAAGACCTGTCCCCATGATTCAATTACCTCCCACAACACATGGGAATTCAAGATGAGATTTGGGTGGGGACACAGCCAAACCACATCACCCTATGAGCCAGCAATTCTGCTTCTGGGCACATACTCAAGAGAAAAACGAGAACACGTGTCCACCAAATAGCTTGTACATTTATACACGTAATGTTGATAGCTGCACTACTCAAAATAGCCAAAAAGTGAAGGTGACCCAAACGTCCCTCAGCCAATGAACGGATTTAACAAAATATGGCATATCCATACAGTGGAATGTGATTCAGGCAGAAAAAGGTTTCAAGTGCTGACACATGCTACAGTGTGGGTGAGCCTTACAAACATACACTGGCCAGGTGCAGTGGCTCCTTCCCGTAATCCCAACACATTGGGTGGCCAAGGCAGGTGGATTCCTGGAGGCCTGGAGTTTGAGACCAGCCTGGTCAACACGGTGAAACCCCATCTCTACTAAAAGGAAAATGCAAAAATTAGCCAGGTGCGGTGGTGCACACCTGTACTCCCAGCTACTCGGGAGGCTGGGGCACGAGAATTGGTTTAGCCTGGGAGATGGAGGTTGTAGTGTGCAGTGAGCCAAAATCATGTCACTGCACTCCAGCCTGGGTGACAGAGAGTGAGACTCTGTCTCAAACAAACAAACAAAAACAAAAACAAAAAAAAAACCAAAAAAGCCCACTAACCCTAATGATTGCTGATGAGCTTTTTATAAAAATCGCAATCTTGGTCTCCTAAGTCATATTTTGGGTGGCGTATCTTGGTCTCCTAAGTCATATTTTGGGTGGCATATCTCGGTATCTTATAGGACATTCCTTTAGGTATTGCTCATTCACCCAAGGTGGCAGATTCCTATGGATTCCATCATAAATCAAGGACATGAATGAAGCCAATATTCTGTTCCCTCCCATTATGAATAAGCATCATAAACAAGACACAGGAAAAACCATGTTTTGGCTCACGCTTTCCATAGAACTCCCATAGCCCTGAAATAGTCTGCTTTATTCATAGCAATGTGCCACCAGGACATACTTGTTTATTCCTTGCAGAAATTAAGGGTAATGACAACCACTTTCAGTTTAGCATACCATTTTGAGCATGTAACTGAAAAGTGCATTCACTGTATCTCCAAAAATAATGATATACATGCATATTTGTTTCTTGCAAACAAATATAAGTGCTCACACTATATCTCCAAAATGATATGCATGCATATTTTTTTCTTGCAAACAAAGTGCTCACGCTATATCTCCAAAATAATGATATGCATGCATATTTGTTTCTTGATAGGACAGATGTAAATATTTATGTGTGCTAAGATGTGGGGGACATTGAAAGGCTGCTGGGGTTTTTGCAGGCCCCTTAGAAGTGTTGCATGTGTTAAGAAGATGGGAAATACCCTCTTCCATAATTTATGGATGCTAACTACATTCTCTAGCTCCCTTTCAGAGCCTGTCAGATACAAATGTAAAATTGTGTTTCCTCTCTCCCCATTATTTTTCCATGGATGTCATTTAGGAAATGAAAACGAACTCATGAGGACATGAGGATTGGATTGGATTCGACCACGAGAGTGATGGAGGGGTTTCAACAAAGTTCACCAAACTCCAGGCTCTTCATGGTGTCTGTCCACATGATTCAAAGTGTGACACACCCAGGCTTCCCGGAATTTAATTGACAGGTAACGTTTCAACATGTTTTCTGGAAGCACAGAAAGTCTAGATTTCAAGGAGGTGACTCTTTTCTCCCCAAAGCAGACCTTGAGACCGTGATTTTACCGCAAAGCTTTTGTGTTTGGGGAGGGTGGGCGGGGGTGAGTCCCAGGGAGCAGTGGGAGGGGAGAGGGAGTGAAGACAGAGAGTGGAAGATATTATCAGGCCAGTGACTGCAATGAGAGCTTGGAGACTCAGGGTCATCCCACCGGAAGAGTGAGGAAGGCCGGGGTCTTTTTCTGTCGTTTCCCAACATGTGTTGGCTGAGGTTGCTTCCAGGATGGGGGCATATGCTAGTTTTCTTGCACTTCCAATCTGCTCAATGGGTGGTGTATTCGGCTCTTCTTGTACTGCTATAAAGAAATACCTGAGAATGGGTAATTGATAAAGAAGAGAGGTTTAATCGGCTCACAGTTCTGCAGGCTGGACAGGAAGCCTGACTGGGGAAGCCTCAGGAAACTTACAATTATGGCAGAAGGCAAAGGGCAAGCAGGTGCATCTTACATGGTTAGAACAGGAGCAGGAGAGAGAGTGAGAAGGGAGGTGCCACACACTATTAAACAACTTGATCTTGTGAGAAATCACTCACTAGCATGAGAACAGCACCAAGAAGAGGATGCTAGACCATTCATGAAAAAGCACCCCCATGACCGAACCATCTCCCAATGGGCCCCAGCTCCAACGTTGGGGATTACAATTTGACATAACATTTGGGTGGGAACACAGATCCAAACCTTAGCAGGTGGGAAAGCAGGCTCAAGGGATAAGAGAATGGCATTGGGAAAATGATCACGTGTCTTGGCACCCAGAGGTTGGACCATCTTGCACTGACTGACAGTGTTGAGGAGGTAAAGTCCACGCCATATTGGTGAACTCCAGGAACGTGCTTCATTTTTTTTTTTGCAAGCAAGCAACAGCATCTTTTATATCTAAGCAGCAAGACAAGCTGCCATCTTGTTTATCAATAGATCTAACATCTGAGTTGAATGTCTCCTATGAATTCCTACATCTCCTATCTGTGTGTCTATGAGAATAGCCAAGTTGCCTCTTTGCCTTGAAAGGAAAGGATGGATGGAAAAGAGTTTGAACACTCCAGGTTTGCTGGAGGGAGTGATGACATCTGAACAGGAGAGGAGTCAAAGTGTTACTGGAAAGGGGTCCCAATTCAAACCCCAAGAGAGTTTTTGGATCTCATGCAAGAAAAAATTCAGGATAAGTCCACAGAGTGAAAGCAAGTTTATTAAGAAAGTAAAAGGGCTGGGCAGGGTGGCTCATGCCTGTAATGCCAACATTTTGGGAGGCTGAGATGGGCGGAATGCTTGAGCTCAAGAGTTTGAAACCAGCCTTGCCAACATGACAAAACTCCGTCTCTACCAAAAATAAAAAAGTTAGCTGGGTGTGGTGGCATGTACCTATGGTCCCAGCTACTTGGGAGACTGAGGTGGGAGGATTGCTTAAGCCCAACAGGTTGAGGCTACAGTGAACTCTGATTGTGCCAACGGACTCCACCCTGGGTAACAGAGCGAGACCTTGTCTCAGGGAAAAAAAAAAAAAAAAGAAAGTAAAGGAGTAAAACAATGGCTACTCCATAGACAGAACAGAAGCGTGGGCTGCTTGACTGAGTATACTTATGGTTATTTCTTGATTATATGCTAAACAAAGGGCATTTAGCATATAATCTGAATGCCATATTATATGCTAAATTCAAGAGTTTTCTGGGAAACGGGAGTTTCTATAACTGAGGGTTCCTCCCCTTTTAGCCAATATAGGGTAACTTCTGGATGTTGCCATGGCATTTGTAAACCGTCACAACACTGTTGGGAGTATTTTTGAGAAGCGAATGTATTAGAATTAGGGTATAATGAGCAGCGAGGATGACCAGAGGTCACTCTCATCGCCATCTGGGTTTTGGTGGGTTCTGGCCGGCTTCTTTACTGCAAACTGTTTTATCAGCAAGGTCTTTATGACCTGTATCTTGTGCTGACCTCCCATCTCATTCTGTGACTAAGAATGCCTAACCTCCTGGGAATGCAGCCCAGCAGGTCTCAGCCTCATTTTACCCAGCTCCTATTCAAGATTGAGTTGCTCTGGTTCAAATGCCTCTAACAAGAGAACATGTTGGGCCGGGCGTGGTGGCTCATATCTGTAATCCCAGCACTTTGGGAGGCTGAGGTGGGTGGAACATTTGAGGTCAGGAGTTCGAGACCAGCCTGGCCAACATAGTGAAACCCTGTCTCTACTAAAAATATAAAAAATTAGCTAGGCGTGGTGACGGGCACCTGTAATCCCAGATACTCAGGAGGCTGAGGCAGGAGAATCGCTTGAACCCGGGAGGCAGAGGTTGCAGTGACCCAAGATCGCACCATTGCACTCCAGCCTGGGGGACAAGAGCGAAGCTCCGTCTCAAAAAAAAAAAAAAAAAGAGAGAATGTGTTGGTCGTCTGCTTCTTTGGCCAAGAACCTATGTGTGAATGTAACAGTGAGAAAATTCTAACATAGTTCACTCTGTCTTGCTTCTCACCTCACAAGCTAACTGCATTTGCTCATTCCTACAAATAGGTCAAGCTAATCATGAATTCAGTTTACAGTTTAACTTTAAAGCAAGAATGATCATAGTCCCTTCCCAAAAATAACCCCCGAGGGGATCAGGAGGATGTGCGCAGAAGGAACAATGTTATGTCAAAGATTTATAAGAGCACTGTGACCTGACCAAGGATGAGGAAGTTCCACAAGGCCCCTTGGACCATAATAGCCGCCCAGATGTCTGTGGTCATTGCTCACCTCTTGCCCTCTACCACCCTCCCTCTCCCCCTGGCATAAAAGCAGCCTAAAATTCTATTAAGATGGTTCTTTCAACCCAAATGCCCATCAGTGATAGACTGGATAAAGAATATGTAGCACATATACACCATGGAATACTATGCAGCCGTAAAAAAGAATGAGTTCATGTCCCTTGCAGGGACATGGATGAAGCCGGAAACCATCATTCTCGGCAAACTAACACAGCAACAGAAAACCAACCACCACATGTTCTCACTCATAAGTGGGAGCTGAACAATGAGAACACATAGACACAGGGAGGGGAACATCACACACCGGGGCCTGTTGCAGGGTGGGGGGCAAGGGGAGGGACAGCATTAGGACAAATACCTAATGCCTGCGGGGCTTAAAACCTAGATGATGGGTTCACAGGTACAGCAAACCACCGTGGCACATGCATACCTATGTAACAAACCTGCACATTCTGCACGTGTGTCCCAGAACTTAAAGTATAATAATAAATTAAAAAAAAAAAAGATGGCTTTTTAGGACAGCAGTCTTCTGTCTTCTTGACTTGCTGGTTCTTCAAAATAAAGTTGCTGTCCTTACCTTCACACCTTGTGTCTAGACTTACTGGCTATCACGCAATGTGTGGAGGGAGCTTTAGACGCGACGACAGGATGGTGAAGGGGGTGGTCACACGTGGAAGGAGACAGAAGGAAAGGTGCAGAGAACTGGGCAAGGCACTTGGCACAGCTGACCATTTTGTGTGATTCTGGGACAGAGAGAAGTGATGGTAGGTAATCTCCCAAAACTGTTCAGCAGCTGAGAGACCTGCTCCTTCCCCCAGCCGGCTCCGAGGAGCTGCATTTCTGCACAATGTACAGTAGCCCTCCCGCCCCATCTGTGGTTTTGCTTTCCACGGTGAAAGAGTTTGGATATTTGTCCCTGTCAAATCTCATGTCAAATTGTCATGCCCAATGCTGGAGGTGGGCCTGGTGGCAGGTGTTTGGGTCATGGGGGCAGATTCCTCATGGCTTACTTCTGTCCTCGAAATAGTGAGTGAGTTCTTGCCAGATCTGGCTGTTTTAGTGCTGTGGCACCCTCACCACCCCCGTGTTGCTCCTGTTTTTCCCGTGTGATGTGCCTACCCCCACTTCATCTTCCACCATAACTGGAAGCTTCCTGAGGCCCTAGAAGCTGAGCAGATGCCGGTGCCGTGCTTTCTCCATAGCCTGCAGAACCATGAGCCAATTACACCTCCTTTGTGTGTGTGTGTGTGTGTGAGAGAGACAGGAGTCTTGCTGTCGCCCAGGCTGGAGTGCAGTGGTGTGATCTCAGCTCACTGCAACCTCCACCTCCCAGGTTCAAGCGATTCCCCTGCCTCAGCCTCCCAAGTAGCTGGGATTACAAGCACCCACCATGACCCCCGGCTAATTTTTTGTATTTTTTGTAGAGACAGGGTTTCACCATGTTGGCCAGGCTGGTCTCAGACTCCTGATCTCAAGTGATCCTCCCGCCTCAGCCTCCCAAAGTGCTGGGATTACAGGCGTGAGCCACCGTGCCCGGCCCACCTCTTTTTTTCGTATAAATTACCCAGTCTCTGGTATTTCTTTGCAGCAATGCAAGAACAGCCTACAACATGTGGTTTCCGTTATCACTGGTCAACTATGGCTGAAAATACTAAGATATTTCAAGAGAGAGAGTGAGACACACACATGAAAGAGAGAGAGAGCACATTACATTCACATAACTTTTACTACAGTATATTGTTGTAATTGTTCTATTTTATTATTAGTCTGTTGTTGTTAATCTTTCACTGTGCCTAATTCATAAATTAAACCTTACCATTATAGGTTTGTTTGTATAAGAAAAGAAACAGGCTGGCCACAGTGGCTCACACCTGTAAACCCAGAACTTTGGGAGGCGGGTTGATCACCTGAGGTCAGGAGTTTGAGACTAGCCTGACCAACATGGCAAAATCCCATCTCTATTAACAATAGAAAAAAATGAGCCAGCTGTGGTGGCAGGCACCTGTAATCCCAGCTACTTGGGAGGCTGAGACAGGAGAATTGCTTGAACCCGGGAGGTGGAGGTTGCAGAGAGCCAAGATCACACCACTGCATTCCAGCCTGGGTGACAGAGCAAGACCCTGTCTCAAAGAAAAATAAATAAATAAATAAAATGTACTAAAGGAAATAAAAATATTTTATCTCAAAATATATTTCTTTAATATATTGGGGAATACTCCTGAAATGCTATCTTTCCACTTCTCAAAAGAAGACATTCATATGGCCAAAAAAAACATATGGAAAAACCTCAGCACCGCTGATTCTTAGAGAAATGCAAATCAAAGCCACAATGAGACCCCATCTCACACCAGTCAGGATGGTGATTATTAAAAAGTCAAAACACAACCGGTGCTGGCGAGGTTGTGGAGAAATAGAAACACTGTGACACTGTTGGTGGGAGTGTAAATGAATTCAACCATTGTGGAAGACAGTGTGGCGATTCCCCAGAGACCTCAAGGCAGAATTACCATTTGACCCAGCAATCCCATTACTGGGTATGTACCCAAAGGAAAAATCATTCTATTATAAAGATACACGCATGCGTATGTTCATTGCAGCGCTGTTCACAATAGCAAAGACATAGAATCAACCTAAATGCCTAAATAATAGGCTGGATAAAGAAAATGCGGTGGCCAGGCACAGTGGCTCATACCTGTAATCCCAGCACTTTGGGAGGCTGAGGCGGGCAGATCACTTGAGGTCAGGAGTTCAAGACCAGCCTGGCCAACATGGTGAAACCCCGTCTCTACTAAAAATACAAAAATGTGCTGGGTGTGATGGTGGGTGCCTGTAATCCTAGCTACTTGGCAGGCTGAGGCAGGAGAATCGCTTGAACCCGGGAAGCGGAGGTTGCAGTGAGCTGAGATTGCACCACAGCACTCCAGCCTGGGTGACAGAGCAAGACTCTATTTCAAAAAGAAAGAAAGAAAAAAAAGAAATAGTACATATACACCATGGAATACTATGCAGCCATACAAAAGAATGAGTTCGTGTCCTTTGCAGGAACACGGATGGAGTTGGAAGCCGTTATCCTCAGCAAACTAATGCAGGAACAGAAAATAAAATACTGCATGTTCTCACTTATAAGTGGGAGCTGAAGAATGAGAGCACATGGACACGGGGAGGAGAACACACACTAGGGTCTGTGAAAAGGTCGGGGGTAGGGGGAGGGAGAGCCTCAGGAAGAAGAGCTAATGGATGCTGGCTTCATACCTGAGTGACGGGTTGATCTGTGCAGCAAAGCACCATGGCACATGTTTACTTAGTAACAAACCTGCACGTGCACCCTTGAATTTACAATAAAATTTGAAGAAAAACAAAAAAGAAGAAGAAACACTGTCTTTTGTGGGGGACCTTGCGTCTGTCGATCTGCAGAGGGTCTCCTGTAAGGCAGCCAACTCTTCTCTTGTCCGGATCTAGGAGAGATTAACTGAGAGTATGGTGCCTTTAAAGACCTGAAAAGAAATATTCAGCATCTCTTCTCTCTGGGGGCTGCTACCTGTGAAGCTGCATGTACATAACAAGCCCACTTTTGCTAGGAAAGCCTTTTCCTTTCTCCTTCCTATAACCTGTCTTGCAGCTAAAACCTGGTTTTGGCTGGACTCTGAGTCTGCATTCTTGTTTTTTGTTTTATTTGGTTGTATTTTGAGATAGGGTCTCCGTCGCCCAGGCTGGAGTGCAGTGGTGCAATTACATCTCTGCAGTCTTCATCTCCCAGGCTCAAGCAATCAGCATGCCTGGCTAATTAAAAAAAAAAAAAAATTGGGCAGGCGGGGGAGGTGAGCATGGTGGCTCACGCCTGTAATCCCAGCACTTTGGGAGGCCGAGGCAGAGGGATCACCTGAGGTTAGGAGTTTGAGACCAGCCTGGCCAACATGGTGAAACCCCATCTCTACTAAAAATATAAAAATTGGCTGGGCGTGGTGGTGCATGCCTGTACTCCCAGCTACTCGGGAGGCTGAGGCAGGAGAATCGCTTGAACCCGACAGGCGGAGGTTGGAGTGAGCCGAGATTGCGCCACTGCACTCCAGCCTGGGCGACAGAGGGAGACCCAGTCTCCAGAAAAAAAAAAAAAAATGGTTGTGGTCAGAAACAGGGAAATGTAGGGAAGCCATAAACTCAGTAATGAACTAGACTCCTTTTAGGGAGTAGATTAGGCTGTTCCTGGTGTGTGTTACCAGAGATTCTGAAATATTCCTCGGTCGAATGCCTCCAAGAGTGATGTAGTCAACCACAAACCTCCCCCATCTGTTATATCTCCTTGTCTTGTCCCCCCAGATTGTTTTCTCATTGCTTTGCTTTTCCTGATGGGGTTCAGAAAACATTCCACCAAAATATGGAACTGTGGCATTTGAGAAAACAATTTAAGTAAGAAGGTCACTTTCACCTTACCCTCATGGTTCTTCTTTAGCATAGGCCATAAAACCTCGGAAGGACTCTCTGACCTTACCCTGAAGCAGGTCAGGGGACCCTCATTCCAGAGGCGCCCTCCCTATACCAGGAGGAAGAGAATATCCTTAACTCTGAACATGCAGGGACACAGAAGAATCTGAACAAACAGGCCCTGCTAAGTTCCCGCAGTTTATTCTCATTAGATCAGATCCTTTTGCCAGAGGCATGTAAAACAGAGCCACTCCATCTTGAATAGGAGCTGGGTAAAATGAGGCTAAAACCTACTTGGCTGAATTCCCAGATGGTTAAGGCATTCTAAGTCACAGGATGAGATAGGAGGTTGGTACAAGATACAGGTGATAAAGACCTTGCTGATAAAACAGGTTGCAGTAAAGAAGCCAGCCAAAACCCACCAAAACCAAGATGGCCACAACAGTGACCTCTGGTCGTCCTCACTGCTACACTCCTACCAGCACCATGACAGTTTACAGATGCCATGGCAACGTCAGGAAGTTACCCTACATGGTCTAAAAAGGGGAGGCATGAATAATCCACCCCCCATTTAGCATATCATCAAGAAATAACCATAAAAATGGGCAACCAGGAGCCCTCGGGGCTGCTCTATGGAGTAGCCATTCTTTATTCCTTTTGTTTCCTAATAAACTTGCTTTCACTTTACTCTATGGACTCACCCCGAATTCTTTCTTGCTTGAGATCCAAGAACCCTCTCTTGCGGTCTGGATTGGGACCCCATTCCTGTAACGTTTTTGTCCAATAGTCATACTTCTCCATCACTGTCCACTCTTCATTAAAAGTAAGCATATCACATCTGTAATCCCAGCACTTTGGGAGCCGAGGTGGGTGGATCAACTGAGGTCAGGAGTTCGAAACCAGCCTGGCCAACATGGTAAGAGTCGCTTGAACTCAGGAGGTGGAGGTTGCAATGAGCTGAGATCCCGTCACTGCACTCCAGCCTGGGTGACAGAGTGAGATTCCGTCTCAAAAACAAACAAACAAACAAACAAAAAACCAGAAAACCTAAGCGTAAAAATACTCAGATTTTCCTGTTTCTTTCTTTATGATGGCTTCTGTGTCACGTAAAACCTAAATACATGGGCCTGCTTTTCTCTTGCTATTGTCTTTTGTTCTAGGGGCCTTAGTCATGAACCCAATGATGGGTGAGGAAATATATTTCTCTCTCACTGCTACCCTGCCATTACGACAGGCCACAGGCAGCACTTCCAGCTGCTCCGTGGATGTGCTGCAACTTGAATTTGAACTTATTTCAAGTTCTTTGCCTTCAGAATGGTCAGGAATAGAGCCCATCTTCCAGGTGAACCACAGCCCCATCATGTCAACAGGTTTAGACGCAATGACATTGGAGAGGCTTGACTGCTGAAAGTGAAGAAGGAAAGTGCTTCCTAGGATAGAGTTTGTAAAGGAGCTTAAATCAGTGATGTCTTCTTGCGTCCGGTCCATGCCAATGCGCAATTTCATTTTGTTTCCCTCTTTACAGAAGAGGCTGGTCCCTGACTCTCTGGAACTGTATGCATGAGATGTTTCTCCTGAATCTACAGAGACGTAAATCCCCATGACTCAAAGACAGAATCTGTGAAATTTTACTGTCTGATCTGGGAACAGTTTTTAGGATGTCATTGTCATCTGTTGATTGGATTTTGAGTTGACCCCCAAAAGTTCAGATAAAAAACATGTGTCTCAGCAGATCTGGTAGGCTGTGCCCCTCTTCTTCTTCTTCTTTTTTTTTTTTTTTGAGATGTAATCTTGCTCTGTCGCCCAGGCTGGAGTGTAGTAGTGTGATCTGAGCTCACCGCAACATCCGCCTCCCAGGTTCAAGTGATTCTCCTGCCTCAGCCTCCAGAGTAGCTGGGATTACAGGCACTCACTGCCATGCCCAGCTAATTTTTGCATTTTTAGTAGAGATGGGGCTTCACCATGTTGGCCAGGCTGGTCTCGAACTCCTGACCTCAGGTGATCCACCCACCTCGGCCTCCCAAAGTACTGGGATTACAGGCATGAGCCACTGTGCCTGGCCTGCCCTTCTTTTCTTGCATGTCTCTGGCTGGTATTTAGTGTGCAAACATGGCATCACTGGTACTGTACTAGCCAGCTGAAAAGACGCATACACAGGCTCACACACTAAGTTATTGCCAAATTAATTATTGCTGTAAAAATGCTTTGCACCACTGAGGGGGCACAGACCATGAAATTTCCAATGTATGAACTCTAGGCTACCAAATACTGTTTACCTTTGGGCGCTGTGAACCCCGAGGAAAATTCCAGTGATTTGGGGGCAGTCACAAGGCAAAGTGGTCCAAATGGCCTGAACTCAAAATCAAAGAGCCCTTCGTTTTGATCCCAGTCCACTGCTAATGAACTCTATGGCCCTGTGTTGTTTTCTTATCAGCAGACGTGAGCTAATAAGTCCAATATCCATGTATCACAATTGTTTCCCAATGAATGAACACACAGAAAGTTACACAATACAAAAATGTCAGGTAAAAATTTACTTGTTTGTCCATCAATCCATCTATTCACTCATCCATCCACTCATCCATCTATTCTTCTTCTACCCACCCATCTATCCAGCTATCTATCCGTCTGTCCACTTATCTATCCATCCATCCATTCGTCCATCCATCCATCCATCCATCCACCCACTCATCTATCTCTACCCATCCATCCAGCCAGCCAGTAATCTGTCCACCCATCTATCCATCCATCCACCCACCCACCCATCTCTCTCTACCCCTCCAGCCACCCAGTAATCTGTCCATCCACCTATCCTTCCAACCATCCATCCACCCACCCATCCACCCACTTATCTATCTGTCCATCTATCCATAGATCAATCCGTCTATCCCCCCTTTCATCCATCCATTTATTCATCTGTCCATTTATCCATTCCTCCACCCACCCATCCATTCATCCATTTATTCATCTATGTATCCATCCATTCATCCATCCACCCAACTATCTATCCATCCAATCATCCACTCATCTTTCCATCCATCCACCCATTTATTCATTCATCCAGCCATCTATCTCTTTATCCATCCTTCCAGCAAGTGATCCATCCATTCACGCATCCAGATGGCTGTCTGTCCATTCATTCATCCATCCACCACTTCCTACCCCCAGACCCATCTATCCACCCATCATCCACTGACTTCAAAAGCTTCATTTGATCGTCTGTGCAGCAGACATGGTGTGTGATGCTCTGACACCTCTTAAGTGCTTTGGTTGCCCACAAGAACCTCACGGGAGGTCTCTAAGTTGGGCTCAGACCTTGGTAATGAAAACCAGAAATAAAAGTGATTTAAAGAAAGCTGATAGAAACCTAACTTTAGCAAATGGTAAGATAAAAATGTACTCCTTTGTCCTGTAAAAGAAGTTGGGAATGTGAGTCGGGCTGGCACAGCCGTCCTGCTGTATCATCAGCCACCCTGATACCTTTGCTCAACGTGTTCTGCCATGCTTAGAATACAACTTCTGGCCGGGTGCGGTGGCTCATGCCTGTAATCCCAGCACTTTGGGAGGCCGAGGTGGGCGGATCATGAGGTCAGGAGTTCGAGACCAGCCTGGCCAACAAGGTGAAACCCTGTCTTTACTAAAAATACAAAAAGTAGCCTGGCATGGTGGTGCATGCCTGTAATCCCAGGTACTGGGGAGGCTGAGGCAGGAGAATCACTTGAACCCGGGAGGCGGAGGTTGCAGTGAGCCAAGATTGTGCCACTGCACTCCAGCCTGGGCCACAGAGCAAGACTCCATCTCAAAACAAACAAATAAACAAACAAACAACACACAGACAACTTCTATCCTGTAGGAGACTTCCTGCTTCGAACTGGCTGCTGGGACTCCAGCCATCACGTCATTATCCCAGGCAGGTTCAGGATGAAGCAAAGACCAAAAAAAAAAAAAAAAGAAAGAAAAAAGAAAAATGATTCTGCCTCCAGGAGTGGAGTGCATAGTTAGACTGCTGCATTCCTCAAACCCCTGAGGTGGGCCCCAGGGTGCGGGGCCAGCCCCTCTGGCCTTGCCTGTGTCTGATCCAGGGGCACAGGTGGCCTGGGGAGAGACGGAGTCACCCGCAGGCCTGAGACAGCACAAGACCAGTGTTACCGAAGGGCCCCTGACGCAGCCTGCTGGGGTGAGTCGCCAAGGACCAGGACTCAGCCAGGCGACCCAGATAGGGGTCTTACCCCCAACCCCAAACCACGACCACAAGTCCTCACTCCCAACCCTGTCTCTGAGCTTGCGGCAGAACGTCCTTGGTCCCGCGCAGAGCGGGTATCCGCAGTGTGTCTCAAAGCCCCCCACCCCCGCCATCTTTCACCACTGAGCGCCCCCAGCTCGGACGCTCCAGAAAGGACCAGGGGCCGTGGCTGCCTGTCAAGGCCTACGCCTTTCTAAGCAGGGAGGGGATTGCACTTTGCACCCCTTGGGGATCGCCCTGAGCGCCCCGTGAGCAGCTGGAAGGGGGCCCCATAGTTTTCCGAGCAGAGGAGCAGGAAGAGTTTCATTTCCTCCCCGTTGGGGCTGCCTGGGGGGGGTGCCTGTTAGGAACAGAGAGGGGACAGCAAGGGCGGGCGCGGAGAGGCCCACACCTCTCCAAGAAGGGCAGCGGTTTCTCTTGGCTCCAGGTAGGGGCCGCCCTGGGGCGTGCATTTAAGGGGCTGTAGAGAGGGAGGGACCCGCACTTTCCCGAGAATGTTGGGGGTTTCACTTTGCTCTAGTTGGCGGCATCCTGGCGACGGGCTTGTGGGCGGGGGGCACTCACAGTTTCCTGAGAAGGGAAGGAGGGCGTCCCGTGGTCCCCTCGGCGCGGCCCGAGCCACCTCCGCCCGCCCCCTCCTCTGTCCCCTCCCCGGGCCCGGCGTTCCCTCCCCTTCCGTGCGCCAGTGGAGGCCGGGGTGGGGCGGGGCGGGGCAGGCGCAGCCTGGGCTGAGTTTGCAGGGCTGCTCCCCTCACCCAACCCCTTCGAGTCCTCCGCGGGCTCCGCCCCACCCGGCCCGTGGGGGAGGTTCCGTCCCGCCGCCTTCGCCCGCGCGCTGCACTCGCGGACGATCTCTGCTCGCCTTGGGCGCGCCGTGGCGCGCGGGGCCGTGCTGGCGCTGCGGCTCCTCGGCCTGCTCCGCCGTCTGGTGGCCGCCCCGGTGAGCGAGCGGCGGGATCCGGGTGGGAGGACGCGGGGGGTGGCGCGGGCTGGGCCTGGGGATCCGCCTGGGGATGTGGGGTGCAGGGGCGGGGCGCCCCGCGGGGACACCCGGCCCCTCTTCCGTGCCCGGCGGGACGCGCTGTGCCCACGGGGACCCAGGTCCGGAGGAGGCGCCCACTTTCTCCCCAGCGCTCTTCCTGGGGCCAGGTGGGAGCCGTTTCAGAGGAAAAAGCCAGCGTTTCTTTCGTAAACCAAAAAGTATCTGGGACAAGTCCCAATCCTTTTGAGTTGATTCGGCGAAGATCAGGAAGGAGCCCGGGAGACGGGTCTATGCCTTTCTCCAAAGATACTATTGAGAGCTTCGGTATTTAAAGGGGGAAAGCACGCTGGAGGGGAAAGAAGGAGGAAGGCTCATTTTACCGAATTCACCTGTTGCAAAAGAAAAGCAGCAGGTAGAATAGTCAATTATGTATTTGTCTTGCGCTCACTAAATTGGCACTTTACTAAGATAAGGTCAACAGAGAGTTATTGCACTGTCTGCTTGGGAACAGAAGGAAAGACAGCTTCCTGCCTGACTCAGCTTCCAGCTTTATTATTATTATTATTAATTATTTTGGCAGAGTGAACTGGGGTTCCAAGTTTTAATTTTCCTTCTACAGTTTGCAGAATCGCAAACTCTTAAATTTAGGGGAACCTGGGGAAGAGGTGGCATCCGATTCCCCCCCAACCCTGGTGACGTTCTTATGGATCTTATGGATACTGCAGTCTCTCTTCTCTTTCTGTCTCTCCTCTCTTCTCTTTCCTTTCTCTCTCTCCTCTTCTCTCCCTCTTCCTCTCTCTCTCCTCTCCTCTCTCTCTCTTCTCTCCTGTTCCCTCTCTCTCTTCTCTCTCTTCTTTCTCTCGCTTTTCTCTCTCCTCACTCTCCTCTCTCCCTCTCTCTCCCCTCTTTCCTCTTTCTCTCGCCTCTCTCTCACCTCTCTCCTCTCTCCCCTTTTCTCTCTCTCCCCCTCTTCTCTCTCTCCCCCTCTTCTTTCTCTCCTTTTCTCTCTCGTCTCTCTCTCCTCTCCTCTCTCCTCTCTCTCTCCTCTCCTCTCTCTCCTCTTTTCTCTCTCCCATCTCTCTCTCTCCTGTCTCCTTCTCTCTTGTCTCTCGCCTTTCTCCTCTCTCTATCTCCTCACTCTCTCCTTCTCTCTCCTCTCTCTCTTGTCTCTCTCCCGCCTCTCTCATCTATCTCCTCTCTCTCTCCCCCCTCTCCTCCCTCTCCTCTTTCTCTCCTCTATCTCCTCTCTCCCCCTCTTTCTCTCTCCTCTCTCTCTCTTACTCCCTCTTTTTCTGTCTCATGCTCATCTTTTACTGTTTTCACCTGAGGGAAGAGTGATGAGAAGATAGGAATTCACGTTTTCTGAAGTATTTAGAAACGTGGGGCCGTGGTGTTTTCTCCACCTGTTTTTGGGTCATTCCTTCCTCATTTCTCAGAACATTGGTATTAACAGCTCATTTCCCTCCTTTAAGGGCTGACTTTGACTTAGCGATGCCTTTCCTGATGGAGGAAACAGTGAGTAACTTTTTAAAGTCTCCTCTGTTGCTGACTTTGCTGATTGTCATTGAATTATTATCATTTTCAAGACATCTCTTTTGCGTGATAAATGGATTGAGTTTGGACAGTGGGAACATAGGAAGTATATGTGTTGTTTATTTTTGTTGTTGGATTTTTGATATATTTTTTTTTTGTTACCAGCATGCTGGTTTTTTTGTTTTTTTTGTTTTTTTTTTTTTTTGAAGTGTAGGTTCAGAGTCTCACTCTGTGGCCCAGGCTGGAGTGCGGTGGCGCGATCTCGGCTCACCGCAACCTCCGCCTCCTGGGCTTAAGCGATTCTTGTGCCTCAGCCTCCTGAGCATCTGGAATTACAGGCACCCACTACCACGCCCGGCTAATTTTTGTCTTTTTAGTAGGGGCTGGGTTTTGCCATGTGGAGCAGGCTGGTCTCTAACTCCTAAACTCAAGCTATGCACTCACCTTGGCCTCCCAAAGTGCTGGGATTATAGGTGCAAGCCATCACGCCCAGCCAGTATGCTGGCTTTTATTTTAAAATGGTTAGTCTTTGGAACAACGTAAGGCAAATGTGACTCCCTTGGCCAGGTCAGGCCTCGTGGGCATAGATCTGCGCAGTCACACAGGGACCTGTGCACACAAGGGTGCCATGCTGCTTTATTGCTGTGTTGCTGCCATCTTCAGATTCTTCATACAGTTGGAACAATGGGTCGCACATTTTCATTTTCACAGGCCCTCCCAAATTCTGGAGGTGGTCTGCACACCTGGTTTAGTTTTCTTTGAAAATACTTGAAGTTAAATCCTGTACCTGGAAGACAACAGAAGGGAATTGGCAGGAGGCTACGTGTATGGGTATCCCCACCATGACAAAAACAAGGGCCAGTTTTTACCTGTTTAGTGAACAGTCTCTGTGCAAATTGATATTTCAGTTTCTTTTCTCATCGCTATGGAAATTGATTTTTCATTTTCTGGTCGCTGTGGAAATTGATTTTTCATTTTCTTTTCTGGTCGCTATCAAAATTGATTTTTCATTTTCTGGTCGCTATGGAAATTGATTTTTCATTTTCTTGACTACTAGGTACTGATGATTGCAACTCTCATGTTTTACAAACAGGTGACCCAGCACCACCTAATGCCCCCAAACCAAAGCCAGATCCAAACCCCAACCGACCTGGTTTCACTGGTAAGAGCCTCTAACCCTACGGGTGGTCTCTATATTGTTTATTGTAACTTTATTTTATACTTATTCATAAGAATATTAATTCACATTTTCTCATGTTTTCTCATTTCTATCATATGACATTTACTGACAAATACTATTCTATCTAAATATATAATAAAATACATTAATTCCTTTAATCCCTAATGTTGAAAACATTGTGTCTTCTGACATTTTAGAATTATGAATTACAAAGCCAATTTGAGTCAACTTTGTCTACTCTTTTTCATTCCTTTGAAGAGATTTCTGGCATTCAAATTGTCTAGATCAATGCTCATGAGTACTTTTATAGCTTTTAACCTGGTTGGTTGTTTGCCCCAGAATTGCACCAATTTGATTTGATACCAGGGTGTCTGCAAATGTCCCTGTCTTCGAACCTTTTCCAGTAGCAATTATCACCTACAAAACCTTTGTCAAATAGTGTAATTATTATATCAAACCGGTCTTAGTTTTACATCTCTCATTCTGAAATGTAAAAAGCATAATGCATCCCAATGGGCCACGGAGACTTCTTCTTTTGTGTATTGGATGCTTTGGCTTTGATCCTTCAATTCATGGTGCCCGCCACCAGGCCCAGCTCATTTTTGTATTGTTAGTAGAGATGGGGTTTCACCATGTTGGCCAGGCTGGTCTGGAACTCCTGACCTCAGATGTTCTGCCTGCCTCAGCCTCCCTACCTACTGATGTATGAGCCTTCTTCAGTGATTTATCAATATTAAAGATTACCAGCCACTTATTATGAAAATGGTTTTGCACTTTATTTTTGCCTTTGAATATTTTTAACAGGAATGTTTTACAAGTGGTATGTTTATTTTTTTATGGTGTCTTATGTTTGTGTGGATATCCTGCTTTTTGTAACTTTTTTTCCTTTTAAATTGAGAATCATTTTGCTATTGTCCCTTCTCTTCAGAGAAGTAAAACCTTCTTTTTAATTTCATTTGAATTGTTTATCACCATAGGTTGATTGAAGGAATGGTAACACGTTTTCAATGTTGAGTTTTTTCTTTTATTTTCTTTCCTTTTTTTATTTTGGAGACAGAGTCTCTCTCTGTCGCCCGGGCTGGAGTGCAGTGGCGTGATCTTGGCTCAGTGCAACCTCCACTTCCTGGGTTCAAGCAATTCTCGTGCCTCAGCCTCCCAATTAGCTAGGATTACAAACATGCACCACCATGCCCGGCAAATTCTTGTATTTTCAGTAGAGACGGGGTTTTGCCATGTTAGCCAGGCTGATCTTGAACCCCTGACCTCAGGTGATCCGCCCATCTCAGCCTCTCAAAGTGCTGGGATTACAGGTGTGAGCCACCATGCCGGCCTGAGCTTTTTCTTTGAGATTCGATTTGTCTCTTCCTCTTGTTGATTCTGTCAATGGGTTTCTAAAGTGTTTTTTCCTTGTTTTTGTTACTCTGAATCCATTTTCATGTCCACTATTTTTCTGTTTATTTCTGTCATGTAGAAGAGATTGTGTATATATTTTTTGCAATCCATGAAATGATGACCCTTTGTTAAATTTCAATTTTTTTTCTCTTCATTTCTGACCTTTTCTAAGAAGTTGGTCATGTTATTTGGTAATGGGTTTTTAAAATTTTCCCTGTTCCTAGATTTATACGTTCTCTTTACAGTTTATTTGTAATTTAGTTCTATGGCCTTTGCTAGAAGACTCAGGACAACTTTTAATATGTAGAGTTGTAAATATGGTAGACAACTTTTTTTCCAGACATTAGGACAAAAACCCAAAGAGATTCACCTTTAAATAAAATAAGTCATTTCAATAAGTGTCTTTCTCTTCTAGTATACTTTTTTTCTGAACACATAGGTTCTCATACCATGAGATTTCTTATTTCTATACAATGTATGTGAAAAATCATGTGCTTTTTATTCATTGCTTGTGTATTTTAATATGGTTTTGAAAAAAAGATTCATTTTGATGTAGCCCCTCATGTTTCTTTCATTTGAGCCTCCCTTATCACTCCCAATATAAAATGTGCCTCGACCTTAATTGGGATTTGAAAAGCTTGGAACTAGAAGGCTGGGCCAGGTAAGGTGGCTCACACCTGTAATCCCAGCACCTTAGGAGGCCAAGGCGGCTGGATCACTTGAGGTCAGGAGTTCAAGACCAGCCTGACCAACATGGAGAAACCCTGCCTCTGCTAAAAATACAAAAATTATCCTGGCATGGTGGTGCATGCCTGTAATCCCAGCTACTCGGGAGGCTGAGGCAGGAGAATGGCTTGAACCCGGGAGGCAGAGGTTGCAGTGAGCCGAGATCACACCACTGCACTCCAGCCAGGCAAAAGGACAAAACTCCATATGAAAAAAAAAAAAAAAAAGAACTAGAAGGCTGGCTTTGAAACTAGCATGAATGTCACATTAGTTTGTGGAGCCCAGCTGGGTGGGTAGAGCCACTTTTCAGACACAGATCAGAATCCGTCAGTCACAGATCAGATCACAGTCACCTGCCCTACCTCTTACGGTCTGCCTTGCTGAAGGTGTTGGGGACCTGGGAGGAGATAATGGGGAATCAACGGGACAGAGTTGTGTGCAGGCAGATTCAGAGTCCCAACTGGGTCCAGGCAGCACAGTTGATTTACAAATGACATTCTTTCTCTCTCCCTCTTTCTCTTGCTGTCATCTCTTACTCTTTTCATCTGGGGGAAGAATGATGTGAAAATGATCAGGAATTTACTTTTTCAAATGAGATCCTAGTCAGTGTGATATTCAGAAAAGTCTTTAGTCATGTGGGTCTCTGGTGATTTCTCCATCTGTTTCCGAGGTCATTCCTTCCTCATTTCTCAGAGCTTTACTATGAACAGACCGATTCCTTCCTTTAGGGGCAGACTTTGACTTAGCAGATGCCTTTGGTGAGGGAGGAAACAGTGAGTAACTCGTTAAAGTCTCCTCTGTTGCTGATTTGTTATTGTCACCAAATGACTGTCATTTCCAAGAGACTTATCTCTTTTGCATAATCCATGGATTGGGTTTATACAGTGGAAATATTGGAAGTATATGCCTTGTTGTGTTTTATTTTTGTTGTTGTTGGATTTTTGTTTTTTTTCCCACCAATATGCTGGCTTTTATTTTAAAATTGTTACAGACTTTGGAATGATATAAGGCAAATGTCACTTCCCTGGCCAGGTCAGACTTCATGGGCATGTGACATGTGATGTCACACAGGGACCTGTGCATACAAGGGCACCATATTGGTGTATTACTCAGTAGCTGCCATCTTGAAATTCGTCATAAAATTGGAACAGAATCTTGCATTTTCATTTTGTGCAGGGCCTCTCAAATTCTGGAGGTGGTCTGGACACCTGGCTTAGTTTTCTTTGAAAATACTTGAAGTTAAATCCTGTAGCTGGAAGATGATGGAAGGGAATTGGCAGGAGGCTATGTGTATGGGCATCCCCACCACGACAAAAACAAGGGTCATTTTTTACCTGTTTAGTGAAAGGTCTCTATGCAAATTGATTTTTCATTTCCTTTTCTGGTCGCCATGGAAATTGATTTTTCATTTTCTTGACTGCAAGGCACTGATGATCGCCAACTCTCATGTTTTACAAACAGGTGACCCAGCACCACCTAATCCCCCCAAACCAAAGCCAGATCCAAATCCCAACTGACCTGGTTTCACTGATAAGAGCCTCTAACCCTACGGGGTGGTCTCTATGTTGTTTACCTGGCAGTGATGTCCGTGTCATCTGAGAAGAGGAGATTTCAGGTGAGCCTGTTCCTACTGTTGAATTACAAGGTAATTCCAGTGTTCAAGTAGTGGAAAACCTAGATTACGAAAATATGTTTTTGGTTTGGATTTTATTTTCCTTTTCTTGATTTTACTTCAAAGATAAATGGAACTTCCAAATCATTGAATAAGAGCTTTTAGATGTAGACTTGATATGAGGAAAAGAATCTGTGTGTTTCCCATGGAGAAGCCAACTTGTTTTAAACAATTAGATTTTTACTGAGTGTTTTTCTTTACATGTTTGTTTAATTTTTAACACAGAAATCTATCCAGATGGTCTAAATCCTGTTGACATTTTTATGGTTTTTTGCTGGTTATGTTATTATTGGCATAAGAATATTCCTTGACCATTTTCTCATGTCATTTAATCGTTTGTATCATACGACTTTACATTATTATACTACAGACTTAATTACATACTTTGGTTTCTTTAAGTAATCCCTAATTCTGAAGTTATGTTTCTTCTGATGTTTTGGAATTATCAATTACAAAGCAAATTTGACTGCCCTTCATGCACTTTCCTTTATGTTTGAAGATATATTTCTAGAGTGCAAGTTGTTTACATCGATGTGTGTGAGTACTTTTGTAGCTTCTGACATGGTTTTGAAATTGCCCCAGAATTGCACCAATTTATTTTGATGGCGGCGGGGTGTGCAGATGACCCTTTCCTCACACCGTCTCCGATATTGGTGTTCACCAAAACATCTTTATCCAGTAGTGCAAAATGTCATGCTAACCTTGTCTTAGTTTCACGTCTTTAATTCTGAAACTTGAAACAAAAACAATGCATCAGTGGGCCATGGAGACTTCTTCTTCTGTGTATGGGATACTGTGTCTTTTATTCTTCTATTCTGGTATGTCCTCCCTGATTTCTAGTCATTTTTGAATTATTTATAGACAGTAAACATTGCCCAATATATTATGAAAATGTGTTTCCACTTTATTGTTGCCTCTGAAAACATTTTGAACAGAAGCTTTTATAAGCAAGGCTTGAATTTTTCTTTTTTATGTTGTCTTAGGTTTGTGTGAGTTTCCACCTTTGTGTAACACATTTTTCCTTTTAACAGAACCATTTTATCACTGTCTCTCTTCCTTCTTGGGAAAAAGAAAACCATCTTTTTCTTTTCATTTGCATTACTTACAACTATGAATTGATTTATAGAGTGCTAAAATATTTGTAAAATCGAGCAGATTCTTCTGTGTGCCTTTTTCTCCTGGTGATTTATTTAAATGGATTTCTAAGGTGTTTTCCCGTCAGTATTGATTTGTTTTGGTGAGTACGATTTTATGTGCGCTATTTGTCTCTCTGTTTCTGAACTATAGCAACATTTTTGTGCATTCTCTCTTACTCTCCACTGAATGATGAACCCTTGTGAACTTCCAATTGTTTTCTCTTCATTTCTTAATGTTTCTGAGAAGACCGACATATTATTTGTAAGTGATTTTAAAATTTGTCTCCTTTTCTATGTTTTTTCGTTGTCTTCAGAGTGTCTTCAGAGTGCATTCGTATTTTTGTTGAATTGGCTTTGCTAGAGAACACATGATGGCTTTAAGTATGAGTGAAGAGAGTAGACATTTTTTATTCCTGATTTCAAGGTAAAAACCTAAAGAGGTTCACCTGTAAATAAAATAAATTGTCTTTACAAAACCAGATACTCATTCCAAGAAGATCTCTCTATTCTAGTATACTTTTTTTTCTAAACATACAATAGTATAGGTTCTCATACTGTGAGACTTCTTATTTCTTTATACACAATATATTTGAAAAGTCATTGGTTTTTTAGTGATTACTAATGTACTGTTACATGGTTTTGAAAAGTGTTGGATTCAAAGTTTCCTTCATTTAAGCCTCTTTTTTCTCCCTTCCCCATATAAAAAGTTGATGATGGCCAGGAATAGAGGTTCACACATATAATCCCAGCACTTTGGGAGGCTGAGATGGGAGCATCTTTTGAGCCCAGGAGTTCAAGACCAGCCTGGGCAACATAGCAAAACCCCCTCTCTACAATGAAATGAAAAATTAGCCAGGCTTGTTGGCACATACCTGCTGTCCCACCTGCTTGGGAGGCTGAGGCAGGAGGATTGCTTGAGGCCAGGAGGCGGAGCCTGCAGTGAGCCGTGGTCACACCACTGCACTCCAGCCTGCGTGACAGAGGAAGACCCTGTCTCAAAACAAAACAAAAATGGTTCCTCGACTTTAGTTAGGATTTGAAAAGCTTAGAACTGGAAGGCAGCCTCTGAAATTATCAAGAATGTCACAGCAGTTTGTGGAACACACCTGGGTGGGTAGACCCACTTTTTAGACACTCTCTAGCCCAAATCTGATCACAGTCATTCTTCCTCACCTCTTAGGGTCTCCCTCACAGAAGGTGTTGGGGGCCTTGGACGAGATGTTGATGGGATGGGAATAAACAGGAGCAAATAATGTGCAGGCGAAGTTGGAGTTCCTGCTCAGTCTGGGAGGAGAATTGATTTATGAATTTCTTTCTTTCTCTCTTTGTATCTATCTCTTCTTTCTCTCTCTCTCTCTCTCTCCCCCCAGCCACCTTCTGATCTCTAATCCATTCATGTGAGAGAAGAGCGATGTGAAAATGGTCAGCAATTTGCTTTTTCTGATGAGATCCTGGTGAGAGTCATGTTCAATAAAGTATTTAGTCACGTGGGGCTCCAGTGATTTCTCTGTTTACAAGCTCATTCCTTCCTCATTTTCTCAGAACTTTGGTGTTAACAGCCTGTTTCCTATTTGTAGGGGCTGACTTTGACTTAGCAGATGCCTTTCGTGATGGAGGAAATAGTGAGTAGCTCTTTAAAGTCTCCTCTCTTGCTAACTTGCTTATTATCGCCCAATTATTATCATTTGCAAGAGACTTACCTCTTGAGAATGATCAATGGAACTTGTTTGCACAGTGGAAACCTAGGGAGTAAGTGTGTTGTTGTCTGTTTTTGATGTTGTTGGACTTTTGTTTGTTTTTTTTTTAACCAGTCCACTTGCTTTTGTTGAGAAACTCCTACAGTCTTTGGAATGATGTAAGGCAAATGTGACTCCCCTGGCCAGGTCAGCCTTCACGGGCATGCAGCTTGTGAAGTCACCCAGGGACCTGTGTTTACAAAAGCGCCATATTGGTTTACTGGTCTGTAGTTACCATGTTGCTCTTCTTCATACAGTTGAGACGAGGGGTCCCACATTTTTGTTTTGCACGGGACCTTGCCAACTCTGTCACTGATCTAGACACCTGCTTTAGTTTAATTTGATATTAAGCAATGTAGCCGGAAGATGATGGAAGAAAGTTGGCAGGAGGCTGTGTGTACGGTTATCCCTGTCATGACAAGCAACAAGCTCCAACTTTTACCTGGTCCGTCAGCCATCTCTATGCAAATTGATGTTTCATTTCTTTACTCCAAGACACTCATGATTGCAACTCTCATTGTCACAAACAGACGACCCAGCACCTCTTAATTCACCCAAGCTGAAGCCAAATGCGAACCCTGAGCAGCCTGGATTCATTGGTAAGTGCTTCTCACTCTATAGGTTGTCTGTATGTTGTCCACGGTAGAGTGGTATCCACATCAGATGGACGACAGGCTTTCAGATGAGCAGGTGCTTGCTATTGACTTTTTGTACAGTTACTCCAGTGGGCAGGGAGTGAAATACAGTTTTCTGAAATAGATATTTGACTTGCGTTCTATTTTTAGTTTGCTGATTTTACTTCCAAGATTGTATGGAACTTCTAAAACACTGAGCACAAGATTTTCTTATGAACTTGGTATAGAGAAAATGGCCTGTGCATTCCCTGTAGAGAAACTTGGGTGTTTTTGATGTTTTTGCCCTTGAATATTTGTATCAGCTATTTTGACACATGACAGCATTCTCAGGTAATCTGACTAGCAACTGTTTTTTGAACTGAATTGTTGTGAAACATTCAGGTTTTTAGTTCTTTTTTGTTTTTAATTTTTAACACAGAAACATAAATAATGTTCATATCCTCTTGGCATTGTGATGGTTATTTGCGCTTATATTTTATATATCAGTTTAAATGAAGCAAACGTTAAGTAATAAAGCCAGTCTTTTGTTCATACTGCATTGTAACATTATTATTATTATTTTTATTATTATTATTATTATTTGAGATGGAGTCTCGCTGTGTTGCCCAGGCAGGAGTGCAGTAGCGTGATCTCGGCTCACGGCAACCTCTGCCTCCTGGGTTCAAGCAATTCTCCTGCCTCAGCTCCTGAGTAGCTGGGATTACAGGCATGCACCACCATGCCCGGCTAATTTTTTTGTGTGTATTTTTAGTAGAGACAGGGTTTCACCATGCTGGTCAAGCTGGTCTCGAACTCCTGACCTTAGGTGATCTGCCCACCTCGGCCTCCCAAAGTGCTGGGATTACAGGCATGAGCCACTGAGCCTGGCCTATTTTATACTTATTAATAGTCACTGAACATTTGCTCATGTCATTTTATCATTTATATCATATGACATTTACTGTCAATTATATTCTATATAAATATATAATACATTAATTTATTTAATCCCTAATGTTTAAAATATTGTGTCTTCTGACTTTTTAGAATTATGAATTACAAAGCAAATTTGAGTCAACTTCATCTACTTTTTTTTTTTTTATTATTCCTTTGAAGAGATTTCTGGCATTCAAATTGTCTAGATGAATGTATATGAGTCCTTTTATAGTATTTGACCTGGTTCGTCATTTGCCCCAGAATCGTCCCAGTTTATTTTGATGATGGTGTGTGCAGATGTCTGTCTTCACACCATCTCTATACTGGTTATCACCTGCAAAACCTTTGTCACATAGTGTAAGGATTATATCAAACTTGTCTTAGTTTCGCATCTCTAATTCTGAAATTTAAAAAAAAATAGTGCATTCCAGTTGGCCATGGTTACTTCTTTTGTGTATTGGATGTTATCCCCTTTATTCTTAAATTCTCATATGTACCTACTGATTTATAAGTCTTCTTCAGTTATTTATGGATATTAAAGATTATCAGCCACTTACTATGAAAATGTTTTTGCTATTTATTTTTGCCTTTTAATATTTTTAACAGGAATGTTTCATAAGCAAGACCTATTTTTTTATGGTGTCTTATGTTTGTGTTGGTTTTCTGGTTTTGTGACTTTTATTTTAATGGAGAATAATTTTGCCATTGTGTCTCCTGCTTGGGAGAAGTAAAACTGTCTTTTTAATTTCATTTGAATTGTCTTCAAACATAAGTTGATCAAAGAAGTTGTGAAACATTTTCAAAGTTGAGCTTTTTCCTTGAGATTTGATGCATCTGTTTCTCCTGATGATTTTTGTCAATGGATTTCTCAATTGTTTTTTGTTTTTGTTTTTGTTTTTTGTTTCTCTGAATCTATTTCTAAGTCCACTATTTTTCTGTTTATACTATAATATACAAAGGATTTTGTGTATTTTTCTTTACGATCCACAAATTGTTTGCAAATTATTTTTTTTTAATTTCCCCTTTTCTATATTTGTACATTTTGTTTACAGTTTATTTGTAATTTGGTTGTACTGTCTTTGCTAGATAAACCCAGGACAGCTTTTCATATGTAGAATTGTAAATACAGTAAACAGCTTTTATTTCAGGCTTTAGGGCAAAAACCCAGAGAGATTCACCTTTAAATAAAGTAAATCACTTCAAAAAGCCTCTTTCTACTCCAGTATACTTTTTTTTCCCTAAACGTATAATAGTATAGTTTCTCATACCATGAAATTTCTTATTTATATATAATATATTTGACTAATTATTTGATTTTTATTGATTACTCATGTACTCTTACATAGTTTTGTAAAAATGTTGGATTTGATGTAGCCCCTCATGTTTCTTTTATTTAAGTCTCCTTGTTATCCCCTTTCAATATAAAAATTTCCCCAACCTGGCCAGGCACAGTGGCTCACGCCTGTAATCCCAGCACTTTGGGAGGCCGAGGTGGGTGGATCACAAGGTCAGGAGTTCGAGATCAGCTTGGCCAATATGGTGAAACCCCATTTCTACTAAAAATACAAAAATTAGCTGGTTGTGGTGGCGGGCACCTGTAGCCCCAGCTACTCGGGAGGCTGAGGCAGGAGAATTGCTTGAACCTGGGAGGAGGAGGTTGTTGTAGTGAGCCGAGATTGTGCCACTGCACTCCAGCCTGGGGAACAGAGCAAGACACCGTCTCAAAAAAAAAAAAAAAGTTTTTCCCAACTTTAGTTGGGATTTGAAAAGCTTAAAACTAGAAGGCAAACTCTGAAACCATGGTGAGTTTTCACGTCAGTTTGTCCAGCATAAATGGGTTGGCAGAGTCACTATTTAGACACCCTCTAACCCCTCTTAGGGCCTCCCTGGTGGAAGGTGTTGGTTACCTGGGGGGAGATGATATTTGGACAGGAAATCAACAGGAGAGAACCATGTGCAGGTTAGAGTTGGAATTCCAACTCTGTCCAGGCAGCACAATTGATTTATAAATTATTTTATTTCTCTCTCTCTGGCTCTCATCTTTTGTTCTTTTCATCAGAAGGGAGAGTGATGTGAAAATGATCAGGAATTCACTTTTTCTATTGAGATTCTGGTTAGAGGGATATCCAGAAAAGTATTTAGGAACGTGGGGTTATGGTGTTTTCTGCATCTGTTTACGAGACCATTTCTTCCTCATTTCTCTCAGAACTTTGGTGTTAACAGCCTGTTTCCCTCCTTTAGGGGATGACTTTGACTTAGCAGATGCCTTACATGACAAAGGAAACTGTGAGTAACTCCTTAAACTCTCCACTGTGGCTGACTTGCTTATTATCACCAAATTATTATTGTTTCCAAAAAACGTATCTCTTGTGAATGATAAATGAAACCTGTTTGCACAGTGGAAAGTTAGGGAGTAGGTGTGTTGTTGTTTGTTTTGGATATTGTTGGACTTTGTTTTTGTTTTTACCAGTATGCATAGTTTTATTTTAAAACTCTCACAGTCTTTGGAATGATGTAAGGCAAATCTGACTCCCCTGGCCAAGTTAGGCTTCATGAGTGTGTGACTTGTTCGATCACCCAGGGACCCATGCTTACAAGGGTGCCATATTGGTTTATGAGTCTTTAGTTGTCATCTTGAAATTCTTAATATTCAGTTGAGCAAGGATTTCTGCATTTTCATTTTACACAGTACCTTGCCAATTCTGTAGCTGATCTGAAAAGCTGCCTGATAGGTTTTATTGAAAATGCTTTATCAGTACTGTAGCTGGAAGATGTTGGAAGGATATTGGCAGGAGGCTGTGTGTATGGGTATCCCCACCATGACAAAGAACAAGGTCCAATTTTTATATGTTTAGTGAACGTCTGCATGCAAATTGATGTTTCATTTTCTTCACTTCAAGGCACTCATAATCTCAACTCTCATCTTTTACAAACAGACGAGCCAGCACCACTGAACCCACCCAAACCAAAGCCAAATCCAAACCCCAAGCAGCCTGATTCCACCGGTAAGAGCCTCTAACCCTATGGGTCATCTGTATGTTGTTTACAGGACAGTGATATCCATGTCAGCTGGGAGATTTCACATGAAACCTGTGCTCACTCTTCACTCCTTGTACAAGGAAATTCCAAAACCTAGTTTTCAACTATATAATTTTGATTTGGATTATATTTTTAGCGTCCTGATTTTACTTCTAAGATTTTAAGATTTAAGTCATAAATCTTAAATAGAATCTTAAATTCTGAGATTTTTTGGATTCCACCTCTAAAAAGTTGAATACGAGGTTTTAAATACAGACATGATATGAAGGAAGGGATAGTTGCATTCCCAGTGGAGAGGTGAGTGCTTTTCAAATAGTTAGATCGTTAGTGATTTTTTTTTGTTTACATGCTTGTTTAACTTGTAACACAGAAAAATATAACTAGTGTCCAAATCCTGTTGACAGTTTGATAGTTATGTGCTAGTAACGTTATTTTTGGCATATTCATATTTCTTGATGATTTTCTTATGTCATTTAAGTCTTTCTAACATGACTTTTACTGTCCATTTTATGTCCTTATTTATTTCCCACATAATTATATACTTCAATATTTAATTTTGACAATGTTATGTTTCTTCTAACATTTTAGAATTATGGATTTCAAAGTCAATTTGAATCAACTTTATGCACTTGTTTTTATTCCTTCGAATCAATTTCTAGAATGCAAATTGTTCAGATCAATGTGTATGAGTACTTCTGTAGTTTTGACCTGGTTCTGAAATTGGCCCAGAATTATATGAATTTATTTTGATGCCAGGGATATGTGCAAATGTCCCTTTCTTCCCACCATCGTTACTGCTGCTGATCACCTAGAAAACCTTTGTCATGTACTATCACATGTAACATTAATCTTTGCCTAGTTTCAGTTCTTTAGTTCTGCAATTTAAAAAAAAATAGTAAATAGTACATCAATTTGCCACGTATACTTCTTTTTTTTTCTTTTTTTTTTTTTTTGAGATACAGTCTCGCTCTGTCGCCAGGCTGGAGTGCAGGAGCACCATCTCAGCTCACTGCAACCTCTGCCTCCCGGGTTCAAGCAATTCTACTGCCTCAGCTCCCAAGTAGCTGGGACTGCAGGTGCATGCCACCATGCCCGGCTAATTTTTTTGTTTGTTTGTTTGTATTTTAGTAGAGATGGGGTTTCACCATGTTACCCAGGCTGGTCTCCAACTCCTGAGCTCAGGCAGTCCACCCGCCTCGGCCTCCCAAAGTGCTAGGATTACAGGCATGAGCCACTGCGCCCAGCCTACTTCTTCTATATGTATTGATTACTTTGCCTTTATTCTTATCTTCCGATATGTCTGTATTGTTTTATAAACGTTCCTCATTTTTTTATAGACATTAAATATTGCCAACCATTTACTATGAAAATGCTTTTTCATCTTATTTTTGCCATTGAATAGTTTAACAGTATTTTTTGACAGGCAAGTCTTCAAATTTTTATTCATGGTGTCTTATATTTGTCGGAGCTTTCTGATTTTGGTGACTTTTTTTTTTTTTTTTGAGAGAGTCTTGCTCTGTCGCCCAGGCTGGAGTGCAGTGGCACGATCTCCACTCACTGCAACCTCTCCCTCCCAGGTTCAAGCGATTCTCCTGCCTCAGCCTCCCCAGCAGCTGGGACTACAGGCACCCACCACCACGCCCAGCTAATTTTTGTGTTTTTAGTAGACACAGGATTTCACCATATTGGCCAGGCTGGTCTCGAACTCCTGACCTCATAATCTACCTGCCTCAGCCTCTCAAAGTGCTGGGATTACAGGCGTGAGCCACCGTGCCCAGCTGACGTTTTTTCCTTTGAACTTCAGAACCAACATGCCTGCAAAATTGAGATTTTTCTTGATATTCGATGTACCTCTTTCCCTGATGATTTCTTTTAATGCATTTCTAGTTTTTTCTTTTTTTTCATTTTTCTGGATATATTTTTATGCCCACTATCTTTCTGTTTATTTTTGTTACATAGAAAGGATTTAATATATTTTTCCTTACTATATCCTGAACTATGATCCCTTATTAAATTTCTATTTTTTCTCATTTCTTATCTTTCTAAGAAGACAATCATATTATTTGCACATGATTTTTAAATATTTTTCAATTTTCTATCTTTATATGTTCTCTTTACATTTTATTTGTATTTTTGTTGTATTACCTTTGATAGTAAACCCAGGACAGGTTTAAATATGAGTGAAGAGAGCAGATATTTTAAATTCCTGACTTTAAAGCAAAAACCCAAAGATACTCACCTTTAAATAAAATAAATTGCCTTTTTAAAAAATGTAGTCATTTCAGGAAGGGTCATTCTATTCTGGTATACATTTTTCCCCAAATATATAATATTATTGGTTTTCATACCATGAGGTTTCTTATTTCTTTATATATATATATTTGGATAATCATCTGGTTTTTATTGATTACTCATTAAAACCACGTAAGTTATTGATTACTCATTGAAACCATGTAAGTATATTCTTACATGGTTTTGGAAAAATGTCGGATTTGATGTAGCCCCTCATGTTTCTTTTATTTAAGCCTCCTTATTATCCCCTTTCAGTGTAAAAATTTCTCCAGCCTTAGTCAGGATTTGAAAAGCTTAAAACTAGAAGGCAACCTCTGAAACCACGGTGAATTTTCACGTCAGTTTGTCCAGTACGTCTGGGTTGATAGAGCCACCTTTTAGACACCCTCTAGCCCAAATCTGATCATAGTCATGTGTCCCCACCTCTTAGGGCCTCCGTGGCGGAAGGTGTTGGTTACCTGAAGGGAGATGGTGATGGGATGGGAAATCAACAGGAGGGAATCCTGTGTTGGCAGAGTTAGAGTTCCAACTTCGTCCAGCCAGCACAGTTCATTTATAAATTACTTTGTTTCTCTCTCTCTCTCTCCCTCTCTTTCCACCCCTGACTCTTGCTCTCATCTTTTACTCTTTGTGTCTGAGAGAAGAGTGATGTGAAAATGATCAGGAATTCACTTTTTCTTATGAGGTCCTGGTCACAGTGATACTTAGAAAACACTTAAGAACTTAGGCCTGTGGTGTTTTCTCCATCTGCTTCCAGGTCATTTCTTCCTCATTTCTCTCAGAACTTTGGTGTTAACAGCCTGTTTCCCTTCTTTAGGGGATGACTTTGATTTCACAGATGTTTCTTCATGGTGAACGAAACAGTGAGTAACTCTTTAAAGTCTCCTCTGTTGCCGAATTGCTTATAGTTTGTTTGTGTTTTTGGAGTGCTGTAGGAAGAGCAGTGATGAAGGTTTGAGGCTTCTAGATGCTTCCATATTAGTTGCCTGGGGCTCAGGCAGGGGCACACATGTGGACCCCTGGGGGGACATGACAGTTGAGCTAACAGCTGAGGAATGAGGATGACTTATATCCCAAGGAGTGGGTCAAAGGGTGTTTTGTGTAGCAAGTGTGGCATGTGCAAAGGGCCTGTGGTCAGTGGAACTGAGGGTGCCTGTGGGGCTCAGTGAGGGGGAAAAGAGGAAGTCAGGCATGGCATGGGATGGAGGGGAACAGAGTGAGGCTACAGTCAGTGCCCAGTCTTGAAAATGTCCCTTCGAGTGTCCCTAGGGGCCATCCTTGTTTTCAGTGCTTATTACCCCTGCTCCCCTCTGCTTGCTCCCAGAGAGCTGTCTCCTGCCTCCCAGCTCTGCGTCTCAGATCCTGGCTCTGATCCCACGCTGCTGTTGCTTACACTCATGTACCCATTGCTAATGTCATCATTCCCTTCGGCAGCTAAGTGCAAAGTTAATTTCCCATTTGAAAAGCAGTCTGTACTAATAACAATCAACTGGGAGACCCAAAAGAGTGCAGTTAAAGAGAAAAAAAAAAATCAAACTTTCCCTCAAAAGAAACCAGTGATACCATTTGGGTCCACCTCCCTGAGGTTTGAAAGCCTCTCCGTTAGTGTTAGTTGCTTTTAGGCCTCTTCTTGCTGCATTAGCAAGGTGTATCTTTCTCTTTATATGCAGACAGTGCCCTCTTCTGGTGGGAGGCTCTCAGTGTCTGTCTACAAATCCATGACCCAAGAGGTAGAGGGGTCCCAACGGTCCCACTTAACTTCTGCCAAAGTGGTGCCCTTGGGAATCCCCAACTTCCTGTGCCCACCTGTTCTAGCTACTTGGTTCACTTTGACCCAGCTCTTCAGGGGTGATACCCTCCCTCATCAGGCTCCCAGATCCCATCAGGTGTTGAAACCCCATGTGATAGGTGAAATACTGGTCCCCAGAGATGCCCACATCCTAACCCCTTGATCATGTAAATGTGTGACCTTATGCAACACATGGGACTTTGCAAATGGGATTACATTAAGGATCTTGACATGGGACGATTATTTAGGATGAGCTGTGTAATTACAGTGGAATCACAGGTTCCTTAGAGAGGCCTGCATCAGAGGATGAAGGAGTTGTTCACATGTGGAAAGAGACAGAAATAAAAGTGGAGAGGACCATTGAAAAAAAAAGTCATTGAAAGACTTTGGCACCCAGGTTGCCATGGCTGCCCCCAGCCCTTCAAATTCTCCTAAAGCCCCAAATGATCTTTCCCTGGAAGATGCACCAGCCCATTGGATAGCTTAGATGCAGCTGTTGGAGGGTGGATCTAGCCTGTGAGGACCCAGTAACCTGGACCCAATACATGACAACAAGGATTGAATGAGTGGTCGTTTACTGCTGAGTAATTGCTGGTTTTCCTGGCTACCTGGGCCCTGGGTCACATGGATGAGAGGGCTGGAAAAAATGATTATCAGCACAGAGTCCCAGAATCTCTGTGACTTCTGGTCACAGATATTTTGAGTGTATGTATAGAAAAAAGCAGTTGTTCCTACACATTCAGTGTCAGAAGTGAAGGATGAGAGGGGAGAGGGGTGTGCATGTCAAAGGAAAAAACAGCTTTTCCCCCCTGTACGTGAGGTCACAGCAAATTTGCAAGATTCAGTGCATGGTGAGAGAAGCAGGCAGCCGCTGACATCCAGGGGCTGGCCTGGCTCCCGCTACCTGGCTTGGGGTTTCCTGTTGGACCTAAGAAATGTCACAGACAGGACATTTTTAAAGTCAATAAGAAATGTCAGACAAGAGCACTGTGATGAAGTCAAGAGACCGTGGGTTGTGCTTTGGCTGGTTCTTGATTTATTTCTGCTCAAGGCAATCAGTATGCCAAGGTGGCATATTTCAGAGTGTCACGTAATGATCTACATTCTTATTCAGGGTGGGGTGTCCTGTACCCCATCAACTGGAAGGTTGTAGCACTTCCTGCTTTCTAGACATGGTAAATGAACTCCCTGGGTCACTGGGAAAGTTGTAGCACTTCCTGCTTCCTGGAGATGGTAAATAAACTTTCTGTGTCACATGGGAGGTTGTAGCACTTCCTGCTGCCCAGAGATGGTCAATGAACTTCCTGAGTCACTGGGAAGGTTGTAGTACTTCCTGCTTCCTGGAGATGGTAAATAAACGTCCTGGGTCACTGAGGAGGTTGTAGCACTTCCTGCTTTCCTAGAGATGGTCAGTGAACATCCTGGGTCACTGGGGAGGTTGTAGCACTTCCTGCTTCCTAGAGATGGTCAATGAACTTCCTGGAGATGTTAAATAAACTTCCTGGGTCACTAGCGAAGTTTGTAGCACTTCCTGTTTCCTGGGGATGGTAAGAGAACTTCCTGGGTCACTGGGGAGGTTGTAGCACTTCCTGCTTCCTAGACATGATAAATGAACTTCCTGGGTCATTGGAAGGTTGCAGCACTTTCTAGTTTAGAGGGACATTATAACACTTCCTGGTTTATCTGGAGATTGTAATGCTTTCTGATTCATAGGGACATTGTAAAACTTTCTGGCTCACATTGTTACATTTCCTGGTTCAAATGGATAATAGTAGCACTTCCTGGTTCACAGGGACATTGTGACACTTCCTGGTTCTTATGGGTAATTGTAGCATTTCCTGGTTCACAGGGACATTGCAACGCTTTTTGGTTCATACACATAATTGTTAGCACTTCCTGATTCCCAGGGACATTGCAACACTTCCTGGTTCATAGGGATAATTGTAGCACTTCCTGTTTCATAGGGACATTGTAATACTTTCTGGTTCATACGAATAACTCTAGTACTTCCTGGTTCATATAGATAATAGTAGCAATTCCTGGTTCACATGGACATTGCAACACTTCCTGTTTCACAGAGACATTGCAACACTTCCTGGTTCATTCTGATAATTGTATAACTTCCTGGTTTGCAGGGACATTGTAACACTTTCTGGTTCATATGGATAATAGCACTTCCTGGTTCATAGGGACATAGTAACATTTCCGGGTTCATACATACGGATAATTGTAGCACTTCCTGGTTCATACGGATAATTGTAGCACTTCCTGGTTTGCAGGGACATTGCAATACTTCCTGGTTCATATGGATAATTGTAGCACTTCTTAGTTTTTAGGATCATTGTGACACTTCCTGGTTCATAGTGACACTGCCACACTTTCTGGTTCATATGGATAATTGTAGAACTTCCTGGTTCATAAAGACATTTGGAACCGTCTGGTTCATAGGGATAATTGTAGCACTTCCTGGTTCATAGGGACATTGCCACACTTCCTGGTTCATCTGGATAATTGTAGCACTTCCTGGTTCATAGGGAAATTGTGACACTTTCTGGTTCATAGTGACATTGCCACACTTCCTGGTCCATGTGGATAATAGTAGCACTTCCTGGTTCGTAGGGACCTTACCACACTTCCTGGTTCATCCAGATAATTGTAGCACTTCCTGGTTCATAGGGATATTGCCACACTTTCTGGTTCATATGGATAATTGTAGCACTTCCTGGTTCATATGGATAATAGTAGCACTTCCTGGTTCACAGGTACATTACAACACTTCCTGGTTCATTCAGATAATTGTAAAACTTCCTAGTTTGCAGGGACATTGTAACACTTTCTGGTTCATATGGATAATTGTAGCACTTCCTGGTTCATAGGGAAATTGTGACACTTTCTGGTTTATAGTGACATTGCCACACTTCCCGGTCCGTGTGGATAATAGCACTTCCTGGTTCGTAGGGACATTGCCACACTTCCTGGTTCATCCAGATAATTGTAGCACTTCCTGGTTCATCGGTAAATTGTGACACTTTCTGGTTCATAGTGATATTGCCACACTTCCTGGTTCATAGTGACATTGCCACACTTCCTGGTCCATGTGGATAATAGTAGCACTTCCTGGTTCATAGGGACATTGCCACACTTCCTGGTTCATCCAGATAATTGTAGCACTTCCTGGTTCATAGGGATAGTGCCACACTTCCTGGTTCATAAGGATAATAGTAGCACTTCCTGGTTCACAGGTACATTACAACACTTCCTGGTTCATTCAGATAATTGTAGAACTTCCTAGTTTGCAGGGACATTGTAACACTTTCTGGTTCATATGGATAATTGTAGCACTTCCTGGTTCATAGGGAAATTGTGACACTTTCTGGTTCATAGTGACATTGCCACACTTCCTGGTCCGTGTGGATAATAGCACTTCCTGGTTCATAGGGACATTGCCACACTTCCTGGTTCATCCAGATAATTGTAGCACTTCCTGGTTCATAGGGATATTGCCACACTTTCTGGGTCATATGGATAATTGTAGCACTTCCTGGTTCATATGGAAAATAGCACTTCCTGGTTCACAGGGACATTACAACACTTCCTGGTTCATTCAGATAATTGTAGAACTTCCTAATTTGCAGGGACATTGTAACACTTTCTGGTTCATGTGGAGAATTGTAGCACTTCCTGGTTCATAGGGAAATTGTGACACTTTCTGGTTCATAGTGACATTGCCACACTTCCCGGTCCATGTGGATAATAGTAGCACTTCCTGGTTCATAGGGACATTGCCACACTTCCTGGTTCATCCAGATAATTGTAGCACTTCCTGGTTCATAGGGATATTGCCACGCTTTCTGGTTCATATCGATAATTGTAGCACTTCCTGGTTCATATGGATAATAGTAGCACTTCCTGGTTCACAGGTACATTACAACACTTCCTGGTTCATTCAGATAATTGTAGAACTTCCTAGTTTGCAGGGACATTGTAACACTTTCTGGTTCATATGGATAATTGTAGCACTTCCTGGTTCATAGGGAAATTTTGACACTTTCTGGTTCATAGTGACATTGCCACACTTCCCGGTCCGTGTGGATAATAGTAGCACTTCCTGGTTCATAGGGACATTGCCACACTTCCTGGTTCATCCAGATAATTGTAGCACTTCCTGGTTCATAGGGATATTGCCACACTTTCTGGTTCATATGGATAATTGTAGCACTTCCTGGTTCACAGGGACATTACACACTTCCTGGTTCATTCAAATAATTGTAGAACTTCCTAGTTTGCAGGGACATTGTAACACTTTCTGGTTCATATGGAGAATTGTAGCACTTCCTGGTTCATAGGGACATTGTAACACTTCCTGGTTCATAGGGACATTGTAACATTTCCAGGTTCATATGGATAATTGTAGCACTTCTTAGTTTTTAGGATCATTGTGACACTTCCTGGTTCATCTGGATTATTGTAGCACTTCCCGGTTTATAGGGAAATTGTGACACTTTCTGGTTCATAGTGACATTGCCACACTTCCTGATTGATATGGATAATAGCACTTCCTGGTTCATAGGGACATTGCCACACTTGCTGGTTCATCCAGATAATTGTAGCACTTCCTGGTTCATATGGATAATAGCACTTCCTGGTTCACAGGGACATTGTAACACTTCCTCTTTCATTCCGATAATTGTAGAACTTCCTAATTTGCAGGGACATTGTAACACTTTCTGGTTCATACGGATAATTGTAGCACTTCCTGGTTCATAGGGACATTGTAACATTTCCAGGTTCATACAGATAATTGTAGCACTTCCTGGTTCATAGGGACATTGTGACACTTCCTGGTTCATATGGATAATTGTAGCACTTCCTGGTTTGCAGGGACATTGCAATACTTCCTGGTTCATAGGGATAATTGTAGCACTTCTTAGTTTGAGGGACATTGTGACACTTCCTGGTTCATAGTGACACTGCAACACTTTTTGGTTCATATGGAAAATTGTAGTATTTCCTGGTTCATAACGACATTTGGAACCGTCTAGTTCATAGGGATAATTGTAGCACTTCCTGGTTCGTAGGGACATTGCCACACTTCCTGGTTCATCTGGATAATTGTAGCACTTCCTGGTTCATAAGGATAGTTGCAACACTCCCTGGGTCATCACCCCCATCCTGCCATCTGCTCCAGCCCTATGCAGCCACTCAGAAATCTACTTCCTATCCCATGGATTTGCCTATCAGGGGCATTTCAAACGGCCTCCCATGTGGTTTTGTGCCTGGCTTCTTTCACTCAGCATAATATTTTCGAGGTCCATCGATTTTGTACCATGCATCAGAATTTCATTCCTTTTGATGGCAGAATGACATTCCATTGTATGGGTAGACCACATTTTGTTTATCCATACACTTGTTGTTGGGCATTGGGTTATTTCCACTGTGTAACTACCATGAATAATGCTTAGCACTTAGCATACGGTTAAGACTTCTATGTACATACTTGTCTGAGTAACTGTCTTCAATTTTTTGGGTAAATACCCAGGAGGGGAATGGCTGGGTCATATGATAACTCTATGTTTAACCATTGAAGGATCCGCCAGGCTGCTTTTCAAAGCAACCGCACCATTGCACCATCCCACAAACAATATAAGAGTGCTCCAGTTTCTGCACATCTGAGCCAACACTTGTCACTGTCCATATTTGTCATTAGAGCCATCCTAGTGTGTATGATGGGCTATCTCATTGTGGTTTTGATTTGCATTTCCCTGATGACCAGATAGGTTGGCTTTCAAGTTTTCATGTTCTTTCTTCTTCTCTGTCAAGTAGATGAGTAATACTTAAATAAATATTTCTTACTCAGCATTTTGATGTATTTATTCATAGCCTTATTAATGCTTGACTTTATTTGTTTATCTCTCAGATATGGGTCTCTAAATGTCAGTTTCAAGAAGGAACTGTGTTTTGTTCAACTCCAAAATCCCCAGATCTATCTAGGACACTGCCTGAAACACAGAAGGGGTTAAAAAAATATGGATGAAATATAATAGCAAATGCATGTCCTATTTTAAAATATCGACAGTTATTCTATTTGCAGAACAATAAATTCAATGTGAAGACTAAGATACTGTTGATTATTTATGTGTGTATGCTCGTATATGTATATATACATACATATGTGTGTATACCTCTACATGTATGTATAGGTATGTATAGGTATACATATGTATATGTACAGACATATGTATAGGTATACATATGTATATGTACAGACATATGTATAGGTATATACACATATACAAGCATATATATATACATATGCAAGCATACCCACATTATGTACATATATGTAATATATATATATATACACACTCACATATACATACACACACACATATATTTACACATATCTTTATAAAACACAGACCTAGGATATTTTCCCTAGAATCAGGTCCAAGGCAGATAGTTGAAAAATGTCTGATTTCTAATTTGTGGTTGAAATAAAACTAAGAACATTTCATTATTTTCATCATGATTTATTTTGCTGACTTGTTGAACATATGCAGGCTTGTTACCTGGGTGGACTGTGTGATGCTGAGGTTTGGGGTATGACCGATCCCATCACCCGGGTAGTGAGCATGGCACCCAATAGGTAGTTCTTCAGTTCTTACCCTATCCCTCCCTCCACCCTCTAGGAGCCCCCAGTGTCTGTTCCTCTCTTTGTGTCCATGAGTACCCAATATGTAGATCCACTTATAAATGAGAATGTGCAATATTTGGTTTTCTGTTTCTGGATTAGTTTGATTACAATAAGAACCTCCAGCTCCATCCACGTTACTGTAAAGGACGTGGTTTTGTTCTTTTCTGTGGCTGTGTAGTATCCCACAGCGTCTATGGACCACATTTTCTTTATCCAGTTCACCCTTGATGGGCATTTAGGTTGATTCCATGTCTTTGCTATGGGGAATAGTACTGTGATCAACATGCTTGTGCAGGAGTCTTTTTGGTAGGATAATTTATTTTCCATTATGTATGTATCCAGGAATGGGATTGCTGAACTAAATGGTAGTTCTCTTTTTAGTTCTTTGAGAAATCTGGGAGATATGTCTTGGAATGAACTTCATATAGCTTTTTACTGCCTCCCTTTTAAAATGCTTCCAGAAGGCTGTCCCTTATTTGGTGCACAGAAACTGGCTAAAAAATAAATGTGACCAGCTGGGAGTGGTGGCTCACGTCTGTAATCTCAGCACTTTGGGAGACTGAGGCAGGTGGATCACCTGAGGTCAGGAGATCAAGACCATCCTGGCCAACATGGTGAAACCCCGTCTCTAGTAAAAATACAAAAAATTAACTGGGCGTGGTGGCGGGCGCCTGTAATCCCAGCTACTCAGGAGGCCAAGGCAGGAGAATTGCTCGAACTTGGGAGCCAGAGGTTGCAGTGAGCTGAGATGGCTCCACTGCACTCCAGCCTGGGCGACAGAACGAGATTCCGTCTCAAAAACAAACAAACAAACAAAAATTAGCCAGGCATGGTGGCACACACCTATAGTCCCAGCTACTCAGGAGGCTGAGGCAGGGGAATCACTTGAACCCGGGAGGCGGAGGTTGCAGTGAGCTGAGATCTCACCATTGCACTCCAGCCTGGGCGACAGAGCAAGACTCGGTCTCAAAAAAATAAATAAATATAAATACAATTAAAACAAATAATATAAAAACGTGACCTGCAGCCACCTCTCCAAGGGGCCTGGATACCAATGGAAGGAAGTGAAAAGGAGGAGATGAAAAATTTACACCTTGAAAGCTGAAAGTGTTCTAATATTACCAATGCTGTGGAGTCAGACACATCGAAAGTGACTCTAATACCTCCTGACATCCTTATGTTATGAATATGTAGACAATAGCAAATTATTCTCCGCTTTTTTCCAGCTCATTGAAACATGTTAGGGAGGAACATTTCTGCATTGACAACAGCTTTAAATATTTCATTAGTGCTTGGAAGAAACACAAGAATCTGTGACGCAGAAGGGAAATGAAAAGGAAAGCTTAGTCTCCATTTAGTTATGTTCCTCATAAATATTTCCCAGAGGCAAAGATGTTCTCTTTCATATTAAAAATACAAATAAACACTTCTCATTAGCCCAAGAAAATATTGTAGAGATTTTCATTATCCAAAAAAGGCACACTTTCAAGACACACGGAACAGAGACGGCACATTGCCTTAGCTTGCTTCTGGCTAGCATGTCTGGCTATTGACCGGATTTTATTTTTAAATGACTAAAATAATATATTAACTAAATGGTAAAATTCATATTCAGCATTGGCTTGAGGGCATCGGAGGGTTTTGGCTGGCCCAGTCATCTCTACCAGTGAAGAAAGCAAGGAAATAGGTCATTTCACTCAGGGACAGCTTGAAAACAGAGATTTCATGGAGCTTCCTCATTCCGTCAGCCTAGAGTGGGATTTTGGCTGTCACCCTTCAAGGATGAAAAGGTGCAGAGGACATTGGGCTGCAGACAGGGCGCTCGTTTAAATGATTTAAAAGTTTTGGTCAGTCGTGGTGGCTCATGCCTGTAATCCCAGCACTTTGGGGCGCCGAGGCGGGTGGATCACCTGAGGCCAGGAGTTCGAGACCAGCCTGACTAACATGGAGAAACCCCATCTCTACTAAAAATACAAAATTAGTCGGGCGTGATGCCACATGCCTGTAATCCCAACTACTCTGGAGGCTGAGGCAGGAGAATTGCTTGAGCCTGGGAGGCGGAGGTTGCGGTGAGCCGAGATCGTGCTATTGCACTCCAGCCTGGGCCACAAGAGCAAAACTCCATCTCAAAAAAAAAAAAAAAAGTTTCCATCTGGCTGGACACGGTGGCTTACGCCTGCAGTCCCAGCACTTTGGGAGGCTGAAGCAGGTCAATCACTTGAGGTCAGGAGTTCAAGACCAGCCTGGCCAACATGGAGAAACCCCATCTGTACTAAAAATACAAAAATTAGCCAGGCGTGGTGGCGGGTACCTGTAATCCCAGCTACTCTGTAGGCTGAGGCAGGAAAATCACTTGAACCCTGGAGGCAGAGGTTGCAGTGAGCTGAGATTGCACCACTGCACTCCAGCCTGGGCGACAGAGCAAGACTCCGTCTCAAAAAAAAAAAAAAAAAAAAAGTTTCCATCTAAGCGAGCTCTGTTGGTTCTCCCACCTCTGACCTTATGAGTTTTCTTCTTTAACCTGCACCTTGTTCTCTGAGTCACTTTGCACTTGAAGGTACAGCTACAGCTTCCCCATCAGACTTGTTGGTCGTTTATCAAAGGATGAAAAAGTTCTTCCTCCTTTGGGTCTTTAACCCTGTTTCCTGGTGTAAGACAGCTTTTATGTTTGCTACCTGCTGGAATCAACTTGAAATTTTCTCCCAGAAAATTTGTGAATTTATCTTGTTCAAGTTACTTGTGGTCAATAAGTTAATAAAGATAGGTAGACAGACAGACAAATACATTGATACAGATAGATAGATTCATGATAGATGATTGATAGATAGATATTACACAGATACATAGATACATATCTTAGACCTGATATATACAGGGTGGGTGGATAGATAAATGAATAAATAGATAGATAGATATTACATAGATAGATAGATACATAGATTAGACCTGATATATACAGGGTGGGTGGATAGATAAATGAATAAATGGCTTGATTGATGGATTGATGATTGATGGATTGATGGATTGGTAGATAAATGAATAAATGGCTAGATACATGATTGATTGATTGGTAGGTAAATGAATAAATGGCTAGATACATGATTGATTGATAGATGATAGAGATTAGATAGATATATAGATACATAGATTAGACCTGATAGATATATGGATATATATACAGGATGGGTGGATAAATGAATAAATGGCTAGATACATGATATAGATAGAGCCAATACATACATAGGTACATAGACAGGGTAGGTGGGTAGATAGATGAAGACATGGATAGATAAATATACACAGAGATAGATCAATGATAGAAATGGGTATATAGATATATGAATGATAGAAGATATTTTGAGAGAGAGATGATTAATAGGCAATTGATTGACATATTAGATGACAGATAAAAAGTGGGTAAAATGCAAGTAAACTGTAAGCCAAACGTCCACGTGGAATAGCGTGGGAAGCATTGAGAAGACGCTTTTTGGTGCTACCTGTTTAAACATTGAAAAACTGAGCTAATACCCTCCACAGTACGATAGAGGGGAGGGCACTGGGAATTTATACCTCCCAGGAAAAATAAATCATGGTAAACAGGCAGAGATCTTTCCAGATTCCAGTTCTTGGGGGTAAAAGGTCCCCAAGATGCCCAGTTTGTGACAACCTGTTTTGAACTATTCAGCTCAAGGTTTCCATTTTTTCTCCCAGGGGAGTTGCCTCGATTCTGATGTGTTTGCTTCGGTGCTCTGTGTATTGTATTCATCCCACTCTTCAATTCATAAACTCTGGAGATTCTTCAATTCACTGGGCAAACCATATGCCTAAGTCTATCCTCTGATGGAGGCTCGTACATGCAAAATCCAATAGCAACCTGGGAAGATTTCAGTCAAGACCCAAGAGGAGGCTGGCATCAGGCTCTCGGTCACCGATCTTCACATTCAGGTTTCCTGATGCACTTTGCGACTCTTTGGGCAACCTCTGGACTCCTTGTTCCCAGGGTCCACATTTAGTTTTATCTTTACTGCATTGCTTTTATGAAAAAGAATAAAATTGGATGAAACAGATACAGAGTATTGGTGTCAACCTAAGTATTGGTGTCAACAAAGAGATGGTTTGGATCTGGTTCCCCACCACATCTTAGGTTGAGTTGGAATCCCCGGTTTGGAGGTGGCGCCTGGTGGGAGGTGACTGCATTATGCGGGTGGTTTCCATTGAATGGTTTACCACTGTCCCCCATGGTGCTGTTGTGGCGGAAGTGAGTTATCATCCAATCTGGTTGTTTAAAGGGTGCAACAACTTCCCCACCCCGTCCTGCTCCTGCTGTGGCCATGTAAGATGTGCCTGTTTCCCCTCTGCCTTCCGCCATGATTGTAAATTTCCTGAGGCCTCCCCAGCCGTGCTTCCTGTACTGCCTGTGGAACCGTGAGCCAATTTAAACCTCTTTTTCTTTATAAAATTACCCTGTCTCAGGTATTTCTTTATAGCAGCGTAAGGACTGACTAATACACTCTGTAATAGAAAAGATGTTTATTTGGGAGTATAGTAGTGCGCTGAGAATAGATGTGCCATATTAAACTGTGTTCATATTCAGGGAGGTAAAGGGGAAAAAAGGATTTTAAAGGAAATAATGAAGAGGATTCCATAATTCTTTTCAAATGATTATCCTTGGCTAAAAAGATCAATAACATGGTGACACCAGTCTGAGTTTGGACAGCCAGTTTTTGGGCAGATGTCCTCGTGGAAGTATTTTTCTTTGCAAGGGTGAGATTTTTGCAGTCTCTTACGATAGTTTTTGTTATCAGGCATATAAGCATAAAAACCATTAATATACACTAGAGATGCATTGAAGAGCTTATAAAATTGTTAAGGTTTTCTTCTTTGGTCAGTGTCTAAAATATGAGTCAGATATTTCCTTGGTTATCTTTGAGATTTATGTGGTCCCAGGTTTCTCCTGGGTGGGTAGAAATTACTGCAGCATGTACAAAACTGTCCTTCATGCCATATTTCTTCCTACCATTATACGATGAAAACTAACAAAAGAGAGTTTTATAAAATGTTCTTCCTCTTTCTCTCTGGTACCAATAGGAAGCACAATTGTTTCCCCATGGTTCTTCACAAAGGTTCTATTGCACTAAGTTTTAAAGCCTTGTGTATACACAATCACATTCACATATACCACACATACACGTGCATATACACAGTTACATCCGTACAGATACATACATGCACATGTATACACAGATAAACACATACATGCACAAATATAGACACATACACAGACACACATTCACATGTATGCGGACACACACACATAGACACATATACCTATGCACAGAAACCATACAGATATACACATACATAACATACATGCACAGGTATACATACAAACATACACAGATATGTGCATACACATATACACACATAACACATGCATGCACACATATCCACAAGCCTGCAGATATACACACGTACACACAGATATGCATATTCATACATACCAAACATACATTCATACTTACACCTATACACACACATACACAAACACATACAGAGATATACACACATGCACACAAATACATACACACATACATACACAGATACACATGTACATACATACCAAACATACATGCATACTTACACCTACACACATACACAAACACATATACACAAACACACATACACAGGGATATGCACATGCACACAGATACCCACATACACACGTACATACTCACATAGAGTTACACACACACACGTGCACACGCAACTTTGGCATAATGGAAATTTGATGATTGGTCATTGGAGTCAACCATACAGCCCCTGTCAGAAACAAAGGACCAAAGTCGAAGGGGACATGGATGCACAAACATCTCAACATCTACGGAACCACGTAACTTGGAGAAACATGCAACCAACTAAGGACAGAAGATTCGAGTGACTGCAACTCTGTTTTTTTTTTTTTTTTGAGATGGAGTTTCGCTCTTGTCACCCAGGCTGGAGTGCAATGGTGTGATCTCGGCTCACCGCAACCCCCGCCTCCTGGGTTCAAGCGATTCTCCCACTTCAGCCTCCTGAATAGCTGGGATTACAGGCATGCACCACCATGCCCAGCTAATTTCATATTTTTAGTAGAGATGGGGTTTCTCCGTGTTGGTCAGGCTGGTCTCGAACTCCCAACCTCAGGTGATCCGCCTCCCTCGGCCTCCCAAAGTGCTGCGATTACATGCGTGAGCCACCGTGCCCGTCCTAACTGCAGCTCTTACTTTGGAATTCAGGCAGCTACGGAGCCAAGATTCCTGGAGCCCACAGGCGTGTGGCTAATACATTTCCCTTCCTTTCCATAGAATTGGGTTGGTTTTGTTGCACTGGGTGTCTGGTAGCTCCGGAGAGAACAAATATAAATGTGAAAATGCATACCTTGGTCATCAGTGTTTCTCAACAATTCTCCATCCCACTTAACAAGGCCTCTGCTAGAACTCTGGGGTCCGTTCCAAGAGGAAAAACATCCCTGCCTAGAAGAAGCAAATGGAAGAATGTACTCTATGCTGCCATGTGTGTTCTCATCAGGCCTTATCTAAGTTTCTCACCAGGAGATGTTGAAAAATATTGCTTGATGGACGAAGGGTAACGTACTGCAGTTGTTTATTGAGAAATGCCAGCCGTCATCTCTTGCTCGTTAGCTGCTCTGAATGCTCTTAGAAGGCACCATTCATGCCGCTGTATTCGGGACTGCTGAATTGTGCCACATTCCTTGGTGTTACGCGTGTCTCTTGTTGATGAAGTTCTAACCACAGTGCCATTGTGAGGCTGGAAATGTCCTTGGGTGAAAAAGCGGCCCCTGGGTCACCTTTCCCATGATTCAGGTGCATGTGAACCCCTCTAGTGCTTTACTGCCAGGGTCCAGGAGAGAGGGAAAGAATGTCACTGTCCCAGCATCCTCTAATTTACTTGACAACACAATTGTTCTAGTGTCAAGAGTTTTGTTTTGTTTTGTTTTTGAGATAGAGACTCGCTCTGTCCCTCAGACTGGAGTGCAGTGGCACGATCTCGGCTCACTGTAACCTCTGCCTCCCGGGTTCAAGTGATTCTCCTGCCTCAGCCTCCTGAATAGCTGAGATTACAGGCACCTGCCATCATGCCTGACTAATTATATTTTTGTAGAGACGGGGCTTCACCGTGTCGGCCAGGCTGGTCTTGAACCACTGACCTCAGGTGATCCGCCTGCCTCAGCCTCCAAAAGTGCTGGGATTACAGGCCTGAGCCACCATGCCCAGCCAGGTATTTTTTTTTTTTTCTTCAGCTCAAGAATGAAGTTTTTCTTAGTATCCTGTAGCTAAAATGATGCTTCTCCAATTTTATTTATTAAAAACGCCTAACGCTGGCCGGGTGCAGTAGCTCACGCCTGTAATCCTAGCACTTTGGGAGGCCAAGGCAGGTGGATCACGGGGTCAGGAGATTGAGACCATCCTGGCCAACATGGCAAAATCCCGTCTCTACTAAAAAAAAATAGAAAAAATTAGCCGAGTGTGGTGGCGGGCGCCTGTAGTCCCAGCTACTCAGGAGGTTGAAGCAGAAGAAGCGCTTGAACCTAGGAGGTGGAGGTTGCAGTGAACCGAGCTCGCGCCGCTGTACTCCAGCATGGCAACAGAGTGAGACTGTTTCAGAAAAACAAACAACAAAAAAAAACAACTAATAGTAATGATCACATTTTTGGGCTCAAACATCTTAATTCTGGAAAGAGGAGATGCCACAATGGATACCACACTAAAGAGATGCTCTGGAGAATTTTGCAAGGGAAGAAATTGTCATCTTAGGGAGGGCACACTGGGGAAGCTTTTCAGACACTGGTCATTCACCGGTATGATTAGAAGAAATGCCACACAGACCTCAGGATACCTTGACCCAGACGGGGTCACTCTGATGCCTTCTGAAGTGAGAAATTGATCACGTTACCACAGCTAGTCACCACTCACTGGGTGACTTCAGACAAAGAAAATTGACGTTGTCACCGTTCCAAAGACCAGAAGTCTGAGATCTAGGCGTGAGCAGGGCTGCGCTACCCTGGAGGCTCTAGGGGAGGATCCTTCCTGCCTCTCCCAGCTCCTGGGGGTTCCAGGTGTTCCTGGGCTTGTGGCCACATCACTCCAATCCCTGCCTCCATCTCCACGTGGCCGCCTCCTCTGTGTCTCCAAATCTCTATCTCCTTGTAAGGACACTAGTAATTGGATTTAGGGCCCACCCTAAATCTGGGATGATCTCATCTCAAGATCCTTCACTTAAGTATGTCTGCAAGGAACCTATTTCTAAATAAGATCCTGTTTCTACATTTTGAGGGTGAGGACATGCACATCTTTTTTTTCTTTTTTTGAGACAGACTCTCACTCTGTCACCCAGGCTGGAGTGCAATGGCACGATTTCAGCTCACTGAAACCTCCACCTCCTGGGTTCAAGCGATTCTCTTGCCTCAGCCTCCTGAGTAGTTGGGATTACAGGCGTCCACCACCACACCTGGCTAATTTTTGTATTTTTAGCAGAGACAGGGTTTTGCCATGTTGCTCAGGCTGGTCTCGAACTCCTGACCTTGTGATCCGCCCGCCTCAGCCTCGCAAAGTGGTGGGATTACAGACGTGAGCCACTGTGCCTGCCGCACATATCTTTTTATGACTCACAACAATATGCAACTCTGGCATGCAATCATGCTAGTGGTTTACTTGGGCAGACCCTCCAGGCCTGCGTGGCAAGGGAGTGGGGGTTCACGCCACAGCAAAGAGGAGGAAGGAAAACCCCTGTGCTTCAGCTTTTTCGGATCACAGGAAAGAGCAAACCCAGCAATTCAAGGGCAGCGGTCAAAGACTGCAGGTATAGAGCATGAGAAGCAGTGAGCACAGGGCTGGAGGGGGGCACAGAAATGGTAGCAAAGGTCAGGGATATGAGGGGATAGCTTGAGGTGGGGCCGACCTTCATGGGAGGGATGGCAGAAGGCGAAGATGATTCAAAGGGAGGATGGGGCACCGGTAACATCAGCTCCAGGAGCTCAGGAAAGTGTAGAAGGGAGCTCCTTCTCCATCCAAGACTGACCCCGTGTCTCTCACGCTTTGGTGCAAGGATGCATGGATGCTGAGACTCATAGGAAGGGTGTGTGAGGCATGAAGCATGTGGGAAGTGGAAAAAGGGAAAGAGGAGGAGAAGGGCTGTGGGGAAATAAGTGAGTAGAATTGAGGAAACAGACCATTGACTTAATTCTTGAAAGGATTCAAAGGCCAGGTGCAGTGGCTTATGTCAGCAACCCCAGTTACTCAAGAGGCTGAGAGAGGAGGATCACCTGAGACCAGGAGTTTGAGATCAGCCTGGGCAACATGGTGAAACTCCGTCTCTACTAAAAATACAAAAATTGGCTGGGCAGGCTGGTGGGCACCTGTAATCCTAGCTACTTGGGAGGCTGAAGCAGGAAAATTGCTTGAACCAGGAGGCATAGGTTGCAGTGAGCTGAGGTCGTGCCATTGCACTCCAGCCTGGGCGATAGAATGAGACTCTGTCTCAAAAACAAAAAAACAAAACAAAAAAGATACGGGTTGAGCACAGTTGCTCATCCCTGTAATCCTAGCACTTTGGGAGGTTAATGCAGGAGGATTGCTTGAGACCAGGAATTCAAGTCCAGCCTGGGCAACATAGTGAGACCCCATCTCTAAAAAAACAACAAGAAAAACACAAAAATATACATCATGACACCTGTATTCACACTCCTCATATACTGCAGACAAATGCCATTTTGAAGAGAGGGAGCTTTATTCCTGAGTGGGCGGAGGAAGAAGGATGAATTGAGGAAGTGTGTTCATTACTTGTCAGCTGCCAACACTGAAAACAACACATGTTTATTTTCTTACATTTCTGTAGGTCAGGAGTCTGAAATGGATTTCACTATTTTAAAATCAAGGTGTTGGGAGGCTTGCAGTCTCTCCAGAATCTCTAGGAGAGAATTCATTTCTTACTTTTTCTAGTTTTTACAAGCCACCTGCCATCCTTGGCTCATTAGCCGTTACCCCATCTTCAAAGCACATGACTCCGACCTCTGCTTCCATCCTCACATCCCTTTTTTCTGCGGTTAAATATCTCCCTTCCTCTCCTTATAAAAGCCCTGGGACCCCACTGTGATTCCATAGATCATTCAAAAAATGTCCCCATCTTAAGAACCTTACCTGAATCCTATCTGCAAATTCCTCTTTGTCCTAAAAGTTCACAAGTTCTAAGAATTAGGATGTGGGCATCTCTGGGGACCAGGATTGTACCTGCCACATAGGGTTTGAACACCTGATGGGATCTGGGAGCCTGATGAGGGAGGGTGTCACCCCTGAGGGGCTGGGTCAAAGTGAACCAAGTAGCTAGAACAGGTGGTCACAAGAAGTTGGTGATTCCCAAGGGCACCAGCTTGGGAGAAGTAAGTGGGGCAGCTGGGGACCCCTCCACCTCTAGGGTCATGGATTTGGAGCCAGGCACTGAGAGCCTCCCACCAGGAGAGGGCACCGTCTACATATAAAGAGAAAGATAGGCCGGGCACAGTGGCTCCTGCCTGTAATCCCAGCACTTTGGGAGGCCGAGGTGGGTGGATCATCTGAGGTCAGGAGTTCGAGACCAGCCTGGCCAACATAGTGAAACCCCGTCTCTACCAAAAATACAAAAATTAGCCGGGTGTGGTGGCGGGTGCCTGTAATCCCAGTTACTCGGGAAGCTGAGACAGGAGAATTGCTTGAACCCAGAAGGTGGAGGTTACAGTGAGCCAAGATCACACCACTGCACTCCAGCCCGGGCTGGAGTGAGACTCAGTCTTAAAACAACAACTAGCTGGGCGTGGTGGCACACACCTGTAATCCCAGCTACTTGGGAGGCTGAGGCACGAGAATCGCTTAAACTTGGGAGGCGGAAGTTGCAGTGAGCCGAGATCACGCCACTGCACTCCAGCCTGGCTGACAGAGCGAGACTCCATCTCAAAAAAGAAAAAAAAAAAAAAAAAGAGAGAGAGAAAGATACACATTGTATATGCAGCAGGACCAGGCCTAAAAGCAACTAACACTAACAGAGAAGTTTTCAAACCTCAGGAAGATGGACCCAAGCCATATCACTGGCTTCTTTTCAAGGGAAAATTTGATTTTTTTTTCCCTTAACTGAACTCTTTTGGGCCACCCTGTTGACTGTAATGAGCACAGACTGCGTTTATCGTGGGAAATGAACTTTGCAATGAATTACTCCAAGAAATGATGCCGTTAGCAATGGGTACATGAGTGGAAGCAACAGCAGCGTGGGATCAGAGCCAGGATCTGAGAGATGCAGAGCTGGGAGGCAGGAGAAAGCTGTCTGGGAGCAAGCAGAGGGTGCTAGACCCAATGAACATGGCAAGCAAGGCTAGACCCTGAGGACAGTCAAAGGGCCATTTTCAAGGTTGAGGACTGACTGTGGCCTCACTGTGTTCCCCTCCATGGCACGCCATACCTGAGCTCCTCTTTCCCTCCTCACTGAGCCCCACAGGATCCTCGGTTCCATCGACCACAGGCCCTTTGCACGTACCACACTTGCTACACAAAACTTTCTGCCTCTACCTTGTGCTGTCTTCATACTTCAATTGTCAGCTCCACTGTTAGCTCCATGGTCACTTGCCCTTAAAAGTTCACATCTGTGGCCGGGTGCAGTGGCTCACTCCTGTAATCCCAGCACTTTGCGAGGCCGAGGCGGGCGGATCACGGGGTCAGGAGATTGAGACCATCCTGGCTAGCACGGTGAAACCCCATCTCTACTAAAAATACAAAAAAAATAGCTGAATGTGGTGGCATGTGCCTGTGGTCCCAGCTACTCAGGAGGCTGAGGCAGGAGAATCACTTGAACCTGGGAGGCGGAGGTTGCAGTGAATGGAGATTGCGCCACTGCACTCCAGCCTAGGCGACAGAGCGAGACTCTGTCTCAAAAAAATTTAAAAAAAAATAAAAAAGTTCATATATCTGTGTCCCTGCCTGACCCAAGCTGACCATGTTATAAGCATCTAGAAGCCTCACCTCCTTACTGCGGCTCTGACCACGGCACTACTTTTATATCCTGTGGGCAATTTTGTTTAAATATCCGCTTTCCTCGTTAGACGCTAAGCAACATGGGAGTGAGTGTCTGGCCATGGTTTGCTCATCTGTGCATCTCCAGGACTGGCTGGGTTCCTGGGTATGAAGAAGCAGCGGTCCACACACATGGGTGAACCTGTGCTTCTTCTCACCACTACACTGCTTGGCTTCCTTATTTCCTTCCTGTCACCTGGAATGCCTACCCTGTACTTCTCTCCAGCTCCAACACCATCATTTACCACCTCGTTCAGCTCCCAGGCATCCTAGAAGCCTTTCCTGACCACAGGGGTGCATCGTGGTGCACAATTCCTTCAGCTGCCACTATGGTGCAAGATGAGTCTAGAAGAACAGTTTTGCTGTGCGGTCACCCTTACTCACTATTGTGATTTTGCCTTTAACATATTGAAAAAGACACAGAAAACACACACCATCCGATCAGTTAGTTGCAGACACATCGCCCGATGCTAAGAATGTGCTGTGTTTTAAATTGACGTCTGTTGGCTCTTCAGCTTCTGCTCTGGGCTTCTTATGTCCCCACTCGGCCCTGAATCCCATTCCCCCAAATCTCAGTAACTTTGGTGGCTTTTGCACCAGCCAAAATCAGATCCTAGGTCTTGAGCAAAACCAAGAGCAAGGAAAAAAATCCCACATGGGAATCTGAGACCTCACTCTAATGACTTCAGTTGCTGTTGACTTGATTTCCTTCAACTGCCGAAGGAGGTTAGAACAGTTTCCTCTTGCTTCTAGGACAAAGCATCACAGACTTTGCAGCTTAAAACAATGCACATTTCTTTGCTTACAGTTCTGGAGGTAAGAAGTCTGAAATTAGTTTCCTGGGGCTCCCATCAAGGTGTCAGCAGGGCTGGCTTCCTTCTGGAGGCTCTAGGAGAGAAACGGTTTGCTTGACATTTCCAGCTTCTAGAGGCTGCCTACACGCCTTATTATGTAGCTGCTCCCTCCATCTTCAAAGCCAGCAGTGTAGCATCTTCCAATCTCTCTCTAACTCTGACCCTCTTGCTTCCCTCTTTCCATGATAAAGACCCATGTGATAACATTGGTCCTACCTGGGTAATCCAGTAATGTCTTCTCATCTCAAGCTCAGCTGATCAGCAACTTTCATTCCATCTGCAACCTTCATTTCCCTTGCACAGGTTCTGGGAATCAGGACATGGATATCTTTGGAGCCTGCTATTGCTTCTACCTACAACTGGTGTTACAAGACTTGGCCCACTTAATCTTGCAAATTCTTTCTGCCCCTCTCCTGTGCTTAATGAGATCTGTTCTCTATGAATGTTCAGGACCTCAGGAGTAGGGACCCCAAAGGCTGGGGGCAAAGTAGATGTGACAGGTGCCAAGCATAGGATGTGTGACCAGATTCGGTCATGTGATTACATTGTGAAGTGACCCAGGCATTTTCATTAAGAAGGAAAGTGGTTGTAGGAGGAGGAAATTGAACACAACCCACACATGGGTGGTTGGAAAATCTGAGACCTCTCGTGGGCATGCTCATCCATTTCACTCACCGGTACAGGGGAAATTCTTAGACCTGTCAGTGCAACTATTTGAAATAAACATCCAAGAAAGGCAGCAAACTTCAGGTAGGATGAAGTCAGAAGTCCACCCTGAAGCACAGTAAAAGCCACAAGACAGAAGTGACTGATCCCATCCCAGGGATCCTAAAGAAGATTATCATCAGACTTCTCATTGGAAACTTTGGAAGTCGGAAGGCAGTAGGCTGATAAATTCAAAATGCTAAAAAAGAAAACCAATGAAAACATGCTAACCAAGAAAAAAAAATGCTACATGGCTGAAGAAATCATGCAGAAATCTTAGCAACATTTTAAATGATCCAACAAGGTCTGTTGTTTCTGCGCAAATATGGGCAAACATGAGCTGGTATAGCTTATTTTTATGGGTGCAGGGAGCATGCAGTTATCTCCACTAGCATGTTTTTGTTTGTTTGCTTTGAGATGGATTCTCACTCTGTCGCCCAGGCTGGAGTGCAGTGGCACAATCTTGGCTCACTGCAACCTCCGTCTCCCGGGTTCAAGCAGTTCCCTGCCTCAGCCTCCTGAGTAGCTAGGATTACAGGTGCCCACCACCATGCCCAGCTAATTTTTGTATTTTTAGTAGAGATGGGGTTTCAGCATCTTGGCCAAGGCTGGTCTTGAACTCCTGACCTTGTGATCCACTCACATCAGCCTCCCAAAGTGCTGGGATTACAGGTGTGAGCCACCGCATCCAGCCTGTTTTTCTTTTCAACTCATGCATAGGTTCAGAATTTAGTTCCAGGTATGTGAGAGCTCCTTGTAGATGTTTTTCATGATGAGGCACCTGGCTTACCAGACTTTATCTGACTTCTTGCTTTATCTTCCCAACAGTTCAGCACCGTGGTGCGGTACAGGGTCCCATTAGCAGGTCTCATTTCCCACCACTGACTGAACATCAGCAGGCTCAATCCACAAGTCAGGGGCTGGGGATGTCTTGTCAAGAATTCCCTCTTTAGGGGCAGGAATGAAATTTATAACAACATCCATACTGTTTGATGGAGCCCTCTCTACATGGCAGGTGCTTTGCAAGCACTTTCAGAAAATCTGCACCAAACCTTATAGTAAGAATGATCGCTGTCATTCTACAAGTCAGAAACTTGAAGATCAGATTGGTGACATGTTCAGCTAATGCACTGCTAATAAACAGCAGAAGTGAAATTCAAATATCAAGACATTTGTCCTCAAAGTCTATGCTTGTAACTAGATTATGGCCCTGATATCCTAGGGGTGAATCAGTTTCAGTTTCCCTTCCTGGACCCCCAGCAAGTAGTACATGGGAATTATTCTAGTCCGGTATAGCGGGGAGCAGTGTAAACAGATAAACAAGGTTTTCCGGGGCCCTGGTTTAGGCAAATAAATCTTACAACTTATCTGGCTCTTTCAAGTCGACTTCAGACTTCGCCTTGCTTTCTAGACTGTTTTGCCTAATGGAAAATAGTGTTTGTATCTTTAGAAAATGTAATACGTGATTTTCCCCTCTCAATATTTTGCAGGTCAGAGATATTGCTTTGATCTATTTTCACATAATAATTATTATTTGAGGTCTCAAGACCAGCATCTTCATCTGTGTGGGGCTCTGAGTTAAGGGCTTTCCAGAGACTCACTCCTGCCGTTTCTTCTAACTCCCTTGAGCAGAGGCCAGCAGTAGAGAAACTTGATAAATAACACAAGTGCTATAATCCCTGAGTCCTCTAAGAAATGAGACACAAAGGAAAGATCCAGGGACATTTTCACAGATGTGCCCAATTCCAGTGGCCCCAGGTTTCCCACCCTGCTGTTGATATTCTGCCACCCATAGTCGTGATCATCTGGCTACAAAACAGCAGGCAAGGCTGTGCATGAGTGATGTTACAGGTGGGCTCATGGCTACATGGATGTCTAGACATGTCTAGGTGTCCATATGCAGGACCTGAGGGAAAGTGAGAAGGAGGGAGGGATGGGTGAATAGATGGATAGATAAATGGATGGAAAGGTGGACGAATGGATAGATGCATGAATGGATGGTGAATTGGTGGGTAAAATGGAGGGATGGATGGGTGTTTGGATGGATATTTGGATGGATGGATGGATGGATGGATGGATGGATGGATGGATGAGTGAATGGCTGAGTGGATGGGTAGACAGGTGGATGGATGGAGAGATGGATAAGTGTTTGATGGATGAATAGACACATACATGGATGGACAGGTGTTTGGGTGGATGTGTAGGTGGAAAGGTGGATAGATAGATAGATGGGTGGATGGATAGAGGGACTGATGGATCACTGAATACATGTGTCAATGAATGGGGGATGTATCATTGGAGGGATGGGTGAGTGGTATGGTGGATGAGTAGATGAATGAGTGGGTGGATAGATGGATGGATGGATGGATGGATGGTTGGATGGATGGTAAGGTGGATGAGTAGATGGGTGGATGGGTGGATGGATGGATGGATAGATGGATAGGTAGATAAGTAGATGATTGGATGGATGGATGCATGAGTAAACAGGTTCATGGATGGGTGGATGAGTGGATAGATGGATGGGTGGATGTGGGTGGCTGGATAGATATGTAGATAGATGCAAAGGTGAATGCAAAGAGAAGGATAGATTTATGAGGATGCAAGTGAGAATTTTTCTCCTTAGGTCATCAGGGGAAAATTAAATCCTTACCCACGGAGACATCTTTCATTTGAGTCAGGCAGAGGCCCTCTTTTTCTCTCTCCTGGTGACCAGGACAAAGAGAAATGCAGGTGTAGAGAGCTCTGATCAGGGAGCCCTGCCTGCCTCCTGTCCTGGGTGACCTTTACCAAATCCTCTCCTGCGTTGGGTCTCCCTAACCTTGATTTTCAAATGGTGGCTTCAGGGCTTTGCCTTTTCTGTGTCTGTGGTTCTCTGTCATCTATCAAGTCTCCCAGGGAGCCCCTTCTTGCCTCCCCTCTGTCCCTTTGGCCCCCACTCCAGACCCCAGACTGGGTTCAGGGTTCCTCTCTAGAAGTCACTGATGGGAGCCCACACCCTGAAAATGCCTTTAGTCTTCATTCCAGCCTCTCCTCTCTGCCAAGTGAGCTGCCCTTGCTGGCAGCAGTCACTTCCTCACACAGGGGGATGCTTGTTCCAGCACACTGAGTAAGTGCTGTCTCCTGAGTGGGAATTGGCTTGGCACAGGCGACCGTATGACTGTTTCAAAAAGTCATTCAAATTCTTTGTCTTGTACATCCTGTCTGGAAGCACGTATATACATTCCCGCCTCCCCACTGGGCACGCTCTTACCCTTGCGCTGCCATTCTGGTGCTAGGAGCTGTTTGTGCTGTCCACTGGGTGGACAGAGACGTCTTCCCCATGAAAAGAGGAATCAGGGTTTTCATGTATCTCTTAGAAGCCGGGCATTTGGCACCGGGGCTCATGAACAGCTGATTTTTGAAGTGGTCCCAGGGAAAGCTCAGTTGGTGACTGATAAGAAGAAGGTCTGGGCTGGGTGCAGGTCTCACGCCTGTAATCCCAGTACTTTTGGAGGCCGAGGCAGGCAGATCAGTCAGGAGATTGAGACCATCCTGGCCAACATGGTGAAACCCCGTCTCTACTAAAAATACAAAAATTAGCTGGCCATGGTGGTGCACGCCTGTAATCCCAGGTACTCGGGAGGCTGAGGCAGGAGATTCGCTTGAATCCCGGAGGTGGAGGTTGCAGTGAGCTGAGATCATGCCACTGCACTCCAGCCTGGGCGACAGAGCAAGACTACGTCTCAAACAAAAAAAAAAAAAAAAAAAAAAAGAAGAAAGGAAGAAGAAGAAGAAGAAGAAGAACATCTGAAGAATTGGGATACTGAGGCATCATCTTCCTTGCCCAGTGGATCTGTGGTTTCATACCCTGGGTCTCCTGAAGCTTTGGGGTTTTTCTCATTTTTTTTTTCTTTGAGATGGAGTCTTTTTTCTTTATAAATTATCCAGTCTTAGTTATTTCTTTATAGCAATGTGAGAACAAACTAATGGTGCTGGTCTCCTCAAGGAAACTCCTGCCACACCCCCTCCCTCATCTTCTTTCTCTCTGTCTTTTTGTTTTGAGGTGGAGTCTAACTCTCTCGCCCAGGCTGGAGTGCAGTGGTGCGATCTTGGCTCACTGCCACCTCCGCCTCCCGGGTTCAGGTCATTCTCCTGCCTCAGCCTCCCGAGTAGCTGGGATTACAGGCGCCCGCCACCATGCCCGGCTAATTTTTGTATTTTTAGTAGAGATGGGGTTTCACCATGTGGGCCAGGCTGGTCTTGAACTCCTGACTTCAAGCGATCCACCTGCCTCAGCCTCCCAAAGTTCTGGGGTGACAGGCGTGAGCCACCGCACCTGGCTGGGGATCCTTTTTCATCTCTGGTGGACAACAAGGTGTATTTTCCTCTTGCTGGTCCAGGGGGCAGCAGAGGGAGAAGGAGACTACAGTGTTTGGGGGTCCGTGTGTGTGTTCTTTTCCCCCCTGGTGCCTGCTGTGGGAGGTCACATAATGCAGATGGATAATGATGGCACAGACATATCCTCGCTGTTGGCCTCTCCCACTTTACTTCATTTGTGATGGATGCACCACCCATTGAGTTGATTATAAAAGGCTGATAAGGCTGGGCACGGTGGCTCACACCTGTAATCCCAGCACTTTGGGAGGCCAAGGCAGGCGGATCACCTGAGGTCGGGAGTTCGAGACCAGCCTGACCAACATGGAGAAACCCCATCTCTACTAAAAATACAAAATTAGCTGGGCGTGGTGGTACATGCCTGTAATCCCAGCTACTCAGGAGGCTGAGACAGGAGAATCGCTTGAACCAGGGAGGCAGAGGTTGCGGTGAGCAGAGATCGTACCATTGCACTCCAGCCTGGGCAACAAGAGGGCAACTCCATCTCAAAAAAATAAATAAATAAAATAAATGAATACATAAATAAAAGGCATAATAAGCAAATTGCTAACTGTGGGGTCTGTGACTATGGACTCTTTCTTGTGTTCAAAATAGCTTTTCTGCAGAGTTAACTGTGCAAACCCAGGACAGCAGATTCTGTTTGTGCCCTTCAAGTGGTTTAGATTTCAGATTACCAAGATAGAAAAATATGTTTGACTACCTGTCCACAGTTCTGTATTTTCAGTTCTTATAATGGGACTACAAATAAGACAACCTGAGCCTTTGTTTCCCATACCCCTGAATGCACAGAACCAGAGTTCTGAACGATGTTTTTGTTTGTTTGCTTTTGAGATGGAGTTTCACTCTTGTCGCCCAGGCTGGGTGCAATGGTGCGATCTTGGCTCATTGCAACCTCCGCCTCCGAGGTTCAAGTGATTCTCCCACCTCAGCCTCCCAAGTAGCTGGGATTACAGGCATGTGACACCACACTCGGGTAATTTTTTGTGTTTTTAGTAGAGACGGGGTTTCACATGTTGGCCAGGGTGGTCTTGAACTCCTGACCTCAGGTGATCCACCCATGCGGCCTCCCAAAGTTGTTGGGATTACAGGCGTGAGCCACTGTGCCAGGCCTGAGCAATGTTTAAATCCTCAAAGCATCACTAGAATTCTGATAACTGTTTTTACAAAGAAGGAAAGGAATCATTATTGGCAAGGATGTGGAAACATTAGAATTCTCCTACTTTGCTGGTGGGAAGTTAAAGTGGTGTAGCCACTATGGAAGGCAGTTTTATGGCTCTTCAGAAAATTAAACACAGAATTACCAAGTGATGTAGCAATCCTACTTCTACCTAATACCTAAAGATACTGAAAACAAATGTGTAAACAGAAATTTGTACACAAATGTATGTAGCAATATCCAAAATGCCAAAAGGTGAAAACAGTCCGATGTCCATCTAATACTAAATGGATAAACCCCATGTGTTCCATCCATACAATGGAATATTATTCAGCCACGAAAAGGAATGAAACAGTCACATGCTACAACATGAATGAACCTTGAAGACGTTATGCTAAGTGCAGAAAGAGAGACACAAAAGGTCACATATTGTAGGAGTCCATTTATATAAAATGTCCAGAATAGTTAAAGCCATCAAGACAGAAATTGAACTCATGGTTGCTTAGGGCTGGGGGCAGGGAAAATGAACAGTGATTACTTGATAGGTACGAAGTTTCCTTTGGCGGTGATGGCAGGGTTCTGGAACTAGATAGCAGTGATGGTGGCATAACACTGTGGATGTAGTCAATGCGCCTGAATTGTTCACTTAAAAATGGTAAAAACGGGCCGGGCGCGGCGGCTCACGCCTGTAATCCCAGCACTTTGGGAGGCCGAGGCAGGCGGATCATGAGGTCAGGAGTTCGAGACCAGTCTGGCCAACATGGTGAAACCCCGTCTCTACTAAAAATACAAAAATTAGTTGGCTCTGGTGGCGCATGCCTGTATTGCTAGCTACTCAGGAGGCTGAGGCAGAAGAATCGCTTGAACCCGGGAGGCGAAGGTTGCAGTGAGCTGAGATTGCGCCACTGCACTCCAGCCTGGGCGACAGAATGAGACTCCGTTTCAAAAAGAAAAAAAAAAAAAAAAAAGATGAAAACAGGCTGGGTGCAGTGGCTCACACCTTTTAATCTCAACTCTTTGCGAGGCCAAGGTGGGAGGATTGCTTGAGCCTAGGAGTTGAAGACCAGAGTGGGCAACACAGATCCAGTCTCTACCAAAAAATTTTAAAAAATCAGCTGGGCACGGTGGCGTGTGCTTGTAGTCCCGTCTCCTCTGGAGGCTGAGGTGGGAGGATCACTTGAGCCCAGGAGGTCAAGGCTGCAGTGAGAGGTGTTTCTGTCACTGCACTGCAGCCTGGGTGACAGAGGGAGACCCCCATCTCTAAAACAAATAAATACATATGTACACAAATGAAAAGGTTAAATGATGAAATTAATGTTATGGGTATTTTTCCACAACAACATGCTTCCCCACAGAAATCTCAGTGGAGAAGACAGGAGTGTGGCAGACCAACATGCTTCTGGAGCTCCACAAAGCTGTCCCTTTAATTGGCAGCACGCCTGGTGAAGGCTGTTTGCTTTGTGGACGTTGACCTCCACCTGCTGGCCCAGTGACTCCTGCTATCTTCATTTTGTCCAGTTCACCTCTCAGTCCCCAGAGCCGTACAACCATCTATAGGTTCTTGCTTCTCCCTTTTCCCCTAGAAGCATCTCCTGGGAATCACCCCTGACCAAAAGCCCCAGGCACCTCTCCAAGACCCCCTACAGAAGCCTAAACAGCCCTTACATTCATTGCCTTTGGACCTACCCGAAGTCAACAAGTTCCAAACTCGTCAGAAACTGGGAGAAGTCTCAGCCCCAAATCAATAGCAGCCGTTGTCAGCTCCTCCCAGCTCAAAGTCCCCCAGAGATCGGTTCCCTGGTCTGAGTCAGGAACGAGAGACTGAAAAGCATGGGGATCTGGTGCTTTTTCTTCATAGGGTTAGTCGCTTTCCCCACCAAAAAACCTACCAACTGAAAGATCACTGATTGGATGGGTCAACCAGCCTCAGCTACCAGATGTCTTTGAGATGGGGAGCCAGCCCCCTAAAGCTGAGTCTCTGTGTGTGGCTTCCAAATACCTGGTCCCCTGGGTGCAGACAGAAGAGAGGACGCAGAGGCTGGACATCTCCCAGAGGAGGGGGAGACTGGCTGGTCACCAGATAATCTTGCTTCCCTCTCTGATGTCATAGGAACATGAACAGACTTGGAGATGCTGATTGAAAGTACATGTCACCTGAAGGAGACATTGGTTCCAGAGCCATTAATTCCTAACCTCCTACCATACTCTCTGCATGGTGGAAGATGCCAGAACATTCTCAGAGCTTGAGAAAAAAGAGGAATTGAGAGAAGGGACGGGGGTCAAGAGATAGAGAAGGTGAGAGGAATGTGAGAGAAGCAGGGGACGGAGGAGAAGAGAGGAAGGATAACTCAGAAGCTCAGGTCTAACTTCACCCCACTCCCCTTAGGACCCCCCCACTCTAACTGTTGTTTCTGAGAGTTCCTGGGGGCCACCCATAAACAATGAGGTTAAATGTAAATGGAAGGGCAGGACTCTGTTGAAGTCTGCAGAAGGTACCCTGTTGGCTGCATAGTCACCAGCTCTCATGACCCAAAGAGGAGAGTGAGCAGGTGACTGGATCATCAGTGAGGGTAAATCTGGAAGACAGAATTGGAGCCAGGTGCAGTGGCTCACAACTGTAACCCCAGCACCTTTGGAGGCCAAGGTAGAAGGAGCACTTGAGCCTCAGGAGTTTGAGACCAGCCTGGGCAACATAGCCAGACCCTGTCTCTACAAATAATTTTTAAAAATTCATTGAAGGATTTCTAAAGACCACTTGAGTGGTTTATGTCTCCTGGAGTCAGAACCCAGGGAGGATTTTTGCTGAAATACCAAAGCCGCAGGGAGCATGAATAGAGATGTTCAGACAGAAATTAAGTTTGAAGAAATAGACTTTGGCAGAGAGGCACGTGGCCACAGACAAGAACTCATCATGCATTCATTCTTTCACTCACTCAGCAAACATTAAATGGACTCTGTCTAACTGCATTTCCCTCTCTTGACAAGAGGGATACATCGGAGAGAGACAGGCTGAAGGAATGTAGAGTTGATATTGGACCTGGGAGCTTTCCAAAGGCACTGTGCTCTCCTGTGCCCTTCTTCGCATCCCAGTCTCTACGATGTTGACCGTGTTCGTGGGTTTCACATTGCTGTTGACATACCAGAAAGAATATGCATGAACCACAGTGACAAATGTCATTCATAATCATTTTCAGCACAGAATAACCTACAGAAATGTCTTCTGTGTACCTTCCCCTGCAATATTTTGTGATTCTGATGCAACTGGAGACAAAACATCTCTTATCCATGGCCTCTCTTGAATCAATTTTATCTCCAATCTGCCTTTTCATGGGTACTCTAACAAGAAAGCAAACAAGGAAAGTTCAGCTGGTCTAGCAGTTCTGAGACAGCAAATTATCTCACTGTTGATGTGGACAAAGAGCCTCTTGCAGAAAGACTATACTTAACTCTGAGAATCTGGGTCCCAGCTTTTTTTTTTTTAATCCAGAGAGACGTAAATCTGAAAGAATCTGAGTCCCAGCCGAGCTGAGAGAGGAGTAAAATCACGGAGGCATGCCTCCACTCAGAACACATCATTATCGTGCTTTTATATGGAAGGCACAGCCATTCACTCATTGTCCGATAGACGTTTCCATTGAACGTTGGATCTCTTCAAACCAAGTGTCTGCAAACATGATGGGTTTTGCACTGATGCTGAGGATGAATCCAACAGGAAAGATACAGAGAAACATCACATTGCACCCCAGAGACATATGCAATTATTGTTTATTGATTAAAAATATAATGAAAATTAGGAGGCTGAGGCAGGTGGATCATGAGGTCAGGAGTTCGAGACCAGCCTGGCCAATATGGTGAAACCCCGTCTCTACTAAAAATACAAAAATTAGCCGGGTGTGGTGGCACGCACCTGTAGTCCCAGCTACTCGGGAGGCTGAGACAGGAGAATCGCTTGAACCCGAGAGGTGGAGGTTGCAGTGGGCCGAGATGGTGCCACAGCACTCCAGTCTGGGTGACAGAGCAAGACTCTGTCTCAATAATAATAATAATGAAAAATAAAAGAGGAACAAGGGAAACCAAAAGTAAGCGTATAGAAGAGCAGTTTAACATGCAATTTCATTTTATTTATTTCTGCTTTAAGTTTATTATTTAAATGGTATCTCAAACGAAGAAGGCTGGCCACTCGTTCCCTCTTCTGTTACCCTATCATTGGAGGTTTTGTTCTTTGCCTTGGTATGTTGAGAGAACCCAGAGGTCTGTGAGTAAAATTCCGGGGTTTTGTCAACTCAGATGGGACAAAGTCTACATCTCTGGGTTCACTCACTTGTAACTGAAATTCAGCATTGCCTGTGGACATAGGCAACATCCCACAACAATGTTAGTCTTGCCTGTAGATTTCTCACCAACCATTATCACAAATACTTTCCTATCCCTGTACAGGAGTTGCAGATGAAATATCCTTTATGCTCATGACCACTTCAGCGTTACTGTGCATCTTGGACCTGCCTCAAATTATTTTAATCTTATGAATATCTAATGCATTACTGTGTTTCCATTGCACAAAATAAAACAATGACTTAGCAGTTGCCCAGGCGAGGGGAACCACTTCCAACAGGTGGGACTAATCATTCAGGGTTTTCGAAAGTTCTCTGTGTAGTTGGATTTTAAGCTCCTGAGTTAATCTGATAGAACTTTCTCATCTGGTTTTAAGAAGTGTGGTTAATGGGGATCTCTTGACTGTAGAATCAGTTTTAAAACACCACATTTACTTCTGACAGTAGGTAAATTTTACCTTGGGCAGAATTGTATGGCCTTGGTGGTAGTTAGTATAAATTAGTATGAATTAACTTGGGCATATGTGAAAATTACTATAGCATAAATTAATGAAGGCCTATGTGAAATTTTGCAATTATTTTCTGTATTCACCTAAAATGGCATTGCACTGGAAATATAGTATGCTTCTTTTGTGATTTCTACATATCTCTGTTTTTTTCTCATATCAGATTCTACTTTACCCCTCAGTGACAGTCATTTTACACCCCTCTCTGTCTCAATGTCCTAGGCACCCTGGGACCATCCTGGCTGGAAGGCATAGTGACATTGCTGGCCTGAGCTGAAGTGCCGATTAAAATAAATTGAAAGCTGAATTACCTTATGAACAGCTGCTTTACCCAGGAACAAATGTGGAGAGGAACTCCTTGAAACTGTGTTCTCAAGTAGACCACTTTTGAGAAATTATACATTTATCATAACATCTCAAGTCCTGCTCTACATAGAATGACCATTATTATCAAGAAAAGTTCTCCATTCCCTGTAATTCATAAGGCAATGCAGGCCTAACCAGAAAACAGGAACTGCGACAACCTTGCATCAGACACATTCGATCTCTCTATTCATAGTTGCATTCTCTTTTTTTTTGTTTACAAAGCCAATCACCAATAACTCGGAAAACAAAAACAAAAAAAAAAAAATGAACACATTGTTGAGCTCGCTTCTGAGAAAGATTCTGCATTGTGAATGTCAGGATTCCACATTTCTGAAGCACCTTTGCTCCTCCAGAAAGCATATCTCTAGTTTCATGGTGATACGAGAGAGAAATGACAATTGTCTGTATTATCAGGATGGCCCATTGTGCTCTGTGGATCTCAATCAATGTGGACATCAGCCATGATCAAGCTCTTTCTTTTCTCTCTCTCTCCTTCCTTCCTTCCCCCTTCCCCTCCCCTCCCCCTTTCCCTTTCCTTTACCTTGTTTCTTGCTTCCCTTCCCCCTCCCCTTCCCTTCCCTCCTCTCTCCTCCTCCCTCCCCCCTTCCCCCTCCCCTTCCCTTCCCCCTCCCCTTCCCTTCCCCCTCCCCTTCCCTTCCCCCTCCCCTTCCTTCCCCTTCCCTTCCCCCTCCCCTTCCCTTCCCCCTCCCCTTCCTTCCCCTTCCCTTCCCCCTCCCCTTCCCTTCCCTCCCCTCTCCCCTTCCCTTCCCTCCCCTCTCCCCTTCCCTTCCCCCTCCCCTTCCTTCCCCTTCCCTTCCCCCTCCCCTTCCCTTCCCTCCTCTCTCCTCCTCCCTCCCCCCTTTCCCCTCCCCTTCCCTTCCCCCTCCCCTTCCCTTCCCCCTCCCCTTCCTTCCCCTTCCCTTCCCCCTCCCCTTCCCTTCCCCCTCCCCTTCCTTCCCCTTCCCTTCCCCCTCCCCTTCCCTTCCCTCCCCTCTCCCCTTCCCTTCCCTCCCCTCTCCCCTTCCCTTCCCTCCCCTCTCCCCTTCCCTTCCCTCCCCTCTCCCCTTCCCTTCCCTCCCCTCTCCCCTTCCCTCCCCTCTCCCCTTCCCTCCCCCCTCCCCTTCCCCCTCCCCTTCCCCCTCCCCTTCCCTCCCATTCCTCCTCTCTCCCCCTCCCCTACCCCCTCCCCTTCCCTCCACTTCTGTCCCCCTTCCCTTTTCTTTTCGCTTCTTTTCTTTTCTTGAGACAGGATCTCACTCTGTTGCCCAGACTGGAGTACAGTGAAGTGATCATGGGTCACTGCAGCTTCGACCTCCTGGGCTCAAGCCGTGCTCTCTCCTCAGCCTCCTGAGTAGCTGGGACTACACACGCACACCACCATGACTGCCTAATTTTTTAAATTTTTATATTTTTTGGAGACAGCGTTTCATGCAGGTTTTCATGCCCAAGCTGGAGTGCAGTGGTACAGTCTCTTGGCTCACTGCAACGTCTGCCTCCTGGGCGAAAGCAGTATTCCTACCTTGGCCTCCCACGTAGCTGCAGCCACAGGCACTAGCCACCACGCTCGGCTATTTTTTTTTATTTTTTAGACACAAGACTTCACCATGTTGTCCAGGCTGGTCTCGAACTCCTGAGCTCAAGTGATACACCCGCCTTAGCCTCCCAAAGTGCTGGGATCACAGGCATGAACCACCATGCCCAGCCTGGTTAATGTTTAAATGTTTCCTGGAGATGGGGCTTCACTATGTAGTGCAGGCTGGTCTTGAACTCCTGGGCTCAAGTGATCCACCTCAGCCTCCTAAAGTGCTGGGATGACAGATATGCACCCCCACACTCAGAGATATTATTTTCTTTTCTTTTTTTTTTTCTTTTTATTTTTTTGAGAGGGGTCTTGCTCTTGTCCCCCAGGCTTGAGTGCAGTGGCTCGTTCTCAGCTCACTGCAACCTCCACCACCCGGGATCAAACAATTCTCCTGCCTCTGCCTCCCAAGTAGCTGGGATTACAGGCACCTGCCACCACGCCTGGCTGATTTTTGTATTTTTTAGTAGAGATGGTGTTTCATTATGTTACCCAGGCTGGTCTCAAACTCCTGACCTCAGGTGATCTGCCCGCCTTGGCCTCCCAAAGTGCTGGGATGACAGGCGTGAGTCACCGCGCCTGGCTGACCATGCTTTCACACAAATGTCCCAGACCCTGGGGACGACAGCTGACCAGAGAGTGATTGAACTATGCAGAGTCCCAGCCTCACCTCCCACATCCCTTCTCTCTCATTTGCCCACCTATTACCCCTACCTTAAAAAAACACCCTGTAGAAATACCCACTAGGGCCAGACGCATTATGTGAGGCTTTTCATTTTTTATTCTTTTTTTTTTTTTTGAGATGGAGTCTCACTGTGTTGCCCAGGCTGGAGCGCAGTGGCATGATCTTGGCTCACTGCAACCTCTGTCCCCCCGGATTCAAGCAATTCTCCTGCCTCAGTCTCCTGAGTAGCTGGGATTACAGGTGTGCACCACCACGCCTGGCTAATTTTTGTATTTCTAGTAGAGACGGGGTTTCGCCATCTTGGCCAGGCTGGTCTCAAACTCCTGACCTCAGGTGATCCACCTGGCTCGGCCTCCCAAAGTGCTGGGATTAACAGGCGTGAGCCTCCGCGCCTGGCCAACCATGTTTCTATACAAGCGTCCCAGACCCTGGAGATGACAGCAGACCAGAGAGTGATTGAACTATGCAGAGTCCCAGTCCCACCTCCCAAATCCCTTCTCCTCTCTCCTTTGCCCACCTACTACCCCCCACCTTAAAAAACACCCTGTATCAATACCCGGTAGGGCCAGAGGCATTATTTGAGGCTCTTCATTATTTTCTGAGACATCAATAGACTACGTGTTGGCAGAATAATTGACTTTGCAATTTACATTGGTGATATAGGAGGGACAGATCCTGCTTCTCGGAAACCTCCATGATTTGCACATGTGCCTGCCTCCTCCTTTGCAGGTGCGGTGTTTGGGAAGGAGCAGTGAGCCACAGGGGGATGGGAGCCCAAGGTGTGGCCCTGCAGGGAGGGTCCAATGGCCCATGAGTGTGGGTGATTCAAGAATGTCAGACTGGCTGGGCACGGTGGCTCACTCCTGTAATCTCAGCACTTTGGGAGGCCAAGGCGGGCAGATTACCTGAGGTCGGGAGTTGGAGACCATCCTGGCCAAGATGGTGAAACCCTGTCTCGACTAAAAATACAAAAATTAGCTAAGTGTAGTAGCAGGTGCCTGTAATCCTAGCTACTTGGGAGGCTGAGGCAGGGAAGTGCTTGAACCCAGGAGGTGGAGGTTGCAGTGAGCCAAGATCATGCTACTGCACTCCAGCCTGGGCAACAGGGTGAGACTCCAACTCAAAAAAAAAAAAAAAAAAAAAAGAGCATCTGTCATTTGCAACAACACGGGTGAATTTGAAGGATATTGTGTTCAGTGAAATAAGCCAGGCACGGAAAGACAAGTACCACATGATCTCATTCCTATGTAAAAGTCTAGAAACCTTGGTCTCACAGAAGCAGAGAGCACAGTGGTGGTTACCAGGGGATGGGCATGGGTGGGGCATGGGAAGATGTTGGTCAGAGTATTACAGGCCACTAGACAGGCATGGGCGGGCAGGAGAGGGCTCTTCCACCCACCAGCAATGCCAGGTGCTGGTTCAGCGATGATCGCATTGCCTCTCTAAAAAATGATAAATTGGCGGCTGGGCACGGTGGCCCACACCTGTCATCCCAGCACTTTGGAAGGCCGAGGCAGGTGGATCACGAGGTCAGGAGTTCAAGACCAGCCTGGCCAAGATGGTGAAACCCCATCTTTACTAAAAATACAAAATTAGCCAGACATGATGGTGCATGCCTGTAATCCCATGCTTGAAACTGGGAGGCGGAGGTTGTTGCAGTGAGCTGAGATCGTGCCACTGCACTCCAGCCTGGGCGATAGAGTGAGACTCAGTGTCAAAAAAAAAAAAAAATTGGCAGCCTGTGGCAGGGAGAGACCATTTCCTGATGTTCCACACCTGTCACACTCAATTGTTCATTGAGTGCAAGTGCCGTGGAAACACAACTTCCTAAGCATGCACATTAGGAGAAAACATGGCGGAATATGACCTTCTGAGGTCACTCCACTGGAAACAGGAAGAAAGCCTCAGATATGGGCACGCTACAACTTCCTAAACCTCATGCTCACCTCCCAAGCATAAGGAGGGCACTGTGCATGCGGGCAGCTCACCCTAGGGGAAGAATCATGGGAAAGGGATACAAGATGCTAGAAGTGGACCAGCCTATAAGGTCCTGTAAAGTTAAACACCACACTTGTTCTTCAGGGCGCCTGCTTGGGTCTCTTTCAAGTGTACTTCCGTTCTTTTCTGTTCTGAAGCTTTTAAAATAAACTTCCACTCGGCTGGGCGCAGTGGCTCATGCCTGTAATCCCAGCACTTTGGGAGGCTGAGGTGGGTGGATCAGAAGGTCAGAAGTTCGAGACCAGCCTAGCCAATACGGTGAAACCCCGTCTCTACTAAAAATACAAAAATTAGCCCTGCATGGTGGCGCACACCTGTAATCCCAGCTACTCAGGAGATTGAGGCAGGAGAATCGCTTGAACCCGGAAGGTGGAGGTTGCAATGAGCCGAGATCGCACTGCTGCACTCCAGCCTGGGTGGCAAGAGCGAGACTCTGTCTCAAAACAAAAACAAAAACAAAAGCCTTCCACTCCTGCTCTGAAACTTGCCCGGGTCTCTCTCTCTGCCTTATGGCCCTCAGTCAAATTCTTTCTTCTGAGGATGCAAGAATTCCAGTGGCTGCAGGCCTGTATGGATTCATCACTGGTAACTCAGATACCTTCCACCACATTATAATAAAAGGGCAGAACATTTCAGTTAGACCTAAGGAATAAGTTCAAGAGATATATTGCACAATGTGGTGATTGTAGTTAATATCAATGTACTGCATACTTGAAAACCACTAAGACAGTAGATTTTAACTGTTTTCACCACATTAAAAAAATAAGTATGGGCTGGGAATGGTGGCTCACGCCTGTAATCCCAGCACTTTGGGAGGGTGAGGGGGGTGGATCACGAGGACAGGAGATTGAAACCATCCTGGCTAACACAGTGGAACCCCACCTCTACTAAAAATACAAAAATTTAGCCAGGCGTGGTGGCAGGCACCTATAGTCCCAGCTACTTGGGAGGCTGAGGCAGGAGAATTGCTTGAACCCAGGAGGCAGAGGTTGCAGTCAGCCGAGATTACACCACTGCACTCCAGCCTGCATGACAGAGCCAGACTCCATCTAAAAAAAAAAAAAAAGTATTTATGGTAATATGTTAATTAGTTTTAGTTACCCATCCCATAATGGATACATATTTCAGTATATGAATGGAATGTTATGTTGTATATCAGAAGCATATCTAATTTTTGTTTGTCAATGACAAAAAGAAAATAGTCCTCATCATTGTGACTGGCTCAGGCTAAACACATACACTATTTTTATTTCTGCAGTTACTCTTCTATTTCTGTGCTACGTCTTAAAATTATCCATTGCAAATGGCATGTAGCTTTGAAAATATAAACTTGCCACCTGATCCAAAACTTTTCAGTTCTGTCATAGTTTTGTGTTTTTTTTTTTTTTTTGAGATGGAGTCTCATTCTGTTGCCCAGGCTGGAGTGCAGTGGCATGATTTCAGCTCACTGCAACCTCCACCTCCTGGGTTCAAGCGATTCTCCTGCCTCAGCCTCCCGGGTAGCTGGGACTACAGGCGCATGCTGCCACGCCCGGCTAATTTTTTGTATTTTAGTAGAGACAGGGTTTCACCGTTGTTGCCCAGGCTGGTCTCGAACTCCTGAGCTCAGGCAATCCGCCTGCCTCAGCCTCCCAAAGTGCTAGGATTACAGGCGTGAGCCACGGTGCCAGCCTCCGTCATAGTTTCTAAAACACCCACACCACAACAGTAATCTTGACTCAACTTCAGCTCCTCATCCTGTGTCTAAGCCAAGTTTAGCCGAAGAAAACATCTGCCGAGAAAGTAAAAACAAAAACATCTGCCAAAGGCAAGAACCCGGTGGGAAGCCCCCTGAGCCCAGTGGCCTGCAGAGTCTGTTCTAGTGACAAAGCAGGCAACTGGAAGAGATCAGGGCTGCGAGACAGCGTGGGTGGGTTTTTATCTGCTGCTTCTGTAAATTCATTGCATGATACGTCTGTTTTTCAGAGGTCCCAAAGCAAAGAAACAAAGCCCCACAGAGTTCACCCAGAGGGAAGGCCTTCACTGGATCAGGCTATAAGAGAAGGACTCTCCCCTGAGAAAGATAAATACTTATTTTGGGGCCGTGTTTAGAGAAAAAGGAAGAACGATGGCTTTCCCATAGAAACATTTACTTATTTTGTGATTTGAAAATGGACTTTTATGTTTTAGGAATTATGTGGATGGGATGTTTTCTTGGGTGATCGATTTGAAATTGCAGAGGGGAGCAGGTGCCATGTGCTGGCAATGGCCGGCCTTCCTTCCTTCCTTCCTTCCTTCCTTCCTTCCTTCCTTCCTTCCTTCCTTCCTCCATTCCTCCTACCCCCCGTTTCTTCCTTCTTTCTCTCTCTTTCTTTCCTTTTCTCTTTTTCTTTCTTTTTCTTTCTTTTCTTTCTTTCTTTCTCTCTCTCTCTTTCTCTCTCTCTCTCTTTCATTTTGTTTGTTTTAATGAGTGAGAGTAAAGAGAAAGAAAAGAACTGTTTTTATTTTTTGTCTACCTTTATTGTAAGGAGAGAGTGAGGATACCATGCCACACATGCAGGGTCCTGAGCAGAGGGCTGCACCCTGCTTAGTTCTAAAGACACCTAGACTTTATCCTGAAAGCCACTGAGAGGCCCATATTTTGAAACACTCAGCCTCTCAGAAGAGGATAGAATGGGTTGCCAGTGTAATAGGGAGAGAAATCGAACATAGCTGACTCCATGTTGCTTCTGACTCCTCAAGCTAACTGCTTTTAGGCACTTCTGCACACGGGCCAAGTTAATCATGGAAAGAACTTAGATTACAGTTTAACTGGAAAGCAAGGATGATAAGCGTTCCTTTCCAAAACTAACCTCTGAGGAGATAAGAAGGGCATGCACACAAGTAACAATGTTATATTGAAGACTTGTAGGAGCGCTGTGACCTGAGCAAGGACAAAGTTTTGCAATCTCCTTGGGCCCCTGCTGATGCCCAAGTGTCTGTGGTCACCAGCCACCCCCCTCACCTCAGTCTCCTCCTTGTTCCCCTTCAGTGTACCCCTTCAATGTACAAAGAAGCTTGAGATTCATGCCTTTAAAGATGGTTCGTTAGGACATGGGTCCAGTATCTTCCTGACTTGCTGGCTCTCCAAATAAAGATGCTTTTCTTGCTCTAACTTTTTGTCTCGTGAATCATTGGCTGTTATGCAGTGAGCCTCAGGAACTTTGGACTCCACAGCACCAGGACAACTCTCAGGACTCCCAGTCTCTATTGGGTGCAGGAATCACTGGGGAGTCTGGCTGAAGTGCAGACTCTGATTGAGGAGGCCTGGGACACGAGGCCTGAGATTCTGCATCTCCAGTAAGCACCAAGGGGATGTTGATGCTGCTGATCCAGGGACCACACCTTGGAGAGCAATGCTGAGAAGCTGGTGGAAGAGCCCAGGCTCATGAAGATCTGAACATGGTCCATAGCAGGGAGGTTGGGGAAATGAGATAAAAATGTTAAAAATGGCAGTTACCTTCCTGGAGAAGAAATGGCTTTTCCATTCCTTATTAGGCTCATGTCTTTGGAACTAGCCCCCACTGGTCTCCTTCCTGTTATATACCTGCAGTTACCATGTTCTTGTTAAGGAAGAATGGCAAATGCAAAAAAAAAAAAAAAAAAAGAGGAAGTTGATCATGTTTGGTTGCTTTTGGTCATCACAATAAATAAATAAAATCTGAAATTTCCCCCTGACTTTGCAAATGTTTTCTTCCAAGGAGAGCAACAGACATGTGTCAGCCTTATTGGATTTCTTTGGTTCCCGAACAGCCTGCCATGAGGTATGAAGGACACATGACCTTTTATGTAATTGGTGAGACCCAATGTCTTCCAGATGTTGGGTGTCTCATCCCAGTGTGAGGATTTTTTTTTATTATTTTTTTGAGATGGAGTCTTGCTCTGTTGCCCTGGCTAGAGTGCAATGGTGCAATGTTGGCTCACTGCAACCTCCACCTCTCAGGTTCAAGCGATTTTCCTGTCTCAGCCTCCCGAGTAGCTGGGATTACAGGTGCGTGCCACTACACCCAGCTAATTTTTTGCATTTTAGTAGAGACGGGATTTCACTGTGTTGCCCAGGCTGGTCTTGAACTCCTGAGCTCAGGAAATCCACGCCCCTCGGCCTCCCAAAGTGCTGGGATTACAGGCATGAGCCACCGCGACTGGCCGAGGATTAAGTTTTTAAAACTTAATTTCCCTTTAGAAAAGAGAATTTAACCTAGATGTTGGTTCTTAATTTATCTTGAGTAAAAGTTGTCTTTGCTAATATGAATTTTTAAAGTCATCAATTGGTTCATACAGTTTTGTGTGATTCACCTCCAAATGTTTTCAGCAGAGGGAGTAACAAGAAAGAAAAGGTAATTTTTTTTTTTTTTTTTTTTTGAGATGGAGTCTCGCTCTGTCGCCCAGGCTGGAGTGCAGTGGTGCAACCTCGTCTCACTGCAACCTCTGCCTCCCAGGTTCAGGCTATTCCCCTGCCTCAGCCTCTCGAGTAGCTGGGACTATAGGCGCCCGCCACCACACCTGGCTAATTTTTTGTATTGTTAGTATAGATGGGATTTCACGGTGTTAGCCAGGATGGTCTCGATCTCCTGACCTCGTGATTCGCCCACCTTGGCCTCACAAAGTGCTGGGATTATAGGCGTGAGCCACCACGCCTGGCCCAGAAAAGGTGATTTTAAAGGCAAAGAAGCGAGATGACTTGAGTAACGGTGTTCCCCATGCATGGTTATTAACAAATGTTTCCTGACTGCTTACCTGTCAAAAACATTGAACAGGTAGAATGTGTGGTCCCAGGAGGTGACAAACTTCCTATTTTAAATGAAATATTTCAAAACAGATTAGACCTCCAAGTCAAAGGGGTGATAAGGAATTTCATGGGAGTTCAATGATCTTTTAAAAAAAAATGATTGTAAGCCTATTAGGAATTAGCATATAAAGTTTGCTATGGTCCGAATGTTGATATCTCCCCAAAATTTCTATTTTGATGTCCTCACCTCCAAGCTGATGGTGTTCGGACATGGGGCCTTTGGGAGGTGATGAGGTCGTGAAGGTGGGGCCTCATGGATGGGATGAGTGCCCTTATAAAAGGGGCCCCAGAGAGCTCCCTCGCCCCTTCCAGCATGTGAGGACACAGCCAGAAGGCGCCATCTAGGAACCAGGAAGTGGGTCCCCACCAGACACTGAATCTGCCACGTCTTTGCCTTGGACCTCCAGCCTCCAGGACTGTGAGCGATAAATTCTCCAGCGTTGTTAGAGGGCTTGCTCCTTGATCACAATAAACTGCATGCTTGTTTTTCCCCTAAATTTCTGTGCCGCAAAGTGATGGTGCTAGGAGGTGGGGTCTTTAGAAGGTGGTGTGATCATGAGGGTGGAACCTCATGAAGGGGATCAGTGCCCTTACAAAAGGGACCCCAGGGGCTGGGCACGGTGGCTCACACCTGTAATCCCCAGCACTTTGGGAGGCCCAGGCCGGTGGTCACCTGAGATCAGGAGTTGGAGACCAGCCTGACCAACATGGCAAAACCCAGTCTCTACTAAAAATAGAAAAATTAGCCGGGCATGGTGGCGGGCACTTGTAATCCCAGCTACTCGGGAGGCTGAAGCAGGAGAATCGCTTGAACCCGGGAGGCAGATGTTGCAGTGAGCTGAGATCGCACCATTGCACTCCAGCCTGGGCGATAAGAGTGAGACTCCGTCTCAAAAAAAATAAAAAAGAACATCGACTCAGACTTGCTTTGCTGGAAAGTATATTAGAATGTGTCTCATCCCCCTTGTATCCATTTCCCAGGGCTGCTGTAGCAAGCCATCACACACCAGGTGGCTTACAACTGGGATTCATTCTGTCGCAGTTTTGGAAGCAGAAGTCTGAAATCAAGGTGTGGGCAGGGTGGGTTCCTTCTGGAGGCTCTAGTGGTGGATCCGTTCCTTACCGCAGCCCCGAGCCTATTCCCATGGCCTCAGGGGCTTCCCATACAGTGCATAGGATGGCCTCACCTCAGAAAGTGATCCAGACCCGAATGTCCACAGTGCTGAGGCTGAGAAACCCTGTCTTAGCTTCAAACGCACACATACACTCTCTCTCTGTTTTGCTCGCTGGCTCTCTTTCTCTCTGTCTCATATATTGATCTAGCTGTCTATCTATTTCTCCGTAGGTATCTACCTATATCCATCTGTCTATCTGTCATCTACTTCTTTTTCTTTTTCGTTAGAGACAAGGTCTTGCCCTTTCGCCCCAGCCAGACTGCCGTGGCGTGATCATAGCTCACTGCAGCATCAAATTCCTGGGCTCAAGCAATCCTCCTACGTCAGCCTCCCAAGTAGTTGTGACTATAGGGGTGCACCACCATTTCCTGCTAGTTTTTAAATTTTTTGTAGAGATGGGGTCTTGCTATGTTGTCCAGGCTAGTTTCAAATTCCTGGGCTCAAGCAATTCATTCGCCTTGGCCTCCCAATATGCTGAGATTACAGGTCTGAGCCATAGCACTTGGCCTCTCATGTATTTGTATCTCTATCTGTCTCTCTCTCTCTTTCTCTCTCTCTCTGTCTCTCTATTATCTATGTATCCATTCATCCATCTATCCATATCTATCTATATATCTATCCATATCTATCTATATGTCTATCTGCCTATGCATTTATCTATCTATATCATCTATATATCCATTTATCCATCTATATTATCTATCCATATCTATCATCTATATATCTACCTATTCTTTCTATCTATATATCTATCCATTCATCCATTTATCCATATCTATCATCTATATATCTATCCATAACTATGTATCTACCTATCTATCCATTCATCTATCTCTATCCATCTATCTATCTACCTACCTGTCTGCCTATTCATCCATGTATCTACCTCTATCCATCATTTATCCATGAATCTACTTCTTTCTATCAATATATCCATACATGTATCTATATCTATTTAGCAATCATCTATCCATGTATCTATTTGGATCTCTATCAATCCATGTATTGATATTTACCTATCTATGCATTAATGTATCTATATCCATTTATCCATGTATCTCTATGTATCTCTACATTTCATATACATTTGCACTTCTTATATATGCTATGTCTCAAACACGTGCCCACTCACATTTGCATGTGTGTCTGAATGTATACACACATACACACACATTTAGTGAAGGGGCACCCTGACTTGATTTGTACATATCTCAGTGGTGACAGTCATCAGCAAGAAGCAGCCCCAGGACCTGGGCTGATTGCACCCTTCTCAGGCCCCAGCCTGAGTCCCAAGCATCACTGCGGAGGCTCACAGAAGAGTCCACCCAGCCAAGGCCACCCCTGGGACCTCTCCTCACTGGAGGAGCCTCATGCCTTTGGCTTCCATTTCTCTTCAAACGGCATAATGAACACCCACACTCCTGGTGTGCCCTTGGGATATAAAATTAGAGCCAGATTAAGCATGCTTGCTGGCCCTGTGGTGACCACTACAAATGAGGTGTTTTCCACTTCCCATCATTTCCATGCAGTGGTATTTAAAAAGGAAATGGTTTCCATTGCAAAACATTTTCTGTGACTTTTGGCTGCAATATTTTGCTGCTTATGCTTTTTTTCTCATATTTTCCTTCCCCTGCATATATTTTCTTTACATTAAAATTTTTCTTTAAAAATATTCCTTTCTTTTTTTTTTTTTTTTTTTTTTTGAGACAGTCTCGCTTTGCCACCCAGGCTGGAATACAGTGGCGCAATCTCAGCTCACTGCAACCTCCGCCTCTGGGTTCAAGTGATTCTTCTGCCTCAGTCTCCTGAGTAGCTGGAATTACAGGCGTGCACCACCATGCCCAGATAATTTTTGTATTTTTAGTAGAGACAGGGTTTCATCATGTTGGCCAGGCTGGTCTTGAACTCCTGACCTGAAGTGATCTGCCCGCCTCGGCCTCCCAAATTGCTGGGATGACAGGCGTGAGCCACCGTGCCCGTCCTTGCCTTGGCATCTAAAAAGGAAATGGTTTCCATCGCAAAACATTTTCTGTGACTTTTGGCTGCAATATTTTGCTTCTTATGCTCTTTTTTTTCCTCATACTTTTCCTCCCCTGACTACATTTTCTTTAAGTTTTTTCTGTACATTAAAAATATTATTTATATGTTAAGTATAAAGAATATTTCAACCACTCTTCTGTAAATTAAACAAAAAAGAAGCTGAATTTTCCAACAGTGACATGCAGTACAACAGCATCTCCGCAGGCAGACGAGAAAAAAAGTGATCTCTCCCAACAAAAAAATGCTGACAGTAAGAAATTAAGCCCCATGTTTTTATGTGAAAACTCCCGGTTCAAAACCATACAAACATTGAAACCTCATGTGAAGAAAATTGTCCGCCAAATTCATCTCTATATTTTATTTGCTCTTCTTGAGGATAATTTGGAATACAATCAGTCCTCTGCCAGAATAATGTTTATTACTCCATTTATTCCAAAAAGCATGTTAGGAGGCTTTCAGACAAAATGGCTTTAATTTGACTTTTAAAACAGAACGGCAACATTCTAGGAATCAGAGCCAGAAGTCAATGCCTTTTATAGTTATCTATTTTCAAGAGTTGAATTTTCCTGGCACAACAGTACTAGAAGATAGAACCCCAGTTGAATGGGCTTTTCATTCTTAGTCCTATGACTTTCTTTTTTTTTTTTTTTGAGATGGAGTCTTGCTCTGTCACCCAGGCTGGAGTGTAGTGGCATGATCTCGGCTTACTGCAACCTCCACCTCCCAGGTTCAAGCGGTTCTCATGCCTCAGCCTCCTGAGTAGCTGGGATTACAGGCTCATGCCACCATGCCTGGCTAATTTTTGTATTTTTAGTAGAGACAGGGTTTCACCATATTGGCCAGGCTGGTCTCGAACTCCTGATCTTGTGATCCACCCGCCTCGGCCTCCCAAAGTGCTGGGATTACAGGTGTAAGCCACTGTTCCCGGCCCTGTCCTGTGACTTTCAAGGGGGGACAGCCCTTGACATGTAATTTTTGTGCTTAATCTATATCCCTGGACTATAGTCCTCTTTTCACCCTTCTATGTCCACTTTCTGCCCTGGGAGTTGATTTTTAGAGACTGTATCAGAAGGACTCAGCCCTGTGAGTTTCTAAATAGTGTTGGCCGATCTAGGGGACTGAAATTTGACAGTAAAACCTGTACTGGGGTGAACAGTGGCCCTTCCAAAGTCCTGTCTCCCAGGGACTTCAGAATGAGACCTTATGTGGAAATAGGGCCTTTGCAGATGCATTTGTTAAGATGAATGAGAGTGAGCCCTAAATCCAATGACAGGCATCCTTCTAAGAGACGGAAGAAGAGACACAGACAGAGACACAGAGGAGAAGGTCACGTGGAGATGCAGGCAGAGACTGAGATAAGATGGCCACAAGGCCAGGGACTCCTGGAGCCACAAGGGGCTGGGAGAGGCAAAAAGGAGCCTCCGCTAGAGCCTCTGGAAGCAACTGGATACAACTGTAGTGGACTGTACAGTGGTCCTCCTAAAAGATATGTCCACGTCCTCATCCCCAGAATCTGCGAATGGGAACTTATTTGGAAGCGGGGTCTTTGCAGATGTAATTGAGTTAAGAATCTCAAGATGAAGGCCGGGCCCGGTGGCTCACACCTGTAATCCCAGCACTTTGGGAGGCTGAGGAGGGCAGAACACCTGAGGTCAGGAGTTCGAGACCAGCCTAGCCAACATGGCGAAACCCTGTCTCTACTAAAAATACAAAAATTAGCTGGGTGTGGTGGCAGGCGCCTCTAGTCCCAGCTGCTTGGGAGGCTGAGGAAGGAGAATCGCTTGAACCCGGGAGACAGAGGTTGCTTTGAGCTGAGATTACATCGCTGCACTCCAGCCTCGGTGACAGAGCGAGACTACATCTCAAAACAATAACAACTGCAGCAACAAATCAAGATGAGATCATCATGGCATAGGGTGGACCCTCCACTCAATGACAGGTATCTTTGTAAGAGACAGAAGAGGAGACACAGATGCAGAGGAGAAGTCCACGTGGAGATGGAGGCAGAGACTGGAGTGATCTGGCCACACGCCCAGGGACGCCTAGAGCCCCCAGGAGCTAGGAGGGGCAGGAGGGATTTTCCTGGAGGGAGCTCATGTCTGTGTCCCAATATCTTCTTCTTATAAGGCCACTAATCATATCAGATTAGGACCCACCGTAATGACCTCATTTTATATTAATCACCTTTTTAAAGACCATATCTCCAAACACAGTGACACCCTGCAGTCCTGGGAGTTAGGACGTCAACTGATAAATTTAGAGGACAGAATTCAGCTCACAACAGTCTTTGCAGTTGAGGTCACTAGGGTGGGCCCTGATTTAGTGACTGCTGTATTTATAACAAGAGGAGATGAAGACAGACACAGAGGGGAAGGCCAGGTGGAGACGGAGGCAGAGACTGGAGTGATGCGGCCACAAGCCCAGGGATGCCTGCAGCCCCCAGGAGCTGGGAGGGGCAGGGGGGATCCTCCCCTAGAGCCTCCAGAGGAAGCACAGCCCTGCCCACCCCTTGATCTCAGACTGCTGCTCTCCAGAACTGGGAGAGAATAAATTCCTGTTGTTTTGTTTTGTGTTTGAGACAGAGTCTTGCTCTATCATTCAGGCTGCAGTACAGTGATGCAATCTCGGCTCACGGCAACCTCTGCCTCCTGGGTTCAAGTGATCCTCCTGCCTCAGCCTCCCAAGTAGCTGGGATTACAGGTGCGCACTACCACACCCGGCTAATTTTTGTATTTTCAGTAGAGACGGGTTTTGTCGTGTTGGCCAGGCTGCTCTCAAACTCCTGACCTCAGGTGATCCGCCCACCTCGGTCTCCCAAAGGGCTGGGATAACAGGCGTGAGCCACCACGCCCGATCAGTTCCTGTTGTTCTATACCACTGTTTGTGGTCATTTGTTATGCCACTCCCAGGAATCTCTTTCATACCCTCTAGTCTCCTCTGAGTCCCTCAGGCAGCAGCACACCCCTCCCAACGGCTGCACCACCTGGTTATGAGCCCAGGCTCCGCATGTCACCCCAGTTCAGCTCTCTGTGGCCGCAAGGCCCAGCACAGAAGCTCCTGACCATGGCCTCCCCATCCCTGAATGGCCCTTCCCACCATTGCCTGCTTGGACACTGACTGATACGATCCTGCCCTCCCTGTCATCTCGGTGATCCCTTCTCCTTCTCAGGGCTCTGTTCCTTCCTGCCTTTGCTCACACATCCCCTGTTGTGTGACAGATTTTTTTTTTTTTAATTTCAATTGTTTTGGGGGTAGAAGTGGTTTTTGGTTCCACGGATAAATTCTTTAGTGGTGATTTTTGAGATTTTAGTGCACCTGTCACCTGAACAATGTACACTGTATCCAATATGTGGTTGTTGTTGTTGTTGTTTGTTTGTCTGTTTTTGAAATGGAATCTCGCTCTGTCACCCAGGCTGCAGTGCTGTGACGTGATCTCGGCTTACTGCAACCTCCACCTCCCAGGTTCTAGCAATTCTCCTGGTTCAGCCTCCCAAGTAGCTGGGACTATAGGCACATGCCACCACACCCAGCTAATTTTTGTATTTTTAGTAGAGATGAGGTTTCACCATGTTGGCCAGGATGGTCTCAGAAACTCCTGACCTCAGGTGATCTGCCTGTTTCGGCCTCCCAAAGTGCTGGGAATACAGGCGTGAGCCACCGCGCCAAGCCCGAATATGTAGCCTTTTATCTTCACCCACCTTCCACCCTTACCCCGAGTCCCCAAGTTCCATAATATTATCGTGCATTTGCATTCTCATAGCTTAACTCCTACTTACAGATGAGAACATACGATATTTGGTTTTCCATTCCTGAGTTACTTCACTTAGAATAATGGCCTCCAGGGCCAAGTGCGGTGGCTCACACCTGTAATCCTTGCACTTTGGGAGGCTGAGGCGGGCGGATCACCTGAGGTCGGGAGTGTGAGACCAGCCTGACCAACATGGAGAAACCCCATCTCTACTAGAAATACAAAAAAATTAGCTGGGCGTCGTGGTGCATGCCTGTAATCCCAGCTACTCGGGAGGCTGAGGCAGGAGAATCGCTTGAGCCTGGGAGGCAGAGGTTGCAGTGAGCCAAGACTGCACCATTGCACTCTAGCCTGGGCAACAAGAGCAAAACTCCATCTCAAAAAAAAAAAAAAAAAAAAAAAAAGAAAGGATAATGGCCTGTAGCTTCATCCAAGTTGCTGCAAAAGGCATTATTTCATTCCTTTTTATGTCTGAGTAGTATTCCATGGTGTATATATACCACATTTTGTTTATGCACGCATTGGTTGATGGGCACTTAGATTTGCTTCCCTAGCTTTGCGGTTGTGGATTGTGCTGCTATAAATGTGTGTGCAAGTGCCTTTTGCCTATAATGACTTTTTCCCCCACTGGGTAAATACTCAGCAGTGAGACGGCTTCCCCAAATGGTAGTTCTACTGTTAGTTCTTCAAGGAATCTCCACACTTTTTCATAGTGGTTGTGCTAGTTTACATTCCCGCCAGCAGTGGAAAACTGTTCCGTAGGATGGTTTTGATGGGGCCATTTTACATCTACCCTGGTTTGTTTGGCCCAGTAAACAAACCAGAACTAATTCCTGAAAGTAACCCAAGGGAATCTAAATTCTTCTTCCTTCTCATGAATTCCTGGAACTATCACACAGCTTTTTTTTTTTTTTTTTTTTTTTTTTTTTTTTTGAGATGGAGTCTTGCTCTGTCGCCCAGGCTGGGGTGCAATGGCGCAATCTCGGCTCACTGCAACCTCTGCCTCCTGGGTTCAAGCGATTCTCCTGCCTCAACCTCCCAAGTAGCTGGGATTACAGGCACCCACCATCACGTCTGGCAAATTTTTGTATTTTTAGTAGAGATGGGGTTTCACCATGTTGACCAGTCTGGTCTTGAACTCATGACCTCAGGTGATCCACCCACCTTGGCCACCCAAAGTGCTGGGATTACAGGAATGAGCCGCCGTGCCCGGCCCTAGCACAGCTTTTTATTACTGTGTGTGCATGGAGCAACAAGACCCTTCAGCATTGACCTGCAAGCACTCCTTCAGCCCTCAAGTTGGAAGACGTTGCAACATGACCCTATGAAACAATTGCTAGGTATTTCTCCCAGAATCCAGCACAGAGCTGACCATTCCATAAATAGTTCTGGATTGGCTGATAAATATTCCTCTGTAATGCTTTGTGTATATTGGAGTTAATGAAGATGTGTTGACTTAAAGCTATTAAACTTGTGGCAACCAATCAATGTCTGTAGTCTTGTTATCAGAAGTGCACCAGTGTTGGTGACCTGGCTCTGATATTGCACCCCAATCCTAATAGAAAATGAAGCTGGGCTAAGGGCAAATGAAACTCTAGGTGGGGGTCTTGTGTACTTGCATCTTCCTTAGACTCTTTAATTATCTCAAAAGGAAATTTAAAGAAAAAATATAAAATTACAATTTGTAAACATTATGCAGAAAACTAATTTGGAAAAGTGGTACATTTTACCACGTCTTGTTATATTTCAAAATCTAAATTTGCTTGGGCGTCATGAAATAATCCTGTCTGGAACCAAAAACCTTCCCATCTTTATTTTTTATTTATTTATTTTTGAGATGGAGTCTCTGTCAGCTGGGCTGGAGTGCAGTGGCGTGATCTCGGCTCACTGCAACCTCCGCCTCCCAGGTTCAAGCGATTCTCCTGCCTCAGCTTCCCAAGTAGCTGGGATTACAGGCATCTGCCAGCACGCCCAGCTAATTTTTGTATTTTTAGTAGAGATGGGGTTTCACCATATTGGCCAGGCTGGTCTCGAACTCCTGACCTCAAATGACCCACCTGTCTTGGCCTCCCAAAGTGCTGGGATTATAGGCTTGAGCCACAGCCCTCGGCCCCACGTTTATCTTTGAAGTTGACTTAACATCATTCCCTGTTAAGGAGAGGTAGTTTTATTACATTGAGTAACAAATCTGTCTGCTTCTTTGAAATCAGGGTTAAGCATTAACTAGAACCCATGATGGGGTTAAAGTGATGGATGCATAAACACACACACATACACAGACATGCATGCACACCTGCACACACATCAATTAAAATTCGGTTCATTGATTTGCCGGTGACGAGAACCTGCAAACAGAATGTGCAGGTGTCCTGATCTGACCCTGGAAGAGAGAGAAAGGTTCAAAGATGAGCTCTTTTAGTTTCAAGATATGAGTCAACTGCCTTGGATTCATTTCCTTGTTTTCTTTTTTTTTTTAATATTAGGGATGTCAATGACTCCTCATAAGATGATGAGGAGAGATAGATGGTATAAAGTGTATTATAAATGTGATGGTTCTTACTGCCTGCTTAAGGTTCTAGTGCAATAGAATATTAGGGATGTCAGTGATTTCCTCATAAGATGATGAAGAGAGAAAGATGGCATAAAGTGTATTATAAATGGTGGTTCTTACTGCCTGCTTAAGGTTCTAGTGCAATAAAATATGAGAAATACATGGCTTATAATTCAGGCAGCTATTAATGTGATCCTGTTGGACTTTTGTCTGCCCATATATGGCCAACCAAGACCGAACAAAGTATATTCCTTAAATGTTGGAAGAATCTGCAAACCACAGACTAGCCAGTTTGGTGTTAATCGCCAGAAGATGATTAACCATGGAAATCAAAGCCAGATAAACAGTTTCTGATCATAAACTGAACATGTGTGTGGACCTCCCCTTTCTCCAGCCCCAAAAAGGATTGCAAAGCCCTTGAGGATGCTTTATCTTGTGTCGCTCAGGGTGCCTAGAAGAGCGTTGAAAACTGGCAAATTCTCCATAATGTGTGTGTTGGCATGGGGAAGTGGGGACGATGGGAAGCTCATTAGGTACGCAGCCATTAGCTTTTGCAGCAAAACAAACCACCCCAAAACGTGGTGCTTTAAAACAATACCCATTTAGTTCGTTCCCGATTCCGTGGCTCAGCTGTTCAGGTTTGGCTCAGTGAGGCAGCTCTGGGGTCAGCTGGATTCACTCATGAGTCAGTGCTCAGCTGCCGGGTGGCCAGGAGCAGGCTGGTTTGGATGACTCAGCTGGGGCAGCTTGGTTTAGCTCCAACTGGTCTCTCAGCCTTCGCTGAGGCAGCTCATGCTTATGCATATGGCAGCCGGGAAGGTTTCCAAGCCAGGGAGCTAAGGCGTGAACAGCCTCTAAAAGCCCAAGTGCAGAAATTTTTAAAAAATGCTTATTTATTTGTTTTCAGAGACAAGATCTCACTCTGTCACCCCGGCTGGAGTGCAGAGGCACAATCATAGCTCACTGTAACTTTGAACTCCTGGGCTCAAGTGATCATCCCACCTCAGCCTCCCAAGTAGCTGAGACTCTAGGTGTGCACCACTATGTCCTGCTATTTTTTTTTTTTATAGAGATGGGGTGTCATTGTGTTGCCCAGTTTGGTCTCAAACTTCTGGCCACAAGAGATCATCCCCACCTGATCCCATACTGCCTACCCACCCTCACCTCCCAATTCTCTTCCTACTCATTAAGGTCATAATTTTTTCCCTCAGTGTCTGTGTTTTTGCTCATGTGTGTATGCTCTCTGAAATGGAGCATTTTCTATCCGGAAGACTCCTACACGTTCCGCACAACCCAGCTTAAATGCAGTCTCCTTCGTGAAACATTTCTCAACCAGCATGGCCTCCATTTTTCTCCTTTTTCCTCGCACAGCACTCTGCGCAGCACTCTGTGTCCATCATCTGTAGACTATATCACGTTGTGTGAGATACATTGTTATTTTTGGTGGTGGTCGTGGTGTGTTTTGTTTGGTTTTTTGCTCTTCCTCAATGGAACAATTGGGCTATTTGATGAAAGAAAAAGGACTTACTCACCTTGGCATGCTTTGCATGTAGGAGACAATCTGTAACACTCTATTTGCTAAGTCAATGTTTATTGGATAAATCAACATAATTTTCATGTTATTACATTACAGTGCTTAAATGTGCTTGCGTCAGCTCTGTAGCTACAATGATGCACATATTGTTGTTGGAAGAGATTATATTTTTCATAAATGGCCACAGCAATATTTCTGTCCCACACTCTCTTCCAGAACCTTGGTGCTTCCCATCAAGAGTGGGAATCTGATTCCCTTTTCCTTGAAATTGGGTGGATATTTGTGGCTGCTTTTGTGCAGAGGGGTTGCCACATGACTTCAGAAACCAGGTTGTAAATGTGCTGTGACTGCACATTATTTTTATTTATTTTTTTTTTTGTGATGGAGTCTCGCTCTGTTGCCCAGGCTGGAGTACAGCGGTGGAATCTCGGCTCACCACATCCTCCGCCTCCCAGGTTCAAGCGATTCTCCTGCCTCAGCCTCCCGAGTAGCTGGGACTACAGTCAACACACCACCATGTCCGGCTAATTTTTGTATTTTTAGTAGAGATGGGTTTCACTATGTTGGCCAGGCTGGTCTCGAACTCCTGACCTCGTGATATGCCTGCCTCAGCCTCCCAAAGTGCTGTGATTACAGGCGTGAGCCACTGTGCCCAGCCACAGTGGCTTTTTTAAACCAGTAAATTTTGGATAGCTAGTTATACATAATAACTGAAACAATCAGGCATTTTAGAATTCATATGTAAGCTAACTTTTACCATGTAGCATTCTCACACATATATAATGTGTGTGTGCATTTATGTGTGTGTGTTTGTGTGTGTGTGCACAGGCAAAAGAGATAGGGAGCTTTATTGCCTAGTGTTTTGTGGTCAGCTCACTTTTGCCTTGCCTGCATTCAGTTGAGCAGTTAAGCATCTAAAGTACCCAGTCTGTACACTGGGCTGTCTGCCAGGTACCGTGTTAAAAACAAAGTTGAGCCTGCTCCTAGCTTGTTGGAAAACTCAGATAAACACAAATTAACAGCTCTCCTGTCACATTCTATGTTTTGGAACACCCTAGGATGGCTTTCTCAGATTCAGCACTGTGACCATCATAGTCAGCACTTGTCATGATCAAGACTCAACCTTAGGTCTTGGATACAGTCCTAACGGGCCACTGGTTCTAACCCACAAGGTTGTTTACCTATCTAAGCAGACTTAGGGGTAAACAGGATTCCTGCTTCAAATACAGTATTCTGGGAAGTTGATTCTTTCTTGACTCTGAGCCAAACTAAATGCAAGCATAAGCTTCATCAACAAAGTAGTTGTTCATATATTATGCAACTTCCGTAATGCCTTTTAATTTCTTCTGAAGACTCAACCAATGCTACAGGTAAGAAAATTAAAAAGACACACAGACATAGGATCACACATCAAGTTTTTGCCAAATTAAATTATTGTTTTGAAAATAATTTGCAGCACTGATGGGCACACACCGTAAAATTTCCAATGTATGAACTCTGGGCTACAAGACACTCTTTATCTTTGCCTGCTGTGAACGCTCTGAGGAAAATTCCGGTGGTTTTGAGGCAGTCACAAGGCAATGTGCTGCATACGGCCTGGACTCAGAAGCAAAGGGCTCTTGATTTTAATCCCAGCCCACCGCTGACAAGCTCAACGGCCCCAGGATGTTTCCTCATCAGCAGAGGTGGGCTAATGAATCCAGATCCCCTGTTTCACAGTTGTTCCTCAATGAATGAACACCTAGAAAGTTATACAACAATACAAAAATATCAGGTAGAAATTTACTTGTTTGTAAGTCTGTCAATCCATCCATCCACTCACCCTTCCATCTATTCATCCATCTATTTTTCTAGCCACCCGTCCATCCATCTATCCATGCACCTATTTATCCATCCATCCAGTTATCCATCCATCTATCCACATATCCATCCACACACCCACCCATCCATCCATTCATGGATACAACCGTTCATCTACACATCCACCCACCCACCCATTCACCAAACTATTCATCTATCCATCCATTCATGGATACAACCATTCATGTACACATCCACCCACCCACCCATTCACCAAACTATTCATCTATCCATCCATCCATCCCTGCATACACCCACTCGTCGATCCATCCACTCATCCATTCACCCACCCATCTACCCATCCATCTGTCCATCCATCCATCTACCCACCCACCCATCTACCCATTCATCCATCCATCCATTTATTCATCCATCCATACATTCAGCCACCCATTTACTGAAACCTTATCTATCATCCATCCAGCCAGCCAGCCATTTATATACCCACCCGTTCATGCATCCATTCACCCACGCACCCATGTGTTTATCCATCCATTCATTCATCCACCCACATATCCACCTACCCATTCATCCAACCCTCCATCTATTCACCCATTCATCCATCCACCCACCCATCCATCCACTCACCCACCCATTTGTCCATGCATTCATTCATCCACCCATTTATTTATTCATCTACCCATTTATCTCTCAGTCAATCCATGCATCCAGATGTCTGTCCATTTATCCACACATCCACAACCCCCACCCATCCACCCATGTGTACTTCCATCCTCCCACTGACTCAGGAAACTTCATTTGAGCATCTGTACAGCCGACATTGCGTGTGGCTCAGACACCTCTTAACTGCCTTGGCTGCCCACAAGTACCTCACAGGAGGTCTCTGCTATAAATTGGGCTCAGCCCCTGGCAGTGGAGACCAGAAATAAAAAGTGATTTAAATAACACTGAAACAAACCTGACTTTTTAAATGGTAAGATTAAAAACGTACTCTTCTGTCCTGTAATGAGGTCAGGAGAGTTGGTCTGGGCCTGGCACAGCTGTCTTGCAGTGTCACCAGCCACCCTGGCACCTTTGCTCCATATATTCTGCCATTCTTGGAATAGGACCTCTACCCTCTGGAGGACTTCCTGCTCTAAGCTAGCTGCTGGAACTCCAGACATCACGTCATTATTCCAGGCAGGCCCAGCATGATGCAGAGAAAGCGAAAAGTGGGCTTGTTGGCCACCAGTCCCCCTCTTAAGGGACTCCTCAGAAGTTTCACCCAATAACTTTGGTTTACATTGATTTTATTAACCAGAACATAGATTTTTGGTTACACCTAACTGCAAAGGAGAATGAGGATATCGTCTTTCAGCTGTCACATTGCCAAAATCAGTAAATTCAAGGTCTCTTAATATAAGGGAAGAAAGAAAGGATATAGGATAGGCAACTGTAGTCTCACACGTGCATGAGGAATGGATGGAAGGATGGTGGACAGGAGCGCGTATGTAAATACTTTTTAGTCTTCTCAGGCTGCCATAATAAAATAGCATAGACTGGGTACTTAAACAAAAGGAATTTATTTTCTCACAGCTCTGGAGACTGGGAAGTCCAAGATCAAGGGGCTGGTTGGTTCAATTCCTGGTGAGGGCTCTCTTCTTGGTTTGCTGTGTTCTCACATGGAGGAGAGACAGAGCAAGCATGCCCTCTGGTATTTCTTCTTACAAAGGCACTAACTTTCCTGCATAGGGTCCTAACTTTACGATTTCATTTAACCTTAATTATTTCCTTGCTGCAAATACAGACACATGGGGAACAGAACTTCAACACACGAATTTGGGGAGTAGATACAACTCTGCTCATGGCACATATAAGCATGCATACTAAATGTGTGTGTGCATGTGGGTCAATGGAAAGATTGGAAGTCTCATTAATAGCACATATATGCATGCATACTATGTGTGTGTGCACGTGTGTCTGTATGGAAAGATAGGAAGCCTCATTATCTAAATGCCTAGCCTTTCGGGTGAGCTAATTTTTGTTGTGTATGCATTCAATTGAGTAATTAAGCTTCTCAAAGGCTGCCTCTCTTTGTTGGGCTCTCTGCCTGGTGCTGAGGTACAGACAAAGATGTGACTGCTCCACAGCTTATGGGGAGGCTCAGATAAACACGAATAAATCTAAATAAACACACATAAATTAAGGCCTATTTAAATAAACACTTGCTGCTCTCAGAAGCAGAGCCACGGCTGTTTGATTTTACTGCTGTATCCCACAGAGCAGATACTCAAAAAGCTTTGTTGAGGCTGGGCATGGTGGCTCCTCCCTGTAATCCTAGGACTTGGGGAGGGCTGAGACTGGGGGATCGCTTGAGGTCAGGAGTTTGAGACCAGCCTGGGCAATATAGTGAGACCCTGTCTCTAAAATAAAATAACCTGGGCATGGTGGTGCAGTCCTGTGGTCCCAGCTACTCAAGAGGCTGAGGTCAGAGGATCACTTGAGCCCAGGAGTTTGAGACCAGCCTGGGTAACATAGACCCCATCTCTAAAATTATAAAATTAGCCGGACATGGTGGCACATTCCTGTGGTCCCAGAGGCTCGGGAAGCTGAGATGGTAGGATCTCTTGAGTACAGGAGTTTGAGACCAGCCTGGGCAACACAGAGAGACCTCATCTCTGCAAAAAATAAAAATAAGCGAAAATAAACACAATATTTTTAAAAACATGAAAAAGCTTTGTTGAATAACCAGGCATGTTGAGAAATCACCAAGAATAGAGCACTGTAGGAACCTGGGGAGAAAAAAGCTGAGTTGTTGGTGCAGGAGCCAAGCAGTTAGGGGTACATGAAAGAAAATCGCTAGTGGGCTGCACCCTGGCAAATGCAGCTGGACGAAAGATCTGATGCTACTCATTCCCGAAGGTCACATTCTTAAGCTTGAATGGGTGGCAGAGTTGACCTGACTCAGGGTAATGGTACAGGAATATACATGTGCATATATATCATACTGCAAATGTATCCGTTTTGAATCTGACTCTCTAAGAATAATCTACAGGCCAGGTGCGGTGGCTCCCGTCTGTAATCCCAGCACTCTGGGAGGCCGAGGAGGGTGGATCACCTGAGGTCGGGGGTTCGAGACCAGCCTGACCAACATGGAGAAACCCTGTCTCTACTAAAAATACAAAATTAGCTGGGCATGGTAGTGCCTGCCTATAATCCCAGCTACTCAGGAGGCTGAGGCGGGACAATCACCTGAACCCGGGAGGTGGAGGTTGTGGTGAGCCAAGATCACGCCATTGCACTCCAGCCTGGGCAACAAGAGCAAAACTCTGTCTCAAAAAAAAAAAAAAAAAAAAAAAAAAAAGCCGGGCACGGTTGCTCACACCTGTAACCCCAGCACTTTGGGAGGCCGAGGCAGGTGGATCATGAGGTCAGGAGATCGAGACCATCTTGGCTAACACACGGTGAAAACCCGTCTCTATTAAAAATACAAAAAAATTAGCCAGGTGTGGTGGCGGGCGCCTGTAGTCCCAGCTACCTGGGAGGCTGAGGTGGGAGAATGGCATAAACCCGGGGGACGGAGGTTGCAGTGAGCTGAGATCGCACCACTGCACTCCAGCCTGGGCGACAGAGTGAGACTCCATCTCGAAAAAAAGAAAAAGAATAATCTAGACATCAGGAGAGCATCTGCTGGTCACAATTTGGGAGAACAGGGAGATAAGAACATCCAGCAGCCACCCATCCATCTATTCATCTGTCTGTCTATCCATGCACCCATCCACCCATGTATTTATCCATCCATCCATACATACATACATCCACCCACCCATTCATCCAACCCTCCATCTATCAACTCATTCATCCATCCATCCATTCATCCACCCACAATCCACCCCATCCACCCACCCGCCCTCAATTCATCCACCCACACATCTACCCATCTATCCATCTATCCATCCATCCACCTATCCATCCATCCACTCATCCTATCTGAATTGTGTCTGTGAGACTCCTCCATGGTGAAATTATTCTTTTCCTAATTTTTTATGTCATACACTTTGGAAGAAGTGGGGATCTGTGTCCACCTCCTTGATGGTGAGAGCAGCAGTCCCCAACCTTTTTGGCACCAGGGACTGGTTTCATGGAAGACAGTTTTTCCACAGAACCAAGGGTGGGAGGGATGGTTTTAGGATGATTCAAGCACATTACATTGTGCACTTTATTTCCATTATTATTATTATTATTATTATTATTATATTGTAATGTATAATGAAATAATTCTACAACTCACCATAACGTAGAATCAGTAGGAGCCTGTATTAGCCCATTCTCGCACTGCTATGAAGAACTACCTAATTTATGAAGGAAAGAGGTTTAATTGAGGGGGATGGTGCAAAACCATTCATGAAGGATCTGACCCCATGATCCAGTCACCTTCCACCAGGCCCCCACCTCCAACACTGGGGATTTCAGTTTGACATGAGATTTGGGCGGGGACACAGAGCCAAACCATATCACCACCAGCACAGCACCAAGCATCTTGCCACTCAGAAAGAATGCCAAAATTTCTCTCTAGACATATTTTATTTTTATTTTATTTATTTATTTATCTTTTGAGACAGAGTCTCGCTCTGTCACCCAGGCCAGAGTGAAGACGCACGATCTCGGCTCACTGCAACCTCCGCCTCCCAAGTTCAAGGGATTCTTGTGCCTAGCTGAGATTACAGGCACTTGCCACCATGTCGGGCCAATTTTTTTTGTAATTTTAGTAGAGACCGTGTTTCACCATGTTGGCCAGGCTGGTCTTGAACTTCTGACCTCAGGTGATCCACCCACCTTGGCTTCCCAAAGTGCTGTGATTACAGGTGTGAACCACCGTGCCCAGTCTAGACATACTGACATATTTCCTTTTTCTTTTTCTTTTTTTCTTTTCTTTTTTTTTTTTTTGAGACAGAGTCTTTTTCTGTCACCCAGGCTGGAATGCAATGGCGTGATCTCGGCTCACTGCAACCTCCGCCTCCTGGGTTCAAGCGAGTCTCCTGACTCAACCTCCCAAGTAGCTGAGATTACAGGCGTGCACCACCACACCAGGTTAATTTTTGTATTTTTAATAAAGACGGGGTTTCACCATGTTGGCCAGGCTGGTCTCGAACTTCTGACCTCAGGTGATCTGCCTGCCTCAGCCTCCCAAAGTGCTGGGATTACAGGCGTGAGCCACCATGCCCAGTCTAGATGTATTTTCTTCAAAGATGCACTTATCATTGGAAGTGGTTCTTTCTGACAGCTCCCCTGCCCCGATGCTTTCCTTCCTGTTCCATGGAGTTCCATGTTCTGTGCTGTGTAGTTTGATTTTCAGTCCTCCTTTGAATTCTGCAGCTGTGTATTTAGACCCATTTCCCAGGCCAGTAAACAAAGCCCCGTGGGCAAGAAACCACAGATCCCCCCATAGAAAGTGGGAGAAAATGCCAGTGTGCAATAGTGTGTGCATGTGTGTGTGTGTGTACGTGCATGTATGTGTGTGTGTATGCATGTGTGTGTGTGTGCATGCATGTGTATGTGTGTGCATGCAGATGGAATATAATTATAACCTGCGTGTGTGTGCAGTATAAAATATATAAAACTGGTTTGGAGAGCAGGGTATGAAAAGTCCAAAGTCAGAAGAACTAATCCTTGGCTGTGGGTGGTGGCTCATACCTGTAATACCAGCACTTCGGGAGGCCGAGGCCGGCAGATCAGTTGAGGTCAGGAGTTCGAGACCAGCCTGGCCAACGTGGTGAAACTCCATCTCTACTAAAAATACAAAAATTAGCCAGGCGTGGTGATGGGTGCCTATAGCCGTAGCTACTCAGGAGACTGAGGCACAAGGATCGCTTGAACCTGGGAGGTGGTGAGCTGAGATCGTGCCACTGCACTCCAGCCTGGACAACAGAGTGACACTCTGTCTCAATAAATAAATAAATAGAAGAAGAACTAATTCTTAAAAATTAAAGACACATGGAAGGTTTCCGCAGGAGGCTGGGAGCTACCAAGGGTTAGGTTGAAATGTGCAACGTGGCCACGTGGGTCCCTCGGAAATGGTCAGAACATGGTTATTTCTTGAGGTTCCACTGGTGAAATAAACGGGAAACATGGAGGCTGCCCCAGCAGTGAGTTCCCCATCCCTTCTTCAGCCTAGTTTGTGGCCTTCAAAAGATGCTTCCCGTGGCACCTGGATACAATTCAGAAGGCTTTTTCAATTAATTTAATTTTCATTCTGGAGGTTACGGCCTCTTGGTGCCAGTTCCAGAGGGTCTGCAGAATATTATGGAAATTCATATTTGGAGCCAAAGAATGGCAGCGTTAAAAAAAAATAAAGAAAAAAGGCAAAAGGCATCTAACTAAATGAATTAGAAACAGAAGTCTTCCAAATGCTTACCTGTGAGAACATAGATAAAAAGCCTCAAAGCCTGGCTTTCAGAAGCTGATGTTGCATCTTTATTATGGCTGGCGAGAATGACCTGCGCCCTCCCTGAAAGGCAGCCAGAGTCTAGACTCTACTGGAACATAATGGACAGTCAGAGGAGGGAAGCTTCACCTGCAGTGCCGTCCAAATGTCAGAGGCTGGAGATGGTCCAGGGGAGGGCCTTTCTTTTGGCGGTAATGGGGGTGAAGCAGGAAGCTCACAGGGAGAGGGGTGTTTGGAGTGTGAGACAGCAGGAAGACCCTGCGTTCTTTTTATCTCTGCTTCATCCCAAGTCAGACTTGCCTCAGGATGCCAAAATGCCCGGGCAGCTCCAGCATCCTCTTGCTCCTCAAAATGAGCCCCCAGGGTCCTCCTACTTGCCCTGACCTAGGATCCACACCCTCCCTTGACCCCAGCCCAGGACTGTGGCCAGGGAAAAAGAAAGTGCTAATTGATAGAGAGTCAATGCCACGTGGGGAGGTCGGGGGAGAGGTGCAGGAGAAAATACCAGAGAAGGAGCTCTGGTTGGGTAGTTCATCCGGGTTCACTCCAAGAGGTAACACTTTAAAGGTGGTGTTCCCATGAAGAACGATTACATTTTCCTCATACTTCTAAAGTGCAATTATGTTGCTGGGGTTTTGCTGGCCGAAAAGAAAACGAAAAAGAAAAGAAAAAACCTTCCGGTGTGCAAGCTCACACTGTTACTTTTTAAGATGTGCATCACTCACACCACCGAGCTCACATTGCTGAGCAGGTCTCTGGGGCACAGGCCCAGCCCCTCTAGCCTTGCAGGTTTCTGACCTAGGGGTGCAGGTGACCTAGGGAGGGGTGGGTATGGCCGCAGGCAGGGGATAGCTCAAGACCATTTGACCCAGCAATCCCATTACTAGGTATATACCCAAACGATTATAAATCATTCTACTATAAAGACACATGCACACGTATGTTTTTGCAGCACTAGTCACAATAGCAAAGACTTGGAACCAACCCAAATGTCCATCAATAATAGACTGGATAAAGAAAATGTGGCACATATACACCATGGAATATACGCAGCCATAAAAAAGGATGAGTTCATGTCCTTTGCAGGGACACGGATGAAGCTGGAAACCATCATTCTCAGCAAACTATCACAGGAACAGAAAACCAAACACCGCATGTTCTCACTTATAAGTGGGAGTTGAACAATGAGAACACATGGACACAGGGAGGGGAACATCACACACCAGGGCCTGTTGGGGGGTGGGGTGCAATGGGAGAGAGAGCATTAGGAGAAATACCTAATGTAGATGATGGGTTGATGGGTGCAGCAAACCACTATGGCGTGTGTATACCTATGTAACAAAACTGCACGTTCTGCACATGTACCCCAGAACTTTTTTTTTTTTTTTTTGAGACGGAGTCTTGCTCAGTCGCCCAGGCTGGAGTGCAGTGCCACGATCTCGGCTCACTGCAAGCTCTGCCTCCCGGGTTCACGCCATTCTTCTGCCTCAGTCTCCTGAGTAGCTGGGACTACAGGCGCCCGCCACCACGCCCGGCTAATTTTTTTTTGTATTTTTAGTAGAGATGGGGTTTCACCATGTTAGCCAGGATGGTCTCAATCTCCTGACCTCGTGATCCACCTGCCTCGGCCTTCCAAAGTGCTGGGATTACAGGCGTGAGCCACCGCGCCCAGCCTGTACCCCAGAACTTAAAGTATAATAATAACAATAATAAAAAGACAGGTGTTATCTCAGAGCCCCTGACTCAGTCGGCTGGGCAGCAAGTATGCCAGCCCAGGAATGGGCCAATAGATGAGGCAGGGCTTTGTAAACCAAAAATAAAATTCTTTAAGAGGCTGGAGTGGGTGGATCACTTGAGGTCAGGAGTTCCAGACTAGCCTGGCCAACATGGCGAAACCCCATCTCTACTAAAAATATAAAAATTAGCCAGGCGTGGTAGCAGGTGCCTGTAATCCCAGCTACTCAGGAGGCTGAGGCAGGAGAATCGTTTGAACCTGGGAGGTGGAGGTTGCAGTTAGTTGAGATGGTGCCACAGCACTCTAGCCTGGCCGAGAGAGTAAGACTCCGTCTCAAAAACTAAATAAATTAATAAAATAAAATAAAATTCTAAGCCCCCACCGCCCCCCACCTTCAAAACATCTGAATGGACTTCTTCCTCAGCCAGAGCTCTTTAAAAATTTAACCTGAGAGAGTGTTTCAAGCCGTGACGGGAAGCAGGGGTTGAACATGCCTCCCGGTGCCTCTCCGGCGTTAACATCCACACAGCCTTTAAGTTTGAGAAGAAACATTTTACAACCTCTTCTCTCTGACCCTAGCACCGGAAGGGTTCCTGTTCAAATAAGAACTTGAGTCTTCACAATTCTTTATCTTAACCCAGACATTCTTTTCTATTGATCCCAGGACTTTAAAGAAACCCAAGCAATTGCCAATCAGAAAATTCTAAAATCTACCTATAAGCTGGAAGCCTCCTGCTTTGGGTTGTCCCGCCTTTCTGGACAAAACCAATGTGTCTCTTAAATTTCATTGATGTCTCATGCCTCCCTAAAACGTATAACACCAAGCTGCACCCCGACCACCTTGAGGACACGTTCTCGGGACCTCCTGAGGGCTGTGTCATGGGCCATGGTCACTCATATTTGGCTCAGAATAAATCTCTTCAAATATGTTAGAGTTGGACTCCTTTCTCTTTTTTTCTTTTTTCTTTCTTTTTTTTTGAGACGGAGTCTCGCTCTGTCACCCAGGCTGGAGTGCAGTGGCCTGATCTTGGCTCACTGCAACCTCCATCTCCCCGGTTCAAGCGATTCTCTTGCCTCGGCCTCCTGAGTAGCTGGGACTACAGGTGCACACCACCACACGCGTCTAATTTTGTATTTTAGAAGAGACAGGGTTTCACCTTGTTGGTCAGGCTGGTCTCCAATTCCTGACCTCAGGTGATCCACCCGCCTCGGTCTCCCAAAGCGCTGGGATTCCAGGCGTGAGCCACCGCGCCCGGCCTAGTTTGACTCTTTTCGTGGACAGTTTGAAGTGTGGAATGCAAGAATATTCAGGGTTATTTGTCAGGCTGCAAAGTTGTTCCACTACCCTGCGGGAAAATGGATACAATTTTAGGCTTAGGTGTTAACAGATAACATTGTTAAGTGTGGGAAGGGCGACAACTGCACTGCAGCTGTGGCCAGTGGCGCGGGAGGGTGTCTAAACTCAAAGCCCACTGGAAGGCGAGTCGCCCATGACCAGGACTAGGGCCCAGGTGCCCCAGATAGAAGGCACCTCGTTCCCTATTGCCCCTCACTAACTCCCGTGACCAGGAGTCCCCACTCCCAACCTTGTCCTGGGGATTCTGGGGAGAAACTGCCCCAGCGCAGAGGCTACTCCAAGGGTTGTCCTTGGTCCGGCGCAAAGGGTTCGTCCGCCACCCTCCCGGCTGCGCACCCCGCGCTCGGACGCTCTAGAAAGGACTTGGGACGGGGGTTGCCTGTGGAGCGGGGGCCTAGGCTTCCTGAGCAGGGAGAGGATTGCACTTTGCTCCCCTTGGGGAACTCCCTGAGGTGAGCAGCGGGGAGGGGCCCCCATACTTTTCCCAGCAGGGGAGCCGGGAGTTTCCTCTGCTCCCACTGCAGAGCAGGGGAGGGTCCCTGCTAGGGGCGGAGAAGGGGCTGCAGGGGCGAGTGGGGAGGGGGGCTACACGTTTCCAAGAAGGGCGGCAGTTTCGTGTCGCTACAGTTGCAGGCGTGCATTTAGGAGGCTGTAGACAGGGAGGGACCCGCACTTTCCCGAGCAGGGGAGCTGCTGGGAAAGTTTGTTTTTTTGCTCCCACTGGAGACCAGGGGGTGAGGGGCGGAGAAGTGGCTGCAGGGGCGAGTGGGGAGAGGGGGCTCTATGTTTCCAAGAAGGGCGGCAGTTTTGTGCCACTACAGTTAAGGGCCGCCCTCGGGCGTGCATTCAGAGGGCTGTAAACCGGGAGGGACCCGCACTTTCCCGAGAACGTTGTAGTTCACTTTGCTTCGGGTCGGCGCCGCCCTGGCTACGGCCCTGTGGGTGGGTGAGGGGGCGTGGGCAGTTTCCTGAGAAGGGGCGGGGCGTGTACCGTACTCCCCTCGGCGCTGCCTGGGCCACCCCCGCCCGCCTACCCCCTCTGTCTCCTCCCCGGGCCCGGCGTTCCCGCCCCTTCTGTGCGCGCGTGGAGGCCGGGGCGGGGCGGGCGCAGCCGGCGCTGAGCTTGCAGGGCCGCTCCCCTCACCCGCCCCCTTCGAGTCCCCGGGCTTCGCCCCACCCGGCCCGTGGGGGAGTATCTGTCCTGCCGCCTTCGCCCACGCCCTGCACTCCGGGACCGTCCCTGCGCGCTCTGGGCGCACCATGGCCCGCGGGGCTGCGCTGGCGCTGCTGCTCTTCGGCCTGCTGGGTGTTCTGGTCGCCGCCCCGGGTGAGCGAGCGGAGGGATCCGGGTTGGGGGACGCGGAGGGCGCGGGCCGGGACTGGGGATCCGCTTGAGATGCGGCGTTGGGGGCGCCCCGCGGGGACACCCGGAGCCTCCTCCCTGCCCGGCAGGACGCGCTGTGCCCACGGGGGCCCAGGCCCGGAGGAGGCGCCCACTTTCTCCCCAACGCTTTTCCTGGAGCCGTTCCAGAGAGAAAAGTCAGCGTTTGTTGTCGGAGTTGCAAACTCTTACATGTGGGGCGGCCTTGGGAGAGGTGCGTCCGATTTTTCCCAATCTAGGGGACCTTCTTACAGATCTCTCTCCCTTTGCATGAGCCCCTCACCCCACCCCGTTATCTACCCCCAGGGTTTGGGGACCTGCGTCTTCAGGCCGCGCGCGGAGGCCGCCCTGGAGTTGCCTGTCACAGCCACGCCCTGCGTCCCGGGCCTAAATTTGGAATCGCTAGGAGCCTGAGACCCGGGTGGTGGGGGGAAGGGAAGGAAAAGTTAGAAAAAAACTTTGAGCCCTGAAAATGTTCAAAAATACTCTGTGGATGCGGGCTCCGGGAATTTCAGCGCGTGCTGTGCGCCAAGCAACACGGGGCGCAGAAAGAAACGTGTGCTTACCAAATTGTCCATCTGCGGCGGTGGAGAATTCGGAAAACAGAAAAAGTGGGCAGGGAAGAAAGAGCCACGGTCACCCTCCCACGCCCTAAACCGGGCCTATTTCTAATTATTACTTTAATCATGTTTTTCTGTTTCCCTCCCTTTGAAACGGAAACGGAGACCCTGCCGGATGTGGTATGTTATAAATTCTTTTTTCATGTTATAAATTCTTTTTTCAATGGTCAGTGCATTTTTTGCTCTTCGTATGGGCAGGCTTTTAAGTAGACCGGCTTGCGGGCAGTGTGGACTTCAGGACGGGCCTTATCAGGGCTGGACGTATTTAGGAAGGAGACGCGGGAACGCCCGGCCCTGGGGAGGACGGAGGAGGCCCGATTTGTGTTGATAGGATCTAGCTCAGCCTAGAGCTGCGGTGACTAGGCCGGGTCTCTATTTTTAGGGAGGAGTTGCTAATGGATTTACACCCTCTTTAAAGGGGTCCCGGGTATCCTAGAAATTGTGCTTTCACTTGGTAGAGATTAGAGATAATGAAGCCTGCTCCGTAGAGGAAAACTTGGAGGACTTTCCAGCCTGCAGGGGAGGTTCCAAGCAGAGCTTCCTGTTTCTCCCTTTTCTTCCTAAATGTCCTTCTTGCGGGCAACCTGTCACCACGGACGGGATGGCTCTGTAGGGTTTTATCAGCTGCATTTGTTCCCCAGGCACCTGCAGATGAACGGGTTTTTCACTTGTCTCTCTGCGAATGCATTCCTTCATCCTTCATGCCTGCCTTCCTTCTTTTGCACCTACTGTGGGCTTGGGGTCAGGGAAATATATCCAAGGGAGTGCTGGTGGCCTAAGAATTCAGTTTCCTGGAGAACAGAGGCATCTGAACAGGCAGACGGGAGACAGGGCCACAGGGACCTTTATAGTTCCATCACGAAATAACTCAGGGGTTCCCAGTGGTAAATCTTGGTGAGGGGCTTGGCTGGATTTTGAAGCCCTAGGGACAGATTTGCCGGCTGGTCTGGCGTTCCAGGTCATTGGAGCAGAGTGAGTGGAAAGCCTTATATTCTCTAAGCCCCAAACAAGTCGTTGCACAGTTTTTTTGTTTTTGTTGGTGGTGGTGGTTTTTTTTTTTTGGACGGAGTTTCACTCTGTCACCAGTCTGGAGTGTAGTGGCACGATGTCGGCTCATTGGCGTTGCACAGTTTTTAAACCCACAGCAGTGTTCATCTGGAACTCCTGATTTTGGAAGCAGACTGGGCTTAGGAACTCCAGCTGCTGATGCTTTGAGTAAAGGGAAGAGTACCTGTCTATGGGGTGGGTGGGTAGGGAAGAGCAGTGGGATAGGGGCATAACAGGGGCCAACCTATCCTTCCAATTGCAGAGGAGGGCCTGGCCGTCAGCACTGATGGATCTCCTTGAGGGACGCTTCTCACCCCTTCTTTGCAGTCTGACCCTGCTAGAGATGGAGACAGAAACAGCCTGTCCCAATAATATTAATACACGTTTCATCGGGAAAGTTGACTTTTGAGTTGGTGATGCTCAGAACACACTTTCTTATAGCAACGTGCATCAGGCTGCAAAACCCCGTTGAGCCTGAAGTAGGTTCTCAGACTGGTGCTGATAGCTCTGGCCTGATCTCAGAGTGTTGGGGACCCTGTGTTCCTTGGTTCCTTCATAAATTCTCAGGGGTACAGGTGGGATGTGGTGAGGGATGGATGGACAGAGGGAGGTGTATAGAGGAAAAGAGGAGGCTTCAGCTTTGTAGAGAGCAGGATGTCCCCACAGGGCGACGTTGGCCCCGAGGAGACACTTTGTGATGGTTGCAGACATTTTTGGTTGCCACCCTGGGGTGGGACATCCCACCATCCTGCAATGGGTGGGGCAGCTTAGGGAAGCTGCTCAGAATCTTTCAAGGGCCAGGACGGCCTCCAGCACAAAGAATTCATCTGGTCCCAAATGCCAGTGGTGTTGAGGGTGGAAAACCCTGAGGAGGGCTTGGGAGTTGCATGTATGCGCTGATTCAGGGCTGCCCCTGCAGTTAGGAGCCTGCCGTCCCGACAGTAGAGTCGCACACATCCGATGCATCCCTGCTCTCTGGCAAAGGCTGATTTGCCCCACCCCCCGGGGCAACGGCACAGCGGCCTGTGCGGTTTGAAAAACTCCAAACATCTACGGAACCGACATCTCTTGAACAATACCAGGCCTCTTCAGGATTCCCTCGCCCCAGTAGAGCAAGTGTGGGCTTCGTTGTTTTTTTTTTTTTTTAACTCTCTCCAGAGCTCTTGTCTCCTGCCCCTGTGGGTGTGTGTGGAAGTTATTAGGAGAATGTTTCTGGGCAGAGGAAGTGGGTTTTATCATCCAGCGAGTTTGCCTTGATTTTCCATCAGCGCGTTTGGCTCTGGTAAAAGTTGATTGCTTTGCATTTAACTCCCTACTTTAGGCCGAGCACGGTGACTCAGGCCTGTAAATCCCAGCACTTTGAGAGGCCGAGGGCCGGTGGGTCACATGAGGCCAAGAGTTCGAGACCAGCCTGGCCAACATGGCAAAACCCCGACTCTACTAAAAATACAAAAATTAGCCGGGCGTGGTGGTGAGCGCCTATAATCCCAGCTACTCAGGAGGCTGAGGCAGGAAAATCACTTCAGCCCGGGAAGCAGAGGTTGCAGTGAGCTGAGATCGTGTCACCGCATTATGGCCTGGGTAACAGAGAGAGACTCAGTCTCAAAGAAAAAAAAAAACTTCCTGCTTTAGCTCTTTCTCCTTTCTCTGTGTATGAGACAGAGTTTTCATGTAAAGACAAATACATGTCTTTACACTTTGGAGATACTCAAGTAAATGATTGTTTGTCTGGAAATCATTTTTCTTCCTGAAGGTCCTATGGTGGGTACATGCTGTCATTTAGAAAGAAATGCAGCTCATACAATACTTTTCCCAATTCAGCATTTAGGAATCATGGCGGGATTTCATGGATACTGTCTGGAATGTTTTCGGACTCAGATATCTTCCCCCGGGGAAATAGACTTCTCAGTAGCCACGTGGACCTTGTGCTGGTTTTCAGTCCTGCTGAAAATGTTCTGAGCACTCTTGTTACTTTAGGGGAAAAGAATTACGTGTCCTTTGTGATTTATAGACACAGTAAGAAATAAGACCTGTGTGTCTCTCGGGGTGCGAAGGAGGAAAAGTCTTTTTTTTTTGAGATGGAATTTTCCTCTGTTGTCCAGGCTGGAGTGAAGTGGCACGATCTCAGCTCATGGCAATCTCTCCATCTCAGGTTCAAGCAGTTCTCCTGCCTCAGCCTCCCAATTAGCTGGGACTACAGGCATGCACTGCATATCTGGCTAATTTTTGTATGTTTAGTAGAGAAGGGGTTTCACTATGTTGACCAGGCTGAAAAATATTTTTTTGAGGTGGGGTCTCTGTTGCCCAGACTGGAGTGCAGGGGTGCAATCAGGGCTCACTACAGCCTCCACCTCCTGGGCTCAAGCAATCCTTCCACCTCAGCCTCTGTAGTAGCTGGGACTACAAGCACACACCACTGTGCCTGGCCACTTTTAAATTTTTTTGTAGAGACAGGGTCTTGCTATGTTGCCCAGACTGAAAAAAAAGTCTTTTTTTTTTTTTTGAGACAGTGTCTCACTGTGTCACCCAGGCTGGAGTGCAATGGCAGGATCTTGGCTCACTGCGACCTGTGTCTCCCGGGCTCAGGCAATTCTCCTGCCTCAGACACCTGAATAGCTGGGAATACAGGCACATGTCACCACACCTGGCTATTTTTTGTATTTTTAGTAGAGACGGTGTTTCACCCTGTTGGACAGGCTGGCCTCAAACTCCTGGCCTCAAGTGATCTGCCCACCTTGGCCTCCCAAAGTGCTGGGATTACAGGTGTGAGCCACCTGAAAAATCATTGTAAAAATCAACTGTCCTACATTCTTATTTGGAAGTGACTCCTCTAACCAAAGACAGGGAAAAACAAACCAAACTTTATTAACATGCGTTTTTCATTGATACATGAGAGATACCTAGAAATGGGTAGTTTTCAAGGAAGTGGCTTGGATTCTAGCTGCTCTAGTACCCTCAACAAAGAACAGTCCATTTTTAGAGAATTGGCAGAGAAAGACAAAGGACTTTGAGTCTTCAGGGGCAGCAACAAAATGGCAGAGAAAGGCTGGTTATTGAAGCTTGTTCATTCTGAGTCCTGTGTTCCATGTCCCAGGCCCATGTGGATTTTCTGCTGTCTTCCGTGCTTCACCTCTGTTCTCCCAGTTGGGGAGGTGGGGTTCGGATTGCTTGTGAATGTGGGCTCATCGTTGCTGGTGTAGCTGCAGGCTGCAGGCTGTCCAGGGCTTGAGGATTTGCTGATATTCTTTCTTTTCTTTTCTTTTTATTTTGAGATGAAGTCTCGCTCTTTTTCCCCAGGCTGGAGTGCGATGGTGCGATCTCGGCTCACTGCAACCTCTGCCTCCCAGGTTCAAGCAATTCTCCTGTCTCAGCCTCCTGAGTACCTGGGATTACAGGTGCCCGCCACCACACCTGGCTAATTTTTGTATTTTTTTAGTAGAGGTGGAGTTTCACCATCTTGGCCAGGCTGGTTTCGAACTCCTGACCTCAGGTGATCCGCCCGCCTCGGCCTCCTAAAGTGTATTCTTTTTTGATTTATTCCCAGTCTCTTGGCTGAAACATGGTAGCTCACCAGCATTTCTACTCCCATTTGTCCAACTGACGGTATCTTTTCACATCTCTAGAGACCAGAAGGACTTCCTCTTCTTGAATTTCCTGTTCAGTATTCTTTCTTGGCTTGGTTCCTTGGTGAGTTTTGAGGAGATGGTGCATGGGTGTGTTTTTCGGCTTTGTTTTAGTATGACTCAGGGTTGCCACCATGCCTTGTACGGTCTCCTAGTCATAGTATTAAAGTTTCCGCTTAGCAGGAAACCAGAAACTTCCTTTCTTCTCCCCCAGAGTCAGATTCAAACCAGTGTTTCTCAAGTGGGCTGTGAAAGTAGCTTGCAGCCACCCACCTTGCAAAGAAGAAAATTCAACAGAGGAGAGGAGAAAATGCCCACAGGGTACATGGAAAGCCTTGCTAAAGAAGCCGCATGGGCAAAGCTTTTGTTCCGCTCCCTCTGTCCCGGTGGGCTGGGCTGAGATATAATATATGTTTGTCATTGTGGACGGCAGCTGGATGAGTCTGAAAGCGGTTGCAAACCCCTTTAATTCACTTTGCTTTCTCAACTTTGAATGGTGTCGTGGGCTGGGGTGGGTCCCCTGTTTTTGAGAATCACCTGAAAGAGTCTGATTTTCTGCATCTTTTCGGGGAGTAAAGCTGTTGCTCCAAAGCGCTGTTTAAAAGCTGATAATAGTGTATCTGGTTGAGCTAACAGCCCTTCTTGAGGAGGCAGCAGACTGGCCAGAGGGTTCTGCAGGCATTACTCATCAGCGACACCTGAGTTTGCCCAGGTAGCCTGACTCTTGTTTGTTTCTGCTTTGCCTGACCCTGCAAAATTATTGTCCAAATGCACCCTGGCAAGCATTGATCCACGAGGGGATGCTGACCAGAAGGAGCTTTCGTTTCTGCACGATGGACTGGAACACGATGGACTGGAATGATGACAAGAATAAACACACTGCATTGTCTTTTAGGGCCAATGGACTTGGAGGCATAGAGATTTTATAACTACTGCCAGAACCCAAATATTGCCAGTCGGCCTCTTCTGCTGCTGTTGCTAGCTGTCTTCTTCTGGGGGAAATGGGTTGGGTTCTAAATATGAATTAACACAGGGCTGTCTTCGATGAATTCAGCACAAAATGTTCTCAGCAATTGAACACTCGGAGAGAAGTGTTAGGCATTTAGTGCAGACTCATAGAATAGCAGGACAGGGAGGGATTTGGATCTGGGCAAGCAGGAGATGGATATGAACATCTGTCTTTTGAGACCGTGCCGAGGTGGCAATGAAGGTAGAGGCCCCCTGTGTTGAGGTCTTTACTCAAGAGGCTGTGGTCCTTTGGGACTAACATAGCATCCGATAGACAGACAAGATGGACAGCTACAGCCACCTATGGGAAGCGGTTTCTACTCTTAAACCACAAGCCCCTAGACACTCATCATATCATAAACATATCACCGGGCAGTGGCTTGCAATCTTTTTTTTTCTTTGTTTCTTTTTTTTTTTTTTTTTAGACTTGCCCAGGCCGGAGTGCAGTGGCACGATTGTAGCTCACTGCAGTCTTGACCTCCTGGGTGCAGGTGAATCTCTCACCTCAGCCTTCCAAGGAGCTGGGACCACAGGCATGTGCCACCCTCAGCTAATTTTTAAAATCTTTTTGTAGAATCGGAGTCTGACTACATTGCCCAGGCTGGTCTTGAACTCCTGGGCTCAAGCAAACCTCTCGCCTCAGCTTCCCAAAGTGCTGGGGTTACAGGCGTGAGCCACCATGCTCAGCCTGCAATCATTTTTTTTGAGACAGGATCTCACTCTGTCGCCCAGGCTGAAGTGCAGTGGTGTGATCTCAGCTCACTGCAGCCTCGAACCCCCAGGCTCAGGTGACCTGCCCACCTTAGCCTTCTGTGTAGTTGGGACTATGGGCACATGCCACCACACTCAATTAATTTTTACCTTTTTTGTAGATACAGAGTTTTGTTCTGTCGCCCAGGCTGGTGGACATATTTTAATCCTACAGAGTCCAGGCTAAAAACACACCAGTAACTGTGATGCCCATCCCTCCTGCATTCCTGATTTCTGAGTGATGGTTTCAGACACAAACCTGCTTGACCACCCTCCAGTAGCTCTTGCTGACCTAGATCCGAGGTTCTCAGCTTTGGCCCCATTGCGGGAAGCTTGGAAACGTCACTCTTGCCCAGGGTTACCTGGGTAGTCTGGTTTATAGACGTGTTAGGTGTTTTAATTTTTTTTTTTTTTTGAGACAAGATTTTGCTCTGTCACCCAGGCTGGAGTGCAGTGGTACAGTCATAGCTCACTGCAGCCTCAACCTCCTGGGTTCAAGCAGCCCACCTACCTCAGCCTCGAAAGAAGCTGGGACCACAGGTGCACCTCACCATACCCAGCTAATCTTTTCTTTCTTTTTGTTTTTTTCTTTTCTTTCCTCTTCTTTTCTTTTCTTTTGTTTTCTCTTCTCTCTTTTCTTTCTTCTTCTTCTTTTTTTTAGACAGAGTCTTGCTGTGTTGCCCAGGCTGGAGTGCCTTGGTGCAATCTTGGCTCACTGCAACTTCCGCCTCCCTGGTTCAAGTGCCTCTCTTGCCTCAGCCTCCTGAGTAGCTGGAACTACAGGCACGCACCACCACGCCTGGCTAATTTTTGTATTTTTAGTAGAGACGGGATTTCACTATGTTGGCCAGGATGGTCTCGAACTCCTGACGTCGTGATCTGCCCACCTCGGCTTCCCAAAGTGCTGGGATTACAGGTGTGAGCCACCGCGCCCAGCCTTTTTTTTTTTTTTTTTTTTAAATTACAGAGTCTCACTCTGTCACCAGGCTGGAGTGCAGCGATGCAATCTTGGCTCGCTGCAACCTCTGCCACCCAGGTTCAAGTGATTCTTCTGCCTCAGCCTCCCTCAGGCGTGAGCTGGCACGCCCAGCCAAATTTTTCATTTTTTGTAGAGACAGGGTCTCCCTATGTTGCCCAGTTTAGTCCTGAACTCCTGAGTTCAAGCCATCCACCTGCCTTGGCCTGGCAAAGTCTTGGGTTTATAGGCGGGAGCCACTGCATCCCGCTATTAGGAATTTTTAAAAAGCCCCTCGGAGGGTCTTCATGTGTGGCTGAGTTGTCAAGAATCATTGTTATTTTACTAGATATTCTGTTTCTTCCCTCCTACATGAGATTTCCCATGACCGCCTCTCGGATGTGAATGTCTATGCCATGGATTACATTTTTCAAAGAGCATTCAGTTTGTTATTTCATCTTCAGCGAGCCCTTAAGATATTTCTCATGGGCCTTTTGTAGATAAAGACACTGGGGTCAGAGAGTTCAGGAGCTTGCTGGTGATCACATGGTCAGCATGGGGAAAAATGCATGTGGACATGAGTTCTGTTGGTGGTGAGACGTGGGCACAGGGGTTGCTGGGCTTGGGAGTTGGTGGCTGCGTGTGTGGGCTGAACAGAGCTCCCCAGGCACGGCCTTGTGGACCTTGAGGGATGCCTGCCTTCACCACTAGTGTGACTTGAAGGGGAGGAGAATGTCCTGAATCAGTGATGGGCATTTTGATATGGAAGAGAACTCCCTTGAATCCTGGTGGTGAACTTAGACCAGTCACTGAGGCCTCTCCAGCTCCTCAGGGTCTCCGTGTTCTAGGTATCCATGTGTCCTTCCATCCATTTATCCATCCATTTATGCATCCATGCATCCATCCAGCCATGCATCCTCCTTTTATCCATCCATCCATCAACCCATCCTCCCATTCATTTACCCATCCATCCGTTCGTCCATCCATCCATCCATCAACCCATCCTCCCATTCATTTACCCATCCATCCATTCATCCATGCATCCATCCATCCATGCGTGCATCCATCCATCCATTTATCCATCCATCCATCCATCCATCCGTCGTCCCATTCCTTTATCCATCCGTTAATGCACCTGTCCATCCATCCATCCATTCTCCATTCATCTTTCCATCCATGCATCATCCATGCATCCATCCTTTTAGTTCATCCAGCCACTCATCAATTGATACATCCATCTGTCCACCATCCACTCATCTATCCATCCATTCACCCATCCTTTCATCAATTTACCCATCTACCATCCATCCATTTATCCGTTCACCCATTCATCTATCCATCTGTCCATCCATCCACCTATCTGTTCATCCATCCATCCATTCATCTATCCATCCATCCACCTACTCACCCACCCACCCATCCATCCACCCACCCAACCATCCATCCACCCAACCATCCATCCATACCTCCATCCGTCTACCCACCCACTCATCCACTTAACTACCCATCCATCCACTTATCCATGCATTCATCCATCCATCCACCTACCTACTCACCCACCTAAACTCATCTATCCACTCAACCATCCATCCACCTATCCACCCTTACCTCCATCCATCCCCTTACTGCCCATCTTTCCACTCATCCCATCCAACTACCCATCCATCCACCCAGCTGTCCACCCAACCATCCACCCACTCACTAATTTATCCACTCACCCACGCATGCATCCATCCATCCATCCATCCACCCACCCATTTACCCACCCACCCATCCATCCACTTACCTGCCTGTCCATCCACCCTCCCAGTCCATGGCTCTTTCATGTATTCCTTCAGCCAGCATAGGTTGAAGTTAAATGTACTATTGGTGCTATTTGCTGTGGTCCCTGTTTTTTGTTCTCTGCTTTGGAGGTAACAACCAGGGCATCAATTTGGGCATAAAAGCACCATTGTGGATGGAAGGCCTGGATGTCTGGAGGCACAGAGCAGGGACTACACTTGTTCAGGGGGTCAGAGAGAGTTCTCCCAGGAGGGGCCCTCCCTGGACACTGAGCTTCCAAGAATGAGCAGAGGAAACCAGGTGTAAGGAAGAGGAAGGGCCTCTTCTCAGCCTGGTAGACAAGCAGTAAGAGTGATGATGGGGCAGCTGCAGTTCATCTCAGACTAGAGGAGCTGCAGGGGCCAGATGGTGGGCAACCTCTGTTGCCACTGCTGAGGAGTGCAGATTTAAGCTCCCCTGAAGGGTTTGACGCAGACAGCTGTGCGGGGACGCTTAACCTGCCTAAGGCCCGTCTTTGGGTAACAGCATGCAGAACAGGTGGGAGGGGCTGGGGCTATTTTTGGCAGAGCGTGGATAAGTCAGTGGAGATAGAAGAGAAGGCACAAGCTATTTTAGGAGATATTGAGGAAGTTAAAATCTGTAACAGGTCCCTGCCTGCAGAGTTGACCACACGTTTGCATCACATGGGTAGGCTTTAAAATATAGATGCCTGCATCTCACCTTGGAAAGTTTCTGATTTAATTAGCCTGGGCATCAGGACTTAGGAAAACCCCACAGATGTGTGTAATTTGCTGCTGGAGTTGAGAACTGGGGTGCGGAGCTGTGCTCCTTAAACTGTAATGTGCTTACAGATCACCTCTGGTAATACTTGTGAGAAAGCGCTTCAGGTGGGCTAGGGAGAGGATCACGGAGGGCTTCCTGGAGAAGGTGACATTCTCCCAGGGCCTTGAGGGGTGAATAGACATTTTCCAGGTTCAGAAAGAAGGAATGGGCTTTCATGGCCAGGTAGAGGATCCAATGAGGCAGACGAGGGGCCCAAATTCTGTGACCCCCTACCCCTACCCCACCCCCAGGATGCCCCTGTATCAGTCCCATGGTGTAACAACCAAATTCACAAGATGCTGCAGAGGGGAAGAGATTTTAAATTTTCTGAGAAAGACAATGATATATTTTGGACACCATGAGAAATACTGTTATTAACTTGTTTTAACCTAGGTACACGCAATCTTCATCATTCAGTGATTCTGTATTTGTGACTTGCCTGCTTACTAAAATGTATTTGTCATCCCCACATCAATATTCCTGGCATTTAATTTTTTTATTTTAAACTTTCATTTTAGGTTCGGGGATACATGTGAAAGTTTGTGACTTAGGTAAACATGTGTCATGAGGTTTTGTTGTACAGATTATTTCATCACTGTGGTATTAAACCCAGGACCCAATAGTTACCCTTTATGTTCTTCTCCTTACCCTCGGCTATTTTGTTCATGCACAGAACGGCAAAAAAATTGAACTTTTTTTTTTTATTTTTTTTGGATGGAGTCTCCCTCTTTCGCCAAGGCTGGAGTGCAGTGGCGTGATCTTGGCTCACTGTAACCTCCGCCTCCTGTGTTCAAGTGATTCTCCTGCCTCAGCCTCCCGAGTAGCTGGGATTACAGGCATGGGATTACAGCCACCACGCCTGGCTAATTTTTGTATTTTTAGTAGAGACGGGGTTTCACCGTGTTGGCCAGGCTGCTCTCAAACTCCTGGCCTCAAGTGATTCACCCGCCTGGGCTTCCCAAAATGCTGGGATTACAGGCGTGAGCCACCACACCTGGCCAGAATTGAGCTTCTCAATAGCACATGTTCTCAGCTGAGGTTCAACAAAGCCAGACCCTGCCTTCTCGGGCCAGCGCGTACTGTCAACAGGGTTCTTTGCAAGGTCTATTTGGTGTCCCGTGTTTTGTGTTTTCGTGCTTTTTGTCAGTGATTTTGCGCTTTCAAATATCCCCAAGTCGGTGCTGACATGCTACCTAGCGTCCCTAAGTACAGGAAAGCTGGCATGGTCTCACGGGGAAAATACACATTTGATGAGCGTCATTTAGGCACGAGTTATAGTGCTGTTGGCTTCGAGATCAATGTGAGTGACTCCACAATGTCTATTCACTGCGGTGTCTTTAAACAGAAACCCACATAAAACGCGCTTAGGTAGTGATTGGTTCATGACCTCTGGGAACGTAGTCCTGTATTTACGTGGGAGCAATAGTTCACTATTCGCTAATTCAGTGTTCGCTGAGACTTTATAAAACGTAACTGCTTTGAATAACAAAGCTGTAATTAACAAACCGAGCTGTTAAGTGTGTGTGTGTGTGTGTGTGTGTGTGTGTGTGTGTGTGTGTGTGTTGGCCTCACATCATTTTACAGAGACACACAGGGCTCTGTGAACTGCTAATAGTTGGGACCGGCGGAGGGGTTATTTCAAGCTAGTCCAAAACTGCAGGGCAGAGACCACTTTGAAAGGAGATCAGCAGTCGGGGAGTGGCTGGGATGAAGTTGGAAAAAGTGCTGAGGCCCCTAAGTCAGTTTCCGGTGTTTCCACGTTAGCCTTGGGGGGTGATCACTCAGTTTCCTGTAGGGATGGGATCTGGGCTGGCATCTGCCTGTGGAAGGGGTGACAGGGACGGAGAGCAGGGAACCCCGAGCAGCCCTGCCTTGCTGTTGTCTGAGCCTCAGAACTCCTGAAGGCGGGGTCCTTCAGCATCACCCTGGAGTTTGTTAAAAATGCAGGCTCATGAGCCTCACCCCAGACCACAGAACGAAAATGTCTGGGGGTGAGACCCAGGATTCCACGTCTCCCCAGGTCCCTCGCAGGGCGATTCTGAGAACTGCCGGTGTGAGGCGTGCTCAGCCCAGCCCAAACATTCACACCATTCTTTGGCCTCTTGTAAAACTTGGCGTAGCTCAGGGGACGTTCCCAGAGTTATGGCACACGAACAAAAGAAAGTTTCCCACTTCTTACCAAACATATTGTAAAATTACAGGAAAGAGCTTGTTCTTTCACGTCTATACCCTTGTGCCGTCGTCCTAGTTAGGATGAAGCCGAGATGTTACCTTGTACCTTAGGCCACCGCAGACAAGGAAGTATATGCAGTTTAACCACCTGCATATAATCTTTTTCTTTTTTCTTTTCTTTCTTTTTTTTTGAGACAAAGTCTCATTCTATCACCCAGGCTAGTGTGCAGTGGCACAGTCTCGGCTCACTGCAACCTCCATCTGCCAAGTTCAAGAGATTCTTGTGCCTCAGCCTCCCAAGTAGCTGGAACTACAGGTACACGCCACCATGCCCAGCTAATTTAGCAGAGATGGGGTTTTGCCTTGTTGGCCAGGCTGGTCTCGAACCCCTGACCTCAGTGATCTGCCTGCCTCAACCTCCCAAAGTGTTGGGATTACAGGAGTGAGCCACCATGCCCTGCCTATTTTTTGGAGGCAGGGTCTCTCTCTGTTGCCCAGGCTGGAGTGCCGTGGTGCAGTGTCAGCTCCCTGCAATCTCAACCTCCACAAGCGCAGGCCATCCTCCCGCCTCAGCCTCCCAAGTAGCTGGGACCATGGGAGTGCGTCACAACACCTGTCTAATTTTTGCATTTTTTGTAGAGACGGGGTTTCATCATGTTGCCCAGGCTGCTGTTGAACTCCTGGGCTCAAGCAATCCTCCCACCTTGGCCTCCCAAAGTGTTGGGATTATAGGCGTGAGCCACTGTACCCGGCCACCTATGTATAATTTTCAAGCTAAGAAGACAGAGAGACGAGTTTAACTATTGCTACAGACATGAAGCCCTTCCCTTTCCATAGTTTGCTAGCAGAGAGTGTTTCCAGGGCCCGGCGGCCACTATCACCCACTGCGTTCATAGCTTTCCATGGGGTGAACAGATTGCGCTGGACTCAGCGGTTAAATCTAAAGTGTAGGATGTTTGGTGAACTCGGAGTTCCTTGCACTTGTCTGTGATCTGGCACATTGTGTTTTCTGTACTCAGATATGCAGTCACTGGCACACATCCTGTTACTGACGGGAAGCTGGACCCAGCACTGGAGTATTTCTGAGACTATGACACTCTGGTGTATTCCTGAAACTATTTATGACACTATTAAGCTCTTTTCTGTAATTTTACAATATGTTTGGTAAGATCTCAGCGCCAGATTTTTTTAAATGATGTGTTTATTTCTTTTAATTGACAAATACACATTGTATGTGTTTATGCGGTTGCACATGGTGTCTTGATGTATGTATCCATGGTGAGATGGATTTAAATATGCATGACCTCACAGACTTTGCAGCACTTTTTTGTGTGTGGTGAGAACACTTATTCAGAATGGGCTCCTTTAGTCGTTTTCAAATATTCAAGCCATTGTTACTAATTGCAGTCGCCATGGTGTCTCTGAGCTTTCCTGAAGTTATTTGTCCTGTCTCATGGACGCTTTGTGCCCTGTGACCGATCGTCTGCCCGGTGTTAAATGACACATCTTGAAAAAGAGGACAATACTTCCAGAGCGATTCGGTTTTATAGCAACAGAAAAGTAAGGGTGTTTTGACCATTTGAATAAAATAGTAAAATGAAATGTATCAGCTGCCTCCTGCTATTCCCACACAGGAGGACTTCCGGTGCTTGCTCCAATGTGGAGGCATTTTCTCTTGCAGCATTCTGAGCTACAATTATCTCTAGGCTGGGGACCCTTCCCGAGGCCCCCCAAACCTGGAATGAAAGTTTTTAGGGTCAGACCATGTGACTGGTTCCACTCGACCTCCAAAACGTTAAAAAGAAAAAAAAAAAAAGAGCCGGGCGCGGTGGCTCACGCCTGTCATCCCAGCACTTTGGGAGGCCGAGGCGGGCGGATCACGAGTTCAGGAGATCGAGACCATCCTGGCTACCACGGTGAAACCCAGTCTCTACTAAAAATACAAAAAAATCAGCCGGGCGTGGTGGTGGGCACCTGTAGTCCCAGCTACTCGGGAGGCTGAGGCAGCAGAATGGTGTGAACCCGGGAGGCATAGCTTGCAGTGAGCCAAAATCGGGCCACCGCACTCCAGCCTGGGTGACACAGAGACACTCTGTCTCAAAAAAAGGAAAAAACAAAAAACAAAAAACGCTTTGCCTTTGCTTGGCATCAGAGGACTCAGCAGCAAGTAAAGAGCACACACGTGCCCTCTGCACCACCTCCTCCTCCTTTTCTACAATGTCCTGAAAGTTTCGTGTTTAGTGGGCTTTGGAAAAGGGTGTGGAAAACCAGCAGGAGCAGATGAGTACTGGAGTGGCCAGCAGCAGGTGTGAACACCCTGGGGTGATGCTGGGGCTGAGTGAATTGGACATTTTTCAGCAGGGACACCCAGGCCAGTGGCGGGTCTTCATCCTCCCACCCTTAATGGAGATGAACGGCATTATTGAGAAAGCTGCAGGCACACACAGAGCACTGCTTAAATGATGTCCCTGGCTGCTGCTGTTACTATGTAATGATTGTGTTATTCTTATGAAAATCTGAAAGTTACAGGAATCTTGGAACTGCCTAATTTTTTTTAATTAATTAATTAATTTATTTCGAGACAGAGTCTCACTCTGTCGCCCAGGCTGGAGTGCAGTGGTGCGATCTCGGCTCACTGCAACCTCCACCTCCCGGGTTCAAGCGATTCTCCTGCCTCAGCCTCCCAAGTAACTGGGACTACGGGCGTGCACCACCACGCCTGGCTCATTTTTAATTTTATGTGAAACACCTGAATGATGTGATGATGGGGTTTAAGATAACCCAAGTGTTCGGGCGCGGCGGCTCACATCTGTAATCCCTGCACTTTGGGAGGCCAAGGCAGGCAGATCACTTGATGCCCGGAGTTTGAGACCAGCCTGGCCAACATGGCGAAACTCCATCTCTACTAAAAACACAAGAATTAGCTGGATGTGGTGGCACATGCCCATAGTCCCAGCTACTGGGGAAGCTGAGGAAGGAGAATCACTTGAACCCAGGAGGTGGAGGTTGCAGTGAGTTGAGATCATGCTACTGTACTCTAGCCTGGGCAACAGAGCAAAACTCTGCCTCAAAAGAAAAGAAAAGAAAAGAAAAAAACAGCAAAAAGAGAACCCAGGTACTGGCTCTCCTCCTGCGTTTGCCCCGGTTGAGTGCATTCCTGCATTAGTGCAAGCCTTAGTCACGTTGCAGAGGAACTCACACACCCCATGTGGCCTCGGGGACTTCACTCTGGGTTCGTCCTGTTTTTTGAGTTGCCTGGCTGATGAGAAAAAGTAAACATGGTTTGAATCAGTAGAAAGTGTCTTGTCAGACTGACTCATGCCATCTGTCGTCCGTTCCGCCTTGCCCTGATGAGCCATTACCCTGTCCCGGAAACATCTGGAGCTTTGAGAGGGCCGGGTGGAAACAGCAGTGGCAGTTGGGGGTTCTGCTGAGGGTCTGGTCTCTTTGCAAATTTGCAGAGAGGCTGAATGCCGTAAACGTGCAACACAGGCACCTGAGTTCTCCACCAGGCTCCTTCTCTGAGGGCATGGTTGCAGCTCTTGCTGGGTGGGTTTTGTTGGTGTTTTCTTCACATTTGTAGCCCCGGAGGTCGTTTTCAGGAGCAAAAAGGCAAGTGGGGGTGTCTGCTGTGAGCCCGCAATTTCCTGCCTACCACCTGAAAGCTCAGGGAATGTGATGAATTGGGAGATGAATCCTAGGCAATAAAGAGAGCAGTGGACTGAGTTAGGAGACGATAGCTTCATTTACAGAGATTCCTTTACTGACTGATGATCATTGATTGGGTTTGCTTCCCCATGAGGCTTCAAGCCAATAGCACGTGCATTTGCATCCATTTATATACACCTGGGGGACTGCCTTCCTCACACACACCTGGGGGACTGCCTCCCTCACACACACCTGGGGAACTGCATCCCTTCACATACATAGGGAACTGTGTCCCTCACACACCTGGAAGATTAGCCTCAGAGGTGTCTGCAGTACCAGATTCCACCAGGGAGTGAACGTCTGATTATGGGTGATTCAGGGTGCCCACGTCTATATGAAATCGAGAGCGGGTCACCTCCCTTTCCTCCCTACTCTCTGTGGGGTGGTGTTTGGGGAGCTGTCTTAAGTGTTAGTCACCCGAGGAGAAAATGGTGAGGGTGGGACTCTGTATCTGGGAGAAAGGAGACCTTGGAGGCAGGGGACAGACTGACAGAGCCTTGAGCGATGGAAGCTGAGGTCGAGGGCCCAAGGTCGATGATAGAATGCTTGGGGTTGTCTCTCCTCTGGTGTCCTTGTCCTTCAGGCATCCTGGAGTGACATTGAAATTGTTTCAATTAAAAACTGTAGAAACAGCACAGAGATAAGAATGGAAGACAAGCTCCAAGTGCGGGGCTGAGGCGAGTTCTCCAAGGACTAGGGCTAAGGGCAGAGGGTGGGAGAAGGGGAGAAGGGCGTGAGGGGCATACTGTGTCCTTTGCCACCCACTCTCAGACTTGTTGTCTTGGACCTCCGTCGGCTGAGCTTGGGGTCCGGGGAGCAGTGGGTTTGGACACTCAGTGGTGACGTCAGCCGTAGTCCTGAAGCAGAGGGGAAGTTGGCAATCCAGGCTTGCCTGGGGGTGACACTGGTGGCGGGAGGGCCTGTGCCCTCCCCTGTAACTGGGTTTGTGTGGGGTCCATGGGGGCATTGGGGTCAGTGGAAGGAACATGAAGTGAGCCAGAGCATCGTCACTGTGGCCTCTGAGGGCAGGTGGAGCAAGAAAAGGAGGAAGCTTCTAAGTGACACCTGGTCCCAGCTCAGTGGCTATGACCAGGGAAGTCATGTGGAGGAAAAGGCTGGTGGACTCTGAGGGTGATGGAGGAGGATGGGAGGGGCAAGCTAGGCTGGGGAGGTGGCAGGCCATGGACACACACCAGACAGACACACATGTGCATGCACACATACACAGGCACATACATGCATGCACACTCATGCCATGCATATATGCATGCATGCACACGTGTGCACCCACACAGCAAGTCACATGTGCACGTGAGCACACATGAAAACACACAAGCACATGCACATACTCCTGCAGTGCACATGCACACCCATATATGCATGCACACAGGTGTGTGCTCAGATAGCACCCTCACACATATGCACACAAGCACACAGGCAAACACGCAGACACATGAACAAATGCACATATATATTCATGCAGTGCACTTGTGCACATATACACATGCAAACAGGTGTGCATTCAGCACACTCACAATGCACATGAAAACACGTGTGCACACACATGCAGTGCAATACATATATGCATGCACATGTGTGCCCACACCATACACCCACACATACGTGCAGGAGCACACACGTGCACACACAGAAACCACATGAATGCATGAGCACGCGTATATGAAATACACATGTACACATGAGCACATCCACACGCGCACATGCATGAACATAGACACACACATGCATGTACATAGACACGCACATGCATGTACATAGACATGCACACGTATACCCAGGCCCTGCATTGGAAAAAATCCAAAATGTGGCTTGGTTGCAAAGAGCACATGAAGAGCTGTTGAATGCAGAGGTGCCCAGCAAGAAGCATGGACCTAAACCCGAAGGTGGTTGGGGGAAGCTTGGGGACACCTGGGTGGGCAAATGGCCCCCCTGAGGCCCAGGGACAGATGCAAAAACCCAGCAAGCCAGGAGGGTCTTTGAAAAAAAAAATGTGTACCACATGTGACATTTCCCATGTGAGGGAAGCATCGAGATCATACTGTGTTTTCCCTGTGCCCTGCGATTTTGCAGCTGACATGCCCTTTCTGTGGAAATATATAGCAGTCCTCATGCTAGGATTGCGTGTTCTGTGTCAGGCAGCTGGGCATGGGAGTGCAGGGTGTGGGGTGGAACCTGGGAGGAGAGTTCTAGTTTTACCACTGTGTTCCGGCCGTGGGGTGTCCTGGGGAATGGAGGCCACCTCCTGACACTGGAGTTTCCTGGGTTCTGCTGTGAGCGAGGAGTGGGAGAAGACAAGACTCTGGTCTTAGAAACCTTCCGAGTCTCGTACGCCCTTGACTGCCGTTTCTGAGTATTTCCTGAAGCTTGGGAAGGATGAGTCACTTTAAGGGGATTGTCCTATGTTGCTTTGTTTTGTTTCTTTAGTGACGGTGTCTATGATCATCTTCTGTTTATGAGGGTGAAATTACAGAAATAAGAAGGGTTACACTTAAAATAATATCTGTACTTTACTTTCACGTGTGGGGTTTTTTTTTGTCATTGCTGCTGCTTTTTTTTCTTTAACATTCTGACAGTTCTGTCTGCTTATTATTAAGTCTTCCTACCTTTCTAAAGAGAATGTCTTTCTTGCTAAAGAATACATTATGGACTCTTGGAATCTCTTTGTTGGGGTGGAGGGGGTGGGGACTTGCCCTGACTTGCTGGGAATGCCCATAGGGTTTAGAAGTCACGTCTACCGCTGAGGCACTAACAAAGGTAAGCCTTCAAGGAAGCACTGTCATTTCCGGGGAAGAGAGTTTTGAGGAAATTGAAACAGTTACGAATTGATCTAGCAGTCCCTCTACTAATGTATCTACATATGAAGATATGTAGAGATGACTTTTTTTTTTTTTTTTTTTTTGAGATGGAGTCTCCCTCTGTCACCCAGGCTGGAGTGCAGTGGCATGATCTCTGCTCACTGCAACCTCTACTTCCCGGATTCAAGCGATTTTCCTGCCTCAGCCTCCTGAGTAGCTGGGATTACATGCGCATATCACCACGCCTGGCCAATTTTTTTGTATTTATAGTAGAGACGGGGTTTCACCATGTTGGTTGGGCTGGTCTCGAACTCCTGACCTCGTGATCCTCTCACCTTGGCCTCCCAAAGTGCTGAGATTACAGGTGTGAGCCACCGCACCCGGCCCCAGAGATGACTTCTAAACCTTCAGGGTATTCCCAGCAAGTCAGGGCAAGTCTATATATATATAATATATATATGTGTATATATATATTTGTATAAATATATAATTCGTATATATAGTATGTATATATAGTATATATAGTATGTATGTATATGGTGTGTATATATGTAGTGTGTGTATACATAGTATGTGTATATACAGTATGTATGTATATAGTATGTGTATATATAGTATGTGTGTGTATTATATATATATATAGTATGTGTATGTGTGTATATATATATATGTTTATTTGGGATAAGGAAAGGAAATCAGTATGTCAAAGAGACACTCCCCTCCCATGTTTATTGCAGCACCATTCGGAGTAGCCAAGACATGCAGTCAATGGAAGAGCCCATCAAGGGATGAATGCAGAAAGAAAATGTGCTATATCAACTCTGTACATTCACTAAAAGCCATTCATTTGCACAGTGAGAATAAGTGCCTTTCATGCTATGTAAACTATGCCTCAATAAAGCTATTAAATGAACAAAGAAAATAGGGTATATTCACAATGGAATGGTATTCAGCTTTAAAAAAGAAGGAGGTTGGCTGGGTGCGGTGGCTCATGCCTGTCATCCTAGCACTTTGGGAGGCTGAGGCAGGTGGATCACCTGAGGTCAGGAGTTCAAGACCAGCCTGGCCAACATGGTGAAACCCCGTCTCTAGTAAAAATACAAAAAATTAGCTGGGCATGATGGGCGGGCGCCTATAGTCCCAGCTACTCAGGAGGCTGAGGCAGGAGAATTGCTTGAACCCAGGAGGCGGAGGTTGTAGTGAGCCAAGATCATCGCACTCCAGCTTGGGCAACAGAGTGAGACTCTGTCTCAAAAAGAAAAAAGAAGGAAGTCCTGCCATTTGCAACAACATGGATGGAACTGGAGGACATGATGTTAAGTGCAGTAAGCCGAGCACAGAAAGACAAATACCGTCTGACCCAAACACGCTTACGTGGAATCTAAAACCACTGAACTCACAGAAGCAGAGTGGAATGGCGGTGACCAAGGGGTTGGGAGTGAGGGGTGGGGGAAATGGGGAAATGATGGGTAAAGGGTACAACATTTCCATCAGATAGGAAGGGATAAGTTCAGGGGTCTACTGTACTCAGGGTGACTGTGGTTAGTAAGAATGCGTTGCATACTTGAAAATGCCTAAGACAGTAGCTTTGAACTGTTTGCACCACAAATAAATAGGCGAGGTAAGATGTAAATAAAGAAAAAAAATACTTCAAAAAATACAATTACAGATTTCTATGGAAACATATGAACATGAGTGCATATATATATTTATATGTGCGTGTGTCTGTACCTGCCTTATGGTTTATTCTGGATCAGTAGGATCCTCCCTTGCTACCGTCTAAAGATCTGCCGCATGCTGCAGGAGGAGCTGTAATTGCATTTATGATGTCTGGCAAGTGTCCTGTTGTGGAAACAGCCATTTCAGGGCTCTGAGGTTGTGGAAACGACTCCACTCTGGTTGCCGGCATGGGGCCCACAGAGCTGTTCCGAGCGTTTTGTCTACTTTCTACTTATTGTTGACACACACAGAAACACACACGCAGCCATGAGTACACACACACACAGACATACAAGCAGACGTGGACACACCTACCTGTATGTACATACTCAAAACACACCTTCACACTATACTCACCTACCCATACACACACGTGCACACAACTACATGTGTGCACACAAACACATGCATACATGCACCTATGCATATGCACACGTGGAAACACACCTGCACACTACACACACCTACACATACACACACAAACCCACAAATGCACACACCCACACAGGCACAAACACACAAATGCACACACCCACACATGCACAAACACACCTACACACATAAACATATTGACACATGCACACATGCACATGAAAAACACATATACACACTACATCCGCCTACACATACACACACAAACCCACATATACATGCACCTACACACATGCACACATAACACCTACACACATGCATACAGAACCCACACATACATGCATCCATAGGCACACAGAAACACACCTACACACTGTGCACACCTACATATGCACACACAAACCCACATGAACATGCACTGACACATATGCACACAAAAAACACACTACACACACAGAAACCCACAAAATACACCTCCACACTTACACAAAACACGCCTACACATATGCACATACACAAACCCACACATACATGCACCTGCCTATATGCACCCACAACACATACACATATGCACACACAGAACTCACCTACACACCCCATACATGCACACAAAACCCACAAATACATACATGTGCACTGCAAATGCCCAAATATACATGCACACTCACACACACATACCCCTGTGACATATGCATGCACGCTTCATTTATACATGCAGGAGCATAGCCTGGTCGTTTGCACCTGTTGTGGAACTGGACACACTTCCGGTGTTCACAGGGCTCCTGCGGGTTGTTCTTGGACCCCTCGCCACCCACCGCCAGGTGCTTCCTGACGGTTGAGAGATGTTGTATGCCTTTGGTGCTGAGGAGTGGGGACGCTGGATGTTGACGATTATCCTAACTCTTCCTCCAGTTGACCAAACAGTCCAAGTCGACTTTTCCAAATTTTCCTGAATTTGGCTTTTCTTCAGTGCGCCAGAGATGGCCAGCCACGTTGAAGTAGCATTGAAATTGTTGTAATTAAAGACTGTAGAAACAGGGTAGCCTATCAATAATTCAGCATGCCAGTTTCCTCATTCCGTGGGATTCCATGAGATTTTTTTTTAATGCATAATGCACGTGTCTTTCTGGGTTGTCTAGTGTTTCTACTATATTTTGGTTTGTAATTACAGGAAAGTTGCCAATAAAAAAGGGAGAATTTTGTTCCCCATGTTGTTTTCAGTACATATTCAAAATTGTTATTCATCTGTTTGAAAGGAACGACCTGTTAAGAATAATACACAAAATGATCGTGTTTTTACACTATTTTAATTTCTACTAAGCTTGAAGGTCATCATTTATTTAAAACCTAGGCTAACATATTCTTACTTTTAGGCATGGAAGTGAATATTTAGAATGAGAAGAGAAATCACGCACCTTGTAAATTTTTTTAAGTTGCTGTTTTAAATATCACAAAAAGAAAAATCGCATATCTTTTTTATCTCTATAATATTCAAATTTATTTTTATTTTTCTTGTTTCTAAGTTGACTCTTTTTTTCTCTCTTAGATGGTGGTTTCGATTTATCCGATGCCCTTCCTGGTGAGTATCAACATCATTTTTTAAAATCCCGTCAATATTTTATGTTAACATAGTATATACAGGCATATCCCAGCCATTTCCAGCTAGGTTCTAGACCACCGCAATAACAGGAGTCATAGCAATTTTTGGCTTCCCAGTACATATAAATGTTATGTTTACTCTCAACTGTAGTCTATTAAGTATGCAATAGCATTACCTCTAAAAACAGTATACTCCAATTGAAAATACCTTATTGCTAAAAAATGCAGATACAGAGACAGGAAGTGGGGCACGTGCTGTTGGAAAAAATGATGCCGAGAGTCTGGCTTGCCACAGGGTTGCTGCAGGCCTTCCGTTTGTAAAACACACAGTATTTGCAAAGCACCTTAAGACAAAGTGCAGTGAAGGAGGTCCGCCTGTATGTGTCCACCTGCCTTATTATAAAAACTAGACTCATAGATGACGAGGAAAAGCAAGATGCCCTTGTTAAGATAAATGAACCACCCTGGTGGAATAATTCACAGTCCTGTGATGGTCAGAGGCCGAGCAAAAACTTGCCAGGTCCTTGGGGAGGGGTCTAGAGGAGGTGAGCAAATGGAGGTCCCCAGGAGAGAGGGGCATCCAGTGCTGGCATCCTCCCTCTCGAAATCGGCACCCGCTGTCTCCATGGGGCCACTCCTTCCTTCTTCTGCAGCTCTTCCTGTCTCCCGCTCCTCACCCAGAGCCCTCGGTGAAGGGCATGGGAAAAGGAATTGAAGGAATTCCGTCTTATCACTCTATCAGCTTCTGGGTCTTGTCATCCCTTTGTATTTGTTTTCCGGGGCTGCCATAAAAAGGTGCCACCAACTGGGGGCTTAAACCACAGGGATTTATCATCTTCCAGACCTGGACAACAGAAGTCTGAGATCAAGGTGTAGACAGACCCATGCTCCCTCTAGGGGCTCTAGGGGAGGGTCCTTCCTGCCTCTTGCGGCTTCCGGGAGCTCCAGGTGTCCCTGGACTTGTGGCCGCATCACTCCAGTCTCTGCCTCCTTCTCCGTGGGGCCTCCTCCTCTGTGTCTGTGTCTCCTTTTCTTTGTCTTACAAGGATACTTGTCATTGGGTTTAGGGCCACTCTACTCCAGGATTATCTAATCTCAAGATCCTTCTCTTAAGCACATCTGCAAAGACCCTATTTCCAAATAAAGTCTCATTACCAGGTTTTAGGCTTTAGGATGTAGATATATCTTTTGCGGGGACCACTGCTCAATCCACTGCAGTTATATCCAGTTCTTTTTGGTGGCTCTAGGGGAGGATCCTTCCTGCTTCTCCCAGCTTTTGAGGGCTTCACGTGTCCCTGTGCTTGTGGCTGCATCACTGTAGGCTCTGCCTTTGTGAACGCTGGTCTCTTCCCTGTGTCTCCATGTATCTAAATTTCCTTCCTATAAGGGCACCAGTCATTAGGACCTATCCTAATCTATTATAACCTCATCTTAACTGATTACAACTGCAAAGACCCTGTTTCCAAGTAAGATCACCTATTGAGGTTTGGGGTGGGTGTGGATCTTGGAGGAATGCTTTTCAACCCAGGACAGCCCTCTTCATTTTTTTTTTTTTTTTTTCCGAGATGGAGTCTCTCTCTGTCACCCAGGCTGGAGTGCAGTGGCACGATCTCGGCTCACTGCAACCTCTGCCTCCCGGGTTCAAGTGATTCTCCTGCCTCTGCCTCCCGAGTAACTGGGATTACAGGCATGCACCACCATGCCTAGCTAGTTTTTGTATTTTCAGTACAGACGGGGTTTCATAATGTTGGTCAGGCTGGTTTCGAACTCCTGACCTTGTGATCTGCCCGCCTTGGCCTCCCAAAGTGCTGGGATGACAGGCATGAGCCACTGAGCCCAGCCACCCTCTTCACTTTTTTATGTTTTACTTTTTTTTTTCTGAGACACTGTCTCGCTGTGTTGCTCAGGTTGGAGTGCAGTGTTGGGATCTTGGCTCACTGCAGCCTTGACCGTCTGGGCTCAAGCAGTCCTCCCACCTCAGCCTGCTGAGTAGCTGGGACTACAGGCATGTGCCACCTCACCTGGTACAGTGAGCAACACGGGGTCTCACTGTGTTGCTCAGATTGGAGTGCCACGGTGGGATCTTGTCTCACTACAGCCTTGACCATGTGGGTTCGAGCAATCCTCCCACCTCAGCCTCCCAAAGTGCTGAGGCGTGAGAGGATTGCAGACACGAGCCACTGCACCTCGCCAGCTTTTAATTTTATGTCCTGTGGTGCAGTGCAGATGGTTTGAGCGGAAACAGTGCTGATGGGGATCATCTCTTTCCTGACCACCTACCCCTTCTTGGCCCTTGGGAACAACCATTCCCTGCAGTGGGAGGTGCCCTTAGTCTTACAGCCTCCACCTGATTTGCCTGATTGGCTTCCATTCTCAGAGGGGGCAGCCTAGGCAGAGGCCTGACGGGGCCAAAAGTGTGTTTCATATGAGAAATGTGAACAGCCTTTCAGCCATCAATCCGGTGTCTCTCCTTCTCATGCATAGATCTCGGGCTCTGAAAAGGGCAGTTTTTCTCCTAACTTTGCCATTCTCCTGCCTTCCTGGCTTATGTCTCAGTCATAGTCCCATTCAACGTCAAGAAGTGGAGAAGGGCTGGGCACGGTGGCTCAAGCCTGTCATCCCAGCACTTTGGGAGGACGAGGTGGGTGGATCACCTGAGGTCAGGAGTTCGAGACCAACCTGGCCAACGTGGTGAAACCCCATCTCTGCTAAAAATACAAAAAATTAGCCGGGAGTGATGGCATGCACCTGTAAGCCCAGCTACTCGGGAGGCTGAGGCAGGAGAATCGCTTGAACCCAGGAGGCAGAGGTTGTGGTGAACGGAGACCACACCATTGCACTCCAGCTTGGGTAACAGAGCAAGACTTGGTCTCAAAAAAAAAAAAAAAAGAAGTGGAGAAGGGGCTCCTGGTCTCTGTGGAAACCATGGCCGGTAGCAGCCTCTGTGTCTGTCTTCTGGGCTCAAGAGTCGTTGTATAAACCTCAGCTCGGTGTGGGCAGGTGAGAAAAAACAATGCTAAAAACATTCTCCGACTGTTTCCAAGAAAATGAAACATCCTTAACCACAAAAGAGTTGACACTTGTTTTCCCAGCTGCAACTTTTACTAACTGAAATATCTTATCTCTTTAGACAATGAAAACAAGAAACCCACTGCAATCCCCAAGAAACCCAGTGCTGGTGAGAAGGGCTTCTTCCTAGTATGCAAAGAAAAAGAGCAAATCATTTTCTCGGACAGCAGGACGGGACTTAGGCAACTAGAAAGAAGACAGAAGTGATTTGAGTGCTCCGGCTGGAGTCTGGTTAATAGTTAATACTGGAATTGTGTTATGATGTTACATTTCATGTAGTGATTCCAGTAAAAGAATGGTTGCTGATGTGAAATGTTTCGGGGCCATTTGGACAACATCTCTGTGTGCTTTTATTCTAAGGGTCTGAGTTACTCTGTCTTTAGATTTTCTTCCCTTTTTTTTTTTTTTTTTTTTTGAGATGGCGTTTCATTCTTGTCTCCCAGGCTGGAGTGCAGTGGTGTGATCTTGGCTCACTGCAACCTCCACCTCCCGGGTTCAGTGATTCTCCTGCCTCAGATGCCTCAGTAGCTGGGACTGCAGGCACCAGCCACCACACCTGGTTAATTGTTGTATTTTTAGTCGAGACGAGGTTTCACTATGTCGGCCAGGCTGGTCTTGAACTCCTGACTTCAGGCAATCTGCCTCCCAAAGTGCTGGGATTACAGCGGTGAGCCACCATGCACGGCCTGTGTCTTTAGATTTCAACTTCCTAGGAGAGAGAGCATTTGGTGCTGAGATCTCCCCCATGATGACCAACAAGTGAACTCATCTCTCAACCTGTGGGCACACACCTCATTTGTTCTCAGTGCTTGCTGTTCTTTCTTTCTTTTTTTTTTTTTTTTTGAGACGGAGTCTCGCTCTGTCGCCCAGGCTGGAGTGCAGTGGCGCAATCTCGGCTCACTGCAAGCTCCGCTTCCTGGGTTCACACCATTCTTCTGCCTCAGCCTCCCAAGTAGCTGGGACTACAGGCAGCGGCCACCACGCCCAGCTAATTTTTTTGTATTTTTAGTAGAGACGGGGTTTCACCATGTTAGCCAGGATGGTCTCGATCTCCTGACCTTGTGATCCACGCGCCTTGGCCTCCCAAAGTGCTGGGATTACGGGCATGAGCCACCACACCCAGCCCTCAATGCTGTTCTTTCAAACAAAAGTCAGAAACGAGGTCCACGTGATGGAATTGCCCAAGGGTCAACCCCACTGGCGGATAAACAGAGTAAAAATGATGCTAAAACTTATGGCATCAGTGTCTTACAGCTAAGACACTGTCTTGTCTTAGCACTTCTGAGTTTTCTAATATAAAACATTAATAGCTCCACTTCATTATTGGGCTTCCTGTCTAGAGTGTCAGCTCATGAGCAAAGGGACCCTGTGTCCCCAGATCCTTGAACTAAGCAATCATGCAGATAGCACCAATGAGTAGGTGTTGAGCGTCTGAATTTATACTATCATAGTCTCCTTGAGGAAGGGACTGGAAATTCCCATATGTCACTCAGGATGGCTCAGTACATGCTGTTGGGTGGATGCCAGCAACCATTCCTCCATCTTAGTTGGGTTTTCAAAATCATTCTTCATACTAGAAGACAAGATCTGAGGCCATGGTGAACTGTCACATCAGTTGCGGAGCACATATGGGTTGCTAGAGCCATGTTTTAGACACCCTCTAGCCTAAATCTGATCACAGTCATCTGTCCCCTTCTCTTAGGGTCTACCTTTCCAAAGTTGTTAGGGACCTGGGAGGAGAGGATGATGGGATGGGGAGTCAACAGGAGAAAATCATGTGCAGGCAGAATTGGAATTTCAACTTGGTCCAGGCAACACAATTCATTTATAAATTACTTTATTTCTCTCTCTCTCTCCCCACTGCCTCTCCTCTGAGAGCTTCTCTCCTAGCTTTTTATCTGTCTCTGTCTCTCTGTTTTTTCCTCTTTTTATCTGAGAGAATAGTGATGTAAAAATGGTCAGGAATTCACTTTTTCTAATGAGATCCTGGTCAAGCTGATATTCAGAAAAGTATTTAGGAATGTGGGGCCGTGGTGTGTTTTTGATCTGTTCACGAGGTCATTCCTTCCTCGTTTCTCTCTGGAATTTGGTATTAACTGCTCTTTCCCCTCTTTTAGGGGATGACTTTGACTTAGGAGATGCTGTTGTTGATGGAGAAAATGGTGAGTATTTTCCTTTAATCTCTTCTGCTGCTGATCTGCTTATTATCACCCAATTATGATCATTTCAGAGAGAATTCTCCCATTTAAATTATAAAGGGAACCAGTTTTCACAGTGGAAACCTAGGGAATAGGTGTGTCGGTTTGTTCTTGCTGTTGTCGTTGGGTTTTTCTTTACAACCAGTACGTGTGCTTTTATTTTAAAACTCTTACAGTCTTTGGAAGGACATGAGACAAATGTGCCTACCCTGGCCAGGGCTGGCTTCACCAGCATGTGACCTGTGCAGTGGCACAGGACCCCATGGCATGTTGGTTTGGCATGGGAACCATACTGGTTTACTGCTCTGTTGCCGCCATCTTGGAATACTTAAGAAAATTTGAAAAATGGGTCCCACCTTTTTATTTTGGCCCTAGAAATTCTGTAGCTGGTGTGGACACCCGCTTTAATTTTTATTAAACATAGTTGACATTAAGAACTGTGGCTGAAAGTTGATGGGAGGAAACTGGCAGGAGACTGTGTGTGTACAGGTATCCCCACCAGGACAAAGGCCAAGGTCCAATTTCTGTTCAGGGAACCATCTGTGTGTAAACTGATGTTTCATTTTCTTTACTGCAAGGCACTTAAAATTGCAACTCTCATCTTTCACAAACAGACGACCCACGACCACCGAACCCACCCAAACCGATGCCAAATCCAAACCCCAACCACCCTAGTTCCTCCGGTAAGAGTCTCTGACCCTGTGGGATGTCTTCATGTTGTTCAGAATTCAGCGATATTTATGTCAGCTGAGAGGAGGTGATTTCAGATGAGTGTGTGCTTACTGTTGACTGCCTGTGCAGTGTAATGCCCATGTTCATGTAATGGAAAATGTACATTTCAAAAATATATATTTAGCTTGGATTTTATTTTTAGTTTGCTTTTTTTTTTTTTTTTTTTTTTGAGACAGAGTCTTGTTCTGTCACCCAGGCTGGAGTGCAGTGGTGCCATCTTGGCTCACTGCAACCTCCACCTACTGGGTTCAAGTGATTCTCCTGCATCAGCCTCCTGAGTAGCTGGAATTACAGGCACACACTGCCATGCCCGGCTAATTTTTGTATTTTTAGTAGAGACAGGGTTTTGCCATGTTGGCCAGGCTGGTCTTGAACTCCTGACCTCAAGTGATCCACCCACCTTGGCCTCCCAAAAGTGCTGGGATGACAGGTGTGAGCCACTGTGCCTGGACTAGTTTGCTACTTTTGTTTCCAAGTTCCATCTTATGGAACTTCTAAAAAATTGCATACAATAATTTAAATGTAGACTTGATAAAGAGAAAAGTATTGGCATACACATTCCTTGTGGAGAAGCTAGTGTGTTTTAAATCTTTCTGCCCTTAAATATTTAAGTCAGTTTTTCTGACATATCACAGCATTTTCAGCGTAATTCGAATAGCACCAGTTTTTTTTTTTTAGCTGAATGGTTGTCGAAAGTTTATATGTTTAGGTTTTTTTGTTTACATATTTAATTTTTAACACAGAAGAATATTAATGATGTCCATATCTTGTTGACATTTTGATGGCTATTTGTGCTAGTATTTTATATATCTTTTTTTTTTCTTTTTTGAGACAGGGTCTCACTCTGTTGTCCAGGCTAGAGTACAGTGCTGTGATCATATTAAACATAAGAGCATACCACAGCCTCCAACTCCTGGGCTAGAGAGATCCCCCTGCCTCAGCCTTTCAAGTAGCTGGGGCTACAGGCACACAGCATCGTGACCAGTTAGTTTTTTCATTTTTTGTAGAGGTGGGGTCTCAGTATGTTGCCCAGGCTGGTCTGAAACTCCTGGCCTCAAGCAGTCCTCTTGCCTCAGCATCCCAAATCTCTGAGATTACAGGCACGAGTCACCTCACCCAGCCTATATATTAATCTAAATGAAATAAATTTTAAATAAAGTTCCAAGTCTTTTGTTTGTACTGCATTGTAACATTACTTTTTGCTTACTGATAGTCCATGAACATTTTTTCATGTCATGTAATCATTTCTATCGTATGAGTTTTACTGATAATCATGTACTATTACATACTACATATATAATTATATTCTTCCTGTAACTAATCCCTAATTCTGAAAATGTTATGTTTCTTCTGGCATTTTAGAATTATGAATTAACAAAGCAAATCTGAGTCAACTCCATGCGCTATTTTTATTCCTTTGAAGACATTTCTAGCATTCAAATAGTTTAGATCAACGTATATGAGTACTTTCGTAGCTTTTGACCTGGTTGTTAATTTGCTGCAGATTTTTACCAATTTATTTTGATGCCAGGGGTGTGTGCAAATGTCCCTGTCTTCACACCATCTCCAATATTAGTTATCACCTAGGAAACCTTTGCAAATAGTGTGAAATTTTCTATCAACTTTCTCCTGGTTTCATGACTTTACTTTTAAAATTAAAAAAAAAAAACAAACCTGCATCAATTGGCCGTGGATACTTCTTATTTTGTGTATTGTATGCTTTGCCTTTTATTCTTACATTCTGATATGACATTATTGATTTATAAGCCTTCTTCATTTATTTACAGACATAAATATTGCCAGCATGCAATATTATGCTCACGTTTTTCCACTTTATTTATGGTTTTTTGTTTTGTTTTGTTTTGAGACTGAGTTTAGCTCTTCTTGCCCAGGCTGGAGTGCAGTGGTGCCATCTTGGCTCACTGCAACCTCCACCTCCAGGGTTCAAGTGATTCTCCTGCCTCAGCCTCCCGAGTAGCTGGGATTACATGTGCCTGTCACCACATCCAGCTAATTTTTATATTCTTAGTGGAGATGGGGTTTCACCATGTTGATGAACAGGCCGGTTTTCATGAGTTTTTCCTTTATTCTAAGACATGAAGACCCTTGGAGGAGTTCCAGGTTGACAGGTGATGCTGTATTTTCTTTCCTAGGTAGCTTTTCAGATGCTGACCTTGCGGATGGCGTTTCAGGTGGAGAAGGTACAGTTATCTTGTTTTCTGTCTCTTTTCTCTCTCCATCCCATGATGCCCACCTGCTCTGTAGAATCACTACAGGGTCTAAACTGTCAGCTCTCTGTGAACTCACAGTGAAATGTTCAGCCATCTCTGTGGGAACTCCGCCTGTTTGCTGAGGCTTCAAGGATGTGGGAAGTAAAGGCTGCCCCGTAGAGGTTCGGTCCTCGGAGAAGAGTTCAGGGCCCAGGCAGCTGCCCCACTTTTCTGAGGGACAGGGCGTGATGAATGGGCCCTTGTCACCACCTCCTCACCCATCCGTTCACCTGTGTGTTCTTGCAAATAACTAGTGTTGTTTCAGCTTCATTTTATTAGGCTGTTTTCTGTAATTTAAGGAATGTGAATATTAAAGCCCTGAGAATAGTGATAATGCCTGGGAGTATGCGTTCTCAGAGTACCCCTAGAGTGTAACAGGCAGCACCTCAGCTCTGTAGCTGTGTAACATGCACCCTTAGAGTGTAATAGGCAGGACCCCAGCTCTGTAGCTGGGTAACATGTACCCCCGTAGAGTGTAAGAAGCAGGACCCCAGCCTCTTCACGGTCCTGGCTGTGAATTTTTCCTTGACCCCAAACCTTCCCATTGCAGACGTTGTTTTTGTCTTGCAGGAAAAGGAGGCAGTGATGGTGGAGGCAGCCACAGGAAAGAAGGGGAAGAGGGTAGGTGCACCTGGCTTCTGTCTTCTTGTCTCTCCCACGTGGTGTTGAGAAGGGGAAGCAGAATGTCTGAGAGCTGGCGGACTGCACTGGCATTGGCCTCCTAAAGCTACTGGCAGGAGGCACGGGTGTTCTGTGCCAAGTGCTCCCAAGTGATGTAGCTGCAGAGGTCCCCCAGCAAACCAGCCCTGCTCCGGGTGCCCACGTGACGCGGATTTTATGTTTGGTCACCTGCCCACGATGCCCTGGCTGGCGACCCGACCCCTACATCACGCTTCGCCTTGTCCTTGTGTTTACAAAAGCTCCTACACTCACCCTAACGATCAGAGGCTTGTGACGCAGTATCCTCGGTTGCGCTTGGCCCTTGAGAACGTCAGTAACCAGGTGGGAGGTGGGAATGTGGATCGCTTCCACCCTGGCTGTAACAGGCATTGTGTTCTCCATGGAAGTGCCGGTGATGTATCTCCTGTCTCCTTTTTCATAACCTTTTCCCTTAGATGGGACAAGAAAATAATGACAGACAGAATTCCTTTTAAAACTGTAAAGAAAACAAAATGAGGTAAGAAAGAGAAACAGAGAAGTAGGGAGGAAGAAAAAAGGGAAGGAGGGAAGGAAAGAAGGAAGGAGGGATGGAGAGAAGGAAGGAAGGAGGGAAGAAGGGAAGGAAGGAAGGGAGGAAAAGTGGGTAGTCTACCCTTGTTTTAGGTATTTATTATTTTTATGGGTACAGTTCTTGAATTCTAGGCTTTCTTTGAAGAGGTAGTAATCTGTAGCCCTCACCTAGGACTACAAGGTCATTTTTTAAAAAATAGCTAAGAAAACACATGTCTGGCATGTTTATCTCAGGCCATCGTTCTTGGCCTTCTAGAGAGTTAATGTCTACTATGTCACTTCATCAGGGAGGGGTAGTTAAGCTTGAAAAATCTTTCTATGACATGACTGTGTCCTGCACATATTAAAAACTGGCCGAGTGAACACACCACCGACAGGCCATGTTTGGAGCCAGTGTTTTTGCTGAAAGTCAGACAATTCTCCTTCCCCGTCGTGGAGGGCGGAGAAGATTCTATCTGGAGAAGGGTCCTCTGAAGCTCACATCTGGCATTTGGAATGAATAATCTCTTCAATGGCCAGGCACGCTGGCTCATGCCTGTCATCCCAGAACTCTGGGAGGCTGAGGCGGGAGGATTGCTTGAGGCCAAGAGTTCGAAACCAGCCTGGCCAACATGGTGAAACCCCTTTTCTACAAAAAATACAAAAATTAGGCCAGGTGTGGTGGCTCACACCTGTAATCCTAGCACTTCGGGAGGCCAAGGTGGGTGGATCACTTGAGGTCAGGAGTTCGAGACCAGCCTGGCCAAGATGGTGAAACCCCATCTCTACAAAAAATACAAAAATTAGCTGGGCGTGTGCCATGCACCTGTAGTCCTAGCTACTCGGGAGGCACAAGAATTGCTTGAACCCGGGAAGCAGAGGCTGCAGTGAGCTGAAATCGTGCCACTGCACTCCAGCCTGGGTGACAAAGTAAGACTGCATTTCAAAAAAAAAAAAAAACTAGCCAGGGGTGGTGGCACACACCTGTAATCCCAGCTACTTGGGAGGCTGAGGCAGGAGAATAGCTTGAACCCGGGACGCAGAGGTTGCAGTGAGCCGAGATCGCACCACTGCACTCCAGCCTGGGCAACAGAGCAAGACTCTGTCTCCCCGCCAAAAAAAAAAGAATTATTGCTGGAATAACATAAAAAAAAAAAAAAAGGCTGAGTGTGGTGGCTCATGCGTGTAATCCCAGCATTTTGGGAGGCCTAGGCAGCAGGCAGGTTGCTTTAGGCTGGGAGTTCGAGATCAGACTGGGCAACATAGCAAGACCCCAATTCTATAAAACCACAGTAATTAACCAGGCATGGTGGTGCACACCTGTAGTCCCAGCTACTCGGAAGGCTGAAGTGGGAGGATCTCATGAGCCCAGGAGTTTGAGATTGCAGTGAGCTGTGATTACATCATTGCACTCCAGCCTGTTTGACAGAGCAAGAACCCATCTCAAAATAATACACAATAATAATAATTAATTAAATAGAGATAGATTTAAAATGTCTGCATTGAAACCCAAAGCTATCTTCAAGGGGTGAAAAAGGAGCATTCTAACGATACAAAACGCATTGGCAAATGCCCCAAGCATTGCAGGTCTTTGCTTCTTTATCTTCTGCCCCTGCCTGGGCTCCTTCCTCCAGGTTTGATGTCCAGCTCTCTCTTTCTTTTTTGTTTTGTTTTGTTTTGAGATGGTGAATTGCTCTGTCGCCCAGGCTGGAGTGCAGCGGCACAATCTCGGCTCACTGCAACCTCTGCCTCCCAGGTTCAAGCGATTCTCTGGACTCAGCCTCCTGAGTAGCTGGGATTAAAGGCACCCACCCTTACTCCCGGCTAATTTTTGTATTTTTCGTAGAGACGGGTTTTACCATGTTGACCAGGCTGGTCTCAAACTCCTGACCTCAGGCGATTCACCTGCCTCGGCCTCCCAAAGTGCTGGGATTACAGGCGTGAGCCACCACGCCCAGCCCCAGCTCTCTTTCCATCTGTCTTTGTCTTTTTTTGTCTCTGCCTTGGTTCTGCTGAGCTTCTGCCCGTACCTCGCTGGCCTCTCTTCATGTCTCTTTTCTCCTGCTCCACTCCCTCCATGGTCTGACCAGGTCTGCCCAGCACGTGCGATGGGAGATTGTGCCTTGCTTTGCCTTCCTGTGTATCATTCTCGGCATGCTTCCTTTGCAAATCGGTCAGCTCAGGCGTCTGAGATGTTCTGAGGATCTTGGTGCTCTCAGACTGACTGTCTCTGCCAGCCACTGCCCCCTGGGATCTTCTCTGCACCGTGCGTGTCTCAATCACGATGCTGTGTGCTTCCTCCTGCAGCCGACGCCCCAGGCGTGATCCCCGGGATTGTGGGGGCTGTCGTGGTCGCCGTGGCTGGAGCCATCTCTAGCTTCATTGCTTACCAGAAAAAGAAGCTATGCTTCAAAGAAAATGGTAAGTCTCAGTCCGCCGGTGCCTCTCCTTCATGCCTTGCTGATTGGAAAACTGTGCTTTCTTTAAAAGGCAGAAACCAAACTCGGGCTGGCACGAAACAGGTGCACGATGGCTGATGGTTCGTGAAACTGCTAAAATTCTGGAATCGAACCTTCTGGCTTTGATTTCAGGGCTGTTCTGCCTTGTGTTTTGTTGTGTGAAAGTTTACAAGTTCCCCACTGCTGCAGTGCTTGGGTTGTTTACGTCTACCAAGTGGGAAATGGTTGGTACATATGCCGCGGAATTGTTGCTGGGGTTAGAGACAGTCCTGCAGGAAAGCCGCTACAAGTTACCCTGCAGAGAGCAAAGGTGGAAGACACTTAGCTCTGATCATTCCTGCCCTGTTATTTACAACCGATGTCATCATCAGGAGGAGAGCCGTGACCAGGGGGCCGCCACGGTCCTTTCTCCACTGAGAGTTAAGTTAAAAGCCGGCACAAGGCCGGACATGGTGGCTCACACCTGTAATCCCAGCACTTTGGGAGGCCGAGACGGGCGGATCACGAGGTCAGGAGGAGATCGAGACCATCCTGGGTAACATGGTGAAACCCCGTCTCTACTAAAAATACAAAAAATTAGCCGGGCATGGTGGCGGGCGTCTGTAGTCCCAGCTACTCGGAAGGCTGAGGCAGGAGAATGGTGTGAACCTGGGAGGCAGAGCTTGCAGTGAGCTGAGATCATGTGACTGCACTCCAGCCTGGGCGACAGAGTGAGACTCCGTCTCAAAAAACAAAACAAAACAAAAACCAGCACAGCGGATTCCCTTTCTGTTAGTACCGAAAACCCACAGGCACCCAGGACCTGGGAAGTTTCTTGGATCGGGACTAAAATTTACAGGGGAATTAGGAGGAGGACGTACTCACCATTGCAATCCTCCTAGGTCAGCTGGCAGGCTCTTTGGGACCTTGTATTGGGATCCGCCGTGAAGCTGGGAAGTAAGCCCTGCTATTTGGAACACAGCTAACGTGCATGCATCACTGGGCACTTACATTTAGCTCTTGCCTTCCCTCTTGCATGACCAAGCATTGTGGTTTGCAGGAATCCCATCGACCGGGAACAGCTACTCTTATTTTTTATTTCTTGAGACAGAGTTTCGCTCTGTTGCCCAGGCTGGAGTGCAGTGGCGCAATCTCAGCTCACTGCAGTCTCCACCCCACAGGTTCAAGTGATTCTCCTGCCTCAGCCTCCTGAGTAGCTGGGATTATAGGCACCCGCCACCACGCCCGGCTAATTTCTGTATTTTTAGTAGAGATGGGGTCTCACCATGTTGGCCAGGCTGGTCTCCAACTCCTCACCTCAAGTGATCCACCCGCCTCGGCCTCCCAAAGTCTTGGGATTACAGGCGTGAGGCACCACACCTGGCCAACAGCTACTGTTTTATGGAGGAGCCCCTGGGGTCCCTCACGCCTCTGGGTGTCTGAACTTCTCACCCTACTTAGATCTTAAGTCCTTATTCATTCTTGGTCACTGATGTCATTCACTCAAAGCACTGCCTCCTGAAGATTTTAGAGGGATTCCTAGAACATTTGAATAGATGCTGGTGTGGACAAAGTTAGACTGTAGGGGTGGAGTTTCCCCGTAATCTCCCATCATTCCAGCATTTGACATCCACAAACATTATTTAGAGCGTGAAATGGAGAGTCCTAAACAGCTTTCGGATCTCAAGACTTTAAATGAGCTGCTCGTGTTTATTTCCCCGTTCTTGCTGTGGGGTTTTGGGCAGTGCGTGGAAGACAGTTGCCTCCTACCTGGTGGGCAGACGAGTGGGAAATGGTGTTTGGTTGTTTCTTTTTTTTTTTTTTTTTTTTTTGAGATGGAGTCTCACTCTGTCACCCAGGCTGGAATGCAATGGCTCCATCTTGGCTCACTGCAACCTCCACCTCCCGGGTTCTCCTGCCTCAGCCTCCCGAGTAGCTGGGATTACAGATGTGCACCACCACGCACAGCTAATTTTTGTTTTTTTAGTAGAGATGGAGTTTCGTCATGTTGGTCAGGCTGGTCTCGAACTCCTGACCTTGGATGATCCGCCTGCCTTGACCTCCCAAAGTGTTGGGATTGCAGGCGTGAGCCACCGTGCCCAGCTGGTGTTTGGTTGATTGAATGGCAGTTTTGAGCGGGACCCAAATGGACAGATGACCACATTCAAGGAGATGCCTGTAAGAGACGTACGATTAGAATCACGTTGGAAAAAAGCAAACAGCATAACATTCTTCTCCCCTCTTGCTTCTTCTAGAAGTAGCGGAGGGGTTAAAACAGTAGGGACTCAATGGAAGGGAATTTTTGTTTGCTTTTCAATGACATTTCTTTTTCTTTTCTGAAACTGTTCAACTCACAGCATAATATTCAACCAGGAGGTAAGGAAGGCTTGTTTGCCAGGACAGGATGCGTAATATTCTAGATGTTGTATTTCAAACTCTCTGGCTTTTTTTTTTTTTTTTTTTTGAGACGGAGTCTCGCTCTATCGCCCAGAATGGAGGGCAGTGGTGCAATCTTGGCTCACTGCAACCTCGCGGGTTCAAGCAATTCTCCTGCCTCAGCCTCCGAAGTAACTGGAATTACAGGTGTGCATCACCACACCCGGCTAATTTTTGTATTTTTAGTAGAGATGGGGGTTCACCATGTTGGACACACTGGTCTCGAACTCGTGACCTCAGGTGGTTCCCCCCCGCAATCTTGGCCTCCCAAAGTGTTGGGATTATAGGCGTGAGTCAAAGCACCCGGCCTCTTTTTTAGAATCCCAGACAATTGTTGAACACTTTTGCATTAAACTACAAAGTCTCTGATTGATGATTCTCTGAAAATCTTTAGGTCAACCCAAATTGGATTCATGAGTTGCAAAGGATGTTTATTACCTTGTGCGTGCAGACGTAGGAACTTTTGGGATCTTGTAAGCCTATTTCATATTCACATCCTGTATTAGTCCGTTTTCACACTGCTATGAAGAACTGCCTAAGACTGGATAATTCATGAAGGAAAGAGGATTCATTGATTCACAGTTCAGCATGGCTGGGGAGGCCTCAGGAAACTTAACAATCATGGCAGAAGGGGACGCAAGGCACCATCCCATTATCACGAGAACAGCATGGGGGAACCTTCGCTATGGTTCAGTGACCCCAACCTGGTCTCTCCCTGGACACATGGGGATTATGGGAATTACAATTTAAGATGAGATTTGGGTGGGGACACAGAGGCTCACCATATCACATCTGAAGACACACAAACTTGGGAAAGCACCCAGGAGGCTTAATAGACTTGATTTTGTCAAAAATTTTGAAATAGAATTGGGAAAAGGAAAAACAACTTTTCCTCTACCTTATCCGCCCCGCCACCCCTGGGTCTTGGTCTTGGGTGGAAGCATTATCTTTTTTTATTGCAGGAGGTGGGGCAGGCATGAACAATGAAAGCTCTCACTGGGTAGAAACAATTTTCCTAGATTCTTCAAGAACAAAAGCAAATATGTCCTGGCGAGGTGGCCGACACCTGTAATCCCAGTGCTTTGGGAGTCCAAGGAAAGAGGATTGCTTGAGCCCAGGAGTTCAAGATCAGCCTGGGCAACATAGTGAAACCTCATCTCTACAAAAAATGTAAAAAATTAGCTGGGCGTGCTTGCGCCTGCCTGTGGTCCCAACTACTCTGGAGGCCGAGGTGTGAGGATTGCTTGAGCCCAGGAATTGGAGGCTGCAGTAAGCCATGATTGCACCACTGCACTCCAGCCTGGACGACAGACAGAGACCCTGTCTCTAGATATAAAAATAAAAATACCTTTTTTTTTTTTTTTGAGACGGAGTCTCACTCTGTCACCCAGGCTGGAGTGCAATGGCGTGATCTCGGCTCACTGCAGCCTCTGCCTCCCGGGTTCAAGCGACTCTCCTGCCTCAGCTTCCCGAGCAGCTGGGACTACAGGCGCGTGCCACCACGTCCAGCTAATTTTTCATATTTTTAGTAGAGACGGAGTTTTGCCGTGTTAGCCAGGATGGTCTTGATCTCCTGACCTCATGATCCACCTGCCTTGGCCTCCCAAAGTGCTAGAATTACAGGCATGAGCCACCGTGCCCGGCCCCCAAAATAATTTTTTTTAAAAAAGCATCCTTTCTGAAGAATTGGCTCAGGGGAGTCCAAGATTCACTTTATACTAATGAGATGCTAGGCTAATTTTCTTCTAATATTTTCTATAAGTCTCTTATTCTGATGCCAAATTAACAGAAGGTCCAACTTTCAATTCCTGGTTTGCTTTCTAGTTATCCTGGGATTGATTTTCTTGGCCTTTTGTAAATGCACAAAGCAAAGGGCCAAAAAGAAAATAAAATAAAGTATAACAAAGAGAAGCAAGAGATGGTGAAACCCCGTCTCTACTAAAAATACAAGAATTAGCTGTGCGTGATGGTGGGCACCTGTAATATCCCAGCTACTTGGGAGGCTGAGGCAGGGAATTGCTTGAACCCGGGAGGCAGAGGTTGCAGTGAGCCAAGATTGTGCCACCACACTCCAGCCTGGACAACAGAGTGAGACTCTGTCTCAAAAAAAAAAAAAAAAAAAGAGAAAGAAAACAAAAACAAGGCACTCTTCTATAAATACCAAGACCCTACCTCAAAAGAGGACCTTTCCAACTGCATCCACTCACAGCTTGGTTTTTATACCTGAATTATAAAATGAGTTTAATATTTATCTCAGTGACATGATTTTGTTAGTAGACATGGAATTGTGATGTTGGATCGAGTTATCCGGAAGACGAAAGATGTCAGAGCCCTCAGCCTCTGGGGCAGGATTTTGCTTTATGGGTTCGATTTCCGGGATGGTGATTTTGAGATCTGGCAACCCCATAGGTTCATGGGGAGCTTGGAGATTTCATAAGAAGGATGTGAGTATAGCATGCCCTGGTCCTTCAAGAAACCATGGGCCAGGCGCGGTGGCTTACGCCTGTAATCCCAGCACTTTGGGAGGCCAAGGCGGGTGGATCACCTGAGGTCAGGAGTTTGAGACCAGCCTGGCCAACATGGTGAAACCCTGGCTCTACTAAAAATACAAAAATTAGCCAGGCATGGTGGTGCACACATGTATTTCCAGGTACTCGGGAGGCTGAGGCAGGAGAATCGCTTGAACCCAGGAGGCAGAGTTGCAGTGAGCCGAGATCGAGCCACTGCACTCCAGCCTGGGGACAAGAGCGAGACTTTGTCTCAAAAAAGAAAAAAGAAAAGAAAAACCATGCCCAGTTTTGGGGATACTGTTATTCTACCAGACAGGCTCATTTTCCGGGACTGTGTCATTGCATTGAAATCTGTGGTGTTTGTTAAATTTGTATTAAAATGAGTCCCAGGCGAGTGAGTAGACATAGGTGAGTCTTCGGCATCTTTCCAACAAGGAGATGCCTTTATCAAATCCTGTGACTTGATATAGATTTACTGAGAAGCTTTGCAGTGTTATATTTTGGGGTTCACGGATTAGAAACTCCTTGTGGAATCAGATGGCTCTGTCTGTTATAGGTTGGTGCAAAAATAACTGCGGTTTATGCCATTAAAAGTAATAGCAACATAGCAAGACCTCGTGTCTACAAAAAACGTAAAAAAAAAAAAATTAGCTGAGTGTGGTGGCTCCCAGCTAATTTTTTACCTTTTTTTGTAGAGACAGAGTCTTGCTATGTTGCCATTACTTTTAATGGCAAAAACCACAATTACTTTTGCACCAGCCTCCGTTCCTCCCTTCCTACAGATTTGAGTTTGTGGTGCTTGGGCTTCTCCTGGTTTTTGTCCATGTGATACGAAGGGGCCTGTTGAAGCTGCTTCTCTCATGCACTCGGGGTCTGTGACTTCGCATCTGGGTGTGTTGGCTTCGCGGGGGACCTGGCTCAGACCACTAACCACACGGAGCCTGACCACTTCCCACAGAGCCCAGCTTCCGTGGCTGGCAAGGGGTGTTCAGGATGCTGTCCTTTGGCTGTGGTGGCTGGTCCTACTGCTCTGTTTGCCAGGGTCCTGGGCTCACAGTGGGTTTCTTGAGGCTTTGGCAAGATGGGCGATTGGCTCTCCCTGTCTCCTTCTTTCTCTTTCTTCTTCTCTGCCTTTCTTCCTTCCCTCCTCCTTTCTTTCCCCCTCCCTCCTTCTTTTCTCTCTTCCTTCCCTGCTTTTCTCTTTCTTCCTTTGCCCTCAGTTCTCCCTCTCTCTCTCTTTTCATTCTTTCTTGAACTCTCCCTCTTTCTTCCTCCCTCCCTCCCTTCTTCTTTTCCTCCTTTTCCTTTTTCTCTCTTCCTTTTCTCTATCTCTTCCTTTCTTCCTTCTCTTTTCTTCTTATGTACCTCTTTCTTTTTTCTCTCTTCTTTCCTTCCTTCCTTTCTTTCCATCCCTCCCTCCTTCTTTCCTTTTCCCCTCTCCATCCCTTCCTCCTTTCCTTCCTTCCTTTCTTTTTTTCCTCTCTATTCTTTGTCTCTCTTCATCCATCTCTCCTGTTCTTACATGCCTCTTTTCTTCCTTCCTTCTTTCTTCTCTCCCTCCTTCCCTTCTTTCCTTCCTTCCTTCCCTTCCTCCTTCCCTCTCTCCTTCCCTTCCTCCCTCCCTCCCTCATTTCCTTCCTCCCTGCTTCACTTCTTCCTCCCTCCCTTCCTCCATACCTCCCTGCTTCCTTTTTTCCAACCTCCTTCCCTCCTCGTTCCTTCCCTCTTTCTGCCTTCCTCCCTTCCTTCCTCCCATCCCTTCTTCCTGCTTCCCTCCTGCTCTCCCTGTTCCCTGCCTCCCTCCCTGCCTTCCTCTGTCTCTCCCTTCCTCCACTCCTTAATTTTGGTTTCCACTTCCCACTCTCACACTTTGAGCCTCTATCCCATTACTTCCTTGCTCAGAGCAGCTCTTTCTAACACCTCCCTGCTGCTGGGAGCCCCAGCGCACAGCAAAAGCAGACCCAGCACCAGTTTACTTTTTGTATTATTATTTTTTATCGTTTTCAACCTTCCATTTCAGATGGCTGAAGACCTAGGGGTGAGCAGAGAACCCAGCCCAGGCCTGCGGAGCGTCCTGACCGTAATCGTTTTATCTGCTAAGACATAGCCTTAAAGCAAACCCTTCCATCTGCCGCTCCCCTCGCCCTGCTGGCAAATTCCCACCACGATGGGATTCTCAATCACATGGCGGATTCTCTGCCTTCAGTTCCATATGCTTTTGCCTTTCTGGATGCACAGAAGCTCATTATAGCAAATCATATTTCTGCATAAGAGCTTCAGAAAATGAAGAGAAATGCAGATATTTTCTTTTAAACATGAATCTAACAGAAACAGGGCAGTGACTTCCATGTTTTAATGAGTTTTGTCCCTAAGTCCATCCCTGCCAAGGGAACAAACTGGGGCCCAGGGTGGCCACCCTCTTCCCTGCAGTGTCCTAGGTTAAGCTCACTCACGTCCTAAGGATTTGACCTTCCAGGTCATGCATGGATTTTTAAATCTTCAACGTTTTTGGCCGTTGACTTGCATTTCTCACTGCACTTCCTATGAAGCAGTTCTTAACTCTTTCTGTGATCAGTGTTCCAAACAGGTACACACCTTGGTTCCTAGAAAAACAAAATTCATACGTTGAGGAATCACCTAAACATCTCCTGATCTTCACACTGTAAGGCGTGTTGGGAATTGGTGGGTGGTCAGGTCCCTATTCACACATTTGAGCACGGAGCCTCTGCGGCCGTCTTCCTTGGATTCTCTCATATCCCTGAAAAACACAAATTGTACCTGGATTTTCCTTCTGTTTCCAAAGTCCACCAACTTGTTCTTCAATGTAATTGATTTTAACTTGTTTTCTTTCTTTTACTTTTCTTATTTTTTTCTTTCTTTTCATTTTTTTCTTATTTCTTTTCCTTCTATTTATTTTACTTTTCTTATTTGTTATATGTTATTTCTTTTTCTTTTCTTACTTTTCTTCTTTTTTCATTTTTCTTTTTTAAATTGGAGTCTCACTCTGTTGCCCAGGCTGGAGTGCAGTGGTGCAATCTTGGCTCACTGCAGCCTCCACCTCCTGGGTTCAAGCGATTCTCCTGCCTCAGCCTCCCGAGTAGCTGGGACTACAGGCACACACCACCACACCCAGCTAATTTTTGTATTTTTAGTAGAGACGGGGTTTCTCCATGTTGGCCAGGCTGATCTCGAACTTCTGACTTCAGGTGATCTGCCTGCCTCAACCTTCCAAAGTGCTGGGATTACAGGTGTGAGCCACTGTGCCTGGCCCTTTTTCTTTTTTCTTTTTTTTTTTCTCTTATTTCTTTTTTCTTATTTGTTTTCCTTTTTGCTTTTTCTTTTTATCTTATTTCTTTTACTTATTTTTCTTTTTTTTACTTTTATTTCTTCTCCGTTTTTCCTCATTCTTTTCCTCTTATTTCTTTGACTTTTCTGATTTCTTTTTTTTTCTTATTTTCCTTTTTTTTTCATATTCCTTTTAATTTTTTCTTACTTCTTTTACTTTTCTTATTTGCCCTCTTGTGGAAATGAGGCACAGCCTCCCTTATGGTTGAGCCGTAGTTCTAGCTGAGCACGGATGGTTTGATCCTCCTGTGTTGGGGCACTGTATGGTGTGAGGGCACAAAACCTTGACCCACATGGGTCTGGTCACCTTCTCACAGAGGTCACCTTTACAGCCCCCCAACTCTTTGAAGGATGTGTCCCAAGGTGTCTCAAGTCTGATGCAATGAAAGCTGCCCCCCATTGACCACAGGACTGAGTCCAGAATGTCCTGCGTGTTTCCCAGAGTGTCTGTCCTAACACCGCTTAAAGATTAGCCACTGCTAGACAGTGATCCTCAGGTATATGGTCTCAGGATTGGCCCCAAGCACACGGTGTGTGTGTGTGTATAAATATATCTTCACAAAGCATAGGTACCCATTAAAGCCATATTGCTTTGCTGAATGGTTCTAATAGCTACAGATGATTTCTAGCCTGAAAGAAAAGCACCACGAATTGTTTGAAGTTGACTTGTCAGATGTGGCATGCTTGGTCTAAGTTTTGACAGGAAGGGTATGTGGGTAGGGGTGTACGGAGCATCTCATGAGACCAGTTCTCCTCCTGAGAGGTCCGTGATGTTGGAACTGTTGCCCCAGATGGACTTTGCCCTTGTGAGACTTTATACTTTTCAATGCAGTTTTTCCCTCTTTAAAACTCGCCAGCTTTTATGTAGTGTTTTATAAAATTACAGGAATAAAAAGAATATCTTTTATGCTTTTTAACCAATGAGGGGAGAGGGAGAAATTATTTGTCCTCTGAAATGAATGCAGGTTTTCAATTTCTAGCCAGGACAGTTTGCTGCAAAATGCACCCGTGTTGACAACTTGTGACTGGCAGAACAAATGACATTTGTGGTGAACATTTTCGGATCATTTCGAATGTTCTTCTCTTCAGGGGGTTTTCCTCTCTTTTTCTTAAATCAAAGAATTTGGCCCTTTATGTGGGAGTCATTTAGTGGTTAGGGAGAACAGTTGAAACTGTGGAGTTCACGTAGCGTAAACTGGCGAGGCTGTCTCTGCTGCTGTCATTAAAAGTTACGCTGCTGGCTTGGCACGGTGGTTCACACCTGTAATCCCAGCATTTTGGGAGGCCGAGGTGGGCAGATCACGAAGTCAGGAGATCGAGACCATCCTGGCTAACATGGTGAAACCCCGTCTCTACTAAAAATACAAAAAATTAGCTGGGCATGGTGGCGGGCGCCTGTAGTCCCAGCTACTCGGGAGGCTGAGGCAAGAGAATGGCGTGAACCCTGGAGGCGGAGGTTGCAGTGAGCCGAGATCGCGCCACTGCGTTCCAGCCTGGGCGACAGAGCAAGACTCTGTCTCAAAAAAAAAAAAAAAAGAAAAGAAAAAGAAAAGTTACGCTGCTGCACCATACAAACGTGTTCCTTTATGAAGGCATTTGAACCACAGATGGGGCCGTTTTACAAATAGCACGGTCTTTGTGAGGGGGAAACGCATGGCCACAGATTCGATGAGCTTCTGCTGCTTCCCTTTGTGTTGAAAACGTGGGTGTTCCTTCACACCAACACTGGAAATAAATAAATACCTATTGATCTGTGCATCTCTTACGCGTTTCCAATTCTGTTGGCTTATGCTGTGGGTCAGAAAAGAAGCGACACCGACAACATTTGGGGACTTGACCCTGTTTGCATTGCGGCATGTTTGAAACATTTTTTAATGGAAATTTGGGAATAGAGGGCCGGGCGTGGTGGCTCAGGCCTGTAATCCCAGTACTTTGAGAGGCCGAGGTGGGCGGATCACAAGGTCAGGAGATCAAGACCATCCTGGCTAACACGGTGGAACCCCATCTCTACTAAAAATACAAAAAATTAGCCAGGCGTGGTGGTGCATGCCTGAAATCCCAGCTACTCAGGAGGCTGAGGCAGGAGAATTGCTTGAACCCGGGAGGCGGAGGTTGCAGTGAGCTGATATCGCGCCACTGCACTCCAGCCTGGGCGACAGAGCGAGACTCTGTCTCAAAGAAATAATAATAATAATAAATAAATAAATAAATAAATAAATTTGGGAATGGAAACAAGACTGGGAAAAAATGCTGGAGGAGGAAGAAAACCGGGTACACAAGACGCCTTGGCTGTCTTGTCCTTTGATGGCTGGGGAAGCTCTTAGTGCTCGGAGTCCTCACTCACCTCTCTGCATTCTGAGGGAGGTAGAAGGGGGGACAGGAGAGCCAATTCAACCTGAGAAGGATGATTGGTGGAGGTGGGTAAAGGAAGAAAGTCCCCTTTCCCTAGGTACTGAAAAGATGCTAATCTGCTGAGATTCTCTGTATTTATTTTTATTTATTTTAATTTTTATTTTGAGACAGTCTTGCTCTGTCACCCACGCTGGAGTGCAGTGCCACGATCTCAGCTCACTGCAACCTCCACCTCTTGGGTTCAAATGATTCTCCTGTCTCAGCCTCCCAAGTAGCGGGGACTACAGGTGCACGCCACCACGCCCAGCTAATTTTTGTATTTTTAATAGAGACGGGGTTTCACCATGTTGGCCAGGATGGGCTCGATCTCTTGACCTCGTGATCCGCCCGCCTGGCCTCCCAAAGTGGTGGGATTACAGGTGTGAGCCACCATGCCCAGCCTCTGCATTTATTTTTATTTATTTATTTTTATTTTTATTTTGAGACAGTCTTGCCCTGTCACCCAGGCTGGAGTGCAATAGTGTGATCTCGGCTCACTGCAACCTCCACCTCCTGGGTTCAAACGATCCTCCTGCCTCAGCCTCCCGAGTAGCTGGGAGTATAGGTGCACGCCACCACGCCCAGTTAACTTTTGTATTTTTTAGTAGAGACGGGGTTTCACCATGTTGGCCAGGCTGGTCTCGAACTCCTGACCTCAAGTGATCCACCTGCCTCAGCCTCCCAAAGTGCTGGGATTACAGGCGTGAGTCACCACGCCCAGCCGTCTGCATTTGTTTGATGAGTTTGGGGGCAGTTATAAATAAGAATCTTATTTTCACAGATGCACGTACTTTTTTTTTTTTTATAGAAAGAGCTTCCATGTGCGTGTTCCTCAGTGTTTAGGGAGAAGAAAGCAACCCTTAAAATAGAGGAAAATGAAGCTGCTTGGATTACCCTGTTGAAGTTCATCTCTGCCTGTGCCATGCATGAAAAAATACTGGCAAAGTCTTCACTTACATGAGTGTTAGACTCCATGTTCCCAGTGGGTCTCGGGGTTCAGAACTGAGTGCTCTCATCCAAGCAATAGGAGCGTCGACCTCAGGAAAGCCCAAGTGTTTTGTGTGTATTTTGAGGAGTGGGTTATCTGTTGCACTGAGCCTCTCTGTGTATTTTCTTCTTCTTTTCAGCAGAACAAGGGGAGGTGGACATGGAGAGCCACCGGAATGCCAACGCAGAGCCAGCTGGTAAGAAGGACGGGGAACGATGGCTTGCACACGTGGCCAGTGTTCCCATTTTATCTTCTCCATCCTCTCCCATCTTGCTGTCCTGCTCACATTCTCAAATTTGGTTGCATGGCTTTGAATGTCTTCCTTTATGTCTCGTTGCTTTGGAGGGATACTTTCAAAAGACAATGAATGTGTAAACTTCCTAGGGCCTGGGCCTTCAGAGAAGACCTATATGTGCCTAAGTCTCTGTTTAACAAAATATTAAGGAAGTTTTCCCAGGAGTTCGAGACCAGCCTGGCCAACATGGTGAAACCCTGTCTGTACTAAAAATACAAAATTAGCTGAGTGTGGTGGTGGGCGCCTGTAATCCCAGCTACTTGGGAGGCTGAGGCAAGAGAACTGCTTGAACCTGGGAGGTAGAGGTTGCAGTGAGCCGAGATCGTGCCATTGCACTCCAGCCTGGGCGACACAGTGAGACATGTTTCAAAAAAAAAAAAAGTTCCAAGTGGCACACGATTGGTGCATAGTTGGGAAGTCCACAGCTGGCTGGTGTGCACTGGGAATTAAAAGCCCATCTCCTGAAATATAACTCGTTAAGTTTTGCTGTCAACTTTTTTTTTGTTGTTAGAGATAGGGTCTCACTCTGTCGCCCAGGCTGGAGTGCAGTGGCACGATCATAACTTACTGCAGCCTCGATCTCCTGGGCTCAAGGGATCCTCCCACCTCAGCCTCCTGATAAGCTGGAACCACAGGCGTGCACCACCGTGTCCGGCTGATTTGTTGTTGTTTTTTTTTTATTTTGTAGAGACAAGGTCTCACTAGGTTGCCCAGACAGGGTCTCACTATGTTGCCCATCCTGAGCTCAAGCAACCCTCCGACCTCAGCTTCCCAGAGTGCTGGGGTTCTAGGCGTGAACTACCGCACCCAGCCTGCTATCACCTTCTAAAAATCCTCTCAACCAGGTGGAAAATGTGGTTAAGAAGAGACTTTAATTCGTGAGAAACTTCTCAGGGTAAAAGGCAGGCATTTTGCCATCAGAACCACTTTTGAAAATGGCAAGAAAAAAATGTGTGTGTGTATATGTGCGTGTATTTTTTTATTTTGTTTGTGCATACATTGGAACCTTCTCATTTGCCTGAGAGATGCAGTGCTTATTTTTAATAGCAGCTGTCAAATTGAGAGGGATTTTTAATGAAATGATTTAAAATATTTTAATTTTTTTTCTTTTTGAGATGGAGTGTCTCTCTGTCACCCAGGCTGGAGTGCAGTGGTGCGACCTCTGCTCACTGCAACCCCTGCCTCCCAGTGTCAAGTGATTCTCCTTCCTCAGCCTTCTGAGTAGCTGAGACCACAGGCACCCGCCATCATGCCCCACTAATTTTCTTTCTGTTTTTACTAGAGACGGGGCTTTCGCCATGTTGGCCAGAGTGGTCTCGAACTCCTGACCTCAAGTGATCTGCCCACCTTGGCCTCCCAAAGTGCTAGGATTACAGGCATGAGCCACCGTGCCTGGCATTCCATTTTAAAGATAGAGACTTCTACAAAGTTAGTGTCTCGCCAGACGCGGTGGCTAATGCCTGTAGTCCCAGCACTTTGGGAGGCTGAGGTGGGCGGATCACCTGAGGTTGGGAGTTCGAGACCAGCCTGACCAACATGGAGAAACCACGTCTCTACTAAAAATTAAAAAAAAAAAAAAAAAAAAAATTAGCCAGGCATCGTGGCGCATGCCTGTAATTCCAGCTACTCAGAAGGCTGAGGCAGGAGAATCGCTTGAACCCGGGAGGCGGAGGTTGTGGTGAGCCAAGATTGCGCCATTGCACTCCAGCCTGGGCAACAAGAGCAAAACTCTGTCTCAAAAATAATAATAATAATAATAAAAGAAAGTTAGTGTCTTGTTGACTGCTCTTTCGAGTCAGGGAAAGATGTTTAGAACAAGCTATATCTTAAAGAGAAAAGGAAGATTCCTTCTGCCCACTGCAATGAAGTTGTCTGGCTTCATTAGCCAGTACATTGGTATATGTGTGTGGAGCCCTCGTGACTTGAAGGGCGTGGCATTCCAGTGTTTTCTGCCACCATTGTTCTTAATTCCTTCTTCCAAATCCCAGCTTCTCCCTCCAAAATAGTTTTAAGACTGACATGCAGAATAAAGTTTCCAAAACTTAAATGAATGGACCAGAAAATCTCAGCCCAGCATCATTGCAAATCAATAAAAACTGCACACTCTCATTTAGAAGATTTATTCTTCCATTTGGTAAGTTATAGGCATTTGTTAGTGTCTCTGTGACGTCGTTAGTGGAAATTGCCTTCTGCTGTTTTCCTTCTGCTTTTTCTGCAGCATCCATTTTTTTTAATGAATGGCATCATTCAATGAAATTGATTGAATTGATTGAGATTTAGGGTTTTGCTTTCTCGTGATGAGTTTTGGGCCCATTTTTCTTATGCAGAAATAAAACCACTGGCTCCTGAAAGTTGTAGGAACTGTGTCCACGTGAGTGCTCAGGGACCTGGGAATGACTTTCTTTTGTCTCTGTCTCCCACAGTTCAGCGTACTCTTTTAGAGAAATAGAAGATTGTCGGCAGAAACAGCCCAGGCGTTGGCAGCAGGGTTAGAACAGCTGCCTGAGGCTCCTCCCTGAAGGACACCTGCCTGAGAGCAGAGATGGAGGCCTTCTGTTCACGGCGGATTCTTTGTTTTAATCTTGCGATGTGCTTTGCTTGTTGCTGGGCGGATGATGTTTACTAACGATGAATTTTACATCCAAAGGGGGATAGGCACTTGGACCCCCATTCTCCAAGGCCCGGGGGGGCGGTTTCCCATGGGATGTGAAAGGCTGGCCATTATTAAGTCCCTGTAACTCAAATGTCAACCCCACCGAGGCACCCCCCCGTCCCCCAGAATCTTGGCTGTTTACAAATCACGTGTCCATCGAGCACGTCTGAAACCCCTGGTAGCCCCGACTTCTTTTTAATTAAAATAAGGTAAGCCCTTCAATTTGTTTCTTCAATATTTCTTTCATTTGTAGGGATATTTGTTTTTCATATCAGACTAATAAAAAGAAATTAGAAACCAAGTACTTTTTTTTTTTTACTTAAATATTTTGCCGTGGGTGGATGTTAAAGAAGGCCGTGGTAATTTACAGGATGGGTTCCAAGTTCTCTTCTTCTGGGGCTTTAAGGCAGATTTCCAGCCTAAATGCTAGCTCTTTATTTCCAAAATGTCCTTGTTGGGCTCTTTTCCTTTCCCGTGTCCTGCCACATCGGGATGGGTACTCTTCTGCACCCAGATACTCCCAGCCAGATACTCTCCTCCATCCAGATACTCTGTTTCCAGATACTCTCCCTGCAGCTAGTTATCCCCTTGAGTCCAGATGCTGCCTGCTTCCAGATACTCCTCTGTATCCAGATACTCCTCTAAATCCAGGTACTCCCTACATCCAGATACTGTACTTCCTAAGATGTACAAGATGTACCGCATTTTCCCAACACTGAAGACTTGACCACAGCTTAAGTGGGTTGGTTAAATACATTATGGCCCAGATTGCAATGGATCTTCTGCCTTGTTAAAAAGAATGAATGAGTCAAGGGTCTTTTTGTTTACTGACACTGCCTAGCATGTATTGAAGCTCAGTAAACACTTGCAGAATAAATCACAGAAAAGCCTCTCTCCTTAAGAAGTTAAGAGATTGGCTCTGATACCAACAACTACCATACTATTCCAAATACTATTATTTCAAAAATTTATAAAGTATTTTATTCTATGTTCTATTAGCCATTAAGTAACTTTTTTTTTTTTTTTTTTGAGACAGAGTCTTGCTCTGTCACCCAGGCTGGAGTGCAGTGGGGCAATCTTGGCTCACTGCAACCTCCGCCTCCTGGGTTCAAGTGATTCTCCTGCCTCAGCCTCCCAAGTAGCTGGGACTACAGGCGTGCACCACCACACCCGGCTAATTTTTCTATTTTTAGTAGAGCCTGGGTTTCACCATGTTGGCCAGGCTGGTCTCAAACTCCTGACCTCAAGTGATCTGCCTGCCAAGGCCTCCAAAAGTGCTGGGATTACAGGTGTGAGCCACTGTGCCTGGCCCAGCCCTTAAGTAACTTTTTAATCATCATTCCCAAAATCATAGGACTTTCTTTACATAGAAGTTCCAAAATAATGAAACAAAAGACTTGTTTTACCCAGGTATTTAATGATCCAACAAGCCGTATAATTTAAACTCTATTTTTCAAGTAACCCACTTTCAATAAAATCATGTTTATTTTTATGTCCATGAGAAATTAAAATCAGTCATCTACAAAGATGGACATCCACCCTCCACAAAAAAATAAGTCTTGTTGACACATTTCTTGGAAGTATAGATTTATTTATAAGTAAGCCCTAATTTGACATATCTAAAAAAATACCTTTTTTTTTTTTTTTTTTTTTTTTTTTTTTTACTATTCTTCTTTTTACTCTTCTGCTTCTTGTTTAATGAGCCATTTCTGTGGATAGTATGATTACAATGAGCCATTTGTGTGGATGGTATGATTATAATACTTACAAAAATGTCAGTGTTATTCATAGAATGACAACAGATTTAATGCATTTTTTCTTTTTTTTATTCTAAAGTTAGTCAATGTGAAGAATCTGACCTCAAAGACAATTCTTGATAATTCATTGGGGAGGACTAGAAACACCACCCTCTAACTTTATAACGTGTCATTGGTCACTCAGCAAAGCGGCCAGGCATGCTGGTTTATCCAGCTTTCAGCCCTTGAAGATTCACCAGACTAAGGATTAAGTGAAAAAGAATATCTGCCACCTACTTCACTGAGGCGTAAACAGTCCCTATAGATCAATGAGAAAAGGACCCAACACCCGTATAAAAACAAAGGGCAATTCACATGTTTTCCAGAAATGGAACGCAGATGATTTTATGAAGATAGCCCATTTGATGTCGTTTTTCAACTAAGAGATTGGCAATAATCAGAAAGTTTGTAGGGCTCTTAGGAAACAGATCTGAGACATCATGTAAGTCCTGGGCATTTGCGAAACTTCTATGGGGAATGGACTGACAGTGTCCTTAAACAATTAAACATGCACATCCGTGGTCGGCCCCCTCAAGGGTGGAGAGGATGAGGCATTTGTGATGTCTCAATACATCCTGGAGAATCTAGAAGGTCACCTCCACACACCTGCACCACAGGTGGCATCCTATAGGTATTTGCTAAAGGAAGCAATGAAAGGGTAAGATAAATAACCAAGAGGTGCCCGCCACTGTGTTCACCCAATTTTACATACTCCAAGTTATCACTAGTGTCAAAATCAGAAGAAATAACTCCAATGCCAGAAAAAGCCAGCTGGCTGTGCCCTTCAATATCCTGAGAATGATGGGATGTGAAAAGGTGTCGAATCCTCAACAGCAGGGAGACTGCTTGGATGACTCCCACCCAGAACTGAAATTGAAGGCGGAGTTTCTGAGCTTAGAAAGGGGAAAGACCCAGCATTTATGACTGACTCCTTCATCCAACCTCTTTCCCCAAATCAGACGATTTTTGACATGGGTATGGTAACACCATACGTTTGCATAGAGAGATTCATGGGAAGCCTAGCTGCTGTGACGTGCAGCAGTCAGTTTTTAACACCATCATCAGTGGCGAAATGAAACATTCCCTTGAAATCGCCTTTCTCTGGATGACTATTTAAACAGCTTCACGTTAGCCTGCCTGTGCGACTGAGGACGTACTGATGATATCCTCATTTTCCGGTGGAGGAAAGTTTATGACGTCAATCCCATTCCGAATATCAGGACTTTAAATCTCTATGATGTTAGCACAAAATGCAAGTGGAGCCCTCTCCAAGCTTTCATAGAGCCATGTATTTTGGAAGCCTTAATGGGGAGACAGTTCTCAATGTGGAAAAGTTGTCATGTATCGCAGAGAAGAGAACAGACCACCATGCCCAGCTAATATTTGTATTTTTAGTAGAGACGGGGTTTCAACATGTTGGCCAGGATGGTCTCGATCTGTTGACCTCGTGATCTGCTCACCTCGACCTACCAAAATGCTGGGATTTCAGGCGTGAGCCACCGCGCTGGGCCCAATACATCTCTTTTCTTAGTTGACTTCTTTTGTATCTCTTCATAGCCTTTTCATATTTTTATATTGATTTGTATCTTTCATTTTTTATATATTTAAACTACCTACTTATGTTAATTCTGTGCCATGGTAACTTCCTTAATTCATGATTCATATGGGCATACATACAGTCATGGATACAACAGGCTTTCGTATATAAAATTATGAAAAAGTTTATTCTTTTAACATTTTGTGGGGATACAACAGGTTTTCATATATAAATCATGAAAAAATGCATCTATTCTTCTAACACTTTGTGAGGATACAACAGGTTTTCATATATAAAATTATGAAAAAAAATTCTTCTAACACCTTTGTGGGGATACAAAAGGTTTTCATATATAAAATCATGAAAAAGGCCGAGTGCGGTGGCTCACGCCTGTAATCCCAGCACTTTGGGAGGCCGAGGCGGCTGGATCAAGAGGTCAGGAGATCGAGACCATCCTGGCCAACATGGTGAAACCCTGTCTCTACTAAAAATACAAAAAATTAGCTGGGCGTGGTGGCACGCACTTGTAATCCCAGCTACTCGGGAGGCTGAGGCAGGAGAATTGCTTGAACCCGGGAGGTGGAGGTTGCAGTGAGCCAAGATCGCGCCACTGCACTCCAGCCTGGCCACAGAGCAAGAGTCCATCTAAAAAAAAAAAAAAAAATCGTGAAAAAAAGTATCTATTCTTCTAACACTTTTGTGAGGGTTACAACAGGTTTTCATCTATAAAATAATGAAAAAATGTATTCCTTTCTTAAGAACATTTGTCAGGAATGGGTATTAAATTCAATCAAGTGTTTTCTTGGGATGCATCATGCTGACTATGGTTTTCTACTTTGACCTGTTAATATGGTGAATTAAATATAATGACATATCATCGATCATCCTTCAATCCAATCTTATTTGGTGTTACACTTTAGTTTTGTTATTTTCTTTAGGATTATTGTGTCAATATTCAAAAGTCAAATTCATGTGTGTTATATGTTTGCATGTAATATATTTCAATATTGTGCTTTCTTCATACATACATTTTGGTAGATTTTCTTCTTTCTCTTGTGGAAAATCTGATTGGCTAAAGTTTTCTGGGCATGGGCTGTGTGTGTGTGTGTGTGTGTGTGTTTTAGAGGGGGCAAAGGGTTTTTGTTTCTTTCTGTTGGAGAGAGATTTATTTATTTAGAGATGGAGTCTCACTCTGTTGCCCAGGCTGGAGTCCAGTGGTGCAATCTTGGCTCACTGCAACCTCCACCTCCCAAGTTCAAGCAATTCTCCTGCCTCAGCCTCCCGAGTAGCTGGGATTACAGGCATATACAAGCACGCTCAGCTAATTTTTGTATTTTTAGTAGAGATGGGGTTTCACCATGTTGGCCAGGCTGGCTCAAACTCCTGACTTCAAGTGATCTGCCTTCCTCGGCCTCCCAAAGTGCTGGGATGACAGGCATGAGTCACTGTACCCGGCTGGGAAATGAATTTTTAAAAAAAAAACTTTATGTATTTCTACTTCTTCATTGGAAAGTCATTCGTATTTACTTAAGTTTTCAAATATCACAGTGCAGATTAGAACAAAGTAGTTGTTTATAATTCTTCCGCATCCTCCAAGTGTATGGAGAAGCTCGCATTCTTCTTGTTTTGTGCTGTCATTATTTTAGTTTGTTATCTTCGTCTACTTTAGTTTTCTCAGATAATGTTTAAATTATTTGGCAAATCATTTCTCAATTTTCAATGCATTAATTTCCTCCACCTGCTTTTCTGGAGTTTCATGTGATACCCACTCTCCCCACACAGGATGACTTCTCGAGTTGAATGTTCATTCCATTTATTTTCATTCTTTCTTGCTTAATGTTGTAAACAGGCGAGGTTCTAACTTTTCATCTGTGTACTACAAGCTCTCAAGTTCTTTCATGGGGAGTTTGTATCATGGTCATTTTCTAGTATTTAGCATTTTCAGCTTTTGTTTCCTGTCAACTCAACATTAAAAGTTTTTTAAAACGTCCGGGTGATATTGTTGCTTTGTTTGCTTTCCTGGTTTCATTATCCATTTTCAATTTTGCTGCTGTGAATTTGCACCGTCTCCTTGGGGAGTGATTTGGCTGTATATTAGTCAGCGTTCTCTAGAGGGACATAACTAATGGAATATATATATACACACAAAGGGGAGTTTATTAAATATTAACTCACACGATCACAAGGTCCCACAATAGGCCATCTGCAGGCTGAGGAGCAAGGAGAGCCAGTCCCAGTCCCAAAACTGAAGAACTTGGAGTCCAGTGTTTGAGGGCAGGAAGCATCCAGCACGGGACAGAGATGTAGGCTGGGAGGGTAGGCCAGTCTCTCTTTTTGCATTTTTTTGCCTGCTTTATATTCTAGCCTTGATGGCAGCTGATTAGATTATGCCCACCCAGATTAAGGGCGGGGGGCCTGCCTTTCCCAGCCCACTGACTCACATGGTAATCTCCTTCGGCAACACCCTCACAGACACACCCAGGATCAATACTTTGTGTCAATCAATCCAATCAGGTTAACAGTCAGTATGAACCATCACAGGCAGTGTCTACAAGCAATGAAACATGCACACACCTTTCTACCTAATTCCTGCCCATTCCTGACCAACGCTCCTAAGAAAGGAATAGATTTGATTTTTTTCTTGATTTTATATCTTAAAAACCTGTTGTATCCATGTCTGTATGTGTGCCAGGGTGAATCACAAAGTCAGGAAGTTAGTGTGACGCAGAATAAGGATATCTTTATTCTTTTATTTTTTATTACTTTTTATTTTGTTTTTGAGACAGAGTCTTACTCTGTCCCCCAGGCTGGAGTGCGGTGGCCTGATCTAAGCTCACTACAACCTCCACCTCTCCGGTTCAAGTGATTCTCCTGCCTCAGCCTCCCAAGTAGCTGGGATTACAGGCACATGCCACCACACCCGGCTAATTTTTGTATTTGTAGTAGAAATGTGGTTTCACCATGTTGGCCAGGCTGGTCTCAAACTCCTGACCTCAGGTGATCCATCCGCCTCGGCCTCCTAAAGTGCTGGGATCGCAGGTGTGAGCCATCATGCGTGGCCTAGAATATTCTTATTTCCAATTTTACAGCAACAGAATGTCTTCTGTCTTGTTTCTACTTTAAAAAAACAGTTTGCTAAAGCTTTCTTTGTAGTGCAGTTGTGAATTTTCAGGAGCATCCCATGAACATTGAAAAGGAGATGCATTCACGCTTTTTAAGGTTATCGAGGATGTGAAAATTAAAGTCGGCTTTGTAAATTCTGCCATGTCTGTGAGCTCCCAGCATTTGATCAGCTGAGGCTTCGAGCGGTGAAGTAGAGTGCTTTTCCCCTAACGTGCTCTGATCTGGAGCCTGCGTGTATTACCGCTGGGCACACGGCCTGCCCTGACCATACTTTAGTGAAGCAGAGGTGATAAAACTGGGTTTCCCAGGACTCCTGCAACACACAGCTTTGATGTCGGCAAACTAGAACCCGGGAGCCAAATCTGCCCACGGTGTGTTTTTGTACAGCTTTCGAGGTAAGAATTTTTTTGTATTATTGTCGTTATCGTTGTTTTGAGATGGCGTCTTACTCCGTCGCCCAGGCTGGAGTCCAGTGGCATGATCTCGGCTCACTGCAACCTCCGCCCCTGGGTTCAAGCGATTCTCCTGCCTCAGCCACCTGAGCAGCTGGGACTACAGGCATGCACCACTACGCCCGGCTACTTTTTGTATTTTCAGTAGAGACAGGGTTTCACCATGTTGGCCAGGTTGGTCTCGAACTCCTGGCCTCAAGTGATCTGCCTGCCTCTGGCTCTCAAAGTCCTGGGATTACAGACATGAGCCACGGTGCCCAGCCAAGAATGGTTTTTACATGTCTGAATAATTTTCAAAACTCCAAAGAACAATAATATTTTGTGATGCATGAAAATTATGTGACACTCAAGTTTTTATGTTCATAAAGTCCACTTGGCGCACAGACATTGGTTACATATTGCAGCAGAATCCATATGGTTTGCAAAGATAAATGCCTTTACTATCTGACCTTCTGCAGAAAAGCTTGTCTACTCTTGCCTCAAGAAGCATGTAAAATACTTACAACACTGGCACGTTAGGCATGCTGGAAATCGTAGCAATTATTTTGCACCTTCACTACATCTGAGAGGATTTCCTGAACTTAACCATTTAACCTAACTCCTCACTACCTTTTGGGAAACATTTTTTTTATTAAGGTGAAATTCACAAATCATAGAATTAACCTTTTTTTTTTTTTTGACCCGGAGTCTCTGTCACCCAGGCTGGCGTGATCTCATCTCACTGCAACCTCTGCTTACCGGGTTCAGGCAATTCTCGTGCCTCAGCCTGCCAAGTAGTTGGGATTACAGGCAGTCACCACCACATCTGGCTAATTTTTGTATTTTTAGTAGAGATGGGTTGCATCATGTTGGCCAGGCTGGTCTTGAACTCCTGACCTTAGGTGATCCACCCGCCTCAGCCTCCCAAAGTGCTGGGATGACAGGAGAATTCACCATTTTAAAGTGAACAATTCAGGTTGCTTGCTGCTTTCACAGTGTTTTGTGGCCACCACTTCTACCTAGTTCCAAGATATTTTCACTGCCCCCAAAAGAAATCCCATTAGCAGCTGTTTTTTATATTGGCTTCCTGGGGCTGTCATAAAAACATGCTTCAAACTAGGTAGGGGGCTTAAAAAACAGACAGTTAAGCTGTCACAGTTCTGGAGCATAGAGGTCTGAAATCAAGGAGCAAACAGGGTGGATTCCTCCCTCCGTCCCTCCTTCCCTCCCTCCCTCCCTCCCTCCCTCCCTCCCTCCCTCCCTCCCTTCCTGCCTTCCCTCCTTCCTTCCTTTCTCTTTCTTCCTTTCCTTACCTTTCCCCTTTCCCTCCCTCCCTCCCTCCCTTCCTTCCTTCCTTCCCTCCTTCCTTCCTTCCTTCCTTCCTTTCCTCCTCCTCCTTCTTCTTTCTTTCTTTCTTCCTTTCTTTCTTCTTTCTCTTTCTTCTCTCTCTCTCGCTCTCTCTCTCTTTCTGAGTCTCACTCTGTTTCTGTTGCCCAGTCTGTAGTGCGGTGGCACAATCTTGGCTCACTGCAACCTCTGCCTCCCGGGTTCAAGCAATTCTCCTGCCTCAGCTTCCCAAGTAGCTGGGATTACAGGCGCGCACCATCGTGCCTAGTTAATTTTTGTATTTTTAGTAGAAACGGGATTTCACCATGTTGGCCAGGCTGGTCTCGAACTACTAATCTCCAGTGATCCGCTCACCTCAGCCACCCAAAGTGCTGGGATTACAGACGTGAGCCACCGGGCCCAGCCAGCAGGGCTGATTTCTTCTGATGCTGTGAGGTAGAATGGATTCCATGCCCCTCCCATTGCGTCCAGTGGTTTGCTGCCAATATCCCTTGGCTTGTAGGTGCATCACCCCAATCTCCCACTTCATGTTCCCAAGGCCTTCTCCCTGTGTGCATGTCAGTGTCCAGATTTCTCTCTTCTTTTAAAATACCAATCATATTGCAGTATGACCTCATCTTAACTAATGATTAGGTTGGTGCAAAAGTAATTGCAGTTTTCACCTTCAAAAGTAATGGCGAGGAGCTGGGCACGCTACCTCACGCCTGTAATCTCAGCACTTCGAGAGGCCGAGGTGGGCGGATCACAAGGTCAGGAGTTCGAGACCAGCCTGGCCAACATGGTGAAACCCCGTCTCTACTAAAAATGCAAAAATTAACCAGGTGTGGTGGTGCATGCCTGTAATTCCAGCTACTCAGGAGGCTGAGGCAGAAGAATCACTTGAGCTCAGGAGGCAGAAGTTGCAGTGAGCTGACATCACGCCACTGCATTCCAGCCTGGGTGACAGAGCAAGCCTGTGTCTCAAAAAAAAAAAAAAAATTAATGGTGAAAACTGCAATTACTTTTGCACCAAAGTAATACATCTGCAAAGATCTTATCTCCAAAGAAAGTCACATTCTGAAGTACTGAAGGGTTGGGCTTCAATATATGAAGTTTGCGGGAGAAAAAATGCAACTCATAATATATCCATTCCCACGTCTTTCCAGCCCCTGGCAACCGGCAATGTGCTTTCTGTCTCTGCAGATTTGCCTGTTCTGGACATTTCAGAGAAATGGAATCCTACACAATGCGTTCTTCTGTGTCTGTTTTCTCTAACTCAGCATCCAGTTTTTGACGTCCATCCACTTTGTAGCAGATGTCACGGTGTCAGTCCTCTTTAGGGTCAGGGGACTTTGAAGGAAATATCTTTCTAAATGCATCAACTGCTTCCTGGACTCTGCCACTCAGAGCTTAGGACTGCACAAGCTAACTGCCTTAGAGCATTTCCCCCATATGCACACACACACACACATGAACACACATGCACACGCACACATGCACACGCACACACGCACACACACACAGACAGACACGTGCACACACACACACACCTGTGTGCACAGGAACTTAATCCATCCAAGTAACTTACCTTTATAAAGATGTTGCAGTCCAGGCGCGATGGCTCACACCTGTAATCCCAGCACTTTGGGAAGCCGAGGCAGGTGGATCACTTGAGGTCAAGAGTTCAAGACCAGCCTGGCCAATGCAGTGAAACCCTGTATCTACTAAAAATACAGAAATTAGCCGGGTGTGGTGTCGGGTGCCTGTAATCCTAGCTACTCGGGTGGCTGAGGCAGGAGAATCACTTGAACCTGAGAGGCGGAGGTTGTAGTGAGTTGAGATCACACCACTGCACTCCAGCCTGGGCAACAGAGTGAGACTCTGTCTCAAAAAAAAAAAAGGAAGATATTTCATAGAAGACAACTCCCAAACACCAGGTCAACAACATGAACAGACTTAACACTCCAGATGCTCAAATTTGCAGAGAGAAAAGTCCAAGGTTTATTTCTCCTTTTGGGTCTGTTTGCCATGAATCCTGCTTCTCTGGGAATTTAGAAGCTGCCCTCATAACTAAGACTGATTTTCCCCTTTCTCCTGCAGTTAATCTATTTACCAGAGGACTTCAAAGCTGTTTGCAAATGGTAACTTTTTAAGTGCTTGCCTACTGCTTCATGGTAGGTAGAGTGTAAGGGTTAACCCACGAGTTGTATATGGATAAATTAGACACACTCACAGATCTGCAGGGAAGAATATAATTAAAACCATTGTGAAAGCAGGAGTCATCATCGAACTCAGCTATCCAGTCATGTTTCTTCTCCAAGGAGATTTCAAACAGAAGATGTAAATTTTGGTAGTTACATAAAATGTCTCAGATTTAAATGAAAGACACAAAAAGCCACATATCTCCTTTTCCTGAACAACCGTCTCTGCTGAAATATTAGTTCTGCCACCTACAAAGACAACTGAAGGCTGAGGATAAAAAATGCCTCTTGGAAGTCACTGAGTTTGTTAGGTATAAAAGCCAAGACTTCAACTGAGGTCTTTGCACTGATGTGTACATTAACCCCACACTGGGTATCACTGTACAATCATGTCCTGCAGGAGGAAGATTACAGGCGGCCAGTGTCTTCTCTGGTTTCTGGGTTGGTGACTTTGAACTTGCTACAGCTCCCACACCCGCAGCGAGCAGAGTTGCCAAGCAAGTGTGCCGGCTTCCAGAAGCCTGAGATGCCCATTGGTGCTTGGGAACCACCCCAGTTTCCCCATCGTCTGTGCTGCTGCAGATTGGTTGGGGCAGCCCGGGGAGGCTGGCTCCGACACACGACTGAGTGTGCCTACACTGGTCCCACAGGTTTTCAGCTGTGGAGTTTGGGATCTGAGCTTGGAGCCCATTTGTTTCTGGCAGTTCCGCTCATATTTTCCACTTGAAGACATCGCCTCCCTTCCTTCCAAGCTGGGAGACCAGAAGTCAACAACAGGAGGGTGGAGAGGCCGGGTCTCACAATCCGCTTGGCTGGGGAGTCCACTGAGGTTCTTGCATCCTGAAGCAAACCATGGAGAGCTGGTGGGGACTTCCCTGTCTTGCGTTCCTGTGTTTTCTAATGCACGCCCGAGGTAAGAGGCATTTTGCTTTGAGGGAGATCTGCCTGGGCATGGATTTTTCTATTCTTGCTTTAAGAAACTCTTTCCAAAGGAGTTGCTATGAAGTGAATGGGGATAATTTGCCCAATGGGATTAGAAAGGAGACTAAGAGCGATGGGTGGCTGAGAGGGGAGGGAGAAGACGGGCTGCTCCCATTTGGAATCTGGGAATTAGATCCAGAAGGGCAGGATGTTAGCTGATACCATCTAGATATTCGCCATATTTTCCTGTTTTGATCCATGTGTCCCAAGCGTTTAAAAAATGACCTATTTAACTCCATGATTCAAGCATGACTGGGTGTGTGTGGAATGTCAGTCATTTCTTTCTGATTTTAAAAATTAGTTCTGACCATTTCCATACAGTAAAAGTAGAGTTGAAACTACTTCATCCCGTGGGGCAGATTACCAGAGATTCGTTTGCCGGAAGGGTTGCATTTATTCAGATTTTTAAATCTTTTCCTAAACACTGTCATTCATTCTTGCAAATTAAAACCACCTGAATTGTTCACATCAAAAACTTCGATATAAACTTGCAGGCTGGCTGTCCCAGATCCAAGATTAGATTTTTCAGTTCCGTACGAGGACCTCTTTAAGAAACTCCAATGAACTCATAAAGTACAGGATTTGAACAACGGTTGAGTAAGTTTCTTTGGTCATTTTCATGTGGCGATTTCAGAGAAGGGAACACCTGGGCGCATCTTAAGAGAGAGAAGTATTTCTGTTAGGAGTTAAAACACATCATTCAGATGTCCCTGTGGCAGCATTTCCTGTTTATCCTATTTAAAGACATGGACGTCATTAAGATTGGAGTTGGTTGTTTATGGGCGGAGGCGGTGTCGGGATGGATAGATCCTGGTGGACATAGTCTAGGATCTGCAGTGAGAATTTTTTATTATTCTGTGCTGTCTTCAGATCTCACCTAGTAAGTGGACAATGTGGCCATGCATTCATTAGCTTCTGTTTACAGGGAGATGTTCAACAGTAAACCCACCTCCCCAGAAAAGTACTTCCAGGAGTTTGTATCATTCACAGTAAGAGCCAAAGGTTAACCATATCCCCTTGGGCAAATCAACTTCTACAAAGTGCGGATACAGACAGTTCCCAACTTACCATGGTTTGACATGATGGTTCAATTTAAGATTTTTCAACTTTACAACGGTGTAAAATTGGTATGCATTCAGTACAAACGAAAACTGTACTTTGAGTACCCATACAACTTTTCTTTTTTTTTTTTGAGATGTCGTGTCGTTTCATTCTGTTGCCCAGGCTGGAGTGCAGTGACACAATCTGAGCTCACTGCAACCTCCACCTCCTACGTTCAAGCAATTCTCCTGCCTCAGCATCTCAAGTAGCTGGGATTATAGGTGCCCACCACCACACCCAGCTAATTTTTCTATTTTTAGTAGAGACTGGGTTTCACCATGTTGGCCAGGCTGGTCTTGAATCTTGACCTCTGGTGATCCACCGGCCTCCCAAAGTGCTGGGATTATAAATGTGAGCCACCATGCCCGGCCCCATACAGCCATTCTGTTTTTCACTTTCAGTACAATGTTCAATAAATTATGTGAGGTATGCAACACCTCATTATAAAGTTGACTGTGTGCTAGATGATTTGTCCATCCGTTGGCTGATGAAAAGTGTTCTGAGCACTCTGAAGGCAGGTAAGGCTAAGCTATGGCGTTTGGTAGGGTAGTTGTATTAAATGCACTTACAACATAAAATATTTTCTTTTTTTTAATGTGTTTTAATTTTTTTGAGGGAGGGGCCCACTGTGTCACCTAGACTGGAGTGCGGTGGTTCCATCATAGCTCACTGCAGTCTTCACCCCAGGGGTTCGAACAAACCTCCCACCTCAGCCTCCAGAGTAGCTGGGACTACAGGCATTTGCCGCTGTGCCTGACTAGTTTTTAAAACTTTTTGTAGAGACGGGATCTCACTATGTTGTCCAGGCTGGACTTGAACATCTCAGCTCAAACGATCCTCCTGCCTTGGCCTCCCCAAATCTTGAGATTACAGGCATCAGCCACCATACCCTGTCCTGCGCTAAATTCTTTGACTGACGGCAGCACTTCCTATGCACTAGGCATGGATTAACTTAGTTGATTGTCCCTCAGCCCTATGACGGGAGTGTCGTGCCTGATGTCATTTTACAGATGGTGTATTAGTCAGGGTTCTCTAGAGGGACAGAACTAATGCAATAGAAATATATATAGAGAGAGGAGTTTATTAAGTATTAACTCATATGATCACAAGGTCCCACAACAGGCCGTCTGCAGGCTGAGGAGCAAGGAGAGCCAGTCCAGGTTCCAAAACTGAAGAACTTGGAGTCTGATGTTCCAGCATCCACCATGGGAGAAAGATGTAGGCCAGAAGACTAGGCCAGTGTCTCTTTTCACATTTTTCTGCCTGCTTATATTCTAGCCACAGCGGCAGCTGATTAGATGGTGCCCACCCAAATTGAGGGTGGGTCCGCCCCTTCCAGTCCACTGACTCAAATGTTAATCTCCTTTGGCAACACCCTCACAGACACACCCAGGATCAATACTTTGTATCCTTCAATCCAATCAAGTTGACATTCAGTATTAACCGTCACAGATATGGGTAAACTGAGGCACTGAGGATTTGGACGGGGGCAGCCGGCAGCGGAATCTGAGCTGTCCTGTAGCTCTGTCTGGGAAGACTCCAGTGAGCATCCCGCTCTATCCCAAGCCTTGTCTTCTGAAAATCAGAATCATCCCTCCTCCAAGTGTTACAGGAAAGGGGTCCGGATCCAGACGCCAAGACGGGGTTCTTGGATCTCGCTCCATAAAGAATTCAGGGCTAGTCTGTAAACTGAAAACAAGTTTATTAGGAAAGTAAAGGAATAAAAGAATGGCTATTCCGCAGAGCAGCTCTTAGAGCTACTGCTTGCCCATTTTTATGGTTATTTCTTAGTGATATGCTAAGCAAGGCTTGGATTATTCATGCCTCCCCTTTTTAGACCATGCAGAGTTCCTGACATTGCCGTGGTATTTGTAATTGTCATGGTGCTGGTGGGAGGGTAACACTGAGGACAACCAGAGGCCACTCTCATCACCATCTGGGTTTTGGTGGGTTCTGGCCGGCTTCTTTACTACCACCTGTTTTATCAGCTAGGTCTTTATGACCTGTATCTTGTGCAGACCTTCAGTCTCATCCTGTGACTCAGAATGCCTTAATCATCTGGGAATGCAGCCCAGTAGGTTTCAGCCTTCTATTGCCCAGCCCCTATTCAAGATGGAGTCGCTCTGGTTCCAGTGCCTCTGACACAAGTAGCGCCCCTTAGGGAGGTTACAGGAGGGACTGGAAGGAAAGTGAGGTCTGGATCAGGGCCCTTCTGTGTAAATAAGATGATGTACATGCAGCAGCTGGGTATGTCCTGGGTAAAAATTAGTTAAATGCACAGACGACCCTGTTTCATCCCCAGCCATCACCAGCTGGAAATGGGGCACATTCCCAAGATCCCAAAAACATTCTGCAAGGCTGGTGCGATGATTGCTATGAAGTACTTAAGAAAACAGATTATTGTTCAGGATCAATAGCTAATGCATGTGGGGCTTAATGCCTCTGTGACGGGTTGATGGGTGCAGCAAACCACCATGGCACATGTTTACCTATGTAACAAACCTGCACGTCCTGCACACGTATCCCGGAACTTAAAATAAAATAAAGAAGACAGAATATTGTTAATGGTTAATATGCTGTAAATCATTATGATGATTACTAAATTATCAATACAAAAGAAGATAATAGCAAGACGGCCATATTCCTAATAGAGGTTGACATTTTAGCAGCCCTACATTTCCACTGTATTTAATTAGTATTTGCCGTCCAATCCAGAGGGGCATGAAGGAGCACGAGACAAAATCAGGTCTTCTAACAGCTGAGAAGAAGCTGAGAACCAGAAGTGGAAACCCCAAAGGGCAGTGTATGAAATGTCATTTATTGAGGGGAAAAAAAAGAAAATGACAGAGTTCGATAGAAGAAATAAGCACTAGTGTTTACATAATCAGTAGGGTGACTTTAGTTTACAATAATCTATTGTAGACTTCAAAATAGAAGAGTCGGAATGGTTCTAATATGAAGGAAAGACAAATATTTAAGGTGGATGGATATCCCAAGTAGGCTGATTTGATCTTTACAAATTATATAAATGTATTAAATTATTACATGTACCCTGAAGCTATGTACATCTGTTATGCATCAATTAAAAATAAATTAAAAGAAAAGGATATATGTCCAGGATATACACCAGCTAAGACAGTCTCTTCCAAGTCTATTGTACATTATTCCCTTATCAGATTTGAAACCTGAGAGTTCCCTGACGCCCCCTCACAGGATGTGCAACAGGGGTGTGTTTGATCTGTTTGACCGCCACACACTGAAACCTCTTATGGGAGGCAGAACTTGCAGACGGGCAGGTGCAGCAGCTAGTGTGAGTGTTTTTGAGCTCTGGGCCCCACGGTAGCATCTAGGGATGGGTGCCTGCGACCCCCGAAGCCCTAGTGGGCGTTTTACGGTGCTCTTTTAGCTCTGCCATCCGCACGTGGCTTAAGTGTTAGCCAGCTCAGTGCCGTCTTGGTACCCGGGTTCTTGTCCAGCATCCAGGAAGAATCAGGTCACACGAACCAGCTGAAGGATGGTAAATGCAGAAGAGTTTGTTGCCAGATGGAGATGACTCTTAGCGGGATGGTTGGGGAGTTGGAAAGGGGATGGAGTGGGCAGATGATCTTCCCCTGGAGTTTGGTTGTCCTGCGGCTAATCTCTTCTCCAACCATCCCCAGCTGAACACCTCTCAGTGTTCAGATGTTCCTTCTCTTCTCTCCTTCTCTGCTGTGCTGCTCTTTGGTTCCTCACCTTTTCTGCTCATCTGTCTGTCTGCACATGGGGTCTGGGGTTTGGGGTTATATGGGTACAGGACAGGCAGGCATGGTGGGTCAAAAGGCAACATTTGGGCACAAAAATAGGAATGCCTGTTTCCATTTAGGACTACAGGTTTCCAGGCTTGAGGGCGGGGCCTTTGCTGGGGAACTGCCCTCTTGTATCTAGTATCTTCAGGCCTCCTGTCCGTATCAACATGACTTAAAATGTGTGTGCATTTGTATAGAGCTGTGTTTCTATGTAAAGACTAAAAAAGACTTATGAAAAAGATCACTCAGAGCTCTGAACAGTAGCAAATCATATTTCTGAGTACTTCCTGTTGAGTAAAGGTAAGTGAGGATTGTGCCAAGTATTTTTCATTACTTGCTGCATTAGGTTGTCACAGGCTGTTTAGTTTACTTCTAAAAATTGGGATATGGGGAAGTTGTGGGCCGGGCACAGTGGCTCATGTTTGTAATCCCAGCAGTTTGGGAGGCCGAGTTGGGCAGATCACTTGAGGTCAGGAGTTTGAGACCAGCCTGGCCAACATGGCAGAACGCTGTTTCTACTAAAAATACAAAAATTAGCCAGGCATGGTGGGGGGTGTCTGTAATCCCAGCTATTCAGGAGGCTGAGACAGGAGAATCGCTTGAACCCAGGAGGCGGAGGTTGCAATCAGCTGAGATCATACCACTGCACTCCAGCCTGGGTGACAGAGTAAGACTCCATCTCAAAAAAAAAAAAAAAAAAAAAAAAAGGAAAAAAAAGTTATGATGATCGCCTAAGGTGAGAAGCCATACCACGCCAGCGTACAGAACCCCAAACCACGCCAGCCTCATCCTACGTCTCAGTTATATTTTTCTTGACTTGCTTCCATTCTGGTGCCCCCTCTCTCCCTGCCCCCTCCTTCCCTGCAAAGGATCTAGCAAATTTGTAGGTGTGGAAAGGGAACCACAAATGGGTCATTTCCCTGCCATTGTCACCTGGAGCGTGTAGCCATTTCGTGCAGTGATTCTCTGTCTTTGATGTGCAGGTCATCACCTTGAAGGGAGGAGGTATTAAAAGCGCCACCCAGTCCCCACCCACTGAGGTCTTTATTCAGCAGGTGTGGGTCAGGCATTTGGGAGCTGGGAGACCTGCATTTTAAGAAGCACCCCAGGTGATGCCCAAGCGGAGCTATGTGCTTCTTTTAAGAGATGATGACTCCGTGTGCAACCGTGTGGTTACCTTTGCGTGGAGTCTCATGGATCACTGCCACAGTGGGGAGGCAGCTCTGTGCTCTCCAATTCGGTGATGTGTCATTCACTCTATGCAGGCCCAAGGTGACACCCCCAGATACAGGTGCTGCCATCCAGCCATTCTCAACCAGGGATCATGTTTATCCACAGGGACACTTGTCGATATCTTGAGGCTTTGCGTTGCCACACTGATAGCAGGGATGCTGCTGGCATCTAGTGGGTGGAGCCCAGGGATGCTGGTCAACACCCTGCAGTGCACAGGACGCCCCACAGAAAAGAATGATCCAACCTCATATGTCAGTAGGACTGAGGCTGAGGAATCTTGCCTTAGCATGAGAGATCCTGTCTGTCTGTCTGCCTATCTCTAGATCTATCTATCGTCTACCATTATCCATCCACCTATCTGTCTCTATTATATACACCTATCATCTACCTAATCTATCTGTCAATGATTTTCTGTCATCTATTATCTATCTATTTATCTATCTTTCTACCTACTTCTCTATCCAACTCTCATCTCTATTACCTATCTATGTATCTATGTATCTATCTATGTATCTATCTATCCATCCGTCTATCAATCTATCTATTTATCTAGCAGTCCATCATCTATCTGTGACATTCTTCTGCTACCCAGGGATAATTGTGTTCCTCGAGTAACACTTGGCAATGTCTGGAAACAATTTTGGTAGTTGCACTGGGATGGGTGTTCTCGCATTCGGTGGGTGGAGACAAGGCATGTTGTTCAACACCTTACAGTGCACAGGACAGCACCCATGACAGAGAGTTACGCAGCCCCAAGTGTCATTAGTGCTGTAGTGGAGAACCTGCTGTTAGTTATAACTTCTAACCCTGCGAAAGGGGACAGGTTGGAAATGTCATGCTCCTGTACGCTGTAGGAGGTATAGTTGTCTGGAGGTATAGTTGTCTGGAGGTATAGTTGTCCTGTACAGTATAGGAGGTACGGTATAGTTGTCTGGGCATTTCTAAATGGATCTTACTGTCAGAATGCACTTGTAGGATCTTTTCCCCATAGGGCATAGAGCCATGGCACATATAACCCAGAAGCTGAGCATTCCATAGTTTCCTTCTTGGAGTAGGAAGGGGCTGTGCAGAAAAAGTCTATGGCTGTTTGGCACCTGAGTGTGAAGACATCTGGCAAATATTGGAGCCAATTAGCAGACAAGCACGGAGTCCAAGAAATGTCTCCCCTTTCTTGGATAACAACTGACCCTTCCTGTGAGGGCCCCCCTCATTCCAGCCATTTTCCTCTTTCTCATTGGCACACAGGGGGTAGAAAAGTGGGGTTCTGCCTGCAGGTGGGGCTCTGCCAGACACGGCAAAGCTCCTGGGGATTCCCCCGATGGATCAGGGGCCAGAGGCACCTAAACCTGTGAGCGATGTGTGCAGCCACGGTGCTGAGGCTGGGAAACTCTGCTGTAGTCTGTGAATCCCAACCTCTGGGAATGCTTCAGAATCAGATTCTGGGCTGATCTGGAATCTGCATGTGGCTGGATTCTGGTCTGATCCAGGCATGGAGGCGTGTGCCTGTAATCCCAGCTACTCGGGAGGCTGAGGTGAGAGAACTGCTTGAACCTGGGAGGCAGAGGTTGCAGTGAGCTGAGATTGTGCCATTGCACTGCAGTGAGCTGAGATTGCACCACTGCACTCCAGCCTGGGCAACAGAGCGAGACTCTGTCTCAGAAAAAAAAAATTAAGGAAGAGTATTATTGAGAGCGTAGGCCAGGCGCGTGATGTTGCTGAGATGAAACTGTCTCTCTAGATTCCCAAACCCTGGTTATCTCCACTGAACCAGGCTGTCCAATGGCATCCCCATTGTAATTGACCATGTTCCATGGTTTAAATCTGTTGTGAGCCAAATTGTACCCTCCTCAATTTTACAAATGGAAGTCCTAACCTGCAGGACCTCCAATTGTGACTGTGTTTGGAGATGGGGTCTTTAAAGAGGTGATTCAGGCTGGGTGCGGTGGCTCATGCCTGTAATCCCAGCACTTTGGGAGGCTGAGGCTGGCAGATCATGAGGTCAGGAGATGGAGATCATCCTGGCTAACACGGTGAAACCCCATCTCTACTAAAAATACAAAAAAAAAAAAAAAATTAGCTGGGCGTGCCTGTAGTCCCAGCTACTTGGGAGGCTGAGGCAGGAGAATCGCTTGAACCTGGGAGGTGGAGGTTGCAGTGAGCCGAGATCGCACTACTGCACTCCAGCCTGGGCGACAGAGCGAGGCTCTGTCTCAAAAAAAAAAAAAAAAAAAAAAGAGGTGATTCAGGCAAAATGAGGTCACTAGGTTGGGCCCTGATCCAACAGGACTGCAGACCTTATAAAAAGACGAGATGAAGACACAGACATGCACACAGGGACGATCCTGTGAGGACTTAGGGAAAAGATGGCATCCACAAGCCAAGGAGAGAGGTCTCAGTAGGAACCAGCCCTGCCCACACCTTGATCTCAGACTTCCAGCTTCCAGGCCTGTGGGAGAATCAATGTCCACTGTTTAAACAGCCTGGTCTGTGGGACTTTGCTATGGCAGCAGCCACAGTGGACAAACACATTTGTATTCCAATGAATGAGTTACCTCTGTAAGGGTTGAATTGTGCGTCTCCAAAATTTATATATTGAAGGCCTAATCCCTAGGACCTCAGAACATGACTGTGTTTGGTGATGGGGTCTTTAAAGAGGTGAGAAGGGTACAATGAGCTCAGGAGGTTGTGCCCTGATCCAATAGGACTGGGGTCCTTATAAAAAGAGTAGATAAGGACACAGACACACACAGAGGGATGACCCTGTAAAGACACAGGGAGAAGAGGGTGTCTACAAGTCAAGAAGAGAGGCCTCAGGAGGAACCAGCTCTGCCCATGCCTTGATCTCAGAATTCCAGCCTCCAGGACTGTGGGAGAATAAAAGTCTGTGGTTTGTAAGCCACCCAGCCTATGGTATTCTGTGATAGCAGCCTGCAATGGACTAAGACATCTCATAAGAAGAGCAGATGAGGACACAGACATGCACATAGAGGGATGACCACGTGGGGACACAGGGAGAAGATGGTGTCTACAAGCCCAGGACAGAGGCCTCAGGAGGAAACAGCCTTGCCCATATCCTGATCTCAAGACGTCCAGCCTCCAGGGCTGTGGGAGAATCAATGTCTGTTGCTTATAAGCCACCCAGTCTATGGTATGCTGTGACAGCAGCCTGAAATGGACTAAGACACCTCATAAGAAGAGGAGATGAGGACACAGACGCACACAGAGGGATGACCACGTGGGGACTCAGGGAGAAGACGGCATCTACAAGCCCAGGAGAGAGGACTCAGGAGGAACCGGCCCTGCCCACACCTTGATCTCAGACTTCCAGCTTCCAGGACTGTGGGAGAATCAAGGTTGTTGTTTAAGCTGCCCAGTCTTTGGGATTGCATTGTAACAACTCTGGGAAGCCATTACCAAGTCTCTGTCCTGCAAAGTGAGATCCATGGATCTGCAGCCTTGACATCCCCTGGGAGCTGATGAGAAACACTGTGTCTTGGGCCCAGACAGACCTGCTGAAGCATAGTCTGTGTGTCACCCATGTCCTGAGGGATCCGTGTGCATGCCACTCTGGGAAGACGGGTTTATAACACACCGTCAACCAGTGCCTCATTGCATGGTCTGCGGTATTTTCCTCGAGTTTTCCTTGCACCAAAGATGTCTTGCTTTTTGTGATGAATGATCATTCCTTCCTCTTCGACGACAAAATACTTCGATCTCTGCAGACACCGTCTGTTGTGTTACAGACAGACACTGAGGCCTGAATTCTCATTACCAATGTCTGCTCTAATAGAGCTTCAATCTGCAACTGCATAATATGGTCACTGGGAAGTCAAGAACGGGGCCAGTTGGTTGACCTTCTGGGGAGAGGCTGGGCTGCTTGGATGCTGAGACCGTGGAGGGTTCATGGGTTCCGAGGAGCAGATCATGCACCAGGGCGGCCTGCTCAGCTCTGGTGTCTGCAGCCCC